>NC_000015.10:53276874-53901874 GCF_000001405.40 Homo sapiens | reverse complement strand
AGACTTGAAGAGAGGAGTGAAAACATGAAATAATCAATTACCTTTAAACTTTCATTCATGAGAATATCCAAATGTCTTGGGTGCAGTAAACATACACTCTCAAATTTCTGATGGCATTATAAATTGGCAAAATGTTTTTGGAAATCAATTTGGCCTCAAAAATATTCATATGTTTGACTCCATTGACTATTTCTCATAAAACAATTTACAATAAAGACAGAGTTTATATACAAAAATGTTAATTTCAACATTATTCATTATAAGGAAAAATCCTGGAAGCAACCTAATTGTCTATAGATAGAGGAGGGACTAAATAAATTATGGCACATCCAAGTAATAGAGATCTATCAGCTGGTCATGGTGGCTCACGCCTGTAATCCCAGCACTTTGGGAGGCCGAGGCAGGCAGATCACCTGAGGTCGGGAGATCGAGACCATCCTGGCTAACACAGTGAAACCCCATCTCTACAAAAAAAAAATACAAAAAAAATAGCTAGGCATGGTGTCAGGCACCTGTAGTCCCAGCTACTTGGGAGGCTGAAGCAGGAGAATGGCATGAACCCGGGAGGTGGAGCTTGTAGTGAGCTGAGATCGTGCCACTGCACTCCAGCCTGGATGACAGAGTGAGACTGCATCTCAAAAAAAAAAAAAAAAAAAGAAATCTATGAAGACATTAAAATGATGCTTACTAAGAATCTTTAATTTAATGGAGAAATTCTTTTTATAAAAAATAAACCCATGACTATTATGTTAATCGAATATAATAAATTAAATATAGAAGAAAATGAATAAAAATCATGTGTATAGAATAATTATTATTATACTTTATATGTGTTTTTGAGTATTTTCCACATTTTTAGAGATGTATGTTACTTTTGTTATGAGAAAATACATACCAAACTTTTAAATTCATCTTTTGGTAATTTATCAAGACTAATGTTGAAAAGGAGGGAAAAAAAATGAATGTACGTTAAACCCTTATGGAAAAAGAAGATAAAACAGGGAGCATGAAGTGCCTATTCCTGTAGCTCAATTGATTAACAACATAGTACATTTTATGAGTCAGTATTGCAAATGTACACAATCAAGATTGCAGATTTGGGACCCAGATCTGTTGAACTCTCTGAGATGGGACATTGATCTGAGTCTTTAAAAGTTGGATGATTTAAAGTGGAAGATAATGCATTTTTGGCCCACAGTGAAAAAAAAATAGAAGTTTGATGAACACTGGGCCTCTATTTTTATACTGCAATATCCCCTGAACATCCTACTGTTGCCCTCCTTGGAGGAATTGTGTAGCTACAGTGATTCATAATCCCCACCATATCTCACTGGTTTCCTAACAATGAGTCCAAACAGCAGTCGCTATTTGTCATTACTCTTGCTTTTACTATTGTTTACAGTAAATAAACATTTCTCTGTCACCATGGCTAGTAAAGCTAAAAGAAAAGATAATCTGAAAAGCCCATATGTTTCAAGAAAAATAAAGAACATGTTTAATTCTTTAAGTACAGAATATTCCTCTGTGTCTGATATTCATACATCAGGCCCTCTTCTCCAATTTTTATAACTCGTATGGCCATCCTAAACACTTATGTCTGCAATCCTGGAATAAGTCTGGGGACACATTATTGTTAATAACATAAACTGCTTACTATATTTTAATACTAAAAAATTATAATTCCTTATTAAATCCATAGGGTATCATTCTAGTCCCTCATTAATTTTGAATTAAATAGATGTACTATTTGCGGAATAATATGATTGAAGATCGAGGGGGTATTTTAATAGTAGGATTCAGGCTTGACTTTCTGGAGATTTTCTACACAAAGATGAAATAGGATATATGTTATACTAATCTGATGACAATATAAAATAAAATATACATATGGCAGAAAACGAAGAGCTTTCTCTAGGGTGGGGTAGTTATCTGTTGGGGAGATGGGACTTGAACCATGCAGAACTGGGTGAGACTTTCTCATGGGAAGGACAATAGCCAAGATAAGAAACTAAAAAGGAACCATCTCAGAAGCAGAGAGACTGCCAGCACTTTGGGAAGCCGAGGCAGGCAGATCACCTGAGGTCGGGAGTTTGAGACCAGCTTGACCAACATGGAGCAACCACTCTCTACTAAAAATACAAAAATAGCCAGGCATGGTGGCGCATGCCTGTAATAGCAGCCACTCGGGAGGCTGAGGCAGGAGAATCGCTTGAACCCGGGAGGTGGATGTTGCGGTGAGCCGAGATCCTGGGCAACAAGAGTGAAACTCCGTCTAAAAAAAAAGTAGAGAGACTGGTTTTTCAGCTAAGCGCTCATTTTGGTGAACAGTGACTAAAAAGTTTGCATAAGAAGAGTGAGTTAAGAAAATTGGTCTCTTGAAATTCAGGAAGAGAAGTTTGGAATGTAATTCTTTTAGAAAGCAAAGCTACTGCATGCTTTTGAACACAAGAAGTTGATTTTCAAGAAGTTTAATTTGCAAGGAAAGTGGTTTGAAGGAAGCGATTTGAGACAAAGAGGAAAATGATGTGTTTATAACAATTTAGATTTATTCAGAGAGTCAACAGATTCTTGCAATTCTTGCAGAGCACTTGTTATGAGATGCTGTCTATTAGGCATTAAGGATACACAATAATCAAATTCTTTGACCTCAAAGAGCTTATATTCCAGTGGACATAGGCAGATAATAAACATATACATAAATAAGTGCAATAGTGTAACAGGATATAGTGCACAGAATACTGATGGTGTTAAAATAATCAGAGAATGCTTCTCTGAGATGTGACATTAATCTGAGTCTTTAAGGATGAAAATGAGGTTACTATATGGAAACACATTGGAAGAACGTCCAGCCAGTAGAGATAAGCACAAAACCCTCAAGAGGAAGTGAGCATGGTGTGGGGGACAGTTGGGGATGGGGTGGGGGGCAGTGTATGGAGAAGTGTTGGTCAAAGTGGACAGACTTTCAGTTGCAAGATGAATGAGTTCTGGGACTCTAATGTACAGCATAGCGAATATAGTCATAGTTATTACCAATAATACTGTATTGTATACTTGAAATTTGTTATGGAAGTAGATACTCAGTATTCTTATATTTTTTTAAAATTGGAATATTAGGTGATAGATGTGTTAAGTAGCTTAATTATAGAATCATTTCACAATGTATACATATCAAATTATCATATTGTACACCTTAAATACATACACATTTTGTCAATTATACCTCAATAAAGCCAGAATAAAAACCTAACTTTAAAATGGCCCAGTCAATAGTCAGCTCCCTGCTCCCTTGGGGAGCCAATACCTTTTGATTCTTTTCTCATTTACTAGGGAATCAGAAGAGATCAGGGTAACCTCCCTCTTTAGGCTACTGTTTGGGGAAATGTTTGATTTTTTTGAAGAATATAGCTATTAGGAGAAAAAAAAGTGTGTTAGTGTGTATGCGTTTGTGTGTGTGTGTGTGTGTATGTGTCTGGAAAAGAATTTCAATAGACTTTTAGAATCAGTTAGGTCAAGAAAAGCTGCACTCAATAACCTTACCATCTTACCCTGATCATTTCAAATAGTTTCACTAGCACCATATTTAAAAGATAAGCATGACTGGTTTAAAAATAATTGAATAGTCCCAACTTTAACAGTAGAAGATGATGATGATGATGATGATGATGATGGTGGTGGTGGTTGTGGTGGTCATTATCTCTGTATAAAAGGAGAAAGTCTGCATTTTTAGGACTATGTGCACCAGCAGGAGGAAGTAATGTAGAAGATCTTATATTGAACTATCAGCATGGGTCTCACAGCTGGAAGAGTTAGCCCAATAAGAGAACATTTGTATAGAGCAGCATTTTTATCACAAGATGCCAGTGCTCAGCAAGGTTTTTATTATACAAAATCAAAGGACTTAAAATACTCAACTAGAACTACAGTTATCAAGACCAAGAGTTTTTCAAAGTACAACATTAATCCCCCAGGATTTTTAGTAGGGGTTAGACAGAAAATGAAGGCGGTCGGGGCATTCTCAGAGAAAATAAATCTGGAAAGTGTCAAGGTAAAGTTAAATGGATTTTTTAAATTACAGCACATAGAAGAACTTTTAATATGCTAATACACTTTCTGATTTTCCAAGAAAGGGGTCTACGTAGAGTGTCATTTAAGGGATAGCTTCTCATCAAGGAAATTCAGGAAAAGTGGCCAAAATGGCATTGGGTAAGGCCTGAATAGATGATGCTATAACAGTGTGATGACCTTGTGGATCAATTCAGTTGAGTTGTAATGTATTGCCATTTAAATGTATGTATAGCCAGGTTCCATGGCACACGCCTATAATACTGGCTATTTGGGAGGCTGAGATGGGAAGATCACTTGAGGCCAGGAGTTCAAGACTAGCCTAGACAACATAGTGAGACCCTCATCCCTACAAAAACAAGGAAACAATAAAATAAATGTATGTATAAAATTATTGTTGCTATCCATGTACTCGAAAAAGTTCCCAAAGCATCAAGTAGTATAATGAGAGATGACTGAGCTGGTAATCAGGAGGTTGGATCTTAATCTCTATTTTTACCATTTTCCGGATCCAGTCCATTGGACCCCATTGAGGACTCACTGATTCTTTCATTTATTCAATGAGCTTGATTGTCTCCTCTGTGTGAGACAAGACTTCTAGGTGCTAGGGATATAGCAATAGATAAGAAAGACCAAGTCCTTGACCTCATAGAACTTACATTCTAGTGAAGAAGACAAATAGTAAATAAACATATAGTTTCACTGTTGGATAAGGTATTATGAAGTGAGGGAGGAAAGCAGGGTTCAGTTACTTTCTCTACAAAATGAGGAGGCTGGACTCTGTCAGTGATTTCCACAGTCTTAAAGTAATTACATGTAACAGAAAACCTCAGTAACCTAACTATGTTGGCTTCCCAAATAGAAGTTTATTTTTCTCATTAGAGAAAAAGTTAGGAGGTAGGTCATCCAGGACAGGTGGAGTAGTTTCATGAGGTCATCAGTGTCCCGGGTGTCTCTGATGTTTCTATTCACCTTAGGGTGTGGTTTTTAATGCTAATGGAAGATGATGCCAGACATAATAAAAAAGGAATTGCTAAAGAATATGGGATAGTCCCCACATTTAGAAAGCCAGAATTTTCTAAAAATCCACAGCAGGCACTCCTTACATCTTTAGGGAGGCTGAGAAACATGAATACTTTTCAGCTGAGCAACTAGTTGCCCTGAACATGACCTGGTTCCCTTTAAGGAAGAGGGATGGAGTGGAAATTAAGTAAGTATCTAGTCTGCCATAAGGCTTAGGGGTGAAAAACATATATCCACTTCACCATCCCATGTATTATTATGATAATAACATTGAATATTGTAATAATACTCATACTAATATCCAACATTAAGAAGAAAATACTGATTCACAAAGAAGTATTTACAAATGACACCTTTGCTAAACAAATACACAAGCTCAGAAAAATTGACTAAATTGAACCAGAAGAGCACAGCAGCACTCAACTTAGAGGAAGTGCTAACACTACAATGAAAGACTGTGGCACAATTCATTATTAGATCTTGCCTTACTGTCACTTAATTGTATTTGGTACATATATGCTCTAGGAGTATTTTTTTTACATTTCTTACAAGTAAGGTGAAAATCAAACACCAAATGAAACAGTGATAGTTACACACTTTTCAACGAAAAATGTGTTTATATGATATTCAAATGTATTCATGAAGATGACTAGAGAAGTGTTCTCCTAAGGAACTCTACATTGGCAATTAAAGTTGACTTGATGATGGTCACTAATGGACATTAGCATATTTAAATTCATGTGTTGTTTTTATTATCATTTTGTTTGAGATGCATTTTAAAGTAAAAATCAAATAAAATGTTGGCAGAGCTCTGAAGAAAGAGAATGCTAAAGTTAAAATATACTGGACTAAGTGGCCTCAATCTTACCTACAGACTCAGACTTAATTTTTTTACATTTTACAAGAGACCGATCTTTGTTAAAGACATTAAGATTGAACAATGGATTAATGTTAGTCTTAGTTCATATTTTCAATGCTCAAAGAACAGCAATTTCACAAACCTTTGAATAATTTGGAATTGACATTATAAAACTGGAGGAAATAGTAATGATATAATGAATTCAAAGTCGAGTAAATCCTTCTCGTCTGTAATGCCTAAGAAACACAAAAAGCACTATTCATTCTTCAGCTATCTGCACACATTCTAATCTCACAGACAGCTGGAGAATAGAAAACTTGTCTACAAGGGATTTGTATGTATTACTAATTAGATATACAGCTTACTTCAGCTGGGATATCTTTTAATTATGTTTATTAAAACAGTCTGAAATATATTTATAAAATATATGTTTTTATTTTATCAATTTATGAACATTCAATGATCTCTTCTAAGATTTACGCAGTAGTAGACCATGCCTAAATTACTTACAACCTGTTTTCCAAAAGACAAAGACCATTACATGACACAAAATTTCTTTCTTTTTTTTTTTTTTTTTTTTTTTTTGAGATGAAATCTCACTCTGTCACCCAGGCTGGAGTGCAGTGGCAACCTCCGACTCCTGGGTTCAAGCTATTCTCCTTCCTCAGCATCTAGAGTAACTGGGATTACAGACGCCTGCGACCACACCCAGCTAATTTTTATATTTTTAGTAGAGACGAGGTTTCACCATGTTGGCCAGGCTGGTCTCAAACTCCTGACCTCAAGTGATCTGCCCACCTTGGTCTCCCAAAGTGTTGGGATTACAGGCATGAGCCACCACGCCCAGCCTCGACAAAAAATTTCTAAGGAATGATCCTAATAACAGTAAAAGCTTTATTCATGGAAACTGATCACTAGATAATTACATATTTATCTAGTGATATCTAATGTAATATTGATAAACATAATTATCAATATAATACTATGTGGAACAAATTGTGATCAAGGAATATTTAAATGAAATAATATAGTCCATGAGTTGATTATTATTGAACATGGTGAAGGGTTAATGGGGCAATAATTTACACTAATCTCTTGACTTTTGTAAATATCAAAAGTTTGCTATAATAAAAGTTTTACAAAATTATAAAAAACTCATTTACAGTCAAATAAATGAATAAATAAATATTTCAGAAAGAAATGTTTCTACTGATAATTAAAACAAAACCCAACCAAAGTGACATAAATAAATGGGGGTCTATTTCCATAATAGCAAGAAGTCTCAAGATACTCAGGTCTCTCAACAATTGTCTTCCTTATTTTCTCAGACAGCAGCTACAACTTCAACCATCATGCCTCCATTCAAGGCGTAAGAGGGGAAAGTGACTGTGCCAGCAGACTTTCGCCCATAACTCCAGGCCAGTCAGATGACCACTTCTTGCTATAAGGAAAGCTGGAAAATTGATACTTGATTTTCACTTTCTCTATAGTAATCAGGAAAGGGATAAAGGGGTTGGGTTTGTTGAGCCAACCTACGGTGTCTGCCAAAGCAACTATAAGAATATTTAGGTAAACAGTTGTACATTCATTCAACTGACTATTATTAAGCCATTAAGAAATAAATACCAATATTAGCAAAGATGGCCAAATAGGAACAGCTCCAGTCTGCAGCTCCCAGCGCGATTGACACAGAAGGTGGGTGATTTCTGCATTTCCAACTGAGGTATCCAGTTCATCTCACTGGGACTGATTGGACAGTGGGTGCAACCCACAGAGGGCGAGCCAAAGCAGGGTGGGGTGTCGCCTCACCTGGGAAGCACAGGTGTCGGGGAATTTTCTCCCCTATCCAAGGGAAGTCGTGGGGGAAGGAGCCTGAGGAACTGTGTGCTCCAGCCCAGATACTGCACTTTTCCCATGGTCTTCACAACCCACAGACCAGCAGATTCCCTCCAGTGCCTGCCCCACCAGGGCCCTGAGTTTCAAGCACAAAACTGGGCAGACACCAAACTAGCTGCAGAAGTTTTTTTTCCAAACCCCAGTGGTACCTCGAATGTCAGCGAGACGGAACCGTTCACTCCCCTTGAAAGGGGTGCTGAAGCCAGGGACCCAAGTGGTCTGGCTCTGTGGGCCCCATGCCATGGAGCCCAGCAAACTAAGATCCACTGGCTTGAAATTCTTGCTGCCAGCACAGCAGCAGTCTGAGATGGACCTGGGATGCTTGAGCTTGGTGGGGGGAGGGACATCCACTATTGCTGAGGCTTGTGTAGGCAGTTTTACCCTCAGAGTGTAAACAAAGCTGCCAGGAAGTTCAAACTGGGCGGAGCCCACTGCAGCTCAGCAAGGCTGCTGTGGCCAGACTGCCACATTTCTGCTCTCTGGGCAGGGCATCTCTGAAAAAAAGGCAGCAGCCCCAGTCAGGGACTTATAGATAAAACCCCCATCTCCCTGGAACAGAGCACCTGGGGGAAGGGGTGGCTATGGGTGCAGCTTCAGCAGATTTAAACATTCCTGCCTCACAGCTCTGAAGAGAGCAGCAAACCTCCCAGCACAGCATTCAAGCTCTGTTAAGGGTCAGAATGCCTCCTCAAGTGGGTCCCTGACCCCCGTGTATCCTGACTGGGAGATAACTCCCAGTAGGGGCTGACAGACACCTCATACAGGAGAGCTCTGGCAGGCATCTAGCAGGTGCCCCTCTGGGACAAAGCTTCCAGAGAAAAGAACAGGCAGTAATCTTTGCTGTTCTGCAGACTTCGCTGGTGATATCCAGGCAAACAGGGTCTGGAGTGGACCTCAGAAAACTCCAGCAGATCTTCAGCAGAGGAGCCTGACTGTTAGAAGGAAAACTAACAAACAGAAATGAATAGCAAGTCTACTCAAAGACCCCATCTGAAGGTCACCAACATCAAAGACCAAAGGTAGATAAATCCACAAAGATGGGGGGAAACAGCTCAAAAAGGCGGAAAACTCCAAAAACCAGAACACCACTTCTCCTCCAAAGGATCACAAATCCTCACCAGCAAGGGGACAAAACTTGATGGAGAATGAGTTTGATGAATTGACAAAAGTAAGCTTCAAAAGGTGGGTAATAACAAACTCCTCTGAGCTAAAGGAGTATGTTCTAATCCAATGCCAGGAAGCTAAGAACTTTGAAAAAAGGTTAGATGAATTTCTAACTAGAATAACCAGTTTAGAGAACATAAATGACCTGATGGAGCTGAAAAACACAGCACGAGAACTTCATGAAGCATACAGAAGTATCTATAGCTGAATCAATCAAGCGGAAGAAAGGATATCAGAGACTGAAGATCAACTTAATGAAATAAAGTGAGAAGACAAGATTAGAGAAAAAATAAAAAGGAATAAATAAAGCCTCCAAGAAACATGGGACTATGTGAAAAGACTAAATGTACATTTGATTGGTGTACCTGAAAGTGACAGGGAAAATGGAACCAAGCTGGAAAACACTCTTCAGGATATTATCCAGGAGAACTTCCCCAACCTAGCAAGACAGGCCAACATTCAAATTCAGGAAATACAGAGAACACCACAAAGATACTCCTCGAGAAGAGCAACCTCAAGACACACAATCATCAGATTCACCAAGGTTGAAATGAAGAAAAAAATGTTCAGGGCAGCAGAGAAAAAGGTTGGGTTACCCACAAAGGGAAGCCCATTAGACTAACAGCAGATCTCTCTGCAGAAACCCTACAAGCCAGAGGAGAGCGGGGGCCAATACTCAACATTCTTTAAGAAAAGAATTTTCAACCCAGAATTTCATATCCAGCCAAACTAAGCTTTATAAGTGAAGGAGAAATAAAATCCTTTACAGACAAGCAAATGCTGAGAGATTTTGTCACCACCTGGTGGTGGTGTAAGGCTCTTGCCTTACAAGAGCTCCTGAAGGAAACACTAAACTTGGAAAGGAACAACCGGTACCAGCCACTGCAAAAACATACCAAATTGTAAAGAACATCAACACTACGAAGAAACTGCATCAACTAATGGACAAAATAACCAGCCAGCATCATAATGACAGGATCAAATTCACATATAACAATATTAACTTTAAATGTTAATGGGCTAAATGCCCCAATTAAAAGACACAGACTGGCAAATTGGATAAACAGTCAAGACCCATCGGTGTGCTGTATTCAGGAGACCCATCTCACATGCATTGACACACATAGGCTCAAAATAAAGGGACAGAGGAATATTCAGCAAGCAAATGGAAAGCAAAAAAGAGCAGGAGTTGCAATCCTAATCTCAGATAAAAACAGACTTTAAAGCAACAAAGATCAAAAGAGACAAAAAAGGACATTATATAATGGTAAAGGGATCAATTCAAAAAGAAGAGCTAACTATCTTAAATATATATGTACCCAATACAGGAGCACCCACATTCATAAAGCAAGTTCTTAGAGACCTACAGACTTAGACTCCCACACAATGATAGTGGGAGACTTTAACATCCCACTGTCAATATTAGACAAATCAACGAGACAGAAAATTAACAAGGATATCCAGGACCTGAACTCAGCTCGGGAACAAGTGGACCTAATAGATATGCACAGAACTCTCCACCCCAAATCAACAGAATAGACATTCTTCTCAGCACCTCATCGCACTTGTTCTAAAATTGACCACATAATGGGAAGTAAAACACTTCTCAGCAAATGCAAAACAATGGAAATCATAACAAACAGTCTCTCAGAACACAGTGCAATCAAATTAGAACCCAGGATTAAGAAACTCACTCAAAACCACACAACTACATGGAAATTGAACAACCCGCTCCTAAATGACTACTGGTAAATAACAAAATGAAGGCAGAAATAAAGATGTTCCTTGAAACCAATGGGAACAAAGACACAACATACCAGAATCTCCGGGACACATTTAAAACAATGTGTAGAGGGAAATTTGTAGCACTAAATGCCCACAAGAGAAAGCAGGAAAGATCTAAAATTGACACCCTAAAATCAAAATTAAAAGAACTAGGAAAGCAACAGCAGATAAATTCAAAAACTAGCAGAAGACAAGACATAACTAAGATCAGAGCAGAACTGAAGGAGATAAAGACACAAAAAACCCATCAAAAAATCAATGAATCCAGGAGCTGGTTTTTTTAAAAGGTCAAAAAATAGATAGGCCACTAGCCAGACTAACAAAGAAGAAAAGAGAGAAGAATCAAACAGACACAATAAAAAATGATAAAAGGGATATCACCACTGATCCCACAGAAATACAAACTACCATCAGAGAATACTATAAACACCTCTACGCAAATAAACTAGAAAATCTAGAAGAAATGGATAAATTCCTGGACACATACACTCTCCCAAGTCTAAACCAGGAAGAAGTCAAATCCCTGAATAGACCAATAACAAGTTCTGAAATCGAGGCAGTAATTAGTAGTCTACCAACCCAAAAAAGTCCAGGACCAGATGGATTCACAGCCAAATTCTACCAGAGGTACAAAGAGGAACTGGTAGCTGGGCGCAGTGGCTCATGCCTGTAATCCCAGCACTTTGGGAGGCCATGGCGGGTGGATCACGAGGTCAGGAGATTGAGACCATCCTGGCTAACACAGTGAAATCCCACCTCTACTAAAAATACAAAAAATTAGCTGGGCGTGATGGCAGGTGCATGTAGTCCCAGCTACTCAGGAGGCTGAGGCAGGAGAATGGTGTGAACCCAGAAGGCGGAGCTTGCAGTGAGCCAAGATCATACCACTGCACTCAAGCCTGGGTGACGCAGTGAGAATCCGTCTCAAAAAGAAAAAAAAAAAAAGAGGCGCTGGTACCATTCCTTCTGAAACTATTCCAAACACTAGAAAAAGAGAGAATCCTCCCTAACTCATTTTATGAAGTCAGCATCATCCTGATACCAAAACCTGGCAGAGACACAACAAAAAAAGAAAATTTCAGATCAATATCCCTGATGAACATCGATGTAAAAATCCTCAATAAAATACTGGCAAATCGAATCTATCAGCACATTAAAAAGCTTATCCACCACGATCAAGTTGGCTTCATCCCTGGGACACAAGGCTGGTTCAACATATGCAAATCAATAAACATACACCATCATATAAACAGAACCAATGACAAAAACCACGTGATTATCTCAATAGATGCAGAAAAGGCCTTTGACAAAATTCAACACCCTTCATGCTAAAAACTCTCAATAAACTAGGTATTGATGGAATGTATCACAAAATAATAAGAGTTATTTATGACAAACCTCACAGCCGTTATCATACTGAATGGGCAAAAATTGGAAGCATTCCCTTTGAAAACCAGCACAAGACAAGGATGCCCTCTCTCACCACTCCTATTCAATATAGTATTGGAAGTTCTGGCCAGGGCAATCAGGCAAGAGAAAGAAATAAATGGTATTCAAATAGGAAGAAAGGAAGTCAAATTGTCTCTGTTTGCAGATGACATGATTGTATATTTAGAAAACCCCATTGTCTCAGCTCAAAATCTCCTTAAACTCATAAGCAACTTCAGCCAAGTCTCAGGATACAAAATCAATGTGCAAAAATCACAAGCATTCCTATACACCAATAACAGTCAAACAGAGAGCCAAATCATGAGTGAACTCCCATTGACAACTGCTACTAAGAGAATTAAAATACCTAGGAATACAGCTTACAAGGGATGCAAAGGACCTCTTCAAGGAGAACCACAAACTACTGCTCAAGGAAATAAGAGAGGACACAAACAAATGGAAAAACATTCCATGCTCATAGATAGGGAGAATCAATATCGTGAAAGTGGCCAAACTGCCCAAAGAAATTTATAGATTCAATGCTATCCCCATCAAGCTACCATTGACTTTGTTTACAGAATTGGGAAAAAACTACTTTAAACTTCATATGGAACCAAAAAAGAGCCCGCAGAGCCAAGACAGTCCTAAGCAAAAAGAACAAAGCTGGAGGGATCATGCTACCTGACTTCAAACAATACTACGAGGCTACAGAAACCAAAACGGCATGGTACTGGTACCAAAACAGATATTTAGACCAATGGAACAGAACAGAGCCCTCAGAAATAACACCACACATCTACAACCATCTGATCTTTGACAAACCTGACACAAATAAGCAATGGGGAAAAGATACCCTATCTAATAAATGGTGTTGGGAAAACTGGCTAGCCATACATGGAAAACTGAAACGTGAGCCCTTCCTTACACCTTATACAAAAATCAACTCAAGATGGATTAAAGACTTAAACATAAGACCTAAAACCATAAAAACCACAGAAGAAAACATAGGCAATGCCATTCAGGACATAGGCATGGGCAAAGACTTCATGTCTAAAACACCAAAAGCAATGGCAACAAAAGCCAAAATTGACAAATGGGATCTAATTAATCTAAAGACCTTCTGCACAGCAAAAGAAACTATCATCAGAGTGATCAGGCAACCTACAGAAGGGGAGAAAATTTTTGCAATATATCCATCTGACAAAGGGCTAATATCCAGAATCTACAAGGAACTTAAACAAATTTACAAGAAAAAAAAACTCTATTAAAAATTGGGCAAAGCATATGAACAGACACTTCCCAAAAGAAGACATTTATGCAGCCAACAAACATATGAAAAAATGTTCATCATCACTGGTCATTAGAGAAATGCAAATCAAAACAACAATGAGATACCATCTCACGCCAGCTGGAATGGTGATCATTAAAAAGTCAGGAAACAACAGATGCTGGAGAGGATGTGGAGAAATAGGAACACTTTTACACTGTTGGTGGGAATGTGAATTAGTTCAACCATTGTGGAAGACAGTGCAGTGATTCCTCAAGGACCTAGAACTAGAAATACCATTTGACCCAGCAATCCCATTACCGGGTATGGACCCAACGGATTATAAATCATTCTACTATAAAGACACATGCACACGTATGTTTATTACAGCACTCTTCACAATAGCAAACACTTGGAACCAACCCAAATGTCCATCAATGATAGACTGGATAAAGAAAATGTGGCACATATACACCATGGAATACTATGAAGCCATAAAAAGGGATGAGTTCATGTCCTTTGCAGGGACATGGATGAAGCTGGAAGTCTTCATTCTCAGCAAACTATCACAAGAATAGAAAACCAAACACCACATGTTCTCACTCATAAGTGGGAGTTGAACAATGAGAAAACATGGACACAGGGAGGGGAACATCACACTATCGGGGGGTGGGGCGTAGTGGAGGGATAGCATTTGGAGAAAATACCTAATGTATGTGGGTTGAAGGGTGTAGCAAACCACAATGGCACATGTAACAAAACTGCATGTTCTGCACATGTACCCCAGAACTTAAAGTATAATAAAAACAAAAAGAAACAGACCCCATGCAACATGAAGAAAGGGGATTGCCTAATATTAATGTCATATCTGATACGTCTTCAACTTATTAAAAAGCAAAAATCATGAAATCCCATGTATATCTAAAAAAGAGGATAAGCAGTAAAAAATGTTAATAAGAGTTACACTTAATATAATGGTTTGGGGTGTTTATTTTACCCCTAATATACTTTGTTTCCTCACATTTCCTATAATAAAATGAATTACCTTAGAATAAAAAGAATAAACATATTAAATAACGGGGGATTTTAAGGATATCAATAACTGACATTTTTAATGCAGTCAATATTTTAATAAACTTTATTTTTAGACCAGTTTTAGATTTACAAAATGGAGAAGATAGTACAGACAGTTTCCATAACCCTTCTCCTTCCACACACAAACATTATTACATTTTAGATTAGTATGGCACATTTGTTATAATTAATGAAGCCATATTGATATAGGATTAACCAAAGTCCATAGTTACTCAGATCTTCTTAATTTCACCAAGTGTCCTTTTTCTGTTCCAGGATTCCATACAGGATACCACATTGCATTTAGTTGTCATAATTCCATGGGCACCTCTTGGCTGTGACAGTTTCTCAGTTTTTCCTTGTTTTTGATGACCTTGAAATGTTTTAGGAGTACTCCTCACATATATTGTAGGATGCTGCCCTATTGCGACTTATCTGATGTTTTCATCATGATTAGACTGGAGTCATGTATTTGCGGGAGGTAAATCACAGAGGTAAAGTGTCAATTTCATGATGTCATAACAAGGGTACCTACTATCAACCTGATTTGTAACTAGTGATACTGACCTTGATCATCCAGTTGAAATAATGTTTATCAGTTTTCTCCACTGTAGAGTTCCTCCACTCCCCTACCTCCCTTTTTAATGCTGTGTTCTTTAGAAGGAAATCACAATGCATAGCCCAAACTTAAGGAGTGAAGAATTATACTGCCTCTCTTTTAGGGTATAGTGTCTTCATAGATTACTTGTTGTTCCTCTGTGCGGGAGATTTTTCCTCCTCTGCTTATTAATTTATTCAGTTATTTACTTATAGAAGTATGGTCTCATGAATACTTATTTCATACTTGGGGTTGTGGTCCAATACTACTTTACTTCATTTGTTCCTCACCTTTTTCTAGCTTTGGCCATTGAAAGCTCTTTTTGTTGGCTCCTGTGACCCTTTGACATATCCCTATCAAGGTAGGTTTGGGTTTGTTTTTGTTTGGTTTTCTTTCACTTCATAACTCTCTGGAACTACAAATGTTCCAAGCTCATCTTGTATATGCCCCAGTCCTAGAAGCAGTCATTTCTCCCAGAAGCTCTATTTCTTTTTGTTGGAGAATGATATTAGAAACCAGGATTGGGTGTTCGGTATGCTTGTTGGTACTAAGGTGTCATTTCTTATATATACCAATAGAAATACACATATCTATAAATATTTCTGTATGTAACCATCTAAACATGAGTTCCCACCAATGTCTCCAACTCTTATCCATTACCATATAGATCATTCCAGCCTCTTCCTCTTCGTTATCTGTAAATTCCCAACCCAACAGTCAGAAACCTTGTTCCCACCATCCACCATTCATTCACATAATTGATCAATTCCAGTACACAGGTATAGCAGGGTCAGAATTGTTAACCATACCCAACGAGAAACAACCTTATTAATGAGAGTACAGGACTTAATGACCAACTCCTTTTGTTTTTGGTATTGCACACTCCACTGGTTTTCAAACTTATTTGTGTCAGCATCTTTTTCCCCCACTCCCTTCAGTGAGGTTGTTTCACACATTTATGGTACATTTATTTTCTCTTTTGTAGGGGCAGAAAGGTGTGATCACTTTTCTTACCCATCATAAGGGTCATGATCGATTCTCCTATAAGGACAGGTTGACCAGAGAAAAGCATACCAAATTTATGTCATCAAAATTTTATGTGACATAGGAGCCTTCAGAAATAAAGATCCAAAGACCCAGGGAAAACTATTTTATGCTTAGGTTTTATGAAGAACAGACAGTCGTGTAGAAATGTGATTGGACACAAGAGTATGATCCAATGACAATAGACTGACACCAAATGCAGTAAGGCCTGTCTGTTGAGATTTTTCTTGGCCTCTCTGCATAGTATTTCACCTTCCCAGGTATGGAACAGAACCCCTCTGGAATAAGGGTCTTTAAAGGAGAAGTCAGCCTGTAGACAGTGGCCTGTCTAGATTTAATGGCTTGCTTTGGAAGAGAGAGGTTCTGGTTTTTATGCCCCACCTTAGGGAAGAAGAATTCTGATTTCTAAGACTCTCACTGGGTAATAAAATTGGGTGGGAAACAGAAAGGCAGGAGAAGTTCAGAAAGACCTTGGTTCTGAGGCTTTTCCAATTTCCGTTTGTTCAAAGAACTGAGCCTGACAAGGCGCCCTACTTTGGGGGTATCCACTTGTCACATTGCTTCCTGAAATCCCCTGACTTTCTATTTATAAAAACTAATTTGCATATATATTAAGATCCACTCTTTGTGTGATAAAGTTCTATGGATTTTGACAAATGCATATTCTCATGATTCTACCATTGCAGTATTAGTCACTAATAGTTTCACTGTTCTGTAAAATCCTGATTTCACCTAGTCTTCCTTCTCTGCCTTCCCCTGAACTTCTGGCAACCACTGATGAATCTTTCTCAACAGTTTTGTCTTTTCCAGAAGGCATTTGGTAGGAGGAGAAGTAGCAGCAGTAGGAGTAAAGGGAAAGAGGGGGGAACTAGAGAAGAGAGTCCTTCTTTAGGTTGTCAGGAACTAAAATTCCAAAAGAGTAAGTCCAAGTAAAAACTACTCAGAGAATGCCAAGACTCAAGGTGAGAAAATCCCACTCACTCAATATATTCAAAGAGCAGAATGGAATGGAATGGAAGCAAGTAAAGAGTGAAGTAGTTGGCCAGGTGCGATGACTCATACCTGTAATCCCAGCATTTTGGGAGGCCATGGCAGGAAAATTGCTTCAGGCCAGAAGTTTGAGACTAGTCTGGGCAATGTAGTGAGCCCCATTTCTCCAAAAATATAAATAAACAAAAAATTAGCTGGGCACGGTGGCATGCACCAGTAGTCTCAGCTACTCAGGAGGCTGAGGTGGGAGTATTGCTTGAGCCCAGGAGTTCAGGCCGCAGTGAGCTAGTATTGTGCCACTTCATCCTAGCCTGGATGACAGAACAAGGCCCTGTGTATAGGCAGGGGAAAGAGTGAAGAGTGAAGAGTTTAGGATCCTGGGAAATTACTGAGAAAATTGCCTGATGGAAACTAAGTCTGGATCACAACTCTCATGCTTGCTGATCATATGACCTGGACAGGTCCCTTCGTCTTCCTGCTCCACAGTTTCCCATTTGAAAGATAACAGGATTGTATAGTTAATGTGGTCCATCCCTCCCAGCCTTAAGCACTCTGTGACTCCTCTTTTGTTAACCATCGTAACAACAATGATGGTCTCAACTGGTCTCGTGGGCACCCTAACTCAGCCATGCACGGTACCGGCATCATTTCCCCAGGATCACAGCATCAAGGCAACTTGGCAAAACTGGAAATAGTAGAGAGAAAAACAGAAGGAACCTACCCTCAGACTTTCTGTAGGAATTTTAGCCCTGAATTATGATGGAAGAGCAATACAAGTACCCTGTAATATTTTATATACTTATTCCAAATATTAGAATGCTTTGAGGAAATAGTGAGGCTTTCAAAGTCAAAACAAAACCTATTTTGAAAGAAAAAACTCACTGTTAATGTTTATGTACTTCTTGAAAGTAAAATCAAGCCCGAGGATTTTTCCTCTGAGATTTCTGCAACAGCCAAAGACAAATATAACTCCTTTGACAAATAACCATTCGTATTATATAATGACTAAAAGAAAAAGTCTTGTCACAAAATCTAATCTTGGGAAAGAACATGCTTTGTCTGCATTAAATAGCAATAAAGGAACCAACATCTGTCATTTCTGTCATTTATGTATTTGATTGCTTTACCAATAGCTCTATGAAAGGATGTGTGATAGACCCGATTGGCATTTGGTCCTCTCCTTTCAGGTTAAGAAATTTAAAGTAACTCTTGAACCCCATGCCAAAAGACAGTTATCTTTAAAGTTATCTTTTGCTTGTGACTCCGCCCCAAAACATGAGACATGTATCCTACTTGTCAGCCCTTCCAGGGCTGTGGCTGATACCAAGAGGAAATATTTCAAAGCAAACAGCAACAGTATTTGATGTCAGAAGTGAAAATAAACCAATTCCGCATTTTTGAGGCTCCCAAAGTTATAGCTAGCAATTCAGTTCTAACAGTAGCTTTACTGCCCTTTTCTGAGGCTGATATTAAAGCCTCATAGTAAGATAATAAATTTCATCATTTTAAGTAGAAAAAAAATTCAATTGCTGATTCACTATTAAATCTTTTCCTACAGAGTTAGTTTTCTCTGGTGTGGTAGCTATAGTGCTCTTCCCAGATTTTCTGAATTTTTTCCTTTAACTTTTTTTTTAAGTTCAGGGGTACATGTGCGGGATGTGCAGGTTTGTTACATAAATAAATGTGTGTCATACGGGTGGTTGTACAGGTTATTTCATCACCCAAGTATTAAGCCTAGTGTCCATTAGTTATTCTTCCTGCTTCTCTCCCTCCTCCTACCTTCCACCCTCTGATAGGCCCCAGTGTGTGTTGTTCCAAAATGACCAGAAGCAGTTTACTAATAAAAATAATAGTACCATCCTCAGTGGAGAAGAACACTAGTTTTCCAAAGGCTGTTTAACTATTTAATGCTTAGTAACCTCTGTAGAGATTATATCAATCCGTAACTCAAGAACCCAAGAATACACTGGTTTTACTCCACCAAAACTGTGTCCTGGATATATTGATTTGACAAAGTTTTGGGATGACAGTGGGCCACCATCACCAAATGCATTTTCAATAAATGTAAATTATGCTTCATTTGGCCCTGTTATCGTACCAAATGGCAGTAGAATAGTATTGAAATGTCTTTTCTTAAAGGACTATACAAGTCATCAAGGCTTGCCAATGTGAGTAATTCTGACTCCCTGTCATGACTCAGACATATTATAAAATTAAGTGTACAAATATATACAAACTCAAATAGAAATAATGACTGGGTTACATGAAGTATCATAAATAATGAATTATAATAAAAACTTTGGGTATATATAAATTTTATTATAAGCAAAAGTAGTGTGGAAAAAACTAATTCCTAGACTTGCAAATCCCAAAGATATTATATTTGTATACAGAACTGTACAATAAAAATCAAACCATTAGGTAATGGAAGCTTTTGAACTTGTTCATAAACCAAAAACATTCAATTATGTTAAACATTTAGTATTTTATTGTGATAATAGATGACATTTACTGAATATGAAATAAAAGCTAGATTCCATATTCCGTACCTTAAACTGCACTCTCCTAATTAATCTTCATTCAACTCTCAGAGTGAAATAATTTTATAAGCATTTTAGAGGTTAATTTCTCACAATCATGCACGTTCTGGATATCCTCAAACCTAAGTGTCTCATCTCCACCTACTATGACCCTTGTTTCTGGCCTTTCTTTTCTTTCAAAAGTGGCTTGTGCTGAGTTTTCTATCAAGACTTGAAAAGGTTTCTGACTGGACAGCAGACAGATAATTAATGTGAAAGTAATCATGTGGGTTATAGGCATGATGCACAGCCCTGTTTGATAATATTTGTATTTTAACAAGGTCCTTTTTGGTTTTGTGCAAGTAGGAATATCCCACTTCTTGGAACGCCATTGAAAAACTTTTGAGAACATGAGCCCTCTAACGAATGAATGAAGGTATTAGTTGGGACTCTACAAGTAACAAAATCTAGCCTTCAAACTTCACAATTTCCTTAACAAGAAAGAACTGGCTAAAGGACTTTCAAATCAGGTGCTTAAAAGCTCCGATCACTGGCTAAAGACAGGTGTCCACCACTGGACAATCCAACTGTGACCAAGGAATTAGAAGTTGACACCCTCTATTCATTCTCTGAAGATTGTTCTTTGCATTATTTCCCATTCATAGCAACCTGACTTAAAGTGGCTGAAAGTGAGGTGTGCTTAAGCAGAACTTCTTTAAAATTTACATGAATTTGATTTCAAGTGTCTTCAAATCAGAAGTAATGATCCCAGTGCAAGACAAAGCATTTAACTTTTAAGATACTTAATGGCCACTTTGACAATACGGGAAGCATTCCACATGCTTGGACACAATTTCCAGCTCTAACACTCCATAACCACGCAAGCTTTGGTATGCTGCACGCTCTCCAAACAGTATGGCTACCCTGAGGCTCTGAATAAAACCTTGGACACTTTATATGTTCCTCCTTCACAGAGCAAAAGAAACAAAACCAATTAGATTTAAATTTACATGTACACACACACACACAATCCCCAACTTCTTAGAGGAGTTAATGCAGCCCTTAAATGATAGATTTATTTCCTTTCTGTGGCTCACACACACTGCTGAAAACTTGGCTCAGACTGTGATGCATTTGACAAGGCCAGCATCACTTGGGGCAATACAGAAAAAGGGTTGCTTATATTTTATTCCCTCCAATTCAGCTCTTTTCTCTCTTGCTATGCTTCTTTATTGCCTTCCAAATTCAGACTCTCACTTACAACCTTCTCTTATTCATGAACATTAAAAATCCAGCGATTTTTATCCTAAAACCCACTTGGGTATTCTGTAAGGAGAGTAAGAGGCAATGGAGGGGCAGTAAGCAATAATTGCCATCTTATTTTGTCTATTATCTGCTGCAATATTTTAAGCAGAACAACTCCCTTTCAGACTCTTTCTTTGTGATGATTTCAGAAAAAAAAAAAAAAAGATGACAAAGCAACTTGCTTTTAAAGAGAGGAAAAAGAGGTCGTGATTAATTCCTGTTAGAAATCCTCTCATTTTAAGAGCAGACTGGGTTATCCTTATAATACATCAGGATTTGGTCCCGAGAGAGCTGTCAGCTGACCTCACAGGAAGCTTCTTGAAGCTGAAGGCTGTTCGTGCTGTCACTAAATGCTGACCCGCCGTTGTATTCTAAATCACTGCACACAGTGCTCTTTGAAAACCAAACGTGTAGTTCGGACATTATTGAGCTATTCCTTCAGCTCTTCAGAAAACAATTGCAAAGCAGCCGCAACACAAGTTAACTTCTTTGAAATTGAAGTAATCGGTCATTACAGTTTATTCTGTGTGAATATTGATTTGCTATCTAGTTCCTTCAATCTTTATAATGTAGTTGTTTTAGCCAACTTCTGGTTCTCAGATCCTAGTAAAACTACCGTGCTTCAAGAGCTCTTATTCTGCCATTTGCAACTGTAGCAAAAATAGCACTAGAAAATACGTCTCGGAGATCCTGCATTTTAATCCCAGCCTCGTTCTTCCTAGCCATTTAATAATGCAGAATTATCTTCCCTGTCTGTAAAAATGGACATGATAGTGGCCCTCCTTTGACCTTGCAGAGTAACTACATGATTTAAACAAAAATGCCAGTCATCCTTGATAAATAGTGTTCCCTAAAAACAAAAAAGAAAAATTACATATATATGTATATACACACACACACACACACAAACACACACACGCAGCATGATAAATTTTTTTCCACTATACCGTATGTCTTATGTTAGATTACATGGCTTGTATCTAATAATAATTTTGTTTTCCAGTTTTAAAAAGAGAATCAGGCCAAGGCAGGTGGATCGTGAGGTCAGGAGTTCAAGACCAGCCTGACCAAAATGGTGAAACCCCATCTCTACTGAAAATACAAACATTAGCTGGCATGGTGGTGGATGCCTGTAATCCCAGCTACTTGGGAGGCTGAGGCAGAGAATTGCTTGAACCTGGGAGGTGGAGGTTGCAGTGAGCTGAGATAGTGCCACCGCACTCCAGCCTGGGCGACAGAGCGAGACTCCGTCTCAAAAAAAATAAAAAGAGAGAATTAGCATTTACTTAAAAAAAATAACAAGTATACTTAAAAGAGCTGCAAGCACCAAGTTCCTATATATAACAATTAACATAAATACTATTTCCATACATGCATTTGATATAAAAATTGAAAAAGGGCTGGGTATAGTAGCTCACCCCTATAATCCTAGCATTTTGGGAAGCCAAGGTGGGAAGATTGCTGGAGCCCAGGAGTTTCAGACCAGCGTGGGCAATATGGCAAGAACCCACTCTACTAAAATTTTCTAAAAATTAGCTTGGTGTGGTGGTGTGTGCCTGTAGTCCCAGCTACTCAGGAGGCTCAGGTGGGAGTATCACTTGAGCCCTGGGGGTCAAAGCTGCAATGAGCCATGATTGTGCTATTGCACTGCAGCCTGGTCAACAGAGTGAGACCCTGTGTCTAAAAATAAATGAATCAATGAATGAATGAATTAATATCGAACCCATTTAAAAATCTTGGAGGACTATTTTCTTTGCTAAAAAAAGTAATTTTTTTATGTACTATTTTTACAAGGGAATCAGAATGTTCAAGGTATGTCATCATCATAAAAAGAATTTGCAGGTGACTCTTTTTCAGGGAGCCATACTCAGATTTGATTTAACTGTTCAAAAGCAAAAAATTGTTTTAAAGTTAGAGTCAAAGAGCTCATAATATAATATTGCAAATTTTCTAAAAGTTATTTCAGATATCAAATGGCTTCTATCTGCATATTCATTGCTTCAGAGGTTCATTTGGTTGGTTGGTTCCATGAGCAAAGACCTGTAGTAGTAAATCTCTATCAATGCAATAAGACACTTATAACAAAAGTTGTTTCTTCCTTTAGTGATTTCAGAAGTAAACTGAATTAGGAATATCATCATTATGGCAGCTAGCTCTTCCATTTTCTTTTTCTTTTTTTTTAAGGATAGCTTCCAAATATTTCTTAAAATTATTGTGTGAAAGCCCAAAAGTAGACAAACAGCAGCACAGACAAGAAGTGCATGGCTAGATACATGATCTCATCAGCAGGACGACAGGGCTGGCTAAATGGAACCCCAGCCAGGCCCTTATGGCCATGCAGAGAAATGATAATTCCTGCTGCAGGCCCAAATCAATCTGACAGAACATCGCATCACAAAATTAGAATTTTGAGGAAAGAGAACAGAAAGTCTGTATTCCTGACTCTCTATTTCAAAATCTGGCACCTAGAAATTCTGAGTGTTGATCAAGGTAAAAGAAAATGTTGTGTATAAAAATGCTTCAGAAACTCTAGAGTCCTGTATGAGTATGAAAAATTCTTACCACAAATGGATTCAGAAGGCACAGCTTTGGTTTGAGGTTTGGCGGTGAGGAGGTGATAATAGTGATCACAGATGGAGTTTCTAAGTTGACAGCAAATTTCAGTTATCATCCATTTCCAAGCAATCCTGTGAACACAAGTATGTCCTGCTCAAAGTTTGAAATTGTGTCAACCAGAAGACAAATGAGACAAACCATTTTTTTAAAAAATGCAAGTTTCATGGATAAACAAATGTGGTATATTCATAAAGTGGAACCATATTCAATACTAAGCAAAAAAGCATTATGGTAGATCAACATGTTGAATCTAAAAAATGTATATTGAACAAAAAGAGCAAGACATATAAATGAAACAAACAAAAGAGAACATACTGTATGATTCCATTTATATGAAGCTCAAGAATGTCCAAATGAATCTATAGTAATGGAAATCCCCATAGTTACGAGGTCAGGAGGGTAGAATTGGCATATTGAGTACAAAGGGGCATGAAGGAACTGTCTGAGGCAAAGGAAAGTGGTCTATGTCTTTATTAGGTATTGTTTACACGGATAAGTACATGTGTCAAACCTCATCTCATTCTATGCTTAACATCTGTACATTTCTCTATTCATACATACACTTAACCTCAACATGTTTTGTAAAAGGTCAACTTTCCCTTCTTCTCTCTTCGTGTTTCTTCTCCTTCACCCCTCCTCCTCCTCCCTATTCTCCTTCTCTCTCTCTCTCTCTCTGTATCCACAAACACACTAGCCTTCCTATTTAACCTAGTTTCTCTCCTGACCTCTTCTAGTCCCTGAGGAAGTAAAGCCCTTTCTCTTTAATTTCTATGAATATTAACCTAGGTTTTGGCTGGATTAACCCTACCCAGTCCTTTGAAATTCAGAGCAGAAACCTCCCTGAACTAGGGTCTGTCTTCCCTGAGCCTATGTTTCTAAGAGTTTCTCTCACTCTCAGGGAGGGAACATGGCATTGAAGGGCTGGATGGGGCAGAAGGCATTGGAGAGGGCAAGGCAAAGGAGAACAGGAGTCCTTCAGAGCTCTGCTGCAAGCCCCTGTGGAACACTGATGTGCTTTTGCATAATTCAGCTAATCAAATTGAGTAATTATATTAAAGTAACTTATTAACACGGATTTTTGGCATATTAGACCAGAAGGACCTTTTCTTGACAACTTGCTATATTACTGACAGAAACCACTTTCAGAATCTCTAGGACTTGGGAAGTTCACCAAAACCCAACTTACCTACTAAAGTTGATGGATCTTAGATCAAGATGAAATTCCAATGTAAAATAAATGGTCTCAGTGATTTCTGAAGAATATTCCATAGTCAGACATACAGAAATGCCGTGATTTACTCTCTTGGCACATCTCTATCTATCTATCTCACTAGACATCAAACTGGAACTGTTGACAATAGTTATCTCTGGAAAGAGAAATAATAGAAAGCCTTCTTTATCTTATTCATCTCTGTATTTATTTGTGGTTTTGCTTTTACAGTTACTATGTTGTTTTTTATAATCATAAAAAGACTAAAGATACCATAAAATACTTCTACAATAAGATGGAGATGAGTGGGTAATTATAACAGTTTATACCCACTTTGTGGCCCTCATTTTGAAAAAATAAATAAATCTGAGCAGACTTTTCAAAAAAAAGTAGTAAAAACCATTTGAAACCAAAAAAAAGCCTGACATAAACAGAAGTTCCTGCTCTTCTGTTTTGATTTCCAAGATGGCAGCTGTGTAAGCATTAACGAGACATGCGGCTTTAGAGGGAAGAAACTGATCCACGTCTGTAACATTTTCTTAATATGTCAACATTTTGGTTTTGCAATATGGTAGATAACATGGAGCCTCTGAATTGCTAGGCCTGCTTGCTATTTCTACAAAGATTAACACGGCATTCAGTCAATCCTTCGAGCCTCCATTTTTAAATATAATATTGAAATGAGAAGGTCCGATTTTGAGAAGGGCTCAGCTGAGCAGGTGCCTCCCTGAAATATAATGGAAGTTTGGTACTTGAGCTTTGAACATTCCATTGAATTAGAAAACCAGAGATACCAGTGAATTGATGAGTTCGTTTAGTGCCACATTCTGCCAAAATATCTGTGCAATATTGGACTTCAAAATGCAACATGAGCAAAAGCTAAAAGTCATCATGAATAATTCAGATCACATCTGAATGTTTGTCACACTAGAAAAAGAAAAATATTTTATCTTAAACAGGAGAGAGTATTTAGCATAAAAAATCATTACGTGGGAACAAAACCAAACAAAAGCACTTTAGAACACATACCCTGTGCTCAGATATCTGAGAGAACTTCTAGTTTAACTTGACATAGCACATGAATTGGCATCCTTTCCTTACCACCTTTTGTTCCAAGGAAGTAACATTGACACTTCAGTGTCAGTCAAACAACTCTTCTTGCAGTGTCTGCCATGTGTCAGCACTGTGTGACACACAAAAAAGATGCAAGGCATGGCCCAGACCCTAGTGCTTGAGTAAAGAATGCCACAACAGAAAATCGAACACAGGATGGTGCTAAATGGTGTAATGCACACCATAAAACTATTGCAGAATTATATTATAACTACATGTGCCACAGCTTTGAGGGAACAAAGGGAGCATTAATTTCTTACCTGGCCCCATTTCCCTGCTCAATCAATCTTACACATCACTATCAGATACATCATCCTCAAATGCAGTTCCCATCACATTACTCTAGCTTAAAAACTCAAGTTACTCCCCAGTGACTTGTTTTTTGGAAAATCTTCACCCCTGATCTAATATGAGCCTTCAAATCACCTTACCAGCAACCTCCTGCTATTGTCCTCACTCAAGCATCTTCAGAGTCTAGGCAGGCAAGCTAAAATGTGCAGCAACCTGTTGCAAAACTACAGTGAGCATACAGACTAGGCAGAACATACCCAACAACATTCAGATTATAACTGAAAAAAGAAATCTTGCGCTAGTCTGCCATCAACCTGCTGAGATGCTACACTGCACCCCAGGATGGCATAGTAAGCCCTTGGCTCTACCATGAACACTGCTTTTCTTTCTCCTCACAACTTTAGTAGGTGCTCAATACATTTTCAATAAGCTAAATTGAAATTGCCATATAAGAAAATATTTTTAAAGCACTGCTCAATGTACTTAAAATAGATGTGGGGGAAAGTCACATGCATATAAGATATTTTTTTTTTAATTTTGAGACGGAGTCTCACTCTGTCACCAGGCTGGAGTGCAGTGGCACAATCTCAGCTCACTGCAACCTCCACCTCCCGGGTTCATGCGATTCTCCTGCCTCAGCCTCTCAAGTAGCTGGGATTCAGGTGCATGCCACCACACCCGGCTAATTTTTGTATTTTTAGTAGAGATGGGGTTTCACTATATTGGCCTGTATGTTCTCGAACTCCTGACCTCATGATCCGCCCGCCTTGGCCTCCCAAAGTGCTGGGATTACAGGCGTGAGCCACCGCGCCTAGCCAAGATTTTTTAAATTATTTACATGGCAATTAAAGAAGTGCCAAGTATATGTGGAAGTGCCAAGTGAGTGGTACCAGCAGTACCTGGTATAAGTTTCAAAGGAATGTGAGAGACGGCTTTGGGCAGAAAAGTAGGTATTGAGCTATGTATTGAAGGCTAATAGACTTTGGATATACAGGATGGTAAAGGAGGCATTTCAAGAAAGAAAGTTCTAATGTGTGACCTTGATGTTCACCTGTCCTCTCTGGGTAAAGGATCTCTCACCCGCATAATGAAAATAGCTAGTTGGATAATCTCTAAAGCCCAATTTCAGTAACATAAGTAAAGGCATAGTCCATGGTGTCTTTGGAGAGATATGTCATAGAGGTAAACACCTTGGGGATAGAAGTCAGACATTCCTGGTACTGCCACTTTCCACATGTGTAGCTTTGGAAAAGTTGCATAACTTATTTAAGACTCAATTATTTTCATTTATAAAATGAGAATAATACTAATTATGCACATTGCATTGGGTTGTTAGGGGGATTAAATTAAATAATGTATTAAGGTACTTTGTATAATACCTGGAGCAGAGTAAATTCCCTGTAAAATCTAGCTATTATTTTTACTATAAGAAACATGCCACAGCCTGGACAACATGGCAAAACCCTGTCTCCACAAAAAATACAAAAATTAGCTGGGTGTGGTGAAACATGCCCATAGTCCCAGCTACTCAGTAGGCTGAGATGGGAAAATTGACGGAGCCTAGAGGTCAAGGCTGTAGTGAGCCATGATTATATCACTGCACTCCAGCCTGAGCAACAGAGTAAGACCCTGAGACAGACAGAAAGACAAGAAAGACAGGAAGGAAGGAAGGAAGGAAGGAAGGAAGGAAGGAAGGAAGGAAGGAAGAAAGGAAGGAAGGAAGGAAGGAAGGAAAGAGAAGGAAGAGAAGAGATAGAAAGAAAGAGAGAGAGAGAGGGATAGATGCTGGTTGTACACAGTAGCTCATGCCTGTAATCACGTGAGGGTGATTACACTACAGCATGGATCATTTGATCGTGGGGGTTCAAGACCAGCCTGGGCAACATAGTTGTGTGTCTTATTTTCCCCCTTTCCGCCTCATGGAAGGAGGGAGGTGTTGCTCAGTACCCTGACCTAAAGCCAAGTGAGAGGGCCTCCAAGAGAATCACTTCGTGCATCAGGGTAACTGATATCTTCTCCCACAATTGGAAGTATATTTATATAGACTGCTAGATGATTTGCCTTCTGAGCCTCTTTGAGCTGAGGAAAAAAAATCCAAAAGAGGGGAGGGAAAGGAAGAAGCAGTGTGGCTGTGGAGCAGCTCCCAAGCTCACAATTTGACAAGGCAAAGCTGCTCCATGAGTTTCCTGTGGGTCAGATGGACATCGTGGAAGAGGAGGCAAGTTGAGCGATCTTGCGAGCAACAAGAGAGGCATACTCCAGGAGCAAGCTGCGGGGTACTACTTAGTCAGGGAATGAGACAGGATGAGAAGAGGTAGGTTCAGAATGGATCTTTTGCAAGAACCCCAGTCTCCGCAGAAAACTCACAACTCTCCCTCCCCAGAACCAACAGTTGAAGGCCTAGAACTCAGAAGGCATTGAATGTGATTGGTGTTAGAGAAACAGGACCGAGCCCAGAGGAAAGACTACAACAATAGCCACTAAAAAAAAAAACGTGTCCCTGTCCCCCTTCTCCTCCTCAACACACCAAAGGATCTATAGCCAGGAGAAGAAAGGAAGAGGAAGGCAACAGCTGGGAATATCTTCCCATCCTGAAGCTCTCCTAGACATGGATGAAGCCTGTGGAAGGACAAGAAAAAGTCTAAAATTGCTCTGGATGCTCTGAGAACTACAGCAACCAAAAATCTGAAAGCCATGGAACATGGCAAAACGTTGTCATTTCAATAAGTTCAGTTTGCTGAAGAAAGGATTGGAGAAAATAATATGGTTTAATGTGTGTGCCCCCAACAACATCAATTTCATTATAACCAGCCTAGAAGGATAATGAGAGAGGATTTTGGAAGGATAAACTGAGTCCAGATTGTAAGAATCTTGAATTATTAGGACTTGAAATTCATCCTGAAAGTAACAAGAACATTGAAGATTTGGGGCCAGGTCACTACAGGCCCCTATGAGAATTAATTGAGCTGTAGTCTGTGGGTAGATTGTAAGACACAGAGCCTAGAGGCATGGAGACTGGAGAGGAAGTTGTCATAATAATTTTGATGACTCATAGTAACTGGAGCCTACACCACAGGGACAACTGTTGAAACGGCATAAAAGAGATAAACAGCAGTGGCATTTTACATGCGGAATGAAAATATTTAGACAACCATCTAAATCTAGGGAGTAAGAATAAAGGATAATTCTAACTTGAGTTGAAGTTCTTCAACCTAGATTATGACTACCATTGGCCACTACTCCCTCATTTCTCCAACCCCTTACCTGGAAGAAAAAAAAAAATCTATGAATGGCGGTCATTTTGAAAGAAATATGAAGAGATGTGTGTGTCTTAGAGTCATTTCACCTTTCCAACTCATTAAAAACTTCTCCACTCCCTATCTGACATATTCCTCCCAAAAATGCTATTACCACCACCACAAATTCTTGCCTGCTCTGAAAATGCAGCTGGGGCATATGGTGGAATCTACTGAATGTGAAACAAAGGCGGTAAGGAAGGCTCATGGCTCTCTGAAAGATTCACTACAAGTCCAGAAATGTGAAAATGATCCAGATTTCCTGAATCTTAGATCAGATGTCATTTCAACACATCATAATAGTTGCTCTCTGCAGGTTCTCCTGAAGAAGGGAGGGTTTCATCATCTCCATACACACACTGCAGGAGCATTCTAACACCATCAACTGTAGAAACTAGCAGCAGAGGAAGTTTTTCCTGCACAACTTTCTTTTGTGTGTGTGTGTACAAGTTGAAGAGTTCAAACACAAGCACCCACTTCCACAATACTCACTGTGATGACTTCCACTGGCGTCAGGCTTGATGTTGGAGCAGACTATCTTAAGTACTTGCTTCAATCAAGATGCTAGGCGAGCATGAAGAAACCATAAGAAATCAATGTGTCCAATTTCTGGGATTCACAATTTCAGACCTGAACCAAGTCCAGCCACAGGCTATCTAGGGAGTCTCCTGGAAATTTGCTGCCCCCTCCTCACCTCATTCATTTATTCGCTCATGCAAAACATATTTACTAAAGACCTACTCTGTGCCACTCATTGTGCTCTCAACTGGAACACAGCAATGAACAAAATAGACCTTCCCTCAAGTTGCTCACAGCCTTGCATAGAAGGCACCAAAGACAAGAAAAGAGAAGGTGATATCTGATATAAATGAGCAGAGCCTGCTGTGGAAGTGATCAGCCAGCTTAGACTGGGAGGATGAGAAAGTGCTTCCCAGAATCAAGATGTAAGCTGAACCTAAGTAAGAAGGAGAAGTTAGTCAGGGGGAGTTAAGAAGTTATAAAATATTACATAGGCAAAAGTCACAAGACAAGAATGAACATAAGCATGGCTAAAAATGGCATAAGTGTGGAAGGTCAATGAACATCACTGGAGCCTAGAAAATGGGGGCATAGGGATGGGGTTGGCAGAGGAAGAGGGGTAAAAATAGAGAGGTCATACAGACATTCAGGACCCATATCAGCAATGAACATCTTTGTAAAGGAATTTGAGAAGAAATCAAGGGCCACACACAGCAATCAAATTTATTTGGGGGAGTGGGGCAGGTAATTTTGGAGACTAAATGAGAATGAACTAGAATTAGAGCACAACATGACTGGCAACTGGGAAAGCAATTAGATGGCATGAGGATGACAATAGTGTTGGAGTTATTGTGTAGGATGGCTCCAACACTATTGTCAAGGGCACTGGGCAGGCCTTGGTCTTGATCATAGGAAAGACATGAGGAAGGGACAGAAGCATCCTAGAGTAGAAGTATGGTGTGCTGTTTTAGGGCAGGAACTCTGCTTCTCCCAGTTAATTCAGTTAATTGCTGTGTGACCTTGGCCAAACTTCTTAAACCTCTGTGCTTTGGCTTACTTATTGGTAAAATAAAAATCAGGATAAGACCCTCTTTTTAGAGGGCTTGTGAAGATGGGCTAAAGTACATGAAGTGCTGAACTCTTGCCTGGCATATGTCAGGTGTTTTTATGAGTTAGGACGTAGTCTCAATTGCTGTAACAGAAGCCCAAAACTACAGTGGCTTATATAAGACAGAAGTGCATTTTTCTTATATCCAGGTACAAGCAGTGGTAGGAAGGTAAGCTGAATGGCCATGGACTCTTCTGCCTTGTTGCTCTGTAATCACTGGGATGAGGCACTCACCCACATGGTCCAGGATATCTCCACTCCAGCCAGTGTGGGGGTGGGGGGTGGGAAGGAAAAAGGACAGCATGTCCAAATTCTGCAGTTGTGCCTTTTAGTACAGAGAAGGTGAGAATGCATATCAGGGGACAATCAGCCACTAGCAATACTTGATATATGTTAATATTATAGAAAAATAGAAAGTGACTTCTCAAAGGAGAGGAGAAAAATAGAAAAAATTCATTTCTGTTGGGTGAGACTTGGTAAACTTGAAACATAAAAAGTTTTAAACTTAAAACATTTCCAATTTTATCAAAGGAGAAGGATTTAGACAAAACTATATTATATAAGGACAATGAGGAACTCAAAGGATTTATTTTCATGTAAAAGGGACATTGTAAGCGTAGGAGTACAGTCAGGCTGGTGGGAAAAACTTTAAAATGAAGTTATAGAATATAGACACAAATCTTCTTGGAAGGCTCGAAGATTTTGCAAAAGTCTTAGGACAGTGTTATGGCTGAAAGCAGTCTAATCCTTACCTTGTGTAAATAGTTCACAGTAGGTACAAAGGAATGCAGAGGAGTTTATCTAAATAGCTTGTTTACTCATGTGGTCCCAAGACCAACCTTTGATCAACTGCTGGTGCATAATTTCTCTCTACTCTGGGGAGTTAGCAACTGGGTCAATTACCCTCTAGTGGTGTTTACTCAAGACCTTTGTCATTTAATCTATACTGAATAAATGCGAGCTTCACTGGCTGAGGGGGCTGCCGCTGCTACTCTTTACAGCACCTTCCTTGGTATCTGTGAGGGGCTCAGACCCTTAGCCAGACTGACAGGCAGAATATCTGTGTCAGCATATATTATTCATCTGTCGTTGGGTCAGGGTCTGCGGGACAGCCCCCGCATGTAAGAATTAATTTAAGTACTATTACTTATTACTAATTAATAATTAAATATTATTAACTGTTTTCAAGGAGTTATTCTAATGAAGACTCTAATATTCATCCTAACATTGAAAGAAAAATGATTAAGCCCACAAGGGAATTAGTATGAATTACCCTTTTTATTGGCATGACATCGTGGAGTAAAATATTAATGATTTTCTTCTACTCATGAAACATCATCAAAAGAAAACAATGTCATGAATGTATATGCCTGTGTATGACCACTTGCTACAAGGCAGCTCAGGACAGGCAGCATTGAACAGGAGGCACTGGTCACTTCATGACTGCAATGGTTTGCTTTCCCCATGTGGCCATCCACGTAACTGCAGGTCACCCAGGGCCCTAAAGCTTTGTATCTTCAAATCCCAGATCATGATCCAGGGTCTATCTCTTTTCCAAAATGATGGATTATCAATTTGCTTTCTGTATTTATGACTTTTTTTTAAGACAGGGTCTTTGTCTCCCATACTGGAGTGCAGTGGCTCAATCATGGATCAATGCAGCCTTGACCTCCCAAGTTCATGTGATCCTCCCACCTCAGCCTCTGAGTAGCCCAGACTACAGGCATGCACCACCACGCCCGACTAAATTTTTTGTAGACATGGTGTTTTGCCATTTTGCTCAGGCTGGTCTCAACTCCTGGGTTCAAATGATCCTTCTATTTTGGCCTCCCAAAATGCTGGGATTACAGGCACGAGCCATAAAGCCCCACCCATTCTTGTTTTTAATATGGCCCTAGTGAGACCTCTATAGAAAACTTCAAATGACATCTCCATACCTCTGAGTAATATGAATCTCCTGCTTCAAAGTTAACTTATTCTTTTCTTAAATTTACTTTTTCCCTCCAGACCGCATGGGTCATTTTTACTTCTTTAAGGATTGACCAAGAGCAAAATTAACAACCCTAACTGCCTGTGACTTAAACAGGGAGAGATCTATGACTTTTTGTGGACAGGGCATTTTCATAAGCAGGAATATCTTATACATTAAGCTAAGAGAAGAACCCTGTGGGGAGCAGACTGCATAGGCCGGGCCTCCTTAGTCTCCTTCTCACCTGACCCCTAGGGCACAAGTCAGTATTGACCCAGCATTCACCTCCACATCCAGCAAAGATCACCCAGGGACAGATCCTCCAGTGAATTTTTTCCACCTACTTTATTTGCTTAAATTAGTCCTTTTGTTATAAAGAACCATAGACTGGCATTTCAAATGGTCCCTGGCTGGGTTTTGTGCGGATCAGTCCAAGAATGTAATACAATTGCTCCTCCAATTGCTCTCAGGGAAAGTGCATTGCAATGTCCTCCACTCCCAACAGCCTGCCTGCAAATTCAGGGTGGTCAGCAGAAACTTCTGGGGATTAGAGAGCAGCTCCCTGGCCATTTCCCATTGATAGTTTAATATGATAAAAGCTTGTGGCCAGGAATGGTGGCTTATGTCTGTAATCCCAGCACTTTGGGAGGCCAAGGCAGAAAGATCGCTTGAGCCCAGGAATTCAAGACCAGTCTGGGCAACATAGGTAGACCCCTCCTCTACAAATATATATTTTTTTAATTAGCTAGGAATGGTGGCAGGTGCCTGTGGTCCCAGCTACTTGGGAGGCTGAGGCAGAGGAATTGCCTGAGCCTGGGAGATCCAGGCTGCAGTGAGGCATGGGAGCACCACTGCACTCCAGCCTGGGTGACAGAGCAAGATCCTGTCTCAAAAAATTAAAAAATAAAACAAAATTTGTTATTTAACCTTGAACAAGAAAGGCAAGAGCAAACCTTAGCAAAATAATGCAAAAGTTATTATTTTACAGGAAATAGGATTCAAATCATATTAATAGGCAGGAAGGAAATCAATCCTCACAGTGGCAAGGTGAGTTTATTCTTGGAGATTTAAGAAAAAATACAGCCATCATCCACAGGACCAGAGTTCCCTGCCCCCGCAATCCTATCCCATCCCTCTGTCAATTACTCATAACTTTCTCACCTGCAAAGTCTTTTCTCACCAGAAAAGAAAGACATTGATTTTCAGTGGATACCTCGAGCCTTCAGAATTAGTAAAGAACTGCAGAAGTTGTAAAGCGGCTTTCACTAATCTGTACAGACAGACGCTGGGCTGCGGAGAGAGGGAGGCAGGATGTGGATGCCTCCCTAAGAAGGGCTTAAGTAATGGAAGCAATTTCATCAAAATCAAACGTTGTTAATGTTTTATCTGATACCTAAAAATTCTAGTTCATTATAGTTTTTTTGTTCCTATTGTTACTATAGATGTTTTCTCATGTTTATTGTTCATTGCTTATTTGTGTTCCTGTACCAGCATATTTGTATTCCTTGACCTCCAGTATGATATCTGATATTTTATAACAGTAATGAGAGTGAGCATCCTTGCCTTTTTCCTAAATTTACTGGAAATTCCTCTATTGTTTCTCACTGAAATATGATTTCAACTGTTAATTGCTGATAAAATGTTGCTTTTAAATTAAGCCATATGATTTCCAAGTTACTGAGGATGTTCCTCAGAAATGGATGTTGAACTTCATCAAATGGCCTTTTTAGCAACTATCATATACTTTGACTCCTTAATTACTGATACAGTGAACAACCTGAAACCATTTCCAAATGTTGACCCATCTTTACATTTCTGAAATATGGCATAGTGTGGTTTTAAGGTTCTGCTAGATTATGTTAGATGATGGTTTTACATATTTTTGGTTCTGTGTTCATATGTAAGAAAAGTCTGTAAATTTATTTTTTAGTGCTATCTTTCAACACTCTCAGAATTAGTGACTTACCACTTTCATAGAATGAGTTGTTAATTTGTATGAATGAGTAAATTTCTAGCAACTAATTTATCTATGCTTTGCAGTAGCTTCAATGTCTTGAATTTTCTGTGCCTCGAAGATTCGATTGGATTGGATTTACTGCTCAGACATTGGATCTGGTGCCTGCGGGTCAGGGGCAAGCTGGGAGAAAGAACTCTGTCTTTCCTTATTGTTTCTAACTATTCTTGAACCCAAATTGCTAATATTTTCACAAGAGTTACTTATCTAAGCCACATTTTAAAACGCATTGGTATAAATGTATAGTTGGTATTCATTTAAACTTGTTAAATCTCTTTATTCTCTGAGTAAACACCTCCTCATTACTGATGTTGCATATTGTGTTGTCTATGTGGTCTTCTTAAACAGCTCTGAAGACAATATTTTTGCTTTCCATTTTATTAATTTTTGCTTTTATCTTCATTAGTTGTGTTTATTCCTTTAGCATTGCAATTCATCTGCCTTCTGAAGTGAAATGTATAGCACATATATTTTAAATCTTTCAAAACTTGAAAGGTTTAATGTTTTGTCTTCACTGCCACATATTTCTAAGCATTTATTAATTTATTTTTATGTGATATAACCACATCACAAATAACGTGTAGGTACTGAAGAATAGCAGTTGAAAAGTTTTCTCTACTATCCCTGTTTACCACATACTTTTTACTTACCTCTTTAATCTGAGTTTTTAGAAGTTTATTTTTAAAAATTATTTCTTTGTGGTAATTCTACTGTCTTCCTTGACTTTGTTTTGTTTTTGCCATCTTTTAGTTATTTATTTGTTATTCTATTGTATAGGTTCAGAATTTCTACTCTGGGAACTTTATTCACACTTTTCTTTTGGCTTGATATGTAATCAATTTTTTGTATGTGAATATTTCACAGTCAACTTACATTTAACTGGAGCCAATTTTTATAAAACTTCTATATCCATAACTCAAAATAAAATAAATATAAATATACTTTTAGATATACATTTTCAAAGCTATATTAAAATACAGTGTATGATTTTAAATAGATTTTTATTGATTATTAAATTATGGAGTTCAGCGGATCTTAATACTGAAGCCTTCAGCATTTATTTGCTCTCCTACTCATGTCACTGTTATGGGCTAAATTTTTTCCCCATCAAAATTCATATGTTGAGATCCTAACACCCAACACCTATAAGCCTATTTGAAGATAAAGTCTTTAAAGAGGTGATTAAGTTAAAATGAGGCCTTTAGGTTGGGGCCCTAATCTAATATGACTGGTGTCCTTAGAAGAAGAAGAGACACCAGGGGCTCATGCACACAAAAAAGGTCAAGTCGGACTCAATGGGAAGGCAGCCATCTGCAAGCCAGGGAGAGAGGCCTCAGGAAAAACCAAACCTGCTGACACCTTGATCTTGGATTTCCAGCCTCCAAAACCGTGAGAAACTAAGTTTCAGCTGCTTAAGCCTCCCTGTCTGTATTCTGTCAGCCCGAGTGGACTAATGCGGTCACTCAATGGAATGAAGTTCCTGCCACAGCTTTATGACTGAGGCCAAATGCATTTGCTATTCATCAGTCACACCTGCACTGTTGATATTCTTAAGCTACAGAAATGTTTCTCAGTACTTAAATATCCATCAAAGTAGAAAAATAAAAAATAGTACAAATTCAATCAATTTATTCATTTGTGTAACTTGACTGTTCCCAACAGACTTTATCTCATTGCTCATTCTTTTCTCTCTGCCTAAAATTTACCAAACCACAGCTGAACAAATTGAGGTTGGTAGTTGGTCCAAGGCTAAGAATTCGGGACTTCTGACCCCTGGTTAATGCCCTTTTGTACTTACTACACCATTCATTATATAGACTCAGATTTGTCTAGAATATTTACTTTTCTCTCTACCCTTACAAACCGAATTGCATGATAGTCAAACAACTGCCTTTCATGCTTTCTGAAATGAATACTTCTGAAGCCTGTCATATGGTCTCCAATGCCATTTTATCCAGAATAAATCAGGGTTACTTTATTACAAATAACACAATCTAGGAAGAGGGTATTTCTTCAGGGACATCTGTATCTACGATTCTGCAAATACTATCGGTTTCTTCAGTTCAATCCTCTTCTGATGAAAAAGGGAAAGAATTTCTTAGATCTGAAATATGTAAGGATATAGCCTAGGTAGAGAGAATGTTGAAAGTTTAAAACTGAAATTCACAGGAACTACTTGAGGCCTATATTGCCTTTAATATTCCTTTGACTAAAAGTCATTATATAATCATGCAATAAGTCTGCGCTATGAATCAATGGAATTCATATTAGGTAGCTTTCTTTGAAAGAGGTTAAGAGAAAGAATGGGATTGAGAAAGAGTAAACTGAGGAAAAAGTATTGGTTGATTTTGCCTGTCTGACACAACTTTTATTATTATTTTCCTTTCCAGAATCACTAAAGATAATGCAGATAAGCAAAAGGAAGAAAATACTCATTTGTGATCACACCAACCTCAGTAATAAATAATATTGCTTATGGACATATTTTCAGTCAGTTTTCAATAAATATTGTTTTTCAATAAAATTCTGCTTGAATTGGTGTTTTAGGTTGGATTTCCTTGGAAAAAGACCTAGAGACAGGGATTCAAGTGCTGGTCATTTATGTGGGTGAAGATGTCAGGAGACACAGAAAGGACAGTGGAAAAGTAAAACAAGGCATAGAAAGCAGCCAAAAAAGTGTATGTACAAGGACATTACCACTGTGGTAGCTGAAATGTTCCAAATGAGGAACTCTGGCAGCCAGCATGGAACATGGACCTCAAAGTTGTCTTAACAAAGTGGTGAGTAACCTCACCACTGGGGCTACATCGTGGACTCCACCAGTTATTGAATGAGTGTTCATCAAGGGGCATCACTGGCCTGCTAAGCACATGGGCAAAGAAAATTTAGACAAAGAGAAGTCGATGCTGGAAATTAGAAGCACAGTAAGCACATGCTGGAATAGTGAGGGTGAAGATACACAAGTGTGGCATACATAATACATAGCATCTGTTACAAATATAATGTTGTCTGGCAACCTGCTTTGTTCATTTATTACACCTTGAATCTTCTATGGAGTATTAAATGCTCTGAGTATGATATTAATTATCAATCCTTTTGGCTACATACTAGTCTATTGAATGATTGCACAAATCTCTGATTGTTGACACTTGAGGATTCCACTTTTTCATTATAATATACAAATTGTGATAAGCATTCTTGTATTAAAATCTGTTGTGCCTGTATAACAATATCATTATGATAAACAGCTATCACTTGAATTACTGCATCAAGGGATATGTAACAGTTTATGACTTTTGATTTGTATCACAAAGTTGATCTTTAGAAAGATTGTACTAATTTACACAATTAGAAATGTGTGTCACTTCTGCAGTTTCCTGCCCAATACTGATCTGAAGGGTGAGGCCAACCTACATAGACTTGGGGATGACTCTGCCGCCCCAGACAGCCTGGAGGGTAGAGCATCAGTCCAAAGAGGAGTAGTCTCAGGCCTTAAGATCTGATAGAATTTGCCTTGCTAGGCTTTGGTCTTGCTTGGGACCTGTCACCTCTTTCTTCCTTCTGGTTTCTCCATTTGCAGTGGGAATGTCTATCCTAGGCCTGTCCACCATTGTATTTTGAAAGCACATTAACTTGTCTCATTTTACAGGTTTATAGCTGGAGAGAAATTTTACCTCAGGATGAATCATACCTACAGTCTCCCCTATATCTGATTTAGGTGATATTTAGATGAGACTTTGGACTTTAGAGTTGATGCTGGAATTAGTTAAAACTTGGAGGGCCACTGGGATGAAATGAATGTATTTTACATGCAAGAAGGACTTGAATTTGGGGGAGCCAGGGACAGAATGCTACAGACTAGATGTTGTTACCCCTCAAATCATATGCTGGAGCCCTAACCTAAAAAGTGATGTTACTTACAGATGGAGTCTTTGAGAGACAATTAGGTTTAAGATGAGGTCCTGAAGCCCCCAAGACACCAGAGAGATTGCTTTCGCTCTGTCTCCCCAACGTGAGTGTGGCAGGCCAGGTTTCTAGTAGCAACCAGAACAGTCGGTTTCCACTAACCTTTTACTATAATTTTGATGAATGCATAAGTTAAACATTAAAGAACTGGAGAAACTGGGTGTATGAGGGCAGGAATGTGAAAACAAACCTATTAAGACCCTGCCTGGGTTTTCTCAGACCCTAAAGTCTGATAGAATAATAGCATTCTTAAACATGCACTTTGTACCAGAACACACTTAAGAAACTTTCCAAGACTCTAGAGAAAGCTTTCCAGACCCCAGGCTCTAGTTAAAGATTAGATATAGATTGAATGAAACACTCCTGCTTATGGCCGCACTCCCACATGTAGGCATTGAGCTTAAAATATACACGAGCACTAGAAAAAAACTTGTAATTTTGAGTCTGTCTGGTGATTTACTCTGACTTTCTCCCTGTAACCAGTTGCAGAAATAAACACCCTTGTTCCAAGTCTGTCTGCATCTGGTTATTGGACCACGAGAACAAGCAGCTGGACCTCATTCTGTGCAGGAAAATGAGCACATAGCAAGAAGGTGGCTGTCTACAAGCCAGGAATAGAGCCCTTTCCAGAATTCGATCATGCTGCCACTCTGATCTTGGACTTCTAGCCTCCAAAACTGTGAAAAATAAATTTCTGTTGTTTAAGCTACCCAGTCTATGGTATTTTGTTATAGCAGCCCAAGCAGACTAATACATCTGGTGTCATTTCACAGCCGAGATTTAATGCCTCCTGATGATACACTGGCTAGTAGCAACATACCAGGCAAGGACTGAGTTGGAGGGACAAGATAGTGGAGCTGGTGGGAATTATGGGGAGTTAGTGTGGGTGAACTTCAACTAATACAAAACAAGAGACAAGAGAAAGGTAGGCAGTTGCATTTCTCCCTTTTACCTATCTTCCATGGACTACTCTGAGGTTATGATTCCTCTTTACAATTCTTCTGGAGAGGTAATGAAGGCCAAGCTAACATGCCCACTGAGCAATGTGCTGGATCTGCTTCCAACTCATTGTGTTTCATGTCTTTCTTTACCTCACTTTTCTTTTTTCTTTTATCTTAACACACATGTGTTTGCACCTCTATAGGCAGCAATACTTTAATTGTTGCCCCAGGCTCTGTTTTCTAGACGACCCATGCTAAGAAATGAGTTTTTGACAAGCACCATATACTGCTTCTCAGCCTTTTGACTAAGAACAAGTGTGATAAAGATGATATATTTTTATTATGATAGAAAGAAATCCAATGAACTTATAAAAAAACAAAAATAACAACACGCAAAAAATATGGAGTTGAGTCATTTTATGTTTCAGATGGCTATTTAATACCATTATCTTTTAGAAAGCAAGTGATAAAGTTTCCAATTATATCCTTGTATAAACACAAAGACTGAATAATAAAACATACTTGATTCGATTCTTACCTTTTAGATAACTATACCCAAGTAATACAAATTAATTACAAAGTATAAACTTAGCAGGAGGTCTCACATATAGAGTCCTTGAACATATTCATTTTAATGCTTGTCATTGACATAAATTTATTTTAAATGCTAAACCAAATGTGCAAATAATATGAAATAAAGAGAAATATATGATATTTTGAATAAAATTAAGATTCAGAATGATGTCATTCTATAATGTAAAGTATCTCTAGCTTTCAGAGAATATTTAAATACATTGACAAGGTGAATTTTATCAAATATAAGTCTAAAGCCCCATATTTTGGTTCAGAAAATCAAATGTACATCAACTGGGTAGAAAGAACCTATTTCAGCAGCAAAGATTAAATCTAGGAACTTCAGTTGATCACAACATTTATGTGAATCTCCTCTTCAAGAAGATGCATCAATAATAGCACATTGTCCAGATGACCTGAAATAATAGTCTACCATGCTCAATTTTATAAGACTTTTTCAGGAATATTGATTGCAGCTCTGGAAGACAATGTAAGACTGTTAAAATTATCGACATATTCAGAAAAAAAGTCTAAAAGATTAAGGATCTGAAAAGCATGTTATACGAAGAGTGAATGGTTTGAAAGGATTAGGAATGTTTAACTTGGAGAGGCAAAGACTCCTGGGAGATTTCACAGCTATCTTCAAATAGGGCTATTTCAGGTCATTCTAAGAGAGATTCAGATTTCAGGTCATTCTAAGAGGGAAATTTCCAATGATGATGGCCAAGAATGGAATGAGAAACCCTATGGGGCAATTACCTCCCCATGACTGAAGCATCTAAATAGGGGTTGCATGACCAATTAATTCATTTATCATGATTCTGAATTGTGGCTAGGATGATGGACCAATGACTTCTACTGGTCCCTTCGATTGTGAGTTACCTCCCTGAGGATCCTCAAAATATCCTTCTTTAATTTTGAAATTTTTAACATTTTAGGTCATAAAAGCAACCTGTAAAATATTGCTTGAAAATGATATCATGTGAGTTATCACATGATATCATGATTATCATCTGAATCTAACCTCAATAAATTATTAAAGTAAAAAATCCACACACATATTGAAAGCTTAAGACAAAGAGATAACTATATAATACAATTGAACAACGTGCATTCTTACTTTAAATGTCATTGTCAACAAGGGGTCATCAATATCTAGAAAGAGAAGATGGTCTGTGCTGCTATAATTAGCAGAACTCAAATGTGATAGAGAATTCAGATAGACAAAAACATATCCGGATTTCTTATCAAAACTGGGGGAATCACAGCTAGTGTGGGAATTCCAAGGAGCAAGAGGACAGTGCAGATATTTCTCACCCTAAAGAACCAGAGAAAGACAAAACCGTAGGAGAACACATAGTCCAAAACCGTTAGAGAAAACAGATCCCCCAAGCCTGGAGTGAAATCAGAAGGATTCAGCAATGGAAATAATACAAATAGGTATCAGAAATGAGACGTGGAGCCAAGAATCTGGCCAGGGAGATAAAAGCAGGATCTGGGAAACAGCCTAGAACTGTCTTCCCTGGGTATCCATTTAGATGAAGTTTTCTGAATACGGGGTTGGAAGTTCATAGCATTAAAAATGAAAACTAAATATGAGTGTGTGTGTGTGTATGCCTGTACTTATTTTATAAATCATTCTTATCAAAGACTCCTTCAGTATAAGATTACAACCTTCCTTTTATCTTTTTCTTTTTTTGGTGTTTAATACCCTCTGTTTTATAAAATAATGATAAAGAATTTTGCAAAAACAATGCAAAGAATTTGTTTTGTTTAATGTTTTCAGTGGGAATAAGAAATATCGACAAACCTGGGCTATCCCTTCCATTAGTTTTTCTTGTAATTTCAGTAGTCTGTGAAATTTTAAAATCTGGAAATGGTTGGCCCAGAACATGCATTCATATTTGTAATTTTTGTGAGGTAGTCAGGATGATATATTTGGACCAAAGAAAAAAGTTTGAAAAGAATCAATTCATCTAGCAATAATTATACAAATTATTTCTATCACAAAACATTATTTTATTAACGATGAGACATTAAAAATTTTTAAATTAACATTAAAATATTACAAAGACTTCATAGGGTTCTTTTTTGTTTCATTTAGTTATTTTGGTAATGCTTTGGTGAATGCTAGTTAACTAGCTTTCTTCTTCTATGAGTTGTACATGCCCATTTACAAAACTCAAATAAGAAAAAAATAAAAGATAATTATTTTCAATATTTAGATTTATCAGACTTCAAATATTAATTACCATTACCCATAAATATATCTAAACACAATAATTTTTAATATTTTAATATCAAGTAAAATATATCTATGGCATAAAATGATAGTTTGAATCATGTGACTATGACCAAGTTATGCTGGGTAATTATTCCAACTACTGTATGAATATTTTGAGTATTAAAATGACTCCTTAATATTAACCATATGCATATTTATACTTATAAAATTTAAGAAGCAGTGTGTTAGCCATTAGGCCACAGATAAACATGTTTTTGTTTCTGAGCCTATTTCATTATCTGGGCCAGGTGTGGTGGCTCATGCCTGTAATCCCAGCACTTTGGGATGCTGAGGCGGGTGGATCATGAGGTCAGGAGTTCGAGACCAGCCTGACCAACACGGTGAAACCCCGTCTCTATGAAAAACACAAAAATTAGCTGCATGCGGTGAGGCATGCCTGTAATCCCAGCTAGTCAGAAGGCTGGGGAAGGAGAATAACTTGAACCCGGTAGGTGGAGGTTGCAATGAGCCAAGATCATGCCACTGCACTCCAACCTGGGCGACAGAGCGAGACACCATCTCAAAAAAAAAACAAACAAAAACAAAACAAAAAAAAACTCATTATGAGGAGAAAATGAGATAATGAATACACAACTGTAAGTTGTTTTTAATAAAAATTATATATCATGTCAAAATACTAAAGTGAAACCAAACATAATTTAACTTAATACTATTCCTAAGCAAACATTTAAAATGCATATCAAAATCTCAGTGTTTTATATTGTCTTCAATTTTCAATATGTAAATGTTATAGAGTTCCAATTGATGGAATGCTAGATAATATGTTGCCTACCTTATCTAGCCACCAAAATTATAGATGTACATATCAAAAATGAAGAAATTAAACATGACATATGACATTCATATAGAGGTTAAAATTATCATTTCAGCAAGAGCTAAATTAAAAGCCCTAAAACAATGTTTGTCATTTTCTTTTAATAACATGTTCCAAATTAAGAAAGCAGCATGTTAAGCATAAATCTTAATATATGAACTACCTTAGGGAATGAAATAAATTCTGGGTGACTAAGTTGTTTTAAAAATAACTCTGCATTCATTATTGTTAAATAATACTGAAGAAAATCTTAACATCAGCTCACCATTGTACTTTCAGTTTGATAAATGAAGTGTCACCAAAAATGTTAATCAGATAACATTTATATAATTTCACTTTTAAGATAATTTTCCTCCTAATCATCTGCCAACATTTGAGAGAGAAATGGAATCTTTTCTCTGCATAATTTTCTCCCAGCAGACTGCCATTGCCAGCAGCAGTTGGTTAATAATAGATGCTCAGCATCTTAGAATATTACTGGTATAGACAGCACAGAGCCTAAGGTTAACACAGAGGTCACTTAGGGTCATTCTGCTCAATAGATCTGCAATAATAATTTGCTAAAGCTCTGTTCCTTATAGTTTGACAAATGTAATGTCTTTCTTAAGACTTCTAAAAATTCTCAGGAGTTTTCCCAAATCTGATTCTGAGCTTCTGGTCCCAATATTATCTTAGTTTAGGATAGCCTTGCCATCTCATACATGCTATTTGTGTTCTGCCTTGTGCCAGTCCAGATGTACAAACTAACTCTCTTCTTTAATTTCTATAAAATTCACTCATTTATTTTGGTGTCTAACAAACTCTACTAAAAATTTGGGTTATGAAAAGTAATTATATTGTTAAAAGAGAAACTTTAGCTGAATTAAATTTAAGAGTTTAATTGAGCAAAGATCCACGAATCAGACAGCCTCCTGAGCCAGAGTAGGCTCAGAGACTCCAGTGTGACCACATGGTGGAAAAAGATTCATGGGCACAAAAAGGAAAGTGATATACAGAAAATGGAAGTTAGGTACAGAAATAGCCAGATTGGGGCCGGGCACGGTGGTTCACGCCTCTAATCCCAGCACTTTGGGAAGCTGAGGTGGGCAGATCACGAGGTGAGGGTGAAGGGTTCAATTAAACAGGAAGAACTAACTATTCTAAATATATATGCACCCAATACAGGAGCACCCAGATTTATAAAGCAAGTTTTTAGAGACTTACAAAGAGATTTAGACTACCATACAAAAATAATGGGAGACTTCAACACCTCACTGTCATTATTAGACAGATCACTGAGACAGAAAATTGCCAAAGATATTCAGGACCTGAACTCAGCTCTGGATCAAGTGGACCTGATAGGTATCTACAGAACTCTCCACCCAAAAACAGAATATACATTCTTATCACCTCACGGCACTTACTCTAAAATTGATCAGATAAATGAAAACACTCCTCAGCAAATGCAAAAGAACTGAAATCATAACAGTATCTCAGACCACAGTGCAATCTAACTAGAACTCAAGATTAAGAAATTTATTCAAAACCACAAAACTACATGAAAATTGAAAAACCTGTTCCTGAATGACTCTTGGGTAAATAATGAAATTAAGGCAGAAATCAAGAAATTCTATGAAACTAATGAGAACAAAAGATGACATTCTAGAATCTCTGGGGTACAGCTAAAGCAATGTTATAGCACTAAATGCCCACATCAAAAAGCTAGAAAGATCTCAAGTTAACAATATAACATCTCAACAACAACAAAAAAAAACTAGAGAACCAAGAGCACACAAACCCCAAAACTAACAGAAGACAAGAAAAATAAATAAATAAATAAAACAAGATTATAACTGAACTGAAGGAGATAGAGATACAAAAAAATTCAAAAGATCAACAAATCCAGGAGCTGTTTTTTATAATGATAATAATAAAATAGACCACTGGCTAGACTAACAAAGAAGAAAAAAGAGAAGAATAAAATAAACACGTTCAAAAATGATAAAGTGTATATCACCACTGACCCCACAGAAATACAAGCAATCATCAGAGAACACTATAACATCTCTATGCACACAAACTAGAAAATCTAGAAAAAATGGATAAATTCCTGGACACATACACACTCCCAATACTGAACCAAGAAGAAATTGCATTCCTGAATGGACCAATAACAAGTTCTGAAATTGAGGCAGTAACAAATAGCCTACCAATAAAAAAAGCCCAGGGTCATATGGACTCAGGTCTGAATTCTACCAGAGGTACAAAGAAGAGTTGGTACCGTGTCTACTCAAACTGTTCCAAAAGATTGAAAAGGAGGGACTCCTCTCTAACTCATTCTATGAGGCCAGGATCATCCTGATACAAAAACCTAGCAGAGATACAACAAAAAAAGAAAACTTCAGGCCAATATCTTTCACCAACATCGATGGTGAATTATCCTCAATAATATACTGGCAAATCGAATCCAGCAGCACATCAAAAAGCTTATGCACCACGATCATTCATTCCTAGGGTGCAAGCTTGGTTTAACATAGGCAGATCAATAACTGTAATTCATCACATAAACAGAACTAAAGACAAAAAACCATATGATAATCTCAATAGATGCAGAAGAGGGCTTTGATAAAACTCAACATCCTTTCATTTTAAAAACTCTTAACTAACTAGGTATTGATGGAACATACCTAAAAATAATGAGAGCCATTTATGACAAAACCACAGTCAATATCATAGCGAATGGGCAAAAACTGGAAGCATTCCCCTTAAAAACTGGCACAAGACAAGGATGCCGTCTCTAACCACTCCTACTCAACATAGTATTAGAAGCTCTGGCCAGGGCAATCAGGCAAGAGAAAGAAATAAAGCATATTCAAATAGGAAGAGAGGAAGTCAAATTGTCTCTGCTTACAGATGACATGATTCTGTATCTAGAAAACCCCATTGTCTCAGCCCAAAAGCTACTTAAGCTGACGAGTAACTTCAGAAAGCCTCAGAATACAAAATAATTGTGCAAAAATCACAAGCATTCCTATACACCAACAATAGTCAATCAGAGAGCCAAATCATGAATGAACTCCCATTCACAATTGCTACAAAGAGAAAAAAACACCTAGGAATACAGCTAATAAGGGATGTGAAGGAACTCTTCAAGGAGAACTACAAACCACTGCTCAGGGAAATCAGAGAGGATACACACTAATGGAAAAATATTCCATGTTCATGGATAGCAAGAATCAATATCATTAAAATGGCCATACTACCCAAAGTAATTTATAGATTCAATGCCATCTCCATTAAACTACCATTAACATTTTTCACAGAATTAGAAAAATCTACTTTAAACTTCATATGGAACAAAAAAAGAGCCCAAATAGCCAAGACAATCCTAAGCAAAAAGAACAAAGCTGGAGGCATCACGCTACCTGACTTCGAACTATATCACAAGGCTACAGTAACCAAAACAGCATGGTACTGGTACAAAAACAGACACATAAACCAATGGAACAGAATAGAGAACTCAGAAATAAGACCACACACCTACAACTATCTGACCTTTGACAAACCGGACAAAAACAATTAATGGGGAAAGGATTCTCTATTTAATATATGGTGTTGGGAGAACTGCTTAGCCATATGCAGAAAATTAAAACTGGACCCCTTCCTTACACCATATATAAAAATTAACTCAAGATGGATTAAAGACTTTAATATAAAACCCAAAACTTGGCCAGGCATGGTGGCTCACACCTGTAATCCCAGCACTTTGGGAGGCTAAGGCAGGTGGATCACGAGGTTAAGAGCTCGAGACAAGCCTGACCAACATGGTGAAACCCTGTCTCTACTAACAATGCAAAAATTAGCCAGGCATGGTGGTGTGTGCCTGTAATCCCAGCTACTCAGGAGACTGAGGCAAGAGAATCACTTGAATCCGGGAGGCAGAAGTTGCAGTGAGCCAAGATTGCGCCACTGCACTCCAGCCTGGGTGGCAGAGTGAAACTCCATCTCAAAAAAAAAAAAAAAACCTATAAAAACCCTGGGAGAAAATCTAGGCAATACAATTCAGGAAATAGGCGCAGGCAAAGATTTCATGATGAAAATGCTAAAAGCAATTGCAACAAAAGCAAAAATTGACAAATGGGATCTCATTAAACTAAAGAGCTTCTGCACAGCAAAAGAAACTATAATCTGAGTGAACAGACAATTTACAGAATGGGAGAACATTTTTGCAATCTATCCATCTGACAAAGGTCTAATATCCAGAGTCTACAAGGAATTTAAACAAATTTACAAGAAAAAAACAAACAACCCCATTAAAAAGTGGGCAAAGGAAATGAACAGACACTTCTCAAAATAAGAGATTCATGTGGGCAACAAATGTATGAAAAAAGGCTCATCATCACTGACAATTAGAGAAATATAAATCAAACCACAATGAGATACCATCTCCTGCCAGACAGAATGGCTATTATTAAAAAGTCAGAAAACAACAGATACTGGCGAAGTTGTAGAGAAAAAGGAATGCTTTTGCAACCTTGGTGGGAGTATAAATTAGTTCAACCATTGTGGAAGACAGACCAGAGTTTTCTCAAAGACCTAGAGGCCGAAATACCATTTAACCCATTAATAAGCATATACCCAAAGGAATATAAATCATTCACTTATAAAGACACATGCATACGTATGTTCATTGCCCCACTATTCACAATAGCAAGGACATGGAATCAACCCAAATGACCATCAATGATAGACTGGATAAAGAAAATGTGGTGCATATACATCATGGAATACTGTGCAACCATAAAAATAAACAAGATCATGTCTTTTGATCTGCATGGGTGGTGCAAACTAATGCAGGAACAGAAAAGCAAACACTGCATGTTCTCATTTATAAGGGAGAGCTGAATGATGAGAACACATAGACACATGGTGGGGAAGAACACACACTGAGGCCTATTGCAGTTGGGGGTGAGGGGAGAGAGAGCATCAGGAAGAATAGTTAATGGATGCTGGGCTTAATACCTAGATGATGGGTTGATCTCTGCAGCAAACCACCATGGCACAAGTTTACCTATGTAACAAACCTGCACATCCTACACATGTACCATTGTACTTAAAATAAAAGTTGAAGTAAAAAAAAAAAAAGATATTTCCTTAAGTGGGTGGGGGAGGAGGCAGAGTGCGTGCACACACATAAAAGATTACCCCTTATTATTAATTCTGTAGCAATTTTCTTAGATAAATAACACATTTTTCTTTCTTTCACCATTAGCTACCCAAATAAACAGGTAACTAGATTTCCACTTCCAATCATGAAGGAGTATTAGAATCCAGAATTAATCTCCTGCCATAATTAGAAAACTAAAAAATAGATAGAAAATAAACACTATTTTCATATGTTGGACTATATAGGTAGTGCAGGGCTATGACGGCAGAGACAGAATGGACACGATATGGTAAACTTTGTAATTGTTCACATTTTCTACCTTGAGGCAATTACCAGACAGCAGCATGGGGCAAGGGGTGAGAGTGATCTGGAAGAGCCTAGTCAAAGAGCTCAGATTTCAGAGAGGCAGAAGTGGCTAAAATTTCCACAGATATAGAATATGCAGAGAAAACATTATAGAAATTTATGTTGGGGTGACTTTAAGTCTGTGGCTGAATATCCATCTGTACATACGTAGGGAGAAACCCCATGATGTCAAGCTAGGGAAAACTTCTAGGAAAGGAGTAATTGTAGAAAACCGTAGTTGAAAAATTCTAGAGCTCACATAAGGCCTGGAATCATTCAAGCTTCCAGTAGCTAGAGTAAAAGCCCTGTTCGAAAAAATGTCAAACACACTCAAAAGTGTTTTTACCTATTCTCTTACTCAACAATCCAATCAGCACAGAAGACACTGTGACCAAATGTGTGGGGGTTTACCCCACACACCAAGCGTCAGACCCCAACTGGGTTTCCTCTAATTCAATTAAAATCTGACAATATCTTCCTGGGAAAAATGTCAGATCCCACAGGGTGAAAGCTGAATCCTGCAAGACTGTCCCTACCTCCAGATACCAGTCACAACTCTGGCCTCCAGAACTTCTGACTGACCAGCTTCAAGATGGGGTTCCCACAGCTCCCTCTTTGGATCCCATTAATTTGCTACAGTGGCTCACAGAACTCAGGGAAGCACATTCACCAGCTTATTATAAGGTATTATTACAAAGGACAAAAGGACACAGATGAAGAGATGCATGGGATGAGGTACAGGGGAAGGTGTACAGAGCTTCCTTGTCCTCCCCAGACGCACCACCTTCCAGCAACCTCCACATGTTCAGCTGTCCTGAAGCTCTCAAACTCTGTCTTCTTGGGCTTCTATGGAGACTTCGTTGGACAGGCGTGATTGAACGATGGACAACCACGTCACAATGCGATTGGACAAAAAGGGCATGATCTAAAGCCTGCAAGGGCTTGCTGTTCAGACTCTTCTTGGTCTCTCTGTGCAGCATTCCTTCCTCCAGGGTACAGGGCACGGCCCCTCTGGAATGAGGGTTTATGACCCACAATCAGGTTAGAGTCCTGCCTTGGGCAGGTGAAAGGTGGACAGGAGGAGATGAGACACAGAGAGAGAAAGAGAGAGAGAGAGAGATTCTGTTTACTGTAACAGGGGCTATGAGAGTTATGAGCCAGAAACCATGGTTGAACATCCCAGTGAACAAAAAGAGTATTCATTAAAAACTGCATAAGGGGCTAGGCATTAAAACTGGGGCTAAAGTAAAGGTAGCTCCTGTTACTTTTAACCTGAAGGGGCTTTAAATCAAGCCTCAAAACGATCAAACTGATAATGAGTTAACCTCACTGTCTCCCAGAACAAAGTCCAGTACTCTGCAGGAAAACAACAAAATCTAAACATTCAGAAATGGAAAATTTAAAATAACTGGATAAAGAGGTGGGAAAAATGTCACCAATAACCAGAAAAAAGGCAATTAAAACACACTTAAGCATGACATAGATGATCAAAGTTATAAATAACAAGGGATATTAAAACAGTTTACTTAAATATGATATATATGCTCAAGGATATAAGAAAAAATTTAAATAATAAGAGAAATAGAAGATACGAAAGAGAACATACTAGAACTCCAAGAAATATAAAAATAAAATTTCTGAAATAAAAACATCACAGAATAAAATTAAAAGCAGATTAGACACTGCATAAGTAAAGATCAGTAAACTGGAAGGCATAGTAATAGCACTTTCCAAAATGAAATGTAGAAAAGGAAAAAAAAAAAGGTTGGAAAAAATGACCAGAGCCTCAATGACATGTGGGAAAATATCAAAGATTTAATGCATGCCTAACGAAGTCCTTATAAGAGAGAAGAGAGAACAGGAAAGAAGAAAAAAAAGAAAATCATAGACAATATTTATCCAAATTTGATGGAAATGGTAAACCCACACATCAAATATGCTGAATAAAACCTAAGTAGAATTAACATAAAGAAAATCACACATGGCTAATTGTAATCAAATTGCCAAAATCCAGTGATAAAGAAGAAAAATTTTAAGGGAGCCAGAAATAAAAGACATTGTTTCAGTGCAACAAGGAATGATTGCAGATTCGTATCAGAAATATACATTTTGAAAGACAATCAAATGACAACCTTTTAAAGAACTTAAGTGGGAGTAGGGGTTGTTATACACCCCTAAATATTTTTAATTAATGAAAATTTAATTAAAAAAATAGTTTTAGAGACAGCGTCTTGCTCTGTTACCTAGGCTGGAATGCAGTGCCACAATCATGGTTCACTGCAGTCTCAACCACCGGGGTTCAAGTGATCCTCCTGCCTCAGTCTCCCAAGTAACTGGGACCATAGGTGCATGCCACCATGCCTGCCTAAATTTTTTTATTTTTTGTGGAGATGGGGTCTCGATATGTTGCCCAGGCTGGTCTTGAACTTGACCTCAATTGATCCTCCTGCCTCATCCTCCCAAAGTGTCAGGATTAGAGGTGTGAGCCACCATGCCCAGCGCCCCCTAGAATTCTATATCCAGCAAAAAGTCTTTCAAAAATGAAGGCAAACAGGAACTAAGGCAAACCTGCAGCACAAGAAATGTTAAAGGAAGTTCTTGCAAAAGGAAAATGACACTAAAAAGAAACTTGTATCTACAGACAAGACAAAGAAGGCTGTAAGTGGTAACGCTGCGGGAAAATATTAAAATATATGCTTTATTCATTGTTTAATTTTTTTAAACACATGGCCCACCTTCTTCATTGTCTCACATATGTATGTGTAGCATATTGCTTATTCTTCTTGGCCTTTTACAGTGGCCTGCATCACGCCCAGAGCCCTTAGTTGCCAATGTCTTAGGAGCCCCTGTAATGTCATCTCCTGGAAGCACAAGGGTTGCCCTTCCATGATAATTGATGGTTGCTGCCAGAATACATTTTGTGGAAAAGAATGGGAATCTTGTGACTCATCATCTAATGGCTTACTTGTCTTCATTAAAAATGAAAACATGCAATAAGAAGAAATATTTTTGGTCTGAAAATGCTTTTTTGGAAAAAAAAGAAAAAATATATAAGTGCTCAAAGGAAAAACAGTAGCAATAGTAATGTATTCTGGAGTTTATAACCTATGAAAATTTAAAATTAACGGCAATATTGTTCTAAAAAGTAGAATGGACTTAAAGTATAATGTTATAAGGTTTATATTTGATAAGGAAGTTTTATAATATTATTTGAAGGTAGACCATAAAATTATGTTTTATATTGTAGACCTTACAGTAATTACTAATAGAGACATATAAATAATACATTGATAGTGGACATAAAATGTAATTATAAAAATTGCTTGCTCCAAAGGAAGGAAAAAATAAAGGAAGATGGCACAAAACAAATGCTGAAGATAAAAAATAAGCAACAACATGGTAGGTTTAATTCTACCTCATAGATAATCACAATAATTTTAAATGTTCAAAATGCATCAAAAGGCAGAAAATATCATATTAGATGAAAAGACAAGATTCAACTACATGCTATCTACAAGAAATTCACTTTAAATATAAAAATACATATATAAATTCACTTTAAATATAAATCTACATAGATTATAAGCAGCTATCTACAAGAAATTCACTTTAAATATAAAAATGTAGATTAAGAGTAATGGGAAAAGTTATATAATGCAAACATTAATAGAAGGAACCTGGTGTTGTTCTTAATATGAGACAAGAGAGTCTTAATAACAAGAAATACTGCAATGAATAGAGAGAGAAGCTGGTAATGTTAGTGAGGTCAATTCATCAAGAAGATATAAAAATACAATAAAAAAGCATGATCTAGTAACGTAATTTCAAAACACATGAAGTAAAAGATGTAAACACAGAAGTAGTTAAAAACCATAATTATGTTGAAACCAAAATTACATTTTGAGATGTCAGTACTTCATATTCTAAACAGGTTGATAGAACAAGAAGGCAGAGAAATCAATAGAAACACACAAGACCTAAAAAACGCCAAGAATCAACTTGGCCTAATTGACACAGAGAACACCCTGTCCAACATCTGACAAATATAGTTTCTTTTCAAATGCACATGGAATATTCACCAGTAGACACCATGTGCTTATCCACAAAATAAGTCTCAATATATTTAAAAGGAACAAAATAATTCAAAGTATGTTCTCTGACAATATGCAATTAAATTGAGCAATAAAACAGAATACTATCTATGAAAAGGTCCAAAATACATATTTGAAATTAAATAACACACATCTCAATAGGAAATCACAAGTCAAATTAGAAAATATTTTAAATGAATGAAAATGAAAACATGACATAATTTGTGAGGGCGAAGCTATAGACGAAAGCAATAATCTAATCTTCTACTAAAAGACCCTATAAAAATAAGAGCAAATTAAACTCAAATAGAAAGAAAAATATAAAACCAATAACAGCAGAAACCAGTGAAACAAAAGTAAATAGATAAAATCAATAAAAAACTGGTTCTTTAAAAAGAGTAATTAAATTATAAACCACTAGTTAGACTGATCAATAAGAGAGAGAGAGAATACAAATAAATCACCGATGTCCGAAATGAAATAGAGAACATCACTAGACATCCTACAGACATTATAAGGGTGATAAGGAAATATGAACAATTTTATGACTACTAAAATAACTTAGATGAAATGTCATGTGCCCATCCTCAATAAATTATGTCAAGGTCATGAAGTATTTTGATTGGCTTAAGTATCTTTGCATGTTTACCTCTGTCACCAGAGGTTCAAATTCATCCAAAACACACAATCAATGAGAGAGAGGTCCTGAGTAGGCAAAGAAAATATATGCTTATCTTATCACAATGGTGCATGTTTAACCTTACTATTTCATCTTTGGTATTTGTTCCACTGGGTCATCCCTGTATTGAAGCTGATTTTCCTATATCTAAAGGCCATATCCTCTCAATCTAGGGAGGATATAAAAAATTAGCTAATGAGGCTGGGCACAGTGGCTCACACCTCTAATCTCAGCACTTTGGGAGGCCGAGGTGGGCAGATCACCTGAGGTCAGGAGTTCGAGACCAGCCTGGCCAACATGGTGAAACCTCATCTCTACTAAAAATACAAAAAAAAAAAAAAATAGCCAGGCATGGTGGTGGACACCTGTAATCCCAGCTGCTTGGGAGGCTGAGGCAGGAGAATCACTTGAACCTAGGAGGCAGAGGTTGCAGTGAGGGGAGACCACATCGTTGCACTCCAGCCTAGGCAACAAGAACTAAACTCCATCTCAGAAAAAAAAAAAAAATAGCTAATGAAATGCCTTACCTAGTTCATACTCTATAACCTTTCTCTTTTTGTTAGCCTGAATTATTTAACATCTTCCATGTTCTTGATATACAAATTGGTAAGTAGTGAAAGTTAAAAACCTGCAAGTTCAGCTCTACTCCAAGATCTAGGCTAAATCTTTAACTTTGTTTGTAGAAAGTTAATAAGTTATTATGTTTTAGCACAAAGTCCCTATAACTGTTTGTTTTTATGTAGGGTCTAGTTTCCCCTTCCTTGAGCATTTGTTGTTTTTTGTTGTTGTTGTTGTTCTTGACATCATGGTCCAATCCTGCACTCAAGTACCTGTAGACCAGAACAATGGCTCTAGTGAGGTCTCTCTAGGACAACTATTCTCAGCGCTGACCTCTGCAGTTGGGCCCTACACTGTGAGACTTGACTCCTCCAAAGCCAGATTATGGACTCACAGTCACGGAGCTTTGCTCTCCTGCTGAGGTGTTCTGAGACATCTCTGTCTCACTCTCAGTCTGATTATACATCACCACAGGATAACTAAAGCTTCTACCTAAAGGATCTTGGAATTATTAAATGGCTTACCTTCCTGAAAATATTATTTCTGAAAATAAGTTGGATTAGGATATAAGGCATATGAAGTATCTCTTCTATATAGTACAATCTGGACAATTTTTTTAAAAATTTGTCATTCATTAAAACTACCTAAAAATGTCTTAAAGCAAACAGATATTACCATATTAATACATAAATATGCTCAGCTTTGGCTGTATGAGTAGCCTACAAAAATTTATTTAATTCCCATCTAACTCTGTAAAGTAAATACTAAAATTTTCTTCTTATAAATGTGGAAAATAAGTAACTTGCACAAATCCACAAATGTGGAAAATAAGTAACTTGCACAAATTCAAACCCAAGTTTGTGGCATCACTAGTCTCATGGACTCATTGGTTATCATAAAAACGATGTAAAGTGCATGCAGACAAATTTTTTAAAAATCCACCATAAAAATTGAACTTGATTTACCAAATGAAGATTATTACCAATCGCATAGATTCATTAGTTATGTGTTGTAAACCTCATCACACTACACAATGCCATGTGAATGCAAAGATCTGATCAAATCATGTCAGTAGAGTTGCTCCTTAACTTACAATGGGGTTATGCCTCAATAAATCCATCGTAAATTGAAAATATGTATTTAATGCACCGAACCTACTGAACATCATAGCTTAGCCCAGTCTACCTTAAATGGGCTGAGAACACTTATATTAGCCTACAATTGGGCAAAATCATCTAATACAAAGCCTATTTTGTAATAAAGTGTTAACTATCTCATGTAATTTATTGAATACTGTACTGAAAGTGAAAAACACAATGGTTTTATTGGTACTTGGAGTATGTTTTCTACTGAGTGTGTAAGGCTTTTGTAGCATTGTAAAGTAAAAAAAAAGAGAAGTAAGTCAAACCATCCTAAGCGGGGAACTGTTTATGCTAGGATTTTGCCCCAAAAATGAAAAATGATGCTGCCTGCAAGTGTCAATTGGGTCTGCCACAGTTCAAACATGTCTCATTATTAATACCTAAAATTTCCCTGGATTCATAGCATTATAGGAAATAAAAAGATTCATTCATAAAACAGTACCACTTCATGGACTGAATCACATACAATTTACTGACAGTTAAATTAAGCTTAAACATAACACATACAACACATAATTAATAAGTAGTTATAATTATATTGAACTTTGCATCCCTAGACCCGTGCTTAGCATAGAGTAAGCATTCAATAAATTTCATGAATGATCAAAACACTGAATGCATAAGGAAATAATATGCTGTGGTATTAAAACCAACTTCATATCATAGGACATTGTGTTGAAGGCTGTAGGCAAAGTAGGAGGGCTGTGTTGTCTTCCAGCTCTGCTTCACAGTCTCTTCTGATTCTAGTTGTGAGGCTGTATTCTTTTTGATCTACTTCTCTATTTCAGTTTTCTATACTGTTCCATGCTGAACATTCTGTTATAATTTTTTTTTTTTTTTTTGAGAGACTCTCGCTCTGTCACCCAGGCTGGAGTGCAATGGTGTGGTGTCAGCTCACTGCAACCTCAGCCTCCCAGGTTCAAGTGATTCTCCTGCCTCAGCCTCCTGAGTAGCTGGAACTACAGGTGCATGCCACCACACCCGGGCTAATTTTTATATTTTTAGTAGAGACGAGGTTTCACTGTATTGGCCAGGCTAGTCTCGAACTCCTGACCTCGTGATCCACCCACCTTGGCCTCCCAAAGTGCTGGGATTTCAGACGTGAGCCACTGTGCCCCGCCTTCAATTTTTAATATAATCAGTTTAGAGAGCTTTCTCTGAGATTGCTTAAACTTAGCTCATACGTTCAGGCTCACTGCTTTAACACCTGGATATAAACCTGTATCATCCATTTCAGTATGAACTTGAGAAAGTCAAAGACAACATGGTGACAAACACTCTCTCCTTGTCCAACCTCTAGCATGGCTTCTCACAGCTCAAGGTAGTGCCTCTAGGATGATGTCACTAGTCCCCTTAACATGCCTGCTTGAAAAAGCTTAATGCTGGCCAAAGAATTTACTGTTCGTTCCAGCAGAAATCTGACTATAGGTCCCTGATCTCTTTTTTCTTAGGAACCCTTCCTTCTACTTGAGAAAACTTGCAATTGTAAAACATTTGTCCCTTTGAGATGCATCTTCTGCAACCCAAAAATGTCATTCTCAAGAACCTGAAAGTCAGCCCTTTGAAATGTCATCGTCAAGAATGCTAAAGCTCTGTCTTCCAGGCTATATGAGAGTGCAGGAGCCTAACTTCGATAAACACCAGTTAACAAATACACAGATGACCTTATCACATTGACCCACCTTCCCTGCCTCAGTGTCCTTCAGTACTTTTCCTTTGTCACACCCCAGCAAACAAACAATCCCACATTTTGTTTCAACAAAACTGAGCTCAGTCAATACCAAAGTATTTCTCTCTCATTGCAGTAGTCTGAATAAAATCTGCTTTGCTGCCTTTAATGGACATTGGACTCTGTTTCTCTTTAACAGTGACCAAATTTCCTTATCTCATAGATAACCTTGCCTTCTACTTCACCAAGAATATTAAAATTCTCAGTGGTGATCTTCCTTAGCTCTCTGATTTGCAACAAACATGCTTATCTACAGTGACACACACTTTTTCCTTCTTTTCTCTGATTTCAGAGGTTGTGTCTCTCCTGCTCCAGGAAACACATTTACGTATGCTCTGGGATTCACTTCTTTTCCCTTCAGCTGGGACCTTCCATTATCAGTTCCCCTTTTTATATGTCACATCTCCTTTAAACTGGCTGCTCCTCAGCCAATCAGCATGCTCAGGCTCTTCTGTTCTGAAAAGATTTTAAACTCCGTCTGATTTCTTTTCTCCTCTTATTCCATGAATCTTCAATGAGTTATCTCTACTTTTCAATGCCCACTTTTTAATATTCACTTAATTCTCACTCCACTGAAATAGAGCCTCTCAACAAATCTCATGGACTTCCTCTCACTAGTGACTTCCTAAATCCTGACTTCAAGGGAAACTTTTTAGTATCTAACTTATCAGGCTTCTGTGCTGACCTGGGATGTGCTGGCCATTAACATGTTTCTTACATGTTTCTTTTACTCCTTTGACTTTGTTCTGCACACATGGCCTTCATTTTCAGTCTTCTTCATGGGCTCTTTTTTCTCCACATATACAACATAGTATCCTCTTCAGACCTCTAGCCTTGGTCCTTTTCTCACCCACTGGTCCCTCCTTGAACAGCATTACTAATCTCATGATTAATTGCTTATAAAAAAATAAGTAAAACACACAAACCAAAAAAAAAGAGCCACCCTAAAGAGTGATATATGTATATATATATTTGAGATAAGATTTCACTCTGCTGCCCAGGTTGGAGTGCAGTGGCACGCTCACAGCTCACTGCAACTTCTGCCTCCTGGGCTCAAGCAGTCCTCCCACAAGCAATCCTCCCACCTCAGTCTCCTGAGTCACTAGGACTACAAGCATGAGCCACCATGCCTGGATAATTTTTGCAGTTTTTTTTCTTGGTAGAGACAGGGTTTTGCCATGTTGCCCAGGCTGGTTTCAAACTCACTGGACTCAAGCAATCTGCCTGTCTCGGCCTCCCAAAATGTTGGGATCACAGGCCTAAGCCACTGCACAAGTGAATTATATTTACCAAATAGGTGACCCAATTCATTGTTCAGAAATAGAAATATTAATATGGGAAAAGAAATATTCGAATGAGAAACATCTAAAGGGCAAGTGACTTCAAAGTCAGAGATGGCTGGCTTTTGACCATTCTAGTTGTGAGTAAAATTCTAGTTATTTAGCAAAATTTCTCTGTTCTTTATTTTAATTTTTAAATTGCAAAGAACTTTTTATTATCTATTTTAATTTTTACATTATATATATATATATATAAAACTTAAAATTATATATAAATAAGCACAAGAATGATCCTGGTGTTCAAAATTTCTTCAGTTTCAAGTAATAGAAACCAAATTCAAATTGGCTTAAGCAATAAATCAGCTACTATAGTTTGAGGAAAGTTAAGGAGCAGATGTCAGTCACTTCTGGGTGCAAGTTGTCAAACTATACAATTTCTATCTCTCTCTCAGCTCAGCTTCTCTGTGTGTCAACTTCATTTTCAGGTTTAATATCTCCAACCATAACAAAGATGCCTATCAATTTAGAGTTATATCCTACCACCTAAGCAACATACCTGAAAGACAATGTAACTTTCTCCATGTATTCAACGAAAGTCTCAAGAAGGGTTCAGTGGCCCGGCTTGAATTAATCCAAGTCCATCCTGACCATTTATTGTGCCCAGAAGAATGCAGAACTCTAATCAGCCAATTCTGAGTCACAAACTCAGCCAATGATCTTAGGACATTGTCAGCCCTATCTGAACATCATGAATTGAGAATAGTAGAGATAATTTCCCCAAAGGTAAATCAGAATGCTAGTGGCCAGAAAATGTATCTACAATGATACTTTATATCTGTAAAGTTTCCTTTTATCTTTTCAACAACATAAATTATTTATACTTTATGAATGAGCAAAGTAAAAGTCAGAGGAATTAAATTCAGTCACATAGTAAAAGACAGTATTGGATTTTCATTTCCCCCTCTTAAGACTAATACTCTTTTCACTATGTGAGGCTTCCCATTCTCCTGCTCAGTGCTAGTAAGAGATTCTGCACTTTTAGTGTCAAAGAAAAGCACTTTACTGAAAGCTTCAATTTATGCAAATACAAGTCAGAGTTCAATGTTCTTACTCATGTTCAGAATATTTAAAAAGACATCAACATCTTAATGGATAACTCTCCACCCTTACACTTGCTTTAACATATAAAGATCTTCCCCAAAGTGACCCAGAAATTCTTCCTATCCAGCTAAAGCAAGAGTCTACAGTTAAGAAGTAGTAACCTTCTGTGCAAAATTTGATGTCATAACATCACCATGGCAACAGTAACTGAAGACAGAAGAGGCAAATTTTGTCCTGAAAATTAATCAGCTGCAGTGACAATCTTATTTACTTTCTCTGGCAAGTAGTGCAAATCCACATGAGACCCCTGACGATCTTCCAGTCCTCATTTTCAGTTAAAAAATAAAAATACAACTACAGATCTATGTTAAAACATTTTTTTCCTAACAAGAATCATAAACTTTCTATTCCTCAGCTACCTTGTGGGGAGCTCTTGTCACATATGCCATAATTTCTTCAAAATTTCATGCAGTAGGTAGCAATTTTTTCATATACTTATTCTCAACAAAAATATCTTATTTTTTTACTAACTTCTTTAATGTCTATTAGTTGCCGGCAGATTTGTGCTTAATAAAGATTATGTCTTGAGAAAGAAGATATTCAGTAAAAGTGCAGAATAAGATCATCCACACGATATATATTTTAGAGAAGGAAAAAAATGTGTATTTTTTTAGCCTTGCTTTTGGTTGAAGCTTTCAAGATATAATTGGAAGGAATGGGAGTTTATTTCACTGGGAGATGGCAAAGGTAGGGGGGAAAGCAGAGACTCTGGAGTCAAATAAACTGGTATTAAATCCTAGCTCCACCAATTGGTAGTTGTAAAATGGTCAAGTCTCTTGATATGTTTTAATCTCAGTTTTTTTTAATATAAAATAGGGATCTGTAATTCCCCAATTTTCTAAGGTTCTTGGAAACATTAGAGATAATGTATATGAATTGCGTGGCACACAGTAGGTGGTCAAAAAGGCAAATGAAAGCAAACCATTTCTGTTTGTGAGACCATCCACGCATTGGTTTCACCAACACCAGAGCTCCTAGACTTGGACTTCTCACTCACTGCTGATAGCTTTGAGCCAGAATAACCCTCTGAATTTGGCACTTGCAGTTACTACACTGGAATTCCAATACTTTAGGATGATGTACCCATGCTATGCCTCATACTTCTCATACATTCCATGATTACTCCTATGTGAGCAGAGCAGTATGAGGCCATGGCGTACATGCTATGCCTCATACTTATACTTGCTCTGGTCACATATGAGTAATCATGGAATCCTGCTTATTTACATCTGTTTCTCTTTGTCCTTCCATCCCAAACTTGAAGGCTCACATTGATACTTCCTCAGTGCCTTTATTCATAGTCAAAATGGGACACATGATGCTAATAGAAGAGGCATGCAAGTGTTATTAGAACCTGTATGTACATCAAGGCAAAAGGAGATAGTGTTAACCATTTGCTGCTTACTATGGTCTTGAACCCTGTCCTCAGGCTTCACCTCAGGTGCTTAATACTTTGCCTCATGACTGCTCAAGTCTTACAGTCCTCTGTTCTAGGTCTTTCTCCTTGTTTTTTTATTTCATGCCCCTTCCTATTATGACTCTAGTTTTGCTTGGCTAGAAAGAGATCTCAGTCTTAATGGCTTTCTAGAGAATATTGACAAACTCCATTGCAAGCGCTCAGTAAATTACTGAGTTTAGCACATTAATCTCTATTTAACAGAGCTAAAGTCCTAATAAAAGGTAATTATTAGACATTTAGAATAAGAAGAAAATTTCTCAGGCATATAGTGCAGTCTTCAAGACATTTTCTCATAGCTAAAATACTGAACATGGATTCTTCTTCCTATTAGTATTCTTTTGTTGTAGGAAACAATTCTCTATGCTTAATAATAAATAATATTATCAGTTGCTAATTCTATATGGTGTTGAAGGAATTGGAATCTTAGCAGAGACACCTAACTGTAAAGTTGGAGAAGCTGCTCTTTCATCCTGTTCATCTTGCTATAAGTAAAGAATCGCTGGAAATATTAGCAGTTTTTAGAAACCTAGAGATATGAGTCTTAATTGGGGGATGGGAAGAATGGTAAAAAACAGGATAGAATAAAATACTTGCCAGCAATAACGTGCAAAATGAGAGACTGGTGATAAGAGTTCAGTCTTCCATAAATCTTTAACAAAGATATTAATATGAGACATTATTAAATTACACATCCGTATCAAAATTTAATTGGCAACCTTCAAAAAACCAAAATAGTATATATAACTTCCAAACAGAGCAACAATGATCAATCCAATGAAGGCAAGATAGGAGGGGAGAAAGCAGAAGGGGGAAAAAAAATGGAAAGCACCATATAAGATGTTAGAAATAAGCCCAAATACCCACAGTAAGCATAATAAATGTAGGTGAACTAAAATAACAGGTTAAAAAACAGAGACTGTCACAGTACATAAACAAAATTCATATACTGTTTATAGAAGTCAACGTTAAAATATAAAGGTATTGAAAGGTTGAAAAGAAAATGATGAAAATTAGTAAAGCTACATTTTATTTAAAAAATTATCTTTAAGACCAAAAGCATTCTTGTAAAGAGTGACACTAAATAGTATAATGAAACAATTCTAAAACTATCTTAAATGCATTATAAAATTAAATAATAAATAATGTTATCAATTGCTAATTCTATATAGGGTTGAAGGAATTGGAATCTTAGCAGAGACACGTAACTGTGAAGTTGGAGAAGTTGCCCTTTCATCCTGTTCATCTTGTTATAAGTAAAGAATCACTGGAAATGTTAGCAGTTTTTAGAAACCTACAGATATGAGTCCTAATTGGGGGATGGGAAGAACAGTAAAAAATAGTAAACATGTTGCTGGGAGACAGATTTCTCACAGCAGAAGAAACACACACACACCTGCCCATATATACATGCATATACACATTTTACACGTTTTAGAAATCATGTAAAAAAAGGAGAAACACATATATACGATATTTGGAATCAGAAAAGCTCATAGCTAAAGATAAAGTAACATTTAGAAAGTAATATAATATTTTGAATAACTACACCAGTAAATTTGAAAACTTGGACAAATTTTCAATTTCCTATGAAAGTATTTATCAAATATTACTTAATAACAAATTAAATGTCTGAATATACCTTAACCAGAAGTTGAATAAATAAATTTTAACCAACTCTCTCTCCTCCATAAAATTCTAAGACTTTAGGACTTACTGGTAATTTATGCTAAACGTTTACATGTTTTAACAAGCTCTTCCAGAGAACAGAAAATGAGAAAATCTTCACTAAATTGTTTTATAAGGATAAAAAAATTAGAGAACAAAAAATTATAGGTCAATTTCTCTTATAAAATAGTGCATATATCCTAAATAAAATGTTGTCAATCCAAATTAAAAGATATATAAATATAGTTCATTATAATCAAGTTGAATGTATATTAGAGATGTTAAAAATCAATTAGTATAATTTTCCACTTTAAGTTTGAAGAAGAAAACGATTTAGCTGTCTCAACAGATGAGTTAAAGCATTCAATAAAATTAAACATCTATTCATAGGAAAAGTTAAATCTAGAAGGGAGCACATTTAACCTGATAAAAACATATCCATAAAAATCTATGGTAAGCACCATAAATATTGATGGAAAAAACATTTTAAAAATCTATATGCTACAAGTATGCTAGCAAATGTTCTGGTTCAAGTAAGCCTTCTAAAAAATATAAAGGAATGAATGAATGAGTGAGTGGCATGAAAGATTTGTGATATTTTATGGAGAAAATTATAAAGTTTGTATAAAGTATTAAGGGAGACATAAATGATGGATAAACACATCGTATTTATAGACAAACATTAAAGATATTGATCCTTCCCAAATTGACTCATAAATTTATGTAATTCCAATTAAAATCCCAACAAGATATTTTCATGGAAAAATTATAAACTAATTTAAAAGTTTTATAGAACTTTTTTAGCAAAAATTATATTTTTATAGCAAAATTTTTTAATTCAAAAAATTGATGATTAAGCAAGGGAGTATTATTCAACAAAATAGTAAGATTAAGCTAAATAAGTTTAAAGAGTTAATGAAGTTTTGATTTAAAATAATGCATTGATTTTTTAAAAACTCAGACCAATAAGATACTATACAGTGCTTAGAAACTGATCAACACATATAAACATAAATGTGATCTTTAACAGTGGTGGCATTTCAAACCAGTAGGGAAAAGATGGACTATTCAATAAATGATCCTTTGGGGAAATGCCATGTAAAAAGTGAAATGGGATTCCTATCTCATACTACACACAAGAAATCAATTCCAGTGAAATTTTCAGATACAAAAGCAAAGCATTAAAATTTTCAGAAGAGACTGTCATTTACCTCTACTACTGCCTCCTAATGCTGGCTGTGTGCTAGTTGGTGCTGCCTGGTACCTCTTGGGTAAAAAAGCAGCTAAAACTACTTCAGCACTCACCTTGGCCAATGAAAAGCTTATGCACTGAATCGAGATTGAGAACAAGGACCAAGTTAATTTGAAGTGGCAGGGCAGGTGCTGTAGAGCAGTTTAAGATTAAGAGGTTTATACCACTTAGTAAACTTAGGAAAACATGTTGTGAACCACAGGGCTTTTCAATAAGGCAGAACAGCTCCTGATTTGGCGGGCAGCCAATCAGTAAACCAAACACACCTGCAGAGTTGGAGCTAGAGACTCATGATGCCGCTGATGTGTCCCAGCAGCAGACAGGGGTGTCTCATAAACAAACAACAAATGACTGCTTTTTGCTTAAACTGTATTCCCTTGAAGTGATGCATTCATAATTAGAAAACTGATTTGACTCAACAAATTCTGACTGCTGTGGTAGATCTTCTTCTGTCTTCAATTCTCCCCCTTCTCGATTCATTTCAATTGTCAATTGTCCATAAAATAATTGATGTATGCACACAGGTATGTTGCATTTTATTTTCCAAACAGACAATGATATTATAAGGCAAAATTACAACAAATTTAGTTTAAAGATCTCACTGACTTTTATTTGTGATTCTATAACATAGAGTGAGTATTCTGATGAGTTGAGAAGACAAATTTGGCTTTATAAGCAGAAAATGGCTGAAGAAAGCAGAAATACAGAACACAAGGCGGGTTGGTTATTGGAAAGTTACCATCCTCATAGGGTTAAAACTGAGGGAACTTCCTTACTATGCTGAGTCAGGCAGACTGGAATCTCCTGTGTTTTGGAAAACTGGCCCATTTCAAAATTGTTTGATTACCGTCCCTTAGTCTAAGTGACTCCATTCTGGTTTGATCCGGTCTGCTAAGAGCAAGTGCAAGAGGCTAGTTCACAGCAACGGCCTCCACTAAACTTTGTTTAACAACATGCAAAGCTGGGTATTAAAGCAGTTACTCTGGCCCTTAGAAATTCTGATATGAACTTCAATCTCTCAAAATTTTGTCATTAGTTCCTCATAAATAATATATCCTTTTCAAATTATCCTAATTGGAACATAACATCTGTTTTCTTGCACTCTGATTTATACACCTATTTTTCCCCAACCATGGCACTGAATCAGAATGTTTGGTGGCAAAATATGTGTGACAGTGTACTAGTTAGTGTAACCTGTTCTGACTGAGGTCTGCAATTCTGAATCCTCAAAGAGATCAGAATTAGGTAGCTGGCAGTCCCACAGCCCAGCCAATATGTGTCCCTAAGTGTGCTTCTAGGAATAGGATGAGAGGTAATTAAGTGAGATATTGGGAACCACCAGTTTACACACAAGAATCTGTTCACATAAAACTTACTTGTAGTTCATAGATTACAAAATGGAAGCAGGCATATTAGGCACTTATTTACTCCAGTAATAGCCAGATTTCTTTTTTGCATAAACTTTTTATGCAAAAAACTTTCTAATCTGTTAGTATATGAAGAATTTTGATAATAATGAGGGAATACATTCATGGAATAGTTACAAAATCTTACAGTTAATATATATTTTAAAGTAAAAATATTAAAACTAACAAAAGACGTATTTTTAAAAACAAGATGCTATATTTCTCTGGTGTAAAGGCCTGTTTACCTTCACACAGTGAAGCTGATATTAACTCTGTGGTTGCAAGAGGAGCAAGGGTACCATACCACGTAGGTTTTCATCCCTAGGAGGCTTGTGAAGTTCAAGACAAGATCTAAGCATGCTGATCACAGCTGGGAGGATTTGTTTTGTTCTGTGTTGTTTTTCTGTAAGATATTAGCAGTACTGAATTTTGTATTTTGCAAAGCCCTATGCTTTTCCCCAATCTGTATGTATATTTGTTTCTTATAATAAAAAATCTAAACTATTGACAAACATAAGATATTTCACAACTCAGCTCCAACTACTTCCCCAGGTCATCTCCTATTTATTCATCTAACAGCCTTTCCCCAGTCTCTCTCTGTTCCTGGCACACCCATATCGTGACACTTTCCATTGCAGGTGATATTGTTCATACCTTCCTACTTACGTACCTGATGTCTCCTGTATCTGGAATGCCCTCTTCCCTTTTCAGACATATTTCAAAACATTTCTTATCTTCCCCACAAGATGATTCACTGAACTCTTTCAAGGAGCTGCCCCTTGATGTTTTCATTCCACTCCTTGCTTTATATTTCTGGCATATTCAGGGAAGAGAAGTCCTTTCCTTCCTCTCTCCATCTTCCTAGGCAGGTGTTGTCTGCCCTGCCCTGAAATATTATATTAACTTTTAAGTCAGCTGGCTTTGGGCATTGTGAGAACCACTGTGTACCAGGTACCCTGTTAAGTGCTGGCAATACAAAGATTGCCAAGGTGGCAAGGTAAAGAAGGTGGGAAGCACTAGACACTTGGGCAAAGAAGCCTCCTACAGTTGTTCATCCCGGAGGCAAGTGCAAAAAGCTATGTGAGCATAGATGCCATAAACAAGAAAGATGATCAAAGGCGATGCACCAGGCAGGAAAGAGTTAAAAATATTTCTTTCTGGTTCCATTCTGGAGCATTTTATTGCAAAATCACATTCATATAGTTTCTGCTCATCTGAGAGAGAAGATAAAAAAGATCTTAGAGCAAGTAGTATGTTTCCTGCTGAATATCAATCTCCCACAGCCCTCTCTTGACCAGCTTTTATGAGAACACAAAAGCCCATCTGTGACTATGGCCAATCCCCTATTAAAAGGTCTCATGAGAACAGGTATCTCTCTTTCTCAGCACTTGGCATAGCCACAATTTTGAATTTTGTTAAACATAATTACATGATGATTTTCTATAATACTAGACTGTAAAAGCCACGAGACCAGGACTGGACTTATTTTTCCCATCTTTTTATCTTCAGCACTGAGCACAATGCCTGTCACATTAAAATGCTCAATAAATACAACTCAAAAAGAGAACCAATAAATGATAATACAACTATTAGCTAAGTAGCTACATAAACTGAGATACACTACCTCATGTAATCTTCATAATAACTCTATTTTAATCATGAGATAACTGAGTCTTTGAGAGCAGGAAAATCTCAGGTTAAAAGTTGAACCCAGCTCTGTCTAGCCTTACTGCAGCCTCACTCTCAGTCCCGACACTATACCATCTTATAATAAGATCCATGTGCAGATACAACAAGTTTCCAGAAACAGCAGGGGCTGGAAGCACCAGACAGAATGGAGAGTCATTTTTAGCAAGGCCATCTGACGCCAAATGCAGAAGGGCTGACTTTCTGCCACTTTCTATTCCACAATTATAAATTAGAAACCACTGAAGTATCCAAAAGAAGAAAACTGTTAAGTCAATTATGGCATGCCTATGTGATAAAATAGTATTAGGTAATTAAAAGTTATGGTTTATAAGAATAAAAGAAATGTTCAAGATACACCATTAGGTAGAAAAAGTAGATTATAAAATGTACTATAATCTCAGTTTTGTTAAATTATATATTGCATACGTTTTAACAAATGGCATATACATATTTTAGAACAATATACATAAACAAAAATGTCAGTGGTGGTGTTATGCATAGAAGTATAGATTATTTTCATTTTCTTCCTATCTTTTATTTTTCCTATATATTCTATAATTATCATAAATTACTTTAAAATTCTTACAAATATGATTTACGGTAAATATACAGATAAAAGAAACTAAAACAAAAGACTAATGGTGATTTTCCTCTGTATGGTAAAATGATAATTTTATTTATTAATAATTTTTTGTGTATTTAAAAATTTAAAGCAACTAAAAAGGTTTATAAGACTGAAATAAACTGTCCTTTAACTACGTTTTGACAGCCCTCAAGTTGCAAATAAAATTGCCTTCTGTTCCCCCCTGCTCTTCCCTACATAATTTTGCTACCTGAAATTATGTTCTTAGCAACTACTCATGATACACGCTTGCAGTCACACTAAATTTGGGATCCCAGTCATTTGTCTAACACACACAGACACACAGAAACAAAAGAAAACCAGTTATTTATTTTAGGGTCCACATTTTTGGAATATGGACCAAAAATATGGACGCTAAAATAAACAAATGGTTTGCTTTCATAACATTGTTAAACATCCCCAGAGTCACTGAAGCAGACTAGATTTATTTTCACAGCGAATTCTTGCCTTTTGGCTGCTCTGAACCCTGGCGTCATTCCCAGATTAGATCTTAACTTCTGCTAGTAGTCAACCAACTGCTGAAAAAGCAGAGACTTAGAAGCCAAAAGACTGGAAAAGAGTTCACAGAATGAGCCAGACTGTCCACTAGCAAACAGGCTATAGCTAGTGGAGGAGGCAGAATAGAAGCCCCTACCAACCACTAAGGGGATACCAGTGCAGACCACAGAACATCTGGGAAAAGCTACAGGGAGCTTAGAGGTGGGAATTTTCCAAACCTGAACGCTGGCTATGATTTAACTACAGTTCTTTTCATCTGATTACATCCCATGAGAGTTTTACCTTTTATCTCTTCCTCCCATGGTGCTTCCCATTTTTTCACACATCCTTTATATAACTCCCACGATTAGCAGGTAATACAATTCCTTTTGCCTTAACTGCCCCAGTAGAACTTGAGTTGGTCTGGTTGCTTCAAAAGTCTATACCTAGAGTAGAATGCAAGACTGAGAAATCTATGGGCTCCTGAAAGATTAGCAAGATGGCCATTAACCCTCCTACAAGCTCTTGGAAATCAGAGCTACCAGGAAACCCAAGGGCTTTGCTGAAATATAAGGGTTAGCCCAGGGTTAATTTTTCCTGTGTTCATAGATGTAGAGTACTGAGCAGTAAAGGACAGAGTATGAACTTGTCCCAGAAACCAGAGGCAGCAGCTTGAAGCAAATTCTCCCACAATCTCCATCTCTAAACACAAATTACCCCCAGTAAAATCTGTGGTTTAAACACAAACCATCCTCAGTAGAATCTGTGGGTTAGTACAAGGATTCTGTTTTGGGAAGAGTTTTCCCCTTGAGAAGAGTCTTCCATTCTGGCATGTTACTCTTAATTCAGCCTAAGCCAAACATGTAATTGTAGTGCTATTCCCCCTCATTTGCCAGGGACTTCTATTGTAAACCAAATAAAATGACTGAGGCAAGCTTCAATCAACTTAGAGATTTATTTTGCCAAGGTTGAGGATGCACCTGGGAAAAAGAGACACAAGGCACAGTAGGATCTGCGGCCTGCACTTTTTCCAAAGAGAATTTTGAGAGCTTCAATATTTAAAGAGAAAAAAGTGGGCAGGATGGGGAAGGAGGAAAGAAAAAAAGAGAGATAAAGAGTATGGTCACATTCTTGTGAGGCTTTCATTAGCGCTCACGGAATCCACATGTTGCATATGAAAATGAGGGAGTAGAGGAGCAGTCAGTTATGTATTTGCTCAGTAAAACTGCACTTTACATAAGATAAAGTAAACACAGAGTAGAGGAAGAAGTCAAATATGCATTTGCCTTAGGGTGGAGGGGACAATTTCTAGTCTCCTCTTGTCCCACACTCATAAAGATAAGCTGTTAATTTACATTTTCAGGGTGAGGGATGCCACCCGGGGAGATATGCGGCCTTTTATCTTGTAACTGTTTAGGAACAAAAGGAAAGGCAGGTTTTGGGGTTTTTGTTTGTTTGTTTTTGTGCATGACTCAGCTTCCAAGCTTAATTTTTCCCTTTGGCATAGGGAGTTTAGGGTGCTGAGATTTTCTTTTCCTTGCTCACTATATATCTATTTATTTAAAATAAGCCCACAAGGAAAGCTTGTGGTGTTAAAACTGTGTAGTGTCTGGACCATGGAGGCAAATACAGGAAACTACATAGGTGATAAAATGTGTAGAGCTTAATACACTCCAATTCATACCAATGAATACAAGTACAATGAGGGAATCAAAATAAGATCTTTGGATTGTATAGATGTCTGTATCTTCATTGTGATATTATGCTGTAGTTTTGCAAAATGTTACCAATGGGGGAAAATAGACAACGTGTACAAATGATCTTTTTGCATTATTTCTTACAATTGCATGTGAATCTACAATTATCATAAATTTTTAAAATCTTTAAAAATAGTTTAAAAATCAAGCGACAAGCTGCTAAATAAAATATATTCTATACTCCTACCTTGAAAAATAGGCCTCTTAACTACCTGGAATTCCAGTAAGGGAGGAGACCACCCCTCATAGTGTCTTATGACCAATTTCTGCCTCAAAGAAAAAGTAGGAGTTAAAGAAAAGACAGAAGTGAAATCAGTAGTCAGACAGCCCGGCGCTGCATTCCCAGGCTGGTAGTTAAAGATTGACTCCTGACTTAACTGGTTATGTTATCTATAGATTCCAGACATTGTATGGAAAAGCACTGTGAAAATTCCTATCCTGTTCTGTCCCGTTCTGATTACTGGTGCATGCAGCTCCCCCGTCACGTAGCCACTGCTTGCTCAATCGATCACGACCCTGTCACGCGGACCCCCTTAGAGTTATAAGCCCTTAAAGGGGACAGGCATTGCTCACTCAGGGAGCTCGGTTTTTGGAGACGTGAGTCCACCGATGCTCCCAGCTGAATAAAGCCCTTTCCTTCCACGACTCGGTGTCTGAGGGATTCTTGTCTGCGGCTCGTCCTGCTACACCAGGTTCAAATTTCAGATACCCTGACTTGGAATTTTCCATGGGAACACAGCTGCCTAGGAAAGCTGCCCCATCTCAGAAGCACTCCTATTCTCTTCTCCTCCCTGTTCTCTAAAATGCATGTTTGTGGACACCCACATTTGTGGACAGAACATACAAGCTTCATCTACACTCCTCTTACCTCTCAAATGGAGTCCTTGGCCGCTTCTTGCAGGCTCCAAAACCAGGCTCCAAGTCCTTCAAACATGAAATTCTGAGTCCCACATACTTGGAGTCAGTCTATGGGTCAGAGCGAGGGGCACTGTAGCCTCTGGGTAGCACATCTCCTTTACCTTGCTAACTCTTCACATCATCTGTAGGGACACAGCCAGAAAAGCACCAGGGAAGGGTCCAATGCAGGGTCTCTTGTCAAAGTCTAAGGGGAGTATCAGTCAGTACTACCATTTTATAAATAAGAAAATTGAGTGAAATTATACTTCATGTCACTGATAACTAGTAATATCAGGTTTCCAGCCAGATCTATTAGAGTCCAAGGCCATGTCACAGCAGTTCTAGCACACTCTCCCCTGATGAAAACCTGAATAAAATGCCCATTTTATTGTCTAAGGAGTCCACAAGGGCCTATCTATCTGCTCACAGCTATCCTAATTACTAGCCAGATATACAGTTGCCTTTCTCAGGACTTGTGTCATTCATTTAATGAGGCAGATTATTATTGAAATTGAATTAAATTCAACAGGCATTCATTGAGAACACCACAGTCATTGAGACACGGCTCATTATTTGCAGGACCAGCTCATTAATTTTGATTAATTCAGGTGCCAACTCTACAACATACAAAATAGATGCTAAACGTATACAGATGCATTATGCAGAAGCCATTATCAAGAATAGTGCTTTCACAGGCATTCCTGAGATGTTTCTATGGATTCTGCTCTATTTTTTCATTATTTCCAGAAATCTCTCTCTAGTTCTCAAAAAAAAAAAAAAAAAAAACCCAATCAATTAGAGAGGATGATACACAAAACCCACCCTTCTTTCTCCCAGGTAGGGAGATGGAAAACAAATAGACAAAGAGGAAGATGAACAGTGCAGATAAGTAGAAGTGGGGATAAAATAACAGAATGTTTAGAAATGCTTTCTAATTTGTCAATGACAGTTTTCCCATGACCCTTCATTTCTCAACTTAAAAAAAAAAAGTCAGATATATCTTTGCTCCTTCCAGTCAGAATGCCTCAGGCTGTTCCTGCAGGTGTCCCCAGTATTTCCTGCTTATTGAGTGGTTTAGACAAGATGGAACTGACTCCACCCTGCATGGTGCTCAGTGTGCTGCGTGGACCATTCCAACAGCTGGGGAGAAACAAGTTCCTCTTCGCACCCGGTGTGATAATAAGTGAGATCCCTATGAACAAGCAAGGAAGGAAGCTTCCTGACACAGTGCACCATGGACATTTAGCATGTAACTCTTCTGTTATTTGTGGAAATGAGGTTATAAGAGGAAAATATGTAGACGTGAGAGCATGGAGTTTGGGCGTCCTTTCTGGCAACCCAGAGGCATATTCTTCTGGGTTCTCTTCTGCATTCTATTTGTAAACAGAATTATGTAGGTAAGAAAAATGTTACTTTAGTAGACAGAATCGTAAAAAATAAAGTAAAAAAATATTTTAAGCATCATAAATGTGGAATAAGAAAATGAGATATTTAGGTTAAGCTTGAATGGTTTAGATTCATTTTAAATCAAGTTTTAGTATTTCTTTTCAAATCCTCATCATTAAAAATTCTGCCAATCTATTTAAAGATGAAAATAAAAGAAAATCATTCTTAAATTCAGAGATTTAATTGTCAGAATCCACAAATGTTAAACTATTTGAAAGATGTGAAGAGGATTTCCCTGAAATATCTTTTCCAGTATAAAATATACTGGAAGTGAATGAAATCAGTCAATGACATGAGGTGTATCACAAATAATTGAGTAAGTGGAGAGAAGAGTGGGATAACACCCACAGAAGGGGTCAGAGCAAAGGGAAGAAGCAGAAATGGGAGGAGCATAATAGTTAGGGGTCTTCCAAACCAGTCAGCTGCAGTAGCCAACAATGCCTCCTGCTTTCACACTGATCTGCCACCTTCTATTCTCAATACGCTTCCAACCCAGACGCCCAAGGGCTTCCCGTAATACTTGAAAGGAACCTCAAAGGCTGACCTTACCATGCCCCTGGTCTTGTATGATCTGGCCCCTGGCTATTTTTTTAATTACATTTCCTACTACTGTCTCCCCTAGTTTATTCCACCTGATCCACTTTGATCAGCTTGCTATTCCTCAAATACCTCATGCATGTTTCCATTTCAAGAACTTTGACTTACTCTACCCTCTGCCTGGAATGCCCTTTCCCTAAATAGTCACACAACTACCCCGCTTAATTATTCAAGCATCTATTTAAATGACCCCCTCATCCAAGAGCACTTCCTTGGCCACCCTATCCAAAGTAGCACATATATCCATCTAAGTTGCTTTCTCTCCTTCCATTCTTATTTTTTCTGCATAATGACATTTACTGTTATCATGTTTGTTTATAGTCTGAATCTCATACTGGTTTTAAAAATTATGAAAGCAGGGACTTCATTTAGATTGCCTCCATATCTGCAGTTCCTACAACATACCCAACTTGTGGTAAGCACTCACTAGGATCTGTGACATGAATAAATGAAGTCAGGTGAGTTGGTCACAGTGGAGCATTATGTAGGAGGTAAGTTTGGCTGAATGGGTAAGGTCAAATCATGAAAAAACTTGAATCATAGGATGAGTCTGGATACATACGACACATCGGAGTTTCTGAAGAACAGAGTTCAAGCCCCAGGACCTAGAAAAGTTCCTGACCCACAGCAGGCATTCATTACATGTTTCATGATCACATTATGTCAGATGTTAAACAAAATGGAGAAATTCCCTTTCTGTCCCACAGGAGAAAAAGGAGAATGCACTCACCCAGATTACAGAATTGACATTTTCTTTCTTTCTTTTTTTTTTTTTTCTTGAGATGGAGTCTTGCTCTGTTGCCCAGGCTGGAGTGCAGTGACACAATCTCAGCTCACTACAACCTCCACCTCCTGGGTTCAAGCAACTTCTGGCTAATTTTTGTATTTTTAGCAGATTCAGTGTTTCACCATGTTGGTCAGGCTGGTCTCGAACTCCTGACCTCAAGTGATCTGCCCACCTCGGCCTCCCAAAGTGCTAGGATTACAGGTGTGAGCCACCGTGCCCAGCCAGAATTGACATTTTCTGAATTATTCTTCCCTCCTACAGAATATAGCAGCCTTCTGATATTTCTAATCCACAAAATGTTAGAGCTTTCTTCTTGTTCAGCAGTCTTCTGGGAATTCCATTCTGGGTGAAACAAGATAGCAACTGATGACGAGGGAAAACGGGAGTTTCCCTAAGAGACACTGGCTTAAGTCACATAGCTATCACTGAGGCAGCCAGCATGAGGAACCCATTATAAGTGCCCTCAGAAGACACATTGTGAAAATGAATATCTAATTTCCCTTGGGACAAGCATCTAATTTTCTGTAACATTGTGCCTTCTCACAGATGAAAAGGGTTGCTCTCAGTTACTTGGATCAGTGTTCTCAGATGCTCTAGGAAAAGCACTTTAAATGGTTACTATGACCAGGACAAGATTTTTGAGCCAGTGTGTTGTCTGCATTTTTTTTGTGTGTGACTACAAAGAGTGTTTAGCAACGTTGTAGTTATAAAGAATAAGCATTATTACATGTTAATTTTAAAAGAAAGAAAATCAAGTTGCTATCTATGTACATACATATATTTTTATAACAAATGTGAAAAAATACATGAGGAAAAGCACACTAGGAAATCATCAGCTGGTAGTCTTAAATGATGCTAGCAATGCTTAGTGAATACTTAGTGAATACAGCCAGATGGATTACCTGAATTCTCATTTCATCTCACAACAACCTTATGGTATGGTTACTATTAACATGATCTCCACATTGCAAATAAAGGAACTAAGGCCCAGACAGGTAAAATAGCATTGCCAAGTACATGCTTTTAGTAAATGGCACAGGTGAAATTTGAATCTAGTCAATTAGATCCTAAAGTCTGTGCTCCAAACCATTGCACTGCCAATGGTATGGTATTTTATTCCTTCAACTTCCCCATCTTTGATATGTTTTACTTTTACAATAAAAAAAAAATTCTAGGATTATCCATATTTCTTGTTTGTCATGTAGAAAAATAAAATAGTATTAATGGGCTCATATACCAAGTTCGAAATAATATACAAAATATATCCTAAAGTTACCATGTATTTTACAAAACTCTATCTTGCATGAATAAATACCATACCCTATTTCTTGCTGAATCTGTTTTTTGAGAACAAACAAGTACATATGTTCTCATACAATGACCCGTACCTTAAAAAGGTAGCCTGCTGTGACCGTATCTGCAATCTGAATTGTAATTTTTAAAAGAATTAAGCTAAAAAAAGAAAACCACAGGTGCATAAAGTATCTGATTTGAAAAAAAAAATTAATGATGAAACCATCTTATCTTTTTAAAAATTATTACTCAATTATATTTAAATTTTAAAAAACTTTTCTGGAAAAAACATACTATTTAAAATTATACATTTTTAATGCTATAATTTTCTGAAAGTGATACTGACCCTGTAAGTAGAAAAAATTAAACAAAATGCCATGGTATCCATTGAAACTCTATAACTCTAAGTCTTTTTAGAAAAAAATCTGAAGAGAAAGGTATGTATTAAAATCTGTATCTGAAGTATACTCTAAGAATCAGTGACTGTGAGCCTCATTTTACCAAAGACCCACTTTAGATAGTAACACTCTCCTTCAACTCATTTTCAGCTCATTTAAGGTTTTTTCCCCCTCAGGTTCTGTTTGTTGTTGCCTGATGCTAACAATGTTTTCTTAAAGGTATAAAGGAAATGTTTTCTTCCAACATAATTTTCTGTGCACTGCAGGTCTTTTCTTTTGCCTTCTGGTAACTGACCTAACAGATTTTATCTTTTATTGAGTAATTCCTATGCCATTATTATTAAGTTTTGGTTTGTTTAGAAAAAACTTTGAGATTAAAATTATTTTTAATTAAGGTTATTACACCTGCGTATCTTTCTGTATGTGCTTTTAAAGTCCTTGTGACACTGAGTTACAGGGCTTTGATTCCTAGGTCTAAAAAGGACATCAAGTCCTGGTAAGTCTTAAACACTGACAGCAATGAAAGCCTCATCTTCAGGCTCAGTAGAAGATGCCAATCAAAATAAACTGTGTTCTTGACACACAGGACCAGAAATTAAAGCTATTCAACTCCTCGAGGCTCAGGGACTATTGCAGAAGAGGTGGGTGTGTGAGATTGTAAGGGCCAATTTTGAGAGAGAAAATAATTACATTTTCTCTATAAATTAACCATCAATGTCAAGCACACACTGATACAAGACCAGCATATGGGCCCCTGTGTCAGGTTAACAAGGTTTTCTTGAAGCATTAACTGACTCCTTAATAATGGTTATAAAAGTCTTACGGAAGCTATATCTTATGGTCAAAATTAAAATTTTATAGATTGTTTAGAAAAACAAATTTAATTGGCTTCATCCTGTTGTATTAGGGCTTAGTATTTGGAAAATTAAGTCTCCTCTCTCAAAGAATGAAGGTTTTCACTATTTTTAAAAAAAATCCTTGAGCTATCACTCCAGTTAAATGAATGACTTATCTGACAATGACCTGTGATCCTATGTTGTGATATCAAGTATTTTAACCTTTGATATTTGACAAACTTTCCAAAATCAAATTATAAATTATGTCTTTTTCTGACCTAATTAATCCTTTAAGATATTAGCTTCCCTAAAGTCCAAAAATGAGATATTTGGCTTATTTAGTATAAAAAGTGTACAGGAAGCATTGTCAAATATGAAATGGTGTTTGGTTTTCTTTCGGCTGTAGTCGTATAAATATGTTATTGGTATGTGTTCCAAAATTATGAATAACTCCTGTAATTCTGATATGACTTAGTGTACATTATCCATACTAATCATAATTGTTATGTTAAATTATTGTGTGCCACAGACGTAACAATTTCCTTGTCAATTGTGTCTTTGACAACGGCTGCCCTAAAACATCTTGTCATCTACAGACAGTTGTTTTGTTTTGGTCCACTTTAGAAGGTGGTTTTATAATCAGCTATAAAACTCTAACAGGTGCTATTGAATGCAGGTTTCTGACAAGTTTGGAGACTGTGATATCAGAATAGAGGAAAAATTTTCAGGACTCATGGAGAGCTGAAATGTTCATGAGTATCAAGGAATTAGCTGCATGGGCTGAACTAATAGAAGACAGAAGTGATTTTTAGACTTCTTGCTTAAAACATTGCTGATCCTTTGTTTTGTTTTTCAGAGTCAAGAAAACTTTTATTTTGAGCTATTGACAGCTTTTAACAATTAAGTATGCTCCTGAACAAAATGTGGAGCATATTTGTTTCTCTCTACCTTATTTCTCCAGAATTCAGAAACTATTTGTGAGTATTCTTAACTATGGCAATAGTTATTTGCATAAGTGCAATAAGAATCAGTTTTCATTTGTAACAGAACACAATTGGAGAAACTGCTTATTTTACCAAGGCTTTGACTGGAATGGTGTGATTTCCTTTAAGAAATTAAACTTGACCTATAGAGTTGCCAATAAAAGCCCCTTAGGAAAACTGGCTTCATACCTTGTCTACGCAGTTCCTGTCCCAGTTCCTGTCCTGTGGTAAGTAAAGAATGTCATTTTCTGACAGGCCCAGGAGCCCCAGGTTTTTTGGGGACCACAAGAGGAGTGGAATTCACCCAACTCGTAGATATTTGATGGTACAAATCCATGGCTGGGCTTGGTTTTACAGTAGTCTTATCTGAGATTCCCTCTATGGAACAAAGTTTCATCAAAGCCAATTTAAAAAGCCTATGTGGAAAAAATAATTATTCCTGCTGCACTTTATACAAATAATCTGGCCTAGTATAATAAAGCAAATTGGTCCTACCATGATTTGTCTTTAGTAAAAATGGGAAACTGGAGAGAGAAAAAAATATGTTTCAAAAACTACAGCATACTTGTTGTTACATTCTAGTTTTGCCTAATGTTTTTCAAATTTTATTATTTTCTACACTTTGGACTGAATTCTAATTTTTCCTGGCTATAAGTCTCCAAAATAATGCTTTCAATTTTTTTTTCTTTCTTTACCTTTTTTCCCCATTTTTCCTAGTTTGAAATCACTGGAAACTAAGCCATGCTTTCTTAAATCCTAGCAAACTGAAGCTAGACAACTTAAACTTCAGAAGAAAATAACAACTTATTTATATACATAAGCCGCTTTCATACCTGCCTATTGATATATGGACTTCAGAGCAATGTGGCTATATTAATTTTCTAGGATTGTTCTTTTTGTTGTTGTTGTTTTTCTCCCTTCCTCCCTCTGTTTTCTCTTCACAGGACATGAGACTTCACAAGCTGCTAAAAATGAGCTTTCCTAATAACCTAAAACCTACCCATCTAGGAATAAACTGTCCTAGCCATGAGAGACCAGACCAGAGACTCACTGTCTTCTAAAATGCTTCCTCCAAATATTTTTAAAAGAAAAGGGGGGAAATTTGATGGGAAAATAAATCTTGGGGCCCCCAAATCACTAAGCTAAAGGGAATAGTCAAGCTGGGAACTGCTTAGGGCAAACCTGCCTGCCATTCTATTCAAAGTCATCCCTCTGCTCACTAAGATAGATGCATATCTGATTGCTTCCTTTGGAAAGCCTAATCAGATACTTAAAAGAATGAAGCTATTTTTCTCTCACCTACCTGTGACCTGGAAGCTGCCTCCCTGCTTTGAGTTGTCCCACCTTTCTGGACAGAACCAATGTACATCTTACATATATTGATTGATGTCTCATGTCTCCTTAAAGTGTATAAAACCAAGCTGTGCCCCAACCACCTTGGACACATGTCATTAGGACCTCCTGAGGCTGTGTCATGGGTGCACATCCTCAACGTTGGCAAAATAAACTTTCTAAATTAACTGAGACCTGTCTCAGATATTCAGGGTTCACAAAGGAAAGCCATTTTTGGGGTGAGTTCTGGCAAAACAGCCAAGAGATATTACACACTACTTCTGTCCATGAGTTAGCCTGTGTCTCAATTGCATGTTTTGCATGATCTTTTTAAGTAAGGAGTCAAATAATTTTCTAAGTTTATTTTCTTCATGTCAATATTATATAAAAAAGAAGGTACACATATATTTAAGATAAGATGGAGGGGTTTTCTTTTTCTTAAATATTTATTCAGCATTGGAAAAGATACATCTCATTTATTGTTGCTAAAAGATGATTGGATACTATAAAATCATACTTGTTTATTTTACTAGGTGAAATTTTCCTGTTTGTCATTCAGTCACTTACCTACTCTTTTATTTATTCCCATGATTCATTTATTAGATTTCAATTAACAGATTTAAATGTAATAATCTATAGATGAAAAGAGTCAAGCTCTGTGATATGGTTTGGCTGTGTCCCCACCCAAATCTCATCTTCAGTTGTAGTTCCCATAATCCCTACATGTGGTGAAAGGAACCCAGTGGGAGATCATTGTATCATGGGGGCAGTTCCCCCATGCTATTCTCATGATAGTAAGTTCTCACGAGATCTGATGGTTTTATAAGGGCCTTCCTCCTTCAGTTGGGACTCATTCTCTTCCCTGCTGTCCTGTGAAGAGATGCTTTCCACCAAGATTGTAAGTTTGCTGAGGCTAACCAAGACATGTGGAATGGTGAGTCAATTAAACCTCTTTCCTTTATAAACTACCCAGTCTCAGGTATGTCTTCATAGCAGTATGAAAACTAACTAGTACAGTCTGTAAAATATTTGAAGAGATTTACTCTGAGCCAAATATGAGTGACCAATGGCCCATGACACAGCCCTCAGGCGATCCTGAGAACATGGACGCAAGGTGGTCAGGCTACACCTTGGCTTTATACATTTTAGGAAAACATAAGACTTCAATCAATACATGTAGGAGGTACATTGGTTTGGTCCGGAAAGGTGGTGGTGGGGTGGCTTCCAGGTCAGAGGTAGATTCAAATATTTTCTGATTGACAATTGGTTAAAAGAGTTAAGTATTGTCTAAAGATTTAAAATCAACAGAAAGAAATGTCAGGGTTAAGATAATGTGCTGTGTGGACCAAGGTTTTATTGCAGATGAAGCCTCCAGGTAGCAGGCTTCAGAGAATAGACTGTAAATGTTTCTTGCCAGACTCAGACAGTCTATCAGTCTTAAGGTCTGTGTTGATATTAATGCTGGTCAAGTGGGCCCGAATTCCAAAAGGGAGGAGAGTGTAATGAGGTATGTTCAACTCCTTCCTGTCACAGCCTGAACTAGTTTTCCAGGTTAACTTTGGAATGCCCTTGGCTGAGAAGAAGGGTCCATTTAGATGGTTGGGGGACTTAGAATTTTATTTTTGGTTTACAATCAAATGTTACAGATTCTTCTGTAAATAGTGTATTATTCATAAGCTCATACTTAATTCATTCTCTTATTGCTGCTGTTAATTTCTACAAAGTTGATTAAAGTCCTCTCTAATATCCATTGAAGTACAGGTGTAGAACAAAATGTTCCCAAATTACAATCCAGAAAGTTATGCTCTGAAATATAGAAGTAAAGTTTTGTTTAATTAGGTTGAATTCCACTCTCTCAGATGTTGATAAGAATGTGCTTGGTTTGTCAAATGCATAATTACAGATTTAATAGTTTTTGACTATGAAATAAAATTACATAGGTAACCACATACAAGAATTCTTAAGAATTCATCTCTTAAGATGAATTATTAAGCTTCTTAAGGCATATTTGGACAACCTATATAATTGACATTTGCCTATGCAAAAAATAATCCTAAAGCACACATTAGGGATGAAACTAATGCTGAACTCTGAACTCCATCTTATTCTAGCTATAAAAAAAGTTAATCTCTAGAAATATGGTCTAATAAAAAAAAGTCCCATCCATCTCACTAAGAGACAATATTACAAAATATTTTGCTTATTATCTTTAACAATTAATTGGATATCTTTAGAAGAAATATGACCTTTTTATTTTAAAATATTATTTTTTTAATGCCAGGAATTTTTCTCCAATATTTACTCTTAGTTGTCCATTTTAAATTTCTAGGTCATTTGAACAAAATGTGTTAAGAACATGCCAGTAAAGATTTTTAATATTATTCTAAGTCAATGGAAAGTCTTTAAAGTTTTATCATGAGATTACTGAATTAATGCAATTCATATTTTTTAAAAAATCATGATGACTGATATATGGGGAAAGAACAGGGGAAGAGGTTAAAGAGTGAAAGCAGACAGGCTGGTTGAAAGGAAACTGTAGTCTTTATAAGAAAGGATGGTGTTTTGGACTGGGGTGGTGGCTACAGAGATGAAAAAAGGGAGAGGATATAGCATATGTTTTAGAGGTAGAAACAACAGAATTTACTGATGGGTTTGTTATGGACCATGTAAGTCAATGACTCCTAGATTTTTGTTTCTGTTTTATTATATTTTGTTTTGTGTTTTGATTCAGCAATTGAATGTAATGGTGTCATTCATTCTATTAAGAAGCCTGGGGGAAGGGCAGATTGAGAGATAACAAGAGTCCTATTTCTACATATTAAATGTGAGTTGCTTATCAGACATTTAATTGAGGTTTCAAGTAGGCTATTGTATATACAAGTTTGAAACTAATAGAAGAGATCAGAGGTGTAGAAATTTAGATTCATCAATATCACACGGTACTTAAATCCACAGGACTAAGAGAAACCACCTATGGAATGACAATAAATAAACAGACAACTCTTGACTCCGCCCAGAAGCAATCCATCATTTTGAGGTCAAGTAGAAAAGGTGGAACCTGAAAGGAAACGGAGAAGTGGTGGTGAGGGAAGTAGGAGAAAAACCAGGAGAGTATAGCGTCACAAGAAGCAAGAGATGAAAGCTTTTCCAGACACATTCATTAAAGGTATGATCTTAACCCTACTTTCTATTGGACTGTACCTGGAATGTGCCATTTGTAACAACAACAAAAATCTTTTAAGTAGGAGATTGTAACAAAGAATAATTTTTCAACGTGAGAAAAAAAAGGGAAAAAAGACATAGTTTGGGTGATGATTAAAGGGACATTCAAACAAAAATAGAATCCTATGCACCCCCCTAACCGAATGAATGAGCCCCTCTGGGCCACAGGAACCTGAAAAACTGAATTTCTAGCCATGACAGGAAGGGACATTGGACATGCCTCATTATACCGCTTCCCTTTTGGACTTCAGTCATAACTGACCACCAGTATTAACGTTAAAATGGAGATCATAAAACTGACAAAATAGACGCTTTGTGGCAATAAGATACCAAATTCCAAATTGACTCTGGTATAGCATCACATGACAGATAGCAGACCCTGAAAGAAATCAAAATGTTTTATCCCAAAATATATTTCTTTAACGTATTTTGAAATGGCCCTGCAAAGCTGTCCTTTCCGGAGGAAGTTTACTTCTGTAAAGAATCTCCATTAATGCAGCCAGGACTTTCTCCATCTAGGAGAGACTAAGAGTCTGATGCCTTTAAAGGTCTGAAAAGAAATATTTATGATTTTTTTCTCTTTGACGGCTGCTACCTAGAAGCTTCATCTACATAACGAAACAAGAACCTTGTCTTCTTCAGCCTCCTTATCTTAACTCAAGAATTTCTTTCTATTGACTTCAAGCCTTTAGACAAAGCTTAACTCTTTGAACTAATTGCCAATTAGAAAGTCTTTGAACCCACTTATGACCTGTAAGCCTACCCTACTTCTCCCACCCTACCTCCAATTCAAGATGTCCCACCTTTTTGGTCTGAACCAATGTATTGATTTAAATATTTGCTTATAATATTGCTCTCCATAAAATGTATAAAACCAAACTGTAACTCAATCATCAACCACCTCAGGCACCCTTTCTCAGGACCTCTTGAGACTGTTCCTTGGGCCACAGTTGCTTGTATTGGTTCAGAATAAATCTGTTCAAATATTTTACAGAGTTTTTTTTCTTTTCTCCATCAACAGAGAGTTAACCTCTTTATTTATTAACTTAGTATTTATGCACCTATAACTGTGTGATTTTCTACCATTTAGGGGAACGGAGAGCAATTAAGAGGTCAAGTAAGTTGTTCCCAGAACTCTCAGAGGCCATAATCTTGAAGAACAAACCTAAAGGATCCTTTTTCCCCTACACAGCAGTAGTTACTTTAGCTCATGAATAGGCCAAGAAATGCCAAATTTAACATTCAGAAACATGAGAACAAAGCAAATCATAAAAAGCAACAACATATGAGTGAGATGACAGTAGTGCTTCCTCTCTCTCTTCACCTCCCCACTCAATTACCATAAATATTTGCATGAAGTAACTAGACAGTAAATACTGTAAAGACAAATGCACATTTAAAATCAGACTCTTACTCATTTTGAAAATAAGAAAAAATACCTCTTTCTCTCCGTTTACTTTGAGCATTTACTTTAGAAAACTTATTATTGCAAGTTCTTTCTCCTCTCTTTGAAAGGTATATAAATTCTTTTGAAGACTAAATTGGCATTTTGTCAGCTATGTAATCTAGAAATATCTTTCTCAAGTCCCTGGTAGCCATTTCTTTGAAATGTAAACATCAAGGAGGATAGTACCTACATCTCCCAGTCTTTGGGGTAGGCTTAAGTCTGACTTAGATGGGCACCTTGCTCCAAGTTGCAAAACTATTTCCTGTCCTAAAGATATAAGAAGTTTGAATTTCCTCTGGATAAAGCAAATTAACTAGCACAGTTAATTGTACCCAAATAACAGGTACAATTATGGTAACCTATGTGTGACATACAGCGCTATCAAGTCCTCTTACTTGAGTTATTGTTCATCTTGAAAACATGCATACAATGGGTCCTGTCTGCTTGGCTGTATATAAGGGTGAGCAATGTCTTAGTGGATTGCCTGTGATACCCATTACATTATGTTTCAATGTTTTCAATATTAAAAATGTTTTCTTTTCCTATTACCTTTGTAGAGATGATTTCTAGATAAGGAGTTTTTGTTTTTAGTTATATTTCCCCAACAATACCCATTTACTAAGTTAGCCATCTGCCTTAATTACAATTAAAAACAAAAAGTTCTATTTGTGAAAAGTGTTTTCTACCAATGATAAAGGAAAAATCTTAAAAACTGCTAGGGAAGCTATATTATATAGAAGAAAACTTTGTGAATTTTCAATGCGTTGATCCTAACCAAACAACTTTTCTTATTGTTTTTCCAAAGTAATTAGATGATATGGAAATGAGTATATTATATAATGAGTTGAATTACATAGCAGAATAAAGACATTTAAATCAGGAAAAAAATGCATTTTAAATAAAGTCAATTACATTTGACAATTAAACAAATGTGTTGAGTACTTCCTGAGTTCCAGTTGCTATGCAGGTAATGGGCTAGCCAAAGGGAATGCGACTGTTGGGTGCCGCGGCTCACGCCTGTAACCCCAGCACTTTGGGAGGCTGAGGTGGGCGGATCACTTGAGGTCAGGACCAAAGAGAATGAGACAGTCTCTGTTCCAAGGGTACTCAGGATTTAGCTTGGAAGAGAACTATCACATCTTTAATTAATTTTGTATATATAAATAGTAATAAGCAGCAATGTCTTAGCTCTTGGATAGATGATTTGTGATTCTATATACAGTTGCTTCCAGGTATTTTGCTTTAATTTCATATTTTTAATGTTTTTCCAATTGTGATATAAAGGGAGACCAAAACACTAAGTTCTAAGGAGGAACTTAAAATATAAAAATTTCTATGTGTTTTAGCCATGGATGAGAATATTTTTTAATAGACTGAAAATCTAGGACAAGAGTCAGCAATATTTTCCTAATGGAAAATTTAAAAAGAAAATCTAATTCCAAGGCAGGTCAAATTCAATTCTTTGCCCATAGGCAGTGGTAAAACACTGGGTGAAATATTAATATAACAAAAAGATTATCCAGGTCTTCTGTTTGATCTCGTGGCCCCAAAATGCATCCAATCAAGTTGACTTCCTATTCCAAACAAGATTTTTTTTTTCATTTTGTCAAGAATGAAACCATGTTTTGGAAAACTGTGTACTGAGCTACAGCCACAATTGGTAGATGTGGACTTCCTAGATTGTTTTATTCTCTGTACCTGAAAAGCCATGTCTGTAGCCCACCTCATTTCACATCACAGCTGTAGTTCTACACGTTTAAGTGCAGGACAGAATGGTCTTTGTAGTCATTCAGACCTAGGTTTAATTTCTCTTCTGCCCTTTGTTAACCTATGAGGATTTTAAGTAACATTTCCAGATCTCAAGCTCTTCAATTATGGAATGGGTGTAAAATTTACAATTCTATTAAGATAATTAAGAAAAGATAAAATTTATAAAACATGATTAAATATGTAAAATCTCTGGTATGAAGCAGAAAAACATTATGTATTTCCTTTTGCTGTCTTGAAAATCCTAAAAATTCAGTATAGGCTACAAAAGCTGTTCTCAAATCTTTTGGTTTCATGACTCTATACACTAAAAATTATTGATGAAGACCAGGTGCCATGGCTCTTGACTGTAACCCCAGCTACTCAGGAGGCTGAGGCAGGAAAATAGCTTCAACCTGGGAGGCAGAGGTGGCAATGAGCCAAGATCGCATCACTGCAGTCCAGCCTGGGCAACAGAGCAAGACTCTGTCTCAAAAAAAAAAAAAAAAGAAACTAAATACTTTGCCACATATTGAAACGTTAGATAATTTTATTTATAGATAACTCTTACATAATGATAATAAGAACATTATCCCCAATTAATGAATATTAGTAAAATAATCATTGCTCTAAATATTAAAAGTTTTCTCTTTGAAAAATATTTAAATTTTCACCACTTCGAATGTTTTACTATCTCATGATAAGTCAAATTCACTTCATTTCATGAGTTCCCTGCCCACCATATGTCATTGGCCAATACATCAGAAAGAAAGATGAATAGGAATAGCTCTGGTTTTCAGGCAGAAAACCTTGAAGTATGTCCCTGCTCCATCACCATGCTCTCTTGAGCATGTTACCTAAACTTTCTGAATTTCTTTTTGACTAGTGGTTGGAGGGAAATAGAGGAAAACATGTTCTGTCCCACGTGTGGATCTTTGGAGAGCATGGAGAAGAACAATCTTAGAAAGGGAGACACAAGTGAGATCAGGGCTTCAGCAGGAAGCCAAAAAAATGGAGCCAGAGTAAGAAAAAGAAATGTTACTTATTTACAGAAATTTCTATTAGAGCCCTTTCCCCATTTTTAAACTTCGTTGGGTTCTTGTTGTTGTTGTTGTTGTTGTTGTTGACGTTACTAAGTTGTAGGAGTTTTTTTGTTTGTTTGTTTTTGTTTTTGGCCCTTAGCTCCTTATTAAATATATGGTTTGTAAATATTTTCTCTCATTCAACTTTTTAGTTTACAGCAATCCCATTTGTATATTTTGGTTTTGTTTGTCTCTGCTTTTGGTATCATATCCAAGAAATCATTGCCAACACCAATGTCAAGAAACTTTACCCTATTTGTTCTTCCGGTAGTTTTATAATTTCAGTTTTTACATTTAAGCCTTTAATTCATTTTGTCTTTATTTTTGTGTATGGTATAAAAATAGGTGTCCAATTTTATAATTTTGCACGTAGATAACTTGTTTTCCCAGCACCATTTATTGAAAAGACTCTCCTTTCCCTCAGTGTATGGCCAGTAAATACATGAAAAGGTGCTCAACATCACCAATAATCAGGGAAATGAAAACAAAAACCACACAAGATATCATCTCACACCTGTTAGTATGACCATTATAAAAAAAAAAGATAATAACCATTGGTAAGGATGTGGAGAAAAGGGAATCCTTGTAAAATAGTGCAATCAAAAAGAATATGAAGGTTCTTCCAAAAGTTAAAAACAGAATTACCATAGGACCTAGCAATCCCACTTGTGCGTATATATGTAAAATATTAAAATAAAGATCTTGATAAGATATCTGCAGTCCTACATTTATTGCAGTGTTAGTTACAATAGCAAAGCTATTGTAGAAAGCCAAGCTTGGAGAAAGAAAGCATAGTATAATACAATGGAATATTAGCTTTTGAAAAGAAGGAAATCCTGCCATTTGTGACAAAACATGGATGAATCTAGAGAACATTATTCTAAGTGAAATAAGACAGCCACTGAGGGACAAATAAAGTGTGATTCCACTTATGTGAGTTATCTAAAATAGTCATAACCACAGAAAAAAACAGACGGTAGAATGAAGGGTACCAGAGGCTGGCGGGAGTGGGAAATTGAGAGTTGCCTTTCAATGGGAATAAAGTTTCAGTCATGCTTGATGAATAAGTTCTAGAGATCTGCTGTACAACACAGAACATATAGTTACCAATACTGTATAGCGCACTTAAAAATTTGTTAAGGAAGTGCATCTCATGTTAGGTGTCCTTACAACAACAACAACAAACAACAAAACAAAACAAAGAGAAACAAGGAAACTTTTAGAGATGGTAGTTATATCTATTACTTGATTGTAGTGATGACTTCACTGGTGTATGCTTATGTCCAGGCTCATCAAATTATGCGTATGTTAAATATGTACAGTTTTTTTGTTGTTGTTGTTTTTATTTTTTTGGTTTAAAAGTTAAAGGTCAATTAATCTGTTTGTTTTTTAATAGAAAAAGAAAGAAAGACAGGAAGAAAGACAAGCAAGCAAGCAAGCAAGCAAGCAAGAAAACTGAGCCATCCACCACTCTCTCTGCCAACAAGAATTCTCAGATGGGCCAGGCACAGTGGCTCATGCCTGTAATTCCAGCACTTTGGGAGGCTGAGGCAGGACGATCACTCAAGACCAGGAGCTCAAGACCAGCCTGGGCAACATAGTGAAACCCTATCTCCACCAAAAATAAAATTAGCCCAGGAATGATGTCACTTTACTGTAGTCCCATCTATTTGGGAGGCTGAGGGAAGAGGATACTTGAGCCCAGGAGTTCAAGACTGCAGGGAGCTATGATTGCACCACTGCACTCCAGCCTGGGTGACAGAGCAAGACCCCGTCTCAAAGAAAACAAAAAAGAATTCTCAGACAGGCTGGGTACAGTGGCTCACGCCTGTAATCCTAGCACTCTGGGATGCCGAGGAGGGTGGATCACTTGATCCCAGGAATTCGAGACCAGCCTGGCCATCGTAGTGAAACCCTATCTCTATTAAAATACAAAAATTAGCCAGGGCATGGTGGCACACACCTGTACTCCCAGCTACTTCCAAGGCTGAGGCGGGAGAATCACTTGAACCTGGGAGGTGGAGGTTGGAATGAGCTGAGATTGTGCCACTGCACTCCAGCCTGGGCGAAAGATCAAAGCTCTGTCTTAAAAAAAAAGAAAGAAAAAAAGAAAAAGAATTCTCAGGCAGATGTTTTCTCACTCTGCATGGGATGGGATTTTCTTTTTTTCTTTTTTCTTTTATAGAGACAAAGTCTCACTATGTTGTCCAGGCTGGTCTTGAACCCCTGAGTTCAAGCAATCCTCCTGCCTTGACCTCCCAAAGTGTTGGGATTACAAGGCGTGAGCCATGGCACCCAACCAGGTTGGGATTTTCTATCAATCAGGGGCAAATCTCTCAGAAAACAAAGAAGACTTTAACTCATATTTGGATCATATATATAAAGTGCCTGACATACGGTAGATGCTACATAAGTTTTGGTTCTTTATCCACACTTAATTATTTTGAAACAGGGTCTCTGTTTTACAGGCTGGAGTGCAGTGGTACTCTGTTGCCCAGGCTGGAGTGCCAGTGGTACAATCTCTGCTCACTGTAGTCTCCACCTCCTGGGCTCAGGTAATTCTTCCACCTCAGCCTTCCGAGTAGCTGGGATTACAGGCGCGCGCCACTGTGCCCGGCTGTAAACAATTAAAATATCAAAGTACACGGTTTGGAAGATAGTAGAAAATCTCTGATGAGAAAGGGCAGTTCTGGTTTGTTATTATAGAGTGTATGAGCACTCACACACGCCCATACACCAATTAAAGCTCACAATAGATGAATCCTTAAAAGAAGGGGAAATTAGAGCAGAATAAAAGGATGCTAATTGTTGACAGTGAAAAATGTTATTTGTAATAATAGAGACTAGTAAAAGCAAAACACATGTTGCTTGTTTGTGAGACCACCCAGCAGTCTGACTTGATTGGAAGTTGTGTCAATGGTCCTCCATCAAAGACTATCACCGTGAATGATGTCTAAATAGATGTTTCACTGAAATTAAGAGAAGCCTTATGTGATCTGCAGAATGGCCATGTACTTTAGGTTATTTGCAAAAGTTTTGTAAATTGAATTGTGAATTTAACTGAGAGTACTTTTAAAACTATAACTAAGCAGTGAAAGGAAAGTTGAATTGACAGTGTTATCTAGAAAGGTGCTGCCTCTCTCAGGTAAGCAGGGATTTGGAGAAACATAAAGACTTGGGTTTTATTGAGGACACATGGACATAAACATGGGAACAATAGACACCATGGAATACTACAGGGTGGAGGGGTGGGTTAGAAATCTACCTGTCAGGTACTATGCTCACTATCTCGGTAATTTTTGAGATTCCTACTCCATACCTCAGCACCAAGCAATATTCCCATGCAACAAATCTGCACATGCACCCACTGCATCTAAAATAAAAGTTGAATTAATAAAATCAAAAAAATAAAGGCCGGGTGTGGTAGCTCACGCCTGTAATCCCAGCACTTTAGGAGGCCGAGGTGGCTGTATCACCTGAGGGCAGGACTTCGAGACCAGCCTGGCCAACATGGTGAAACTGTGTCTCTACTAAAAACACAAAAAATCAGCCGGGCATGGTGGCACTCACCTGTAATCCCAGCTACTCCAGAGGCTGAGGCAGAAGAATCGCTTGAACCCAGGAGGCAGAGGTTGCAGTGAGCCGAGATCATTGCACTCCAGCCTGGGCAACAAAAGAGAAACTCCGTCTCACATATATAAGGAAATAAACCTTGGTTTTTTTTTTTCCAATCCCACCTGTCCCGGCCCCTATTTAAGACTTAATCTATCATCAGTTTATATATGCACTGTCAAAAATAACAAACAAGGAAGTCTAGCTCTTTTGTTTTCTATGGCTCTTAAGAAGTCAGGGTGACATCTGGTGGACAGACAGTCTTAAGGTATCTATCAAGACAGTATAAATTTCTTTCTGATTCCCACTTTAAAAGTTCTCAAAGAGTCAAAAATTTAAAAAGGAAGTTGTGCCTCAAGTGGACAGAAAACATGACTCTTAACCCCAAACACAAACTATTCAAAGTGGATCCTCACAATTAAATAGTTGGATCCAGAGATACTGCTAATGCTGTAAATGCACATATACAAGATGATGCTTGGCTCTGAATAAAAAGAAAGATTTGTGCTTTTTTTGCTAAAGACCAATTTTTAGAGGATTTAATTGTGACTCTCCTATAAAACGAATTGTGTCAAACATTTTAGTTAACTCTTTTAGTCATCTAAAGATAAGGAAGACATTCAAATGCACAAATATAAAATACATGCTAAGCTCATGAAACCACCAACAGTAAAGTATGACGAAAGTGTAAGGTGCCAGATGGGAAAGCTGAATTCAGGAAAGGTCTATGCAGCATAACTGAAGCCAAATCATAAAAAAATCTTGCAAATCAATAGGAGATCAGATGCTTTTTTAAAGAAAATGGAAAGCCATTGTGATTTTAAGCAGAAGAATGACATAATCTAACTTGTGCCACAGAAAATTAATCTGGCACTCGTGGAGCATGGATTAAAAGTTGGAGAAAGACAGAAGGCAGGATCCAGGTTAAGAGGCTGGCACAGTATTCCAGGTGAGAAATAATGAAGAGCTAACATAAGCAGCAGCATGGAGAGGAGAGGGATGGAGACACATTTGAGGCGTCTATGGAAGCTGGGGCTCTCTAACCTCACAAACCTGCGAGGGCAGATTGAGTTACATGTACCCTTATCTTCTAATCTTACTAGCTCCAAGTGCCACCTGCAGAAGTGTTGTACCTGAATATAGTCTCACTGGGGCCTCCAAATGTTGTACCTGAGCGAGTTAGAGAAAATGCCACACTTTGAGATGAATTAAGAGTCCGTTTATTTAGCTGGTGGCCAAGAGACGGCTAATGCTCAAAGTTCTCTCGGCTTTGAAGAAGGACCTAGATTTTCTTTTATACTTTGGTTTAGAAAGGGGAGGGGGGGTCTAGTTAAAACAATTTTGCAGAAGTAAAGTAGGCAAAAAAGTTAAAAGGATAAATGGTTACAGGAAAGTAAACAGTTCCAGGTGCAGGGGCTTTAAGACTATTACAAGGTGATAGACGCGGAGCTTTGGGTGTTATCAATCGGACGAATTCCTGGACGAACTGCGGATATAGCTGGCCACAGTATCTTATCAGTTAATTGCATTCTTGGATGTGCTGGGAGTCAGCTTGCACAAGTTAAGTCCTTGAGGAAGGGGCTGCCAGTGAAAGAGCCAAGATGGAGTCTGTCTGGCTCTCTTAGCTAAGGGAGAGTCAAAAAGCAGGGTTAGTAAAAACAAGGTTGGGCATTAGAGAAGCAGCACTTCCTCTGCACAGACACTCCAAAAAATGTCTGGGAGTTTGCAACCGATTTCTTATATATGTTTACAGAACAACAACAAAAATTTCAGGTTGCTGCTTGCCATTAGCATCTTCCACGATGAAATTAGAAATTTGCTGATTTTCTCTGGCCACCACTGCTCTTGGTCCTCAGGGTACAGCACGTGCCCAGCAATCTCTTATTAAGTGGAAAGGAGTTTCATCCCCCTGGCCCCTACCCCTGTTGTATTTGAGGGGCATCCATAGCAGGGTAGATTGAGCAATGGGGTGCTATAGAGTTTAGTGACAGAGGTCTTTAGGGTACAAACAATTCATTTTTGTTTTTTCCCAGGGAACACACATATCACCAGGATAGCTGAGCTGGAATGGGTTTACCTACCAATTACTACATGGTACCTTGCACCACTCTGACCCTTAGTCCCTTTGGGTGAGGCTGAAGGTCCATGCTAGGTAACTTCCCGGCTTAGAATGAATTCTCTGTGTGTGTGTTAGGTTGGTACAAAAGTAATTGCGGTTTTGCCATTAAAAGTACTGGTAAAACCGCAATTACTTTTGCACCAACCTGATACTTTCTTACCTGCCTGTAACCTAACTCTCAATTTGGCAGCCCTGTCTGAACTCCAAATGTGAAGAGAGTTCATGCTTTACGACCATCAGTGTCCTCAATTTTCCTGAAAATCAGTCTGTCAGAACAATTAGAGGTCATGGAGATAAGATGAGAAGAAAAAACTAGCTCCACGTATTAGCCACATTAGAATCTAGTTCTAAACCAGCTGAAATCTGTATTACACCTCAGGTAACAGGCAGCAGTAAAATGCAGACATCGATAAAATATAAATGTAAACGATTAAGTATAGAATGTGAGGGAAAGACAGTAGGCAAAGAGGTCTCCGAGATATCTAACTTAGGTAACTAGAAGGCTCCATTAAAAAGGTGGGTGGGAGGAGGGAATACAGGAAGTGAAGCAAACTTTCAGGTTATGAAGTGAACTCAGCTTCATGGAATATCCACATTCCAGTGGAGGTATCCAGAAGACTAGAGGTCCTCCAACCATAATACATCTCGATGAACCTGGAACACTTTAAAAAATACATCTGGGGAACTTGTATTGGAGCCCATACATCCCTCTCTTTAACAAATTCTTTAAAATTATTTAAAGACTCTCTTAAAATTTACCAAAATACCAACAGTGATTGTCTCCAGGAAAGTTGGCTTCGGGTAAGATTTATCGTTGCAAGTACTAGAAGAAGAAAAAAAAACTAGTTGTTTTAAACAGTAAAAAGGAGATTTAAAAAGAAGATTTTAAATAGTTCACGGACTCTCGAGGCAGGAAGTGGTTGGGCGTGGCACAAAGGGCTAAAAGGAAGCCAGTTCAAGAATCCAAGAGCAATGTTCAAAATCGTCCCAAAAGCAGTTTAGTGAGGTCCCACTGTGCCATCCATTGTTTGAAAATTTCCTCAATTTGGTGAAAGATCCATGAAACTCAATAAACCCCAGTTCCCAAATGAACTGGGCCAGGGGCAGGGCAGGGCTTCATCAGTGCCCCCTGCATCACTGACGTTGCCGCCTCAGGAGCCAAGGTCACTGCTACTCCCTGGCGCTGCACCTCTTACCAGCGTGGATTCTTTCCTGCTTATGCTCTCTTGTTTTCAGACCCACTTCTGGGGCAGAACCTCAGTCATGTGTCCACATCCCAGCTGCAAGAGGAGGTAGGGAAAGCAGGGATTTTCACCTCTACAGCGAAAGAGGTTCTGATGTCAGGCAGCCAAAAGAGATGAAAAATGTACACAACAGTGATTTTTTTTTTTGGCGATGTTTTCTGGTTATTTATGCTTCTTCATATGTTCTACATTTTCTATAATGAAGAGGGTTCAATAATCAGAAAAAAATGTTTAAATAAACTGACACTGGAGATTCTATGTCAGGTTTTTTGTTTTTTATTTTTAGCAAATCTGTTTGGTATTGCTTCTCCCTCTAGTGGAGACTAAAAGGAAATACACAGGTGGATGACTTCTGATGGTTCTGTAACTTTACTGTTAGAGTAAAATGTACTATCACTCCATTTCACAGGTGAGTAAACTGGAGCTGAGAGATAAGAGACAGTTTACCAAAGGTACATATGAACTTAATGGTAGAGCCAGCCCTACAATCAAGATATCTTGATGTAGGTTTCTATTTTGTGTTCTCTCATAAAGAGCATGACTGTAGACTATACGGCATGATTTGAGGGGCAATCAGAATCTCCGAGTTAATTCTCTGTTGTTGTTTTTTTAATAGAACACAAGAATTAGCTATGACTAAAATATAAGTGGGTTTAGCAATTATCCCCAGTATTTCATCTTCAGGGAAAATAAATTTGAGAGGAAGCATTGTTAGAGATTAAGAGTGCAAACTTTGAGACAAAACTTCCTGGATTGGATCCCAGCCCTTCCATTTGCTGAAAGGAGCCCTCACAAAACAAAAATTGCAGCTGGTGAGATTGGAGAATGTACAGCTTCCTGCCTGAGGACAATCTCCAGTCTGCACAGCAGCTCAGAGCAGCAGAACATCGCAGCCTTACTGCTCTGAAGCATAAAAGGCCAGAGTTTAGGGTTTGGGGAGCAGCCAGGAAGCTTGGAAGAGAAGGGGTCATGTAGTGGGTGTGTCCCAAAATAGCAGCTAATATTGGCCTGAAATGTAGGCTGACCACTCAGCTAAACTTCACAGGGGAACTAGTTAAAAAGCAGCAGCTGGAAACTACAGATCCTAGGGAAACTGTTGACTTCAGGGGACACAGATGGAGTTTGAGTCCAGCCATGTTAATTGTTGACTGGAATAAAAATCAGCCTTCTCCAAGTCTATTATGTATGATTCATGCAAAGAAATGGAAGCACATGACCAATGCTAAAGAACAAAAAGAGTCAAGATAAACCCATCTCAAAATGACTCAAATAGTACGATTAGCAGAGAAGTGAAAGAAACATAATGGATATAAATAAATGAAAATACTAAATACTAAACAAAATACTGAACAAAATGGCTCCTCTTGGCTGTGACAGTTTCTCAGACTTTCTGGCATTTTTGTAACTTTAACAATTTTGAGAAGCATTGGTCAACTATATTGTAGGATGCCCCTTTATTAGAATTTTTGTTTTTTTTGTTGTTGTTTTTTATTTTTTATTTTTATTATTTCTTTTTTATTATTATTATACTTTAAGTTTTAGGGTACATGTGCACAATGTGCAGGTTAGTTATATATGTATACATGTGACATGCTGGTGTGCTGCACCCATTAACTCATCATTTAGCATTAGGTATATCTCCTAATGCTATCCATCCCCCCTCCCCCCACCCCACAACAGTCCCCAGAGTGTGATGTTCCCCTTCCTGTGTCCATGTGTTCTCATTGCTCAATTCCCATATATGAGTGAGAACATGCGGTGTTTGGTTTTTTGTCCTTGCGATAGTTTACTGAGAATGATGATTTCCAATTTCATCCATGTCCCTACAAAGGACATGAGCTCATCGTTTTTTATGGCTGCATAGTATTCCATGGTGTATATGTGCCAAATTTTCTTAATCCAGTCTATCGTTGTTGGACATCTGGGTTGGTTCCAAGTCTCTGCTATTGTGAATAGTGCTGCAATAAACATACGTGTGCATGTGTCTTTATAGCAGCATGATTTATAGTCCTTTGGGTATATACCCAGTAATGGGATGGCTGGGTCAAATGGTATTTCTAGTTCTAGATCCCTGAGGAATCGCCACACTGACTTCCACAATGGTTGAACTAGTTTACAGTCCCACCAACAGTGTAAAAGTGTTCCTGTTTCTCCACATCCTATCCAGCACCTGTTGTTTCCTGACTTTTTAATGATCACCATTCTAACTGGTGTGAGATGGTATCTCATTGTGGTTTTGATTTGCATTTTTCCAATGGCCAGTGATGATGAGCATTTTTTCATGTGTCTGTTGGCTGCATAAATGTCTTCTTTTGAGAAGTGTCTGTTCATATCCTTTGCCCACTTTTTGATGGGGTTGTTTGTTTTTTTCTTGTAAATTTGTTTGAGTTCATTGTAGATTCTGGATATTAGCCCTTTGTCAGATGAGTAGGTGGCAAAAATTTTCTCCCATTTTGTAGGTTGCCTGTTCACTCTGATGGTAGTTTCTTTTGCTGTGCAGAAGCTCTTTAGTTTAATTAGATCCCATTTGTCAATTTTGGCTTTTGTTGCCATTGCTTTTGGTGTTTTAGACATGAAATCCTTGCCCATGCCTATGTCCTGAATGGTAATGCCTAGATTTTCTTCTAGGGTTTTTATGGTTTTAGGTCTAACGTTTAAGTCTTTAATCCATCTTGAATTAATTTTTGTATAAGGTGTAAGGAAGGGATCCAGTTTCAGCTTTCTACATATGGCTAGCCAGTTTTCCCAGCACCATTTATTAAATAGGGAATCCTTTCCCCATTGCTTGTTTTTCTCAGGTTTGTCAAAGATCAGATAGTTGTAGATATGCAGCGTTATTTCTGAGGGCTCTGTTCTGTTCAAAAAAAAAAAAAGAAAAATGTCATATCCACTTTGGAAATACAGTCAAAACTGATACTTCCAATTAGGCTCTCCAGTTAGATACTTTCCTCTGAAGCTCATATTTCTGGTAGGTGTATAAATCAGGGTGTTAAAAGTCAAGATTGTATACTTTCAAAGGTCAGGGTTCTTTCATACCTCAGATGTTTGAGAAGTATACTGAACATGATGTTAAACATCTACTTATATTCTTTTATGTGATGTGTGGGTCATTTAATTTTTCCAGGCATGCTTCCTTGTCACCCTTAGAACACAGCTGGTGACTTGGATAACCTCTAAGACCTCCCATGATAGTGAACTCTCTGGTTTTAAATAGATATTCAGCCAGAGATTCTTGCGTATCTTTTCTTATCCCCAAGTCTCATCTACTCTAACTTTAAATCACTTTATCAGCTTGTCTCTTAGCTTCATAATATTTAATAAACTATATTTCTCTCTAAAGTGAGTGTTCATCAGACCCAGTATCAACCAGGGTCTCTAAGAAAAAAAATAGGTTACATTTGTATACACTTGTGCCTAACTCCTGCCTTAGTATTTACATTTATAAAGCTTTTTCAACTCTATGAATCTGAAGTGTAGTAAATGTACGGCATAGTATTAACTTTACATAGAATAATAAAGTTATTATTTGGCATGATTTAAGAGTATTCAGAGACTTTAAGATCAAATATCCTATTGTTGGAATTACATAGTATGTAGCCGTTTCAGACTGGCTTCCTCTACTTAGTAATATGCATTTAAATTTCCTCAGTGTCTTTTCATCACTTGATAAATGCATTTCTTTTTAGCTCTGAAAAATATTCTGTTGTCTGAATATACTAACTCTCATTTATTCATCCATTCATCTACTGATGGACAACCTGTTTGCTTCCCAGTTTTGGCAATTATGAATAAAGCTACTACTACAAGCAAAAAAGAAAAAGAATTTTTCTGATTTTGTTTCTCATTATTCAACTGGGGTTATGAGTTTTAGAGAGAAAGATAACAGAGGTAAAGTGCCATTTTTATTATAACATATCAAGGGTATAGACTATTAACATGATTTATGACTAATAATGGTGAACTTGATCACCAGACTGAAATAGTGCTTGAAAAGATACTCCTTTTTCTCCCATTTCATTCTGTACTTTTTGGAAGGAAGTCACTATGCACATCCCACGCTTAAAGAGTAGAGTTATGCTTCACCTTGTTGGATGTGGGAGTATCTGCATAATTTATTTGGAATTATTCTACATGGGAGATTTATCTCTTCTTCCTATTTATTTATTATTCAATCATTTATTTATATCAGTATGGATTCATGGATATTTATTTTTTACTTTGAGTTATCACTGAGTACTACTTGTTTTATTTTGTTACTCAAATTCTTTCAGCTTTGGACATTGGGAGCTCTTTCAGTTGGCTTCTGTATTAATCACCCAGGGCTGCTGTAACAAATTACCACAAACTCCATGGCTTAAAACAACAGAAATGTATTTTCTCAAAATTCTAATGGCAAGAAGTCCAAAATCACTTTTACTGAGACAAAAAACAAGTGTTGGCCAATCTGTGCTCTCTCTGGAGGTAAGAAGTTATTCCTTGCCTCTTCTAGTTTCTGGCGAATGCCAGCAATCCTCGTTTGACTTGTGGCTGCCTCACTTCCATCCCTGCCTTCCTGATCACGTTGCCTCTTCTTCATTCCTGTGTCTGTGTCAGATCTCTCTCTGCCTCCTTATAAAGATACATGTCAGCTGGGCGCGGGGGCTCACACCTACAATTCCAGCACTTTGGGTGGCCGAGGTGGGTGGATCACTTGAGGTCAGGAGTTCGAAACCAGCCTGAACAACATGGTGAAACCCCATCTCTACAAAAAATACAAAAATTAGCCCGGAGTGGTGGCGTGTGCCTGTAGTCCCAGCTACTCGGCAGGCTGAGGCAGGAGTACCACTTGAACCAGGAGGTGGAGACTGCAGTGAGTTGAGATTACAACACTGCAGTCCAGCCTGGGCAACAGAGCGAAACTCTGTCTCAAAAGAGAAAAAAAAAACAAAAAAAAGATACATGTGATTGTATTTAGGGTCCAGCCAGATTATCTGAAATAATATTCCTTACTTATTCACTCTGCAAAAACCATTTTTCCTCATAAGGTAGCATTACCAGGTTACAGGGAATAGAAACTGATTGATACCTTTTGAGTGGCATTATTTATCTTAATACAGCTTTTGTGCCACTTTGACATACCCATATCAAGGTAGGTTGTGGGTTTCTTTTCTCTTCTCTTTGTTTGTTTTCTGAGCATTTCCTTACATTCTAACACTACAAGATGCTCCAGGCTCATCTTGTGTATTTCCTGCTATAGTCCTAGAATTAGCCATTGCTCCAAGGAGCCCTACTTCCTTTCACTGGAGAATGGTATTAGAAACTATGATCTGTGTACTATATATGCTAGTTGCTACTAGAGTGTTGCTTCTTTTAGGGTCAGTTTAGAGAAACTGACAGAGAAAAAAAATAGATGTGTGTCCTAACCCATGTATATATACATATTCATAAATATTTCTATATGTAATCACCTGTATCTCTTTTAAATTAAACATGAGTTCTTACTAATGTAATCCATTACCATATGGATCATTCTAGCCTTCTCCCCTTGCTTATCTGTATATTCCCAAAACAATGCTGAGAAACCTGGCTCCCACCATCCACCATTCATTGTTCAGTTCTAGTATAATGTATGGCAGTATGAGAATCATTACTCCATATCCTTAGGGGAAACAAACGTATCAACTGCACATAGTGCTTATGTACAGTTCCTTTTGCCTTTAGTCTCACAGACTCCACTTATTTCCAAAGTTACTTAGGTCAGCAATTTTCCCCAAATCCCTCAGTGTGCTTGTTTCATACATTTGTGATACAGCTAGATTATCTTCTCACAATATGCATTTTTTCCTGTGACTCCAAAACACCCTGATAGATTTTTTAATTTGCATACATTAACATTTACTCCTTTTATTGTCAAGTTCTACGAGTTTTGACAAATGCATAATGTCAAGTATCCACCGTCACAGTATCATACAGGATTGTATTACCACCCTAAAAATCCCACATACTTCACCTATTCATCCCCCCAACAACAACCCCCACACACACCAAAATCCTTAGCAATCACTGATATTTTTCTTATCTCTGTAGTTTTAGCTATTCCAGAATGTCATATATATTTGCAAACATTTTCAATTTGGCTTTCTGCACTTAAAAATGTGCATTTAAGTTTCTTCCATATCTTTTCATGGCATAATCGCTCATTTCCTCTTATAATTGAATAATATCCTATTGTAAGGCCGGGCGCAGTGGCTCACGCCTGTAATCCCATCCCTTTAGGAGGCTGAAGTAGGTGTATCATCTGAGGTCAGGAGTTCGAGACCAGCCAGACCAACATGGAGAAACAGAGCAAAAAAATAGATGTGTGTCCTAACTAAAAATTCAAAATTAGCCAGGTCTAGTGGCACATACCTGTAATCTCAGCTACTCGGGAGGCTGAGGCAGGAGAATCGCTTGAACCCGGGAGATAGAGGTTGCAGTGAGCTGAGATTGCGCCATTGCACTCTAGCCTGGGCAACAAGAGTAAAAAAAAAAACAACAACATATATATATATATATATATATATGTCCAAAATCAGTTTTACTGAGACAAAAACCAAATGTTGGCCAACTTGTGTTCTCTCTGGAGGTGAGAAGTTATTCCTTGCCTCTTCTAGTTTCTGGCCAATGCCAGCAATCCTCGCTTGACTTGTGGCTGCCTCACTTCCATCCCTGCCTCCCTGATCCCGTTGCCTCTTCTTCATCCTTTCATATATATATATAAACACACACACACTATTGTATGGCTATACCACTATTTGTTTATCCACATACTTTTGTGTTTTTAAAAAAGTTTTCCAGCTTCATTGAGGCATAATTGACAAATGAAATTGTATAAATTTAAGGTGTATAATGTGATAATTTGATATGTGTACATTGTGAAACGATTATCACTATTAGGTTAGTTAACACATCAATCACTTCACCTAGTTACCTTTTGTGTGTACGTGTGTGGTATGAACAATTTAAGATCTCTATTAACAATTTAAAGTGTACAATACAGTATCATTAACTATAGTCACCATGCTGTACATTAGATCCCCAGAATGTATTCATCTTATAACTGAAAATTTGTGCCCTTTCACCAACATTTCCCCATTTCCTCTAGCCCCAGCTCCTGGCAATCACCATTCTATTATCTGTTTCTATGGGTTCAACTTTTTAAAATTCTACATGTAAGTAAGGTAATACAGTATTTGTGTTTGTCTGACTTGTTTTGCTTTGCATAATTCTCTCAGGATTCATCTATGTTGTCACAAATTGTGGTATTTCCTTCTTTTTTAAGGCTGAATGATATTCCATTTTCTGTATATAACACAATTTCTTTCCCTATTCATCTATCAACTGACGTTTAGGTTGTTCCCATGTCTTGGCTACTGTGAATAATGCTGCAATGAACATGAGAGAGCAGATTCTCTTAGAGATACTAATTTCATTTCCTTTGGATACATGCCCATGAGTGGGATTGCTGGGTCATATGGTAGTTCTGGTTTTAATTTATTTTTTGAGGAACCTCCATACTGTTTTCCATAATGGATGTACCAATTTACATTCCCACCAACAGTGTACAAGGATTCCCTTTTCTCCACATCCTTGCCAACATTTGTCTCTTGTCTTCTTGATGATAGCCATTCTAACTGGTGTGGTTATATCTCTCGTTGCAGATTTTATTTGCATTTCCCTGATGATTAGTGATGTTGACCACCTTTTCATAATATGCTTTTGTGTATTAGCCTTGTATCCCTTGCTATCATCCCCTATTAGTTTCAGGGGTTGGTTTTTGGGTGGTTTTGGGGGTTTGTGGTGTGTTTTATTGGTCAACTAATTGCAATTGTTTAGATACAGAATCATGTCATCTGTGAATCAAAATGGTTTTATTCCTTTTTTTCCTAATGTGTATCACTTTTATTTCATTTTATTTTCTTATTACACTATCTATGAGTTCTAGCACAAGGCTGAATAGAAGTGGTGAGAAAAGCCATAGTCACCTTGTTGCTCCTAATTTTAGGAGAAAATTATTTAGTTTTTCACTAGTAAGTATCACGTTGGCTGTAGGTTGTTTTAGATGTTCTTTATAAGGTTGAGAAAGCTCGCCCAATTCTAGTTTGAATAGAGTTTTTATCATGAATCGGTATTGTATTTTGCCAAATGCTTCTTCTGCATTATTTGAATGATCATATCACTTTTCTTCCTTAGCCTGTTGATGTGATTGATAGTGTTAATTGATAATCAAATGTTGTATCAGCCTTGCATATTTGGGAGATATCCTGCTAGTTTGTGATATCCAATCCTTTTTGTATATTATTACAATCAATTTGCTACTACTTTGTTCAGGATTTTTATATCTATATTTTTGAGAGATATTAGTCTATAAGTTTCCTTGTTGTAATGTCTTGGTATTAGGATAATGCAGGCCTCTTAAGAATTAGGAAATGATCCCTACGCTTTGTGTTTCTGAGATTGTGGAGTATCATTGGTATACATCATGAACAATTTCTTCCTTAATAATTGGTAGAATTCACCAATAAAACCATCTGAACCCATCTGAAAGTTATTGCTTCTTGATTTAATTTCTTAATAAATATAAGCCTATTCTGATTACCTATTTCTCCTTGTGTGAGTTTGGGTAGCATTGAAAGTTTTGTAACTTTCAAACAATTAGTAAATTTCATATAAGTTATTAGAATCATGAGCATAGCATTGTTCTTAACATTCATTTATTATGATTTTTTAATCCACCTCCTCAAATGTTTATCCATTGAGTTGCAAACAATCCAATTATACTCTTTAAGTTATTTAAAAATGTACAGTTATTATTGACTATAGTCACCCTGTTGTGCTATCAAATAGTAGATCTTATTCATTCTTTATATTTTTTGCACCCATTAACCATGCCTTACTCCCCCATATGCCCCCCACTACCCTTCCCAACCTCTGGTAACCATCCTTCTACTCTCTATGTCCATGAGTTCACATTGTTTTGATTTTTAGATCCCACAAATTTTGTGTGTTTATTTTGTATCTGTATCCTGTAACTTTACTGAATTTGTTTATCAGTTCTAATAGTTTTCTTGGGGAACCTTTAGTTTTTTTCAAAAATAAGATCACATCATCTGCAAACAAGGATAATTTGACTTCCTCCTTTCCAATTTGGATGCCCTTTATATCTTTCTCTTGTCTGATTTCTCTAGCTAGGACTTCCAGTACTGTGTTGAATAACAGTGGTGATAGTGGGCATCCTTGTCATGTTCCAGATCTTAGAGGAAAGGCTTTCAGTTTTTCCCAGTTCTGTATGATTCTAGCTGTGGATCTGTCATATATAGTTTTTATTATATTGAGATATGTTCCTTCTATCTCTAGTTTTTTGAAGGTTTTTATCATGAAGAGATGTTGAATTTAACAAATGCGTTCTCAGCATCAATTGAAATGATGTACATTTGAAAACTGTACATTTTTAAATAACTTAAAGAGTATAATTGGATTGTTTGCAACTCAATGGATAAACATTTGAGGAGGTGGATTAAAAAATCTTAATAAATGAATGTTAAGAATAATGCTATACTCATGATTCTAATAATTTATATGAAATTTACCAATTGCTTGAAAGTTACAAAGTTACAAAACAAAGATAAGTTTTTTTATCCTTCATTCTGTTGATATGTGTATCACATTGATTGATTTGCATATGTTGAAACATCCCAGGGATAAATTCCACTTGGTCATGAGGAATGATCTTTCTAATATATTGTTGAATTCGGTTTGCTAGTATTTTGTTGAGGATTTTTGCATCAATATTCATCAGAGATTTTGGCCTGTAGTTTCATTTTTTTGAGGTATCTTTGTCTGGTTTTGGTATCAGGATAATACTGGCCATGTAGAATGAGTTTGAAAGTATCCCCTCCTCCTTTATTTTTCAGAATAGTTTGAGTAGGATTCGTATTAGTTCTTCTTTAAATGTTTGGTAGAATTCATCAGTGATGCCATCAGGTCCTGGGCTTTTCTTTACTGGAAGATTTTTTATTACAGCTTTGATCTCATTACTTGTTTTTGATATGTTCAGCATTTGGGTTTCTTCCTGGTTCAATCTTGGTAGGTTGTATGTATCTAGGAATTTGTCCATTTCTTCTAGGTTTTCCAATTTATTGACATAGAGTTGCTCATAGTAGCCACTAACGATCCTTTGAATTTTGGCACTATCAGTTGTAATGTCTCCTTTTTTATTTCTGCTTTTATTTATTTGGATCATCTCTCTTTTTTTTTTAGCTAGTCTGGCTAAAGGTTTGTCAATTTTGTTTAACTTTTCAAAAAACTACCTTTTTGTTTCATTGATTTTCTGTGTTTTTTATTTCAATCTTATTTATTTCTGCTCCAATCTTTATTATTTCTTTTTGTTTACAGATGTTGGATTTGGTTTGCTCTTGTTCCTCTAGTTCTTTAAGGTGTATCATTGGATTATTTGAAATTTTTTCTCTTTTTTGATGTGGGCACTTAATAGCTTTAAATTTCCTTCTTAGTTCTGCTTTTGCTATATCCCATAGGTTTTGGTGTATTGTGTTTCCATTATTATTTGCTTCAAGAAATGTTTTAATTTCCTTCTTAATATTTTCATTGACCCAGTGGCCATTCAGGTGCATATTGTTTAATTTCCATGCATTTTTATGGTTTCTAAAATTCCTCTTGGTATTAATTTTTAATTTTGTCTGTATCCAAGATGCAAGACAATGTCCTCCCCTCTCTTTCTTCTCCTCAAGTAGAATGAAGGGGTGTTGTTTTTGGAGTCACGAGTTGTGCAGCCTGGAGTTAGGGGAGGGGTGATGCCAGCACTCTCTTGGCTGCCCCAGTTGGTGTCTCAGTATGTCATTCCCTTTCACCCCCAGTCCACTCTCTCTGGGCTTACTTCAGCCCTAGGACTCACCTATGAGCTGTAGTCCTATGGCATAGAGTGCCTTTAAGTTTACTTATAGACCAAGAGCCCTTTAAGCCTTGGTGGGGAGGTTTGTGGGCACTCAAGTTCAGACTGCTTGGATCTTTGATTCCCCACTGGCTAGGGCTGCTTTAAATACTCCTGTGGGCCGGTGTCAGTTGAGTTTGGTCTATGAGTGCTCACCTGATTTTTGGTTCTTGTGAAGGTGTTTTTTGTTTGTTTGTTTGTTTGTTTGTTTTTTCTATGTAGATAGTTGTTGGTGTCTTTATGGGGAGGATGATCAGTGGAGCTTTCTATTCTGCCATGTTGCTCCACCTGTTTGTTTTTTTCTCTCATTTATTATTTATTTAATGCCCATAATATCAACGTGCGAACCCCTTTTTTGTTTCTGATATTAGTAAATTTTGTCTTCTATTTCTTCATGGTTAGCCTGGCTAAGGGTTTATTAGCTTTATTAATATTTTCAAAGAACCAGCTTTTGGTTTTGTTGATTTTCTCTATCTAGTTTCTGTTTTCAATTTATTTGATTTTCACTCTAATGTTTATTATTTATTTTCTTCTGCTTGCTTTAGGTTTACATTGTACTTCTTTCACTAATCTTTTAAGTTGGAAGTTTAAATTGATTTTAGATCTATCTTATTCTCTAATAATATGCATTCAGTGCTATAAATTTTTCTCAAGGCACTGTTTTTGCTGCGTCCCACAAATTTTGATAAGATGTATTTTTATTTTCGTTTAGTTTAAAATATTTTAATATCCTTTGAAACTTCTTCTTTGACCCATGTATTACTTAAAAGTGTTTGTTATTGTTTCTCTGCCACTTGGCTAATATCAAGTATAGAGTTGTTTAACCTACAGCTATCTTTTTATAATTGATTTTTCGCTTAATTCCGGTATGGTCTGAGAACATAACTTGAATTATTTCTATTTTTTTAAAAAGTTTAAGATGTGCTTTATTGTCCACAACACAGTCAATCAGTGTATGTCCACGTGAGCTTGAGAAAAATGTGTATTCTGCAGTTGTTAGATGAAATATTCTATAAATTTTAGTTAGATTTTGTTGATTGATGATACTGTTCAGTTTGGTCATATCCTTACCGATTTTCTGCCTTCTGGATCTATCAATTTCTAAAAGAGGAGTGTTCAATTCTTCAGTCATAATAATAGATTTTCCTATTTTTCCTTGCAGTTTTCTCAGCTTTTACCTTACAAATTTTGACATTCTGTTGTTTGGTGCATACAAGTCAAGTATTGTTACATCTTCTTGGAAACTTTACTCACTTATCGTTATGTAATGCTCTCTTTATCCCAGGTGATTTTCCTTGTTCAGAAGCCTATTTTGTCTGATATTAATATAGCTACTTTGGCTTTCTTTTTATTATGGCATGGTATACTCTTCTATATCTCTTTATTTTTAATTTATCTGGTTTTGTACATTTAAAGTAAACTTCTTGTAGATAACAGATAGTTGAGTCTTGTGTCTTTATCTACTATGACAGTCTCCGTCATTTAATTGATAATATAGAACATTCACATTTCAAGTGACTATTGATATTGATGAAATAATATCTACCATGTTTTAACCTGTTTTCTATTTATTGCATTTGTTTTTTCTTTTTTTTTAAATCTTCCTCCTTTTCTGCCACCTCTGGTTTTAATTGAGCATTTCACATGATTCCATTTTATTTTATCTCTTAGGAAATCAATTATAATTATTTTCTTCCTTTTTTTAGTGGTTGCCCTACAGTATACAACATACTTTTACAAATAATCTAAGTCCACTTTCAAATAACACTGTGCCACTTCACCAGTAGTGCAGATATCTTATAGCAGAACATTCTCAATTTCTCTTTCCCATCCCCTATTACTGTTACTTACTTATCCATATGCTATAATGCCTTCATATTTTAACTATTATTAATTAGACAAACAGTTATCTGTTGGATCAATTAAGAAGAAGAAAAATAAAATGTTTCGTTTTACTCTCATTTATTCCTTCTCTATGAACTGTTTCTCCATGTAGATCTGAGTTTCTGACCTATATTATTTTTATCTCTGAGGAAGTTCTTTAACAGTTCTTGCAGGACATATCTACTGCTAATGAATTCCCTCAGTTTTTGCTTTTCTGAGCAAGACTCTTTTTCTTCACTTTTGCAGGATAAATTTCGTGAATATAGAATTCTAGGTTGGTGGCTTTTTTATTTATTCAATACTTACATTTTACTCCACTCTCTTCTTGTTTGCATGGTTTCAGCAAGTATTCCACTGTAATTCTTCTTGTTGTTTTAATGATAAGGTGCTTTGTTTGGTTTTATTTTGTCCTCTGAATTCTTATGCGATGTTCTCTTTGTCTTTGAATTTCTGCTGCTTTGGTAAAATATGCTTATTTCTTGGTATTTATTCTACTTGTTCTTTATTGTATTTGGTATTCTCTGAGCTTCCTGGAGCCATGAACAGATAAGAACAAGATGGTAAGGTGTGGGAAGAAGAAACGTTCTATAATCATTTGATAATATTTTAGATTTCTAGTGGGACTGTCTTCCTGAGCTATAAATGTCACAAGTTTTTCTTAGCCATTTTCTCCCCTCTCTTTAAATGAGATAGGAAGGCTAGAGAACCTAAAGTTGGCTAATTTCCCTTCCCCCAGGTTAGATAATGTTTTGGTAAAGTGTTTACCCTTGCTTAAATTAAGGAGACCAGTATTTGTTATGAAATCTACTATGGGAATATTTCAAAAGCTGTTTCTCTCTGACCATAATTCAAATGGTTACTTTTCCTTCCTCCTGCCCAAAATGGGATTTTTCTAGATCTTTACCTTGAGAACCTAGTGGGCTTATGGAGGTAAAACCTACAAAAGTGTGGAGGGTTCCAAAGCCTGAGCCTCCAGGGTTTCTCATTCTCAAGCTAATCCACACTCAGCCTACAGAAATTCATCAAAACTATCATTTTAGTGTTCTCACCTATTTATGGCTCTACTGACTTCTGTTCCATGTAAATTGACCATGGCTGAGATTCTCTGTATTTACCTATCTTGCCAGGTTTTGGGGTGTTCTTGCCCTGTGTCCTCAGTTCCCAGATGGGTCTAAGAAAAGACTGATTTTCAGTTTCTTAGGCATTTTTAATTATTCTAGGGACAGGAATGATGATTTCCAAGCTCTATCTATGTTGGAGCTGAAATTGTAAGTCTGTTACATACCTTCTAATCTGCAAATTTTCTCTTACTGTTTATCTTCTTTCACTATATGTTTGTTGAAGAAAGTGGGAGGGCAGGTGGAGGGGCTCATGCCTGTAATCCCAGCACTTTGAGAGGCTGAGGCAGGAAGATCACTTGAGCCCAGTAGTTCAAAACCAGCCTGAGCAACATAGTGAGACCTCGCCTCTACTAAAAATAAACAAAACATTAGCCAGGTGTGATGGCATGCAGCTGTGGTCCCAGCTACTTGGGAAGCTGAGGCAGGAGGATCACTTGAGCCTGGGAGGTTGAAGCTGTAGTGAGCCATGATTGCACCACTGTACTCCAGCCTACACAACAGAGCAAACCTTGTCTAAAAAAAAAAAAAAAAGAAAAAAGAAAAGAAAAAGAAAAGGAAAATGGGCCACCTCTTAGAGATTCCTACCTTCTAAAATTTGCTTATTTTCTCCTATGGGGAGTTTTCACACATTCTTCTGGCTTCTTTATTATCTGTAGAGCTAACATCTTGATCCGATTTCACTTAGATTTATGGCATGACTATTGTATATGGGTGTTGTGTTGTTCCATTAAGAGACACATAATGTCTAGTTCTTTCCCTTTTTTGTGGCACGAAGGCTGGGCATTAGGTTTGCTGTTGTCATCCTCATCACCATTATAAAGTTCCCTATCAGCAATTCACTTAATGGTTTTAGTAGCCATTGATAACTATGACCTAAATCCATTATTTCATTAGGAGTTAAATGATGATATTCTAATTATACTATTGCTTTCTGGTTTATTTGCTGTAATTCTTTTTAAAAGTCTTTTTTTTTTAATTAACTGTTTGGCACCCTAAAATACTATTTGTCCAAGAAATATGATGTAAATGCTTGATCATTTTACTCAATTTACCAGTTTTTACAATAAAGTATTGGTTCATAGCATCTTCCAAAGGTGATTGAGAGTTTTTGTATGTGAGTATCCTTAAGAACTAATGAGTTTTAGTATATTTGATGTGTCTTAATGTATTATCATTATTATTCTTTTTTTGTTGCTAGTATTTTCCCAGTGTACTCCCCTTCAAATTGGATCTGGGATCCAATTAACATGAACCCAGTTATTTCCAATAGCTTCCTTGTCTTTCAGTAAGACAGAATATTTCAGATATATTTTATGCATTTCCTGGCCCAAAATTGGTATCTGCCATTTCTTCAAGGATCCCTATACTCTTTAAGCCCTATAGTCTTAATACAAACCACACATGCAAGCCTGTTTGAAATATCAGTAATGATGTACTACAACTTGCTAATATTTAATACTATCCTATTGGCTGTCTGCTTTTAACTATATACAGGATGTTCATCATTCTAACAAATGTCATTTCTGAAGATATTTCTGTAAAACAAAATTAATGTCTCAGCAAATAATCTACTTGCTTCAAGTAACATTCTGTACAACACAATTTCAACATGCAAAAATGATATTTATTTTTCTCTGAAAACTAACTTGGTATTTTTCTTCTTCTGGCTACCTATTTGTATACCATTGTTCGTATTTCTGCAATGTCAACTCTCCAGTCTTATTCCAACCTTTGTTTTGTGGGGGTTTTTGTCTGTAACCTTTTGGGGGGATTTTGAGACAGGGTCTTGCTCTGTCACCTGGGCTGGAGGCCGGAGTGCAGTAACACCATCGATTCTCACTGCAGCCTTGATCTCACAGGCTCAATTTATCCTCCCATCTCAGCCTCCTGAGTAGCAGGGACTACAGACACATGCCACCATGCCCAGCTATGTTTTTCTTTTCTTTTCTTTCTTTCTTTCTTTTTTTTCTAAGACAGGGTCTTCTTATGTTGCCCAGGCTGGTCTGAAATTCCTGGGCATAAGCCACCCTCCCACCTGGACCTCCTAAAGTGCTGGGGTTACAGACATGAGCCACCACGCCTGGCCCACTATTGTTTTCACGCTGCTGCCTCCATAACTGCACCTTGTCCTCATTTAGATCCTATTCCCGTTTCAATTCCACCTGTATTTCCAAGACACAGCCTAAACACTCTGGTAAGTGAATGTATGAAATTTCGAACTTTAAACGATCTATGTAGTAATGTCTTCATTCCCAATCACCTTCTGTTATTGTCCCACACGTGGCCTGCTCTAAGTGTGTACCCAGCAATAATTTGTCCCTCTCCACTGCCCAGCAAGTTTGACCTCTTGAGCAGTACTTCTTAAATTTTACCCAGTGTAGGAATCACTTGTGGTTTTGTTAAGGTGAAATTCCTATTCAGAAGGTCTGGAGTGAGGTCTGTGTGGGACAGAGAGCTTCTGGGATGCCAGATGAGTTGGTCTCCCCTGTGTGAGACACCCATGGGAAGCCATGGGCAGCCTCTGAGGAGAAAAGTCTCCTTATTGCCTTCATGTCTTTGTGCTCCGAGAGCATAACTGCTCTGCGGCATTCCACAGGTTGCTCAGGGAGATAACACTGCCTTGAAGCAGTGGAGTATAATCAAACATCTTGGCTTCTCCTGAAATCCACTCCCACCCATTTCAGGCCTGATAAGTTAAAGTTCTTAAGTAGTTTAGACACACAAGGCTTGAGGAAATTCACAGAAACCGCCACTGCTATATATCTTATTGAATGACTCACGAGTTCTCCTTCACTGATTAATCTTTTTCCTCATCCCTTCCTCCCTCTCCCATTTGCCCTAAGAACAAAGAGCTTGTGAACCAATAAATTGGGTGGAGGCCAGGAGCTCGGGGAGTGAGGAAGCCTCCGACGCTCCGGTCCCCTGGACCTGCCTTTTAAACTCTTATTCTGTCTCCTTCTAATTCCTTTGTCTCCGCTGGACTCGGGGTACCTGCCGGGTGGTGTGGGGCTGGTTTCCCCAACAGTCTGATATTCTGCATTTCTAACAAGCTCCTAGTAGATGAATATTGCTGATCCTACACCATATTTTAAGAAGCAAGGCTCTAGTGTGCTGGTGTTATATGCTCTATAAAGAAATATTCCAAACACACATTTCTCCCTAATCTGTCCTTCCCTTCATCTCTACTATTATGATTGATAATCTTCCTTCTTACTTCACCTAAAAAAAAAGACTGACAACATCAAATGTGAGCTTGGACAATTGAATATGCTCCTACCCTTTTGATAATGAGAAATCTGTTACACCATATGGTTAAATCTGTTAAAACATGTTAGAGATTATTTGGCATTTCTCCCTTCAAAAAGGAAAACCTAGTTCCCCTTCCCTTGAACACAGGTCAGCCTTAGAGACTTGCTTCTAAAGAATTACTGAGCAGCAATGGTGAGTGACCTCCAAGGCTAAGTCATAAAAGAAGTATGGCTTCTGCTTGCCTCTTTTTGGATCATGTGCCTTTGGAACTACCTGAAGCTGCCAAGCTGGAAAGACCACATAGAGACAGAGACACCTGAGGGTCCCCAGCTGTCCAGTCCAGCAGTTTGAGTTTTCCCAGCCCAGGCACCAGATGTGGGAATGAGCGAGGCTGCAGATGATTGAAGGCTTAGCTGCTGACTACAACTGCCTGAGAGACCTAGAGTCAGAACCTCCTTGTTGACCTACAGGCTGCTCACAAAAACATGAGAGATAATAAGTTCATGTTCCAAGTCATTGTTTTGAAGTGGTTTGTTATGCAACAAAAGGTACATGGAAATATATCACAATTCCCCTTGTCCCTGACTGCCAAGAACTTCAGAGCCAAATCTGATACTCAGTCACTCCAACTCTGCTGGCTATTATATTTGCTTCTTCCTTCTTTCTAAGTCCTGATTTTTTTTCTGTTTATTAACTTCATTATTTCTATGTTCTTTTTCTAAGCTGCCTCAAATTCTTTTAGATAATAGATGAAGTATAAATAAACAATGACTCTGTTTCTCACCCACTTGTCTCTACATTCTTATTTCTCAGTTTATTTTCTTTCATACTTTTATGTTGTCTCAGAAAAAACTAAACGGTCTGTTTTTTTTTTAATTTTCTGAAGCATCTTTAATCTCTTGCCGCCTGTGTTCTTGCCATTTGATTTTAAACAAGTACAAAGCTCTTCTATCTTGAGAAAACCTTTACTTTTCTACCACTACCATGTTTATTACTTTCTTTTCATAGTTAATCTTCTGGAGAATGTTTCTCTTCCATTTTATCGAAGCTCAAACTGAATTTTCACTTGTACATCAGGATGTGAAATGCAACAGCACCTACAAAGTAAAATTGTGGGTATGGCTGGTGTGTTAATTTAATGCAGAAGAATGTCAGTAGAGTACTTCTATTGTTACTCATTAAAAACAGTTCTTGGCCAGTACTCAAAAACACTTATTTAATTATTGCATGTATCTCCAGTGATCACTTTTTCCTCGTTTACCCTTTAGCAATTTGTGAAAGCATTTTTTTTCCATTTTCAAGTGTTGTTAATAACACTCTTGTTAGTAACACTGTTAATCTTTCACCCTATGGTCCTGTAGATTTTCTTTGCAAAATAAAGGCCTGGTAATGACAGGAAAAGTGATATTTCTTATTAATATTTAATTATGTTGTGTGTACAATAATGCAATAAATCCTCCCTCTTTGACACTGTCCTAATGTACTCAGAACTAATGTCTCCTTATGTTTTACTATGACAACATTTCTTCCCAGGGTTGATAAGCCCTAATTAGGGTGTTGGTTGGGGACAAGGTCTTGTTAATGAGTGGAGGAAGGAAAAACAATCCATGCCAAACTCAATCCAGGTTCAGAAACATATTTTACAACCTTGATGGAAGTGGATGTGATTAATTTCAACAAGAATTTCAAACCATGTACTCTACATCTAATGAATGGCAACACATCTCCTTTTACACCTAAACTTTGCAGATTCCATTCTCTGTCTAGATTTCCATCTCCCATTCTTCTTGCCCTAACCCCCTTCTTTTTTCTTTCTTTTTTTTTTTTTTTTTTTTTGAGACAGAGTCTCGCTCTGTCGCCCAGGCTGGAGTGCAGTGGCATGATCTCGGCTCACTGTCACTGCAAACTCTGCCTCCCGCCTAACCCCCTTCTTACTGACATTCGTCTGATCACCATCTCATTTCTTCACTGGGTTGCCAACCTTTCAGGAGGGCTTTCTGACCACCTACTTTGGGGTAAGAGCCCTTTCTCTGCATTTCATCATGCTCCTATGACCACAATGTTGGACTTGCCTTCTCTCCTGTCTGTTTTTAACTAAGTGGCTTTCTGAGAAAAGAACCATGGTTTTTTCCTTTAAGATCATATCTCTTGCACCCTTAGCACCTAACACAAACCTGGCTTATGAAACACTTGCAATATATGTTATATGTTGAATAAGAACCGTGTGTTCATTCCTTTCGATATTTAAAAGCAGGACATCTTACACATTTGAAGGTAGGTTTGATTTTCTAAAGAAGTCAAAGTTTAAGTGGGGGTAAACAAAATCACTGATCAAGCTTAATAAAAGCATTTTTGAAGTGACAAACAAAATAACCACTTGCTCCTCCCCAAAAAATTACAACTACAAAATAATAAGACTGGTTTTATGTGGTTTTTGAAATATCACTAAAAACCATTCTGAAAGAAGAATTTAGAGTAAGAGAAATGACATCCGATGTGACTGAGAATATCACATCTTAAAGAAGCTCTTTTGAGTGGGACAATTTTCCTTTGGCTACTTGTGGAACAGTCACACTGAGAATTGGTTCTAGTGGAAAAAACAAATCTAGAAATAGAGTTGCAAGTTCTGTCTCCAGCTTTGACGCTATAGCTGGGCATAAGACCTTGGGAGAAAGATCCACTCATGTTTCCTTCCTTGTCGACAAAGGGGCAGACTAGCAGTGCTGCATATTAGAGCACTGCTGCACTGCAACCATCCTGGGCCCCGGCACCAAATGCCAGGAACAACCTCAAACATTGTGACAACCAATACAATGGGCAGTTACGGCCGCCAGAGGAGAATTACTGCCTGATGCTCTTTCAAGTTCCTTACCATTCTATCATCCTGCAAAAGAAGCAGAGGCTTCTTAATTTGAGTATTTTTTTTAATAATCCTCACTTGTATTTGCACCCATGAAGTGTCTTAGGAGGTTAAGCAAATTGGATTCCTTTTCTAAATGTGACTCTTTCTCATCTTTTGGGCTCCATTATGGTGTCTGATATTTCATCACTTGATTCTTCATCTGGGTAAAAACAATGTCATTTTAGCACTCTTGTACATGCTCTAGAACCCAAAGGAACTCAAATTAATGTCTTAAGCAGAAATGAGTAGAGAAGAAAGGACTAATCAGTTTTTAAAATAGCCTAAAATTAGTAGGTTCTTCATAAGGCTCTGAAAATTATAATATTTTCCACTAAGAAAGACAGATAAAAACACTAACTATTGGTTACTACATTAGCTAAAAATGCCTTGATTCTCTGCTAAGGAGTACAGAAAATGTCAATACCTCTACCTTTTTCTGTGATACATAATGGAGAATAAGTAAACAAAAGGAAAGGAAGAGAGAGTAATGGGGGAATACAAAGTAAGAGATTTATTTGGGAGAAATTATTCCTACACTTTCACATAATCAGTTTGAAAGTATGCAAGTATTTTAATCTATAAGACAGTAATAAGGTCTTTAGCCTGTTCATTGTCTCTTCTCCAACACCTCAAACATAACAGACCTTCACTAGATATTTGTTGAGTAAGTAATAAGAGGCTAAACATTTCTCAAATGTTGTATGTGAATGCACAACAGAATGGAATAATCCACCTGCACCATTGGTGTATCAGCACAGGCTAAAGTGACATACGGGGGCATAATGTCCTCGCTAATGAATGGGATTTAGGAGGAGGAAAGCTAGGAACAGGAGTGCTGTCAGAGTGGTAATAAGTTGAAGTGAGAGCCGGAATAAACAAACTGGCTGAGAGATCCCAAAGGCTAAGGTTACACCAGCTTCTTCCACTTGACAAGTTTGTCAACAGCCAGACCTGCCAGTAAATCATCTCTGGCACTTTGTGTTGTTCAGAGAGATTTGAGCTTCTCATAATGTTATCTCAGGAGTCCTAAATCGACCACACAGCGATGTATTTTAATAGGCGTGAAAGCCTGTAAATCAATGGACTAAGCATAAACTTTGGGGTTAGGCAGTTATAGGTTCAAATCCCAGAGGAGTGTATATCACTGTTTCCTCCCCAAATTCAGGAGTAAAAGCATTGCATTGGAGGGAGCTAATAGCATAGTTTGGGTAAAACTTTCCAGGGTATAGTATACTTTGTTACTTTTTAGTCTTGTATTTTTATCTTGATAAAAATATTCAATATTTACAGCAGTCAGAGAAAAACACAGAACTTCACTCAAGTTTTACATATATTATTATTATTATTATTATAAGACATATGCATATGCAGGTGCCATCATGATATATTGTTGCATTTTCAATAGTAGTTTTTCTTCCTTTGGGACATTAATTGGTGATGGGGCATGCCACACTGCCACACTGTAACCCAGGAAACTTCCAATCATTCCACTTCATCATCAACACCAAGCTATACCACTGTTGCAATATTATAGTTGTATGGTCTTGAGCAAGTTAGTTTACCTCTGTGAGCCTGTTTCCTTATCTTTAAAAGGAGAATTACAGTAAAAAATAAAGCTTAATGTGTGTTAAGCCTTACTCTGAATAATTTATATTGCAATACCTAATCTGTAGCCTTCCTGGAAAGCAGGTACTATTACTATCACCATATTGTAGAAGATGAAGGCAGGGGTCCTGAGAGGTTAAATACCTTGCTTGAGGTAACATAGCTTGTAAGTGGAGTAGCTGGGATTCCAGCCCAGACTGACTAGCTCTGGAGTGCAAGTCCTTAGCCACTATACTACAGCCACTGCTCATAAAGTAGGGAAGGCAGTGAGATGATGTAATAAAGGCATTTAGCACAGTGCCTCAAACATAGGGAGTTTTTATAGATTGATGGTTAAGTTCGCTGGAGCAAAGTTCAACCCCTCAGAAAAAAATGACAGTGTAAAGGAAAGCATAAGGGCTTTGGAATTGAATGGCCTAGTATTTAAATCGCAGCACACTGACTCCCTAGTTGTGTGATTTGGGGCCAGTTACTTATCTCTTTGAAACTCTGCTGTTTTCTTACCTTTGCAATGGGATGATAATACTCACCTGTTAGGGTTGTCATGAAATCTAAGTTTAAGACAACACACATGGTGTACAGCGTGCCATGGTGAGGGCACTATGTGAAGGGAGGTATGCAGAACAGCTTGGGAGCTTGGACCCTCTGTAGGCCATCCTCCTAATTCAACCTGCTTCTTGTCCAACCCCCTCCCTCCCCATCCACCAAATGCCCTCATTAAATTAATAAATAAGTCTGAGTCGAAAACACAATTCTTCCCTAAATCAAGAATCAAAGGCTAGCTTAGATTACAGACCAAAGCTTGGATGAAAACAATAATTTCGAAACTGGTCTCCTTGTTTTCACTCTTGTTTAACTCAAAATAATTTCACACAGCACTCCTTATGATATGGTTTAGCTGTGTCCCCACCCAAATCTCATCTTGAATTGTAGTTCCCATAATCCTCATGTGTCATGGGAGGGATCCAGTGGGAGGTAATTAAGTCACATGGGAAGTTTTTCCTGTGCTGTTCTTGTGACAGTAAATAAGTCTCACAAGAACTGATGATTTTATAAAGGGAAGTTCCCCTGCACATGCTCTCTTACCTGCTGCCATGTAAGATGTGCCTTTGCTTCTCCTTTGCCTTCTGCCAGGATTGTGAGGCCTCCCCAGCAATGTGTAACTGTGAGCCCATTAAACCTCTTTCCTTTATAAACTACCCAGTCTCAGGTATGTCTTTATGAGCAGCATGAGAACAGATTAATACAGTAAACGGGTACCAGTAGAGGGGGGTGCTGCTATAAAGATACCTGAAAATGTGGATGCAACTTTGGAACTGGGTAACTGGCAAAGGTTGGAAGAGTCCGAAGGACTCAGAAGAAGGCAGGAAGATGTGGGAAATTTGTAACTTCCTAGAGAATTGTTGGATGACTTTGACCACAATGCTAATAGTGATATGGACATTAAAGTCCAGACTGTGGCAGTGTCAGATGGAGATAAGGAACTTCTTGGGAACTGGAGTAAAGGTCACTCTTGCTATGCAAAGAGACTGGTGGCATTTTGCCCCTGCCTTACAGATCTGTGGAACTGTGAACTTGAGAGAGATGATTTAAGGTATCTAGCAGAAGAAATTTCTAAGCAGCAAAGCCTTCAAGAGGAAGGAGAGGATAAAAGTTTGGAAAATCTGCAGACTGACAATGCAATAGAAAAGAAAAACCCATTTTCTGGGGAGAAATTCAAGCCTGCAGCAGAAATTTGCATAATTAACAAGAAGCCAAATGTTAATCACCAAGACAATGGGGAAAATGTCTCACCTTCAGGGCCACGCCTCCCATTACAGACCTAGAGGCCTAGGAGGGAAAAATAATTTCCTGGGCCAGGGCCAGACCCTCTCCTTGCTGTGTGCAGCCTAAGGACTTGGTGCCCTGTGTTCCAGCCACCTCAGCCATGGCTAAAAGGAGCCAAGGTATGGCCATGGCTTCAGATGGTGCAAGTCCCAATCCTTGGCAGCTTCCACATGGTGTTGGACCTACAGGTGCACAGAAGACAAGAATTGAGGTTTGGGAAACTCCATCTAGATTTCAGAGTATGTATGGAAATGCCTGGATGACCAGGCAGAGGTGTGCTGCAGGGGCAGAGCCCTCATGAAGAACCTCTGTTAGGGCAGTGCAGAAGGGAAATGTGGGGTTAGAGCTCCCAAACAGAGTCCCCACTGGGGGACTATCTACTAGAGCTGTGAGAAGAAAGCCACAGTCCTCCAGACCCCAGAATGGTAGATCCACCAGCAGCTTGCACCATGAGCCTGGAAAAGCCACAGACACTCAACTCCAGCTTGTGAAAGCAACCAGTAGGGAAGCTGTACCCTGGAAAGCCACAGTGCCAGAACTGCCCAAGTCCATGGAAACCTCTATCTTTCATCAGCGTGACCTGGAGGTGAGACGTGAAGTCAAAGGAGATCATTTTGGCGCTTTAAGTATTGACTGCCCCGCTGGATTTCAGACTTGCATGGGGCATGTAGCCCCTTTGTTGTGGCCAATTTCTCCCATGTGGAACAGGAGCATTTATCCAATGCCTGTACCGCCATTGTATCTAGGAAGTAATTAATTTGCTTTTGATTTTATAGGCTCGTAGATGGAAGAGACTTGCCTTGTCTCAGATGAGACTTTGGACTTGGACTTTTGAGTTAATGCCAAAATAAGTTAATACTTTAGGGAGTTGGTAAGGCAAAATTGGTTTTGAAATGTGAGGACATGAGATTTGGGAGGGGCCAGAGGTGGAATGACATGGTTTGGCTGTGTCTCCACCTAAATCCCATCTTGAATTGTGGTTCCCATAATCCCCAGGTGTCATGGAAGGAACCCAGTGGGAGGTAATTGATTCATGGGGTGTTTTTTTCTGTGCTGTTCTTGTGATAGTAAATAAGTCTTATGAGATCTGATGGTTTTATAAAGGGCAATTCCCTGCACATTCTCTCTTTTCTGTTGCCATGTAATTTGTGCATTTGCTTCTCCTTTGCCTTCTGCCATGATTGTGAGGCCTCCCCAGCTAGGTGGAACTGTGAGTTCATTAAATCTCTTTCCTTTATAAATTACCCAGTCTCAAGTATTCTTTATTAGCAGCGTGAGAACAGACTAATACAACTTATGACCAAATCTTATTGTCACCCCGCTTTAAAATGTTACAAAGACTCTTTACTTCTATAGAGGAAATAATCAAATTTTCTACCACAGACTGAAGGCCCTGGGTGAGCTGGTATCTGCCTGCATCTCCAGCCTCACTCACGCTATGCAGTTACCATGTTAGTACTCCCTTGGATGCTTTCTCAGACGTTTTTTCTTTTCAAATATATATATTTGAAAAGCATACATATATTTTCAATATATATGTGAAAAGGAAGACTAGAAAGAAAAGATTTTGAAATGAAAGGTTATATATGTGTAAATAATATTACATATTGTTATATTAGATATTACACGATATTTTAATAAACATGAAATCATACCAAACACATCATTGTGTTATCTGCTTGTTTAGTTTAGAAATGTATTACGAACATCTTTTCAAGCCCATAAATATAATTGTGTGACATCACTTTTGCTGCACCACAGTGACATTCATTTCTAAACCAATCAGAAACAAATTTTTATTATTATAAAAACATGCTGCATTGACCATAAAAAAGAATGAAATCATGTTCTTTGCAGCAACACAGATGCAGCTATAGGCCATTTTCATAAGTAAATTAACACAGAAAAAGAAAATCAAATATCACATATTCTCACTTATAAGTGGGAGCTAAACAAAGGGTACACACGGACATGAAGATGAAAACATTAGACACTGGGGATTCCAAAGTGGGGAGGAAAGAAGGTTGGGAATGGGTTGAAACATCAGACACTATGTTCACTATTTGGGTGATGTGTTCAATCAAAGCCCAAACCCCAGCATTATGCAATGTATCCATGAAAGAAGCCTACACATGTTTCACCTGAATCTATAGTTTTACTAAAAGTCAGATTTTTAAAAATTACAATAAAATCATGCTGCATTCAGATTATCCTTGTTGCTGAAACTTTGTGTCATTCTTATTTCTTCTTTCAAGAAAATTTTCTAAAAATACAATTGTTGGGTCAAAGAGCATATGCATTTTTGAGGCATTTAGTACATACAGTTAACCTTCCTCTAAAAAATGTCTTACTGATGTTCAGTCACACAAGCAAATAGTGGACATCTTGCTAGATTGTCACTAACACTAAATAGTATCATTCCATTTTCTTTTGATCAATTTCATAGTCAAAACAAACAAAAAAAGAATTAAAACTCCAGCCAGGATACCATTTTAATTTGTTCAAATATTAGTGAGATTTAGCAAGTTTTTATATATCTATGAAATACTTGTATTGTGAGTGAAATGCCAGTTTATTCTCTGATATGGTTTGGCTGTGTCCCCACCCAAATCTCATCTTGAATTGTAATTCTCATAATCCCCTCATGTTGTGGGAGGTACCTGGTGGGAGGTAATTGAATCATGGGGGTGGTTACCTCCATGTTATTCTCGGAATAGTGAATGAGTTCTCATGAGATCTGAAAGTTTTATAAAGGGCTTTTCCCCTTTTGCTCTCATTCTTCTCCTTTCTGCTGCAATGTGAAGAGGGACATGTTTGCTTCCCCTTCTGCCATAAGTGTAAGTTTCCTGAGGCCTCCCCAGTCATGCTGAACTGTGAGTCAATTAAACCTCTTTTATTTAAAAATTACCCAGTCTCGGGTATGTCTTTACTAGCAGTGTGAGAATGGACTAATACAGGAAATTCATACCAGGTAGTGGGACAGTACTATAAGGATACCCAAAATGTGGAAGCCACTTTGGAACTAGGTAACTGGCAGAGTTTGGAACAGTTTGGAGGCACTTGGAAGAAGGCAGGAAAATGTGGGAAAGTTTGGAACTTCCTAGAGATTTGGAGGGCTCAGAAGACAGAACGATGTGGATAAGTTTGGAACTTCCTAGAGACTTACAGAATGGCTTTGACCAAAATGCTGATAATGATATGGACAATGAAGTCCAGGTTGAGGTGGTCTCCGATGGAGATGAAGAGCTTGTTGGGAACAGGAGTAAAGGTCACTCTTGCTATGCAAAGAGGATGGTGGCGTTTTTTCTCTGCCCTAGAGATCTGTGAAACTTTGAGCTTGAGAGAGATGATTTAGGGCATCTGGTGGAAGAAATTCTCAGCAGCAAAGTGTTCAAGAGGTGACATAGTATAAAAGTTTGGAAAATTTGCAGCCTGACAATGCTGTAGAAAAGAAAATCCCATTTTCTGGGGAGAAATTCAGCTAGCAGCAAAAATTTGCATAAGTAATGAGGAGCTGAATGCTAATTACCAAAGCAATGGAGAAAATGTCTCCAGGGCATGCCAGAGGACTTTATGGCATCTCCTCTCATCAAGCGCCCAGAGGCCTATGAGGAAAAATGGTTTCCTGGGTCAGAATCAAAGCCCCCCTGCTGTGTGCAGCCTTGGGATTTGGTGCCCTGTATCCCAGCCGCTCCAACCACAGCTAAAAGGGGCCAAAGTACAGCTCAGGCCATGGCTTCAGAGCATGCAAGACCCAAGGCTTGGTGGCTTTCATATGGTGTTGAGCCTGTGGGTGCACAGAAGTCAAGAATTGAGGTTTGGGAACCTCCACCTAGATTTCAGAGGAAGTGTGGAAATGCCTGCGTGTCTAGGAGGAATTGTGCTGCAAGGGCAGGGCCCTTATGGAGATCCTCTGCTAGGGCAGTGTGGAAAGGAAATGTGGTGTTGAAGCCCCCACAGAGTTCCCCCTGGGGCAGTACCTAGTGAAGCTGTGATAAGAGGGCCATCATCCTCCAGATCTCAGAATGGTAGATCCACCTACAGCTTCCGTTATGTGCCTGGAAAAGCCACAGAAACTCAATGCCAGCCTGTGAAAGCAGCTGGAAGAAGGGCTGTACTCTGCAAACTTCAGGGGAAGAGCTGCCCAAGGCTGTGGGAGCCCGCCTTTTGCATTAACGTGCCCTGGATGTGTGACACGGAGTCAAAAGAGATCATTTTGGAACTTTAAGGTTTAATTACTGCCCTACTGGATTTCGGACTAGCATGGGGCCTGTAGCCCCTTTCTTTTGCCAATTTCTCCCATTTGGAATGGGTATATTTTCTGATGCCTGTACCCCCATTGTTTCTAAGAAGTAAATAACTTGCTTTTGATTTTACAGGCACATGGGTGGAGGGACTTCCCTTGTCTCAGGTGAGACTTTGGACTTGGACTTTCAGGTTAATACTGGAATGAGCTAAGACTCTGGGGGACTATCGGAAAGGCATGATTGTGTTTTGTAATGTGAGGACATGAGATTTGGGAGGAGCCCAGGACAGAATGATGTGGTTTGGCTGTGTCTCCACCAAAATCTCAACTTGAGTTTTAGTTCCCATAATCCCCATGTCTTGTGGGAGGGACCTGGTTGGAAGTGGTTGAATCATGGGGGCAGTTACCTCCATGCTGTTCTCATGATAGTGAGTTCTCATGAGATCTGATGGTTTTATAAGGGGCTTTTCCCCTTTTGCTCTCATTCTTCTACTTCCTGCCACTATTGAAGAAGGACATGTTTGCTTCCTCTTCCACCATATTTGTAAGTTGATATGGTTTGGCTGAGTCCCCACCCAAATCTCATCTTGAATTGAAGGTCCCATAATTCCCATGTGTTGTGGGAGGGATCCAGTGGGAGGTAACTGAATCATGGGGTGGGTCTTTCCCATGCTGTTCTCATGACAGTGAATAAGTCTCATAAGAGCTGACGGTTTTATAAAGGGGAATTCCCCTGTACACACTCTCTTGCCTGCTGCCATGTAAGATGTGCCTTTGCTTCACTTATGCCTTCCACCATGATTGTGAGGCCTCCCCAGCCATGTGGAACTGTGAGCCCATTAAACCTTTGTATTAGTTTGTTTTCATGCTGCTGATAAAGATATACCTGAGACTGGGCAATTTATGAAAGAAAGAGGTTTAATTGGACTTACAGCTCCACATGGCTGGGGAAGCCTCACAATCATGGAAGAAGGCAAGGAGGAGCAAGTCCCATCTTACATAGATGGCAGCAGGCAAAGAGAGCTTGTGCAGAGCAACTCCCGTTTTTTAAACCATCAGATCTCATAACACTCATTCACTATCATGAGAACAGCACAGGAAAGACCTGTCCCCATAATTCAATCATCTCCCACTGGGTTCCTCTCATGACAATTGGGAATTGTGGGAGTTACAATTCAAAAAGAGATTTGGGTGGGAACACAACCAAACCATATTAACCTCTTTCCTTTATAAATTACCCAGTCTCGGGTATGTCTTTATTCACAGCATGAGAACAGACTAATACAGTAAACTGGTACTGGGAAGTGGGGAGCTACTGTAAAGAAAACTGAAAATGTGGAAGCAATTTTGGATCTGGGTAACAGGAAGAAGTTGGAACAGTTTCGAGGGCTCAAAAGACAGGAAGATGTGGGAAAGTTTATAACTTCCTAGAGACTTGTTGAATGTCTTTGACCAAAATGCTGATAGTGACATGAAAATAAAGTTTAGGCTGAGATGGTCTCAGATGGAGATGAGGAACTTGTTGGGAACTGGAGCAAAGGTGATTCTTGTCATGCTTTAGCAAAGAGACTGGTGGCATTTAGCCCCTACCCTAGAGATCTGTGGAACTTTAAACTGGAGAGAGATGATTTAGGGTATCGGCCAGAAGAAATTTCTAAACAACAAAGCATTCAGGATGTGACTTGGATGCTGTTAAAAGCATTCAGTTTTATGTATTCACAAAGATATAACTTGCAATTGGAACTTATGTTTAAAAGAGGAGCAGAGCATAAAAGTTCAGAACATGTGCAGCCTGACAATGCAATAAAAAATTCCATTTTCTAAGGAGAAATTCAAGCCAGCTGCAGAAATTTGCATAAGTACCTAGAGGCCAAATGTTATTCACCAAGACAATGGGGAAAATGTCTGCAGGGCATGTCAGAGACCTTCCTGTCAGGCCCTCCAACTACAGGACTGGAGGCCTAAGAGGGAAAAATGGCTTCATGGGCGAGGCTCAGGGCCCCCCCTGCTTTATTCAGCCTGGCAACATGGTGCCCTTTATCCCAGCTGCTTCAGCTCCAGCAATGGCTAAAAAGGGCCAATGTACAGCTCAGGCCATTGCTTCAGAGGGTGTAAGTCCCAAGCCTTGGTGGATTATGTGTGGTGTTGGGCCTGTGGTGCACAGAAGCCAATAATTGAGGTTTGGCCACCTCCACCTAGATTTCAGAGGATGCATGAAAACTCTTGGATGTCCAGGGAGAAGTTTGCTGCAGGGGTGGGGCCCTCATGGAGAACCTCTGCTAGGGCAGTGTGGAAGGGAAATGTGGGATTGAAGCCCCCATACAGAGTCCCCACTGGGGCAATGCCTAGTGGAGTTGTGAGAAGAGCACTACCATTCTCTATCCCCGTCAAATGGTAGATCAACCAATAGCTTGCACCATGCACCTAAAAAAGCATCAGGCACTCAACACCATCCCGTGAAAGCAGCTGGGAGGGGGGCTGTACCTGCAAAGCCATAAGGGCAGAGTGGCCCAAGACTGCGGGAACCCACTTCTTACATCAACAAGACCTGGATGTGAGACATAGAGTCAAAGGAGATTATTTCAGAACTTTTGGTTTTATAAAAGGGAGTTCCCCTGCACACGCTGTCTTGCCTCCCACCACGTAAAACATGCCTTTGCTTCTCCTTTGCCTTCTGCCATGACTGTGAGGCCTCCCCAGCCATGTGGAGCTGTGAGTCCATTAAATATCTTTCCTTTTTAATTACCCAGTCTCAAGTGTGTCTTTATTAGTGGTTTAAGAGCAGACTAAAACATTCTTTTTGCCCGTCTTGTACCCATCTTATAACATGAGTAAAAGAGATACTCATCTTACTTGTTAGCTTATAAGACTTCATTTGTTTATTCATCAGACACTTAGCATCTATACCATTTTCTGGACACTGTGCTATGTCTTGAGGGTACAATTGAGTTTATGATTAAACCAACTTTCGCAGTCTTCTTGAGTTCCTTCCAGCTTTGACTCCTGATCTAGTTCCAAAGCCAGTGGCATGTGGTTTAGGTTTTTCATTATGGCAGCACCTTAAATTTTTTTAAAATTTTGCGTGTGCATACTAGCTGTATATATTTTTAGAGTACATGAGATATTTTGGTACAGATCTTAAACATCAACCTTTTTATTATATCTCCCAGTTGTGGAATTGACTGGGATCAGTAAGATAATTCTCCTTCTAATTTCCCTTGGGATGTCTCTCAAGTATGTCATCATTGGCATCTCAGGCTGGATTTATTTGGAGGCTGAAATGGAAGCTCAGATGCTTGACCCTCTCTCCCTCTTCATGGAATAGTAGGACTTAGGGTCAGCTACAGAGCCAGCCCAGATACAAGAGGATAGGAAATAAAGGATACCTCTCAATGGAGGAGTGACAAATAATTTGCTTCCATCTTACATCTACTACAGATCATAATGGTTTTAATGTGACTTAAAAGTATTTTTTGAAGTGTGTCATATGCCCTTTAACTTTCATATGGATTCGATGTGTAGATGATTTTAAATTATACACAGTAAAATTTGTCAGTCACTTCTGAGATTATCCCAACTTCTCGCCCATATACAAAATTTTCTTCTTAAATGAAAAGCAAAAAAAAAAAAAAAAAGATATCTTGGTTTGTGTTGGGTGGGAAGTGCATGGACTATGAAGAGATTCATCTTCTTCATAATCTTTTGGTATTTTAAAAAGATAATAAATGTGTATGATTTTTATAAGTTTTTTTATAAAAATATAAGAAAAAGAAAGAGGAAGAGAAAAAGAAGAAATAAAAAAGTGGAGGAGATGGGGGAAAATATAGACAAGGAAAGCTCTTTACCACACTAAAATTTTATAATATTTACTAATATTTAACTCAAGACATTTTGTAGTTTCTTTTTCATTACTTCTGAATCTATAGTTCATTTGAAAATTATTTAATATGATATGAGTTAGGGTATAATTTTAATTTATTTACAAGTGCTGAATTAGTAACACAAATTCAGTAATTGATTTCATTATTTAACTAGTTTTATTAACCATCTAATATGTGCTAAGCACTCTGGCCATTACTAACTGTACAGTCCTGAAATTGATTCAGTCACTGCCATGATGGAGCTTATAATACTCCAGTGAGGAAAACAATAAGAAAATATATAACAACTATTTTCACATTTGTTATAAAGAAAAAAATGGGAGCTATAGTGAGAAAATAGGAAGAGAAATAATGGGAGTAGAAACTCAGAACTAAATATGTCATAGGTTTTGACAATGCAAAGTCAAAAGCAAATGATTTCTATGTCCTATTCTTTCTCTATTATTTATGTATCCTCTCCTTTCATTAAATCAGTTAAAATAACATATATGAAAGTTTGTTAAAGAATCAGGAAACATAAAAGGATAGATCAGCATTTAAGAGTGGATAAATTGTCAAAATCCTCCCTAAAATGTTTTGTGCGGTTGCCGTGGGAGGGGATGGAGGAGAGGTTATGTAGAAACTGAGTTTGGGTCAACCCAAAGAGTACTTGCAGAAGGCCCAGCACAGTGGGGAGTACTGGCTACAGGGAGGGCAAAAGCATTGCCAACCAGGTGCCCATCTGAGCTTTGACTGAGCGTTGATGATTCTCCCCAGAGGAAAGGAATTTCTTCCTGGCTTTTGAGGTCTCTTGGCCTTCAGCATGGGTCCCGGTGCTGTAGTCACTGCCCTGGTGCCTTCAGTGATGGAGCTGCCATAATGAACCTGAAAGACCGAGAAGCAAGAGGGAAGCCGGGGCTCCCTTGCCTACAGTGGAGGGTCCCAGTTCTGTCAGCTTCTCTCCTCACAGGTTCTACTAACGACCGACATTTGCTAATGTAAATAATAGTAAATTATTGAGAATGCTAATTATTTTATAGTCTGTTTTTAATCTACTTTAATTAAATAAAATCTGTTACTCTAAAAAAAAGAGTGATAAATTGGAGATGATCTGGAATATTTCTGAGAATGTAAAGTTGAGAGCTGAAGGAAGTTTATATTATCCATGAAATGAGCTGGATTATTTAAGAAGACAAAGACATGAGGATATTCCAAAAGAACAACTCCTCAGGATGACAATTACTGTTCACTTCAAAATGATGACATCACGTAAAATTGCCAAAAACAATGCAAAGTCCAAAGCAAATGATTTCTATGTCATATTCTTTCTCTACTATTTATGTATCTTCTCCTTTCATTAGATCAGTTAATATAATATAGATGAAAGTTTGTTAAAGAAGCATTATCCAAATGTAAGGCATTGTTGTTGCTGTCATAAATTGGAATTCAGTCCTAGTTCTAAATTGATTTTCTCAGGATAACAAATATAGGACTAGGATACTAACTATAGACTACTCTGCTCTTTGACCTTTTCTGGGATGTTAATATAATTAAGTTCTGGGAATTAACTTCCCTTCATGTCAGAGTGTGCTATAATCTATAGCACAGTTTTTCTTCTGGAAACTTCCATTTGCTGATGATTAAGTACACAATATTGCAGTCATTTATATAGGCAGCTGAGAATAATTCACAAGGAGACTGCAAAATCCAAACTGCATCTGGGTCATTTATTCTATAACATCGTCTCAGGCAATTATTCTGCTCTTGCACAGAGCATTTAAAGCATGGAAAATAACTAGGTTTACCACTGTTATAGTAACAATTTCAAATTGTTCAATGTTCACCTTTTTTAAGACACAGAATTCTGTCATTTAAAAATACATTGACTTGTCTTTTCTCATTTTGCCTTCAATATAGGCACTTCCAAAACATGAAGAAGAAATGTATTTGACCTTGAAATCAGTTGCTAGAAAAATAGCCTGTCTAAATGTTACTTTTCACCTAAAATGTTATATTATAGGGCTGCTCAATGGCATGGCTATAATAAAGAATCTGCCATCATTTTTTTAAGCTCCTAGTTATACAGGCTTATAACTTCTTTAAAAGTCATTCCAAGGATCTTCAGTTCCACTGCCAGTTCAGGAAAGAAGACACACACACATACACACACGGGTGGCTATCTTTACAGTTTTATTTTATAAGCCACATATCTTTACAAATTCATTTTTATAAACACATTAAGTCCTTGATTTGAGTAATAAGTGAGAAGTTACTAGCATTATCTAAGTCTTAACTGAGACAATGGGGATTAGGGGAAAGATCAGTGACCAGTGAGGTTGATACTTGAGCCCAGGTTTGTCAAAAGGAAATGCATGACCTTGATGAAAACCCTTAACTTCTTAAGGCTTCTAATATCCTAGCTAAAATACGGTGTTGGACTTGATAATGTTTACAATTCTTTAATTTTCAGTTAGGACTTTAGTGGAATAGCATAAAAATGGAAAATCCTGGACTTTCCTCTCTGATGATTGATCAGAAAGACACATTTGCAGTCTCTTCAATTCTTTACTATTATCAGGTATTTATCATAGTTTTCCTATTACATATTCTTGATCCAGGGGATTAAAATCTAGTGAAAGTATGCATGTGAAATGTCAATAGTAAATGCTAAATTCTTATTCTTCACTGATGATTTTAGTTTTACTAGTAAACAACAGAAACCTACTCCAGAAGTTTAAGCGGAAAAGTAATTTATTTAAGTCTATCGTGAGGACTGCTAAGGACAACTTAAGAGTTTAGAACTGCTCTGTGGAAATGTGAATACCACTGCTATTGGCACAGGAAGCAGAATTCTCACCACTATTGCTGTACTCTGGACCCTATCACTAGAGCCACTGCCACAGATGCCTCTGAAGTAGAGGTCTCTGCTGCCAATGTGGCTGAATTCTGCAAGCACCTACTTTGTTGCATTGATGCTAATCTATGGGTGCATCTGATTGGTAAGCCTAAGTTATGTACCTGAACCCGGGCTTCAAAGTAAACTGGGAAAGATATTTTACCTTCTATCTTGGGGAGGTAGCAGTGGGTTAAGAGGGAAATTTTCCCCAACTACAAATAGTGTCCCAAGAACCTGAGAAACCCAAAAGAAGAGTAAATGTCCATTATAATCTTCTCATAGCAAATTTTAAGTAGAATGAACTTTACATATGTGTATATATATATATATATATTTTTTTTTTTCTTTTTTTTGGACATGGAGTCTTGCTCTATCACTCAGGCTGCAGTGCAGTTGCGCGATATCGGCTCACCGCAACCTCCGCCTCCCGGGTTCAAGGGATTCTCCTGCCTCCGCCTCCTGAGTAGCTGGGATTACAGGCGCCCACAACCACGCCCGGCTAATTTTTGTATTTTTGATAGAGATGGGGTTTCACCATGTTGGTCAGGCTGGTCTCAAACTCCTGACCTCAGGCGATCCATCCGCCTTGGCCTCCCAAAGTGCTGGGATTACAGGCGTGAGCCACCGCACCTGGCTATTTATATATTTTTATGTATAAATGTTAGTTGTTATTATCTTTGTAATTGTTATCTTTTATTTTAAATAATGTTGAATTCAGTACTTGTACTGTTTCGCATTTGGGTAATTTTTTAGTATTTTTCCCCAGCGTTCAAACCGACTAGTCAAATATTTACCAATAATTTTTGAAATGCTCATACATATCAAGTAATTCATCTATTCTATCTTGTTCTCCTCTAAAGACTATTCTGCATCGCTTTTTTCCTGCTATACAGACTGGCTACTATTTGGGCTTTGGGCACGTATCTCATGCTGTGTTTTGCCTTCACTGCTTTCTCAAATCGATTCCCATTCCCATCATTCCTGGATGTCATGCTTTCCTTTTTCTTGGTTAATATATTTGTTTACCTGAAGATAACCTCCGTGGCTTCCTAAAAAGTGTGTATGGGAGGTTTACATTTTTGTTCCTGCATTATGAAAATGTCTTATAATTGTTGTTAACTTGGCAGAATATACAATTCAAATCTGAAAATAGTTTGTTCTTAAAACTGTGAAGGCCTTGATAACCTGTTTTCTATTATCCCACATTGCTGCTGAAAAGTCTAAAACAATTACACTTCTTGTTCCTTTGCAGGTAACCTTTATTTTTCTCTCTGAAAGTTTTTAGAATGTCCTCGTAAACCCTGGCATTCTGTAAATTCACAATAATAATAATGTACATTTTTTTGCTGAATAACAATTTTAATGTGTTTTATTTTTAATGATGTTACTTCAGAAAATAAAAATTGGCAACCCCCATTTTCTTTGAAATTTTATTTAGACCTATGAAATTTAAAGTTTGGGAACTGCTTAGAGCAAGGATCTCTAACAAGCCTTTTGAGATCAGGTGGTCAGTTGGCATCCTTGGTCTCAATTATAGAATAGGCTTTCGTCAGTGAAAATTGATATACACTCATTATGCATGACCTTACAGAGTTTTATAACTAAAGTGCAGAGATCCTGCCCTTAAGGCAAGATACCTTCCTTTAGGTATTATGTGCAGTTCTAGTGTTGGTCATTAGAAGGATGCCTTGTCCCTAGTCACCTAGCAGCAAGCCAGAATGCAGGGGAGAGAGAGAGAGAGAGACAGAGAGAGAGAGAGAGAGGGGAGAGAGAGAGAGAAGAGACTCCATGTCTGTGTCTGCACCTCTGCAGAGACAGAATTAGTTTAGTAATTCTTATGTCTCACATGTGCATATTGCCTACAGTTTATATATGAGCCCCTGACTGTTAAATATGTTTCTGAAGATTGTGTGATTTGTTTACAGTCACATACATAATGTCAGGCCCAGAATTCACAGATCACAAATCTCTGGCTCTTTTCGTGAATTTCAAGTAATTTCAGGTTTTAATAAAAGGAAGTCTCTGCTTTAAAGAAGACTCAGGGATTATCTACCAAAGCATAAAAGTAAATAATTTCAAGTGCAAATAATTTCAAATACATATTGTAAAGGTTGCACAAAAGAGGCATTTGAACCCATTCTTTTTCTGTTTGTAAAGTGTCATCCTGATATGATATTTCTTGAAATGATTCTTGGTCTACTCAGTCACTGAACTGTTTTGCTTTCTTTTGGTGAGTTGTTATTACACTGGTGATAAACACATTCTAGTCTCTGCTTAGTTCTATTTAATACATGGTTAATGGTTAAATGAATGACCCTTTAGTTCCTAGGTTTTTTCTTTAAGTCTACCTACAGTAAATTCACACTTTGTGGAGTTTGATTCTATCAAAAATGGCAAATAGATACAGTCGTGTAACCACCAACACAGTCTGGATATGGAACAGTTTTATTATCCAAAATACTTATTCCATCTCCAAGGCAACCACTAAAGTATATAGTCTCCAACCTGGCTTGTTTCATGTAGCATAATGCACTTGTGATTCAGCCATGTTGTTGCATGCATTAATAATCCGTTCCTTTTTATTACTGAGTAGCATTCCAATATATAGATATATAAGAGTTTGTATACTCACCAATCTAAGCTGTTTCCACTTATGAATAAAGCTATGATAAGTATTCACAAACTGGACTTTATATGAACATAAGTTTTCATTTATCACTTTACCAAGGAGTAGCATTGATAGATCACAAAGCAAGTGTTTAACTTTGGAAGAAACTGGAAAACATTACCCAAAATTTCTGTTTCATTTTACAATCCCCCACCGCTGTATGATAATTTTAAATCTTCTGTATCCTCACTGGCATTTCATAATACCAATATTTTAAAAACTTCAGCCATTTCAATAGGGGCTTAGTAATATCTCATTGTGGCTTATTGTGCATTTCTTTAATAACAAATGATGTGGGGCATTGCATCATCTGTTCATTTTTCATCAGTAACATTTTCTTTGGTGAAGTGGCCAAATCTTTTAACAGATTTAAAAATTCAATTGTTAGTGTACTTACTGTTGAGTTTGGAGCATTCTTTTGTATTCTGATAGAAGTCCTTTACCAGATATATGATTGGCAAATAATTTCTCCCGATCTGTGGCTTTTCTTTTCTTTCCCTCAATAGTGTTCTTCATAAACCAGAAGTTCTTTGATAAAGTACTATTTTTCAATTTTTTTATTTTATGGATATTGCTTTTTGCCTAACTCAAAGTAACAAAAAATCTCTTCTATGTTTTCTTACAGAAGATTTACAGGTTTATGTTTTACATTTAGAGCTATGATCCATTTTGAGTTAATTTTAAGGTGCAAGGTGTAGGTTAAAATGTATTCATTCATTAATTCATTTAGTGTATGGATGACAATAGTTCTAGCATCATTTGTTGAAAAGACTATCCTTTCTCCATACAATTACTTTAGCAACTTTAACAAACCTGCACATTGTGCACATGTACCCTAAAACTTAAAGTATAATAATAATAAAAAAATTTTTTTTTTAAATCAGTTAACTCTACACATTTGAGCCTGTTTCAGGATGCTGTTTTGCTTCACTGATGTATATGTCTGGGCTTTTACCACCACTGGAGTGTCCTGATTACTGTAGCTTGATAGTACGCTTTGATATCAGAGAATGTGAGTTCTCCAGAATTATTCTTTTTCAAAATTGCTGACTATTCCAGTTCTTTGCCTTTTCTTATAATTTTAGAATGTCTGTCAATTTCTTTGATACTATTATTTTTTAATTGACAGATGAAATTATAAGCATTTAGCATGTGCATGATGTTTTGAAATCCATAAATATTATGGAATGGTTAAATCTTGCTAATTAACAAATGTATTACCTCACATAGTTATCATTTTTGTGGTGAGAACATTTAACATCCACTCTACATTTTTCAAGAATATATCATCATTAACGATAATCATTGTGCTGTATAACATATCTCCTGTACTTTTTCCTCTTTTCTAATTGTAATTACATCTCCTTTTGTCAGAGGTATTTGAACCAGAGCAACTCCAACTTGAATAGGGGCTGAGTAAAATAAGGCAGAGACCTACTGGGCTGCATTCCCAGGAGGTGAAGGCATTCTAAGTCACAGGATGAGACAGGAGGTCAGCCCAAGGTACAGGTCATAAAGACCTTGCCTATAAAACAGGTTGTGGTAAAGAAGTTGGCTAAAACCCACCAAAACCAAGATGGTGATGACAGTGACCTCTGATCGTCCTCACTGCTCATTATATGCTAATCATAGCACATTAGTATGCTAAAAGACGTGCCCACTAGTGCCATGACGGTATACAAATGCCATGGCAACATCTGGAAGTTACCCTATATGGTCTAAAAGGGGAAGGAACCCTCAGTTCTGGGAATTGCTGACCCCTTTCCCAGAAAACTCATGAATAGTCCACCTCTTGTTTAGCATATAATCAAGAAATAATCATAAAAATACCAACCAGTTGCCCTGGGGCTGCTATACCTGTGGAGTAGCCATTCTATATTCCTTTACTTTCTTAATAAACTTGCTTTCACTTTATGGACTTGCCCCACATTCTTTCTCATGCAAGGTCCAAGAACCCTCTCTTGGGGTCTGGATGGGGACCCCTTTCTCGTAACACTTTGGCTAACATCTCCCTGAGCTGGCTCCACTCTAACCACTGCAGCCTGTAGTAAACACTGTTCTACTTTCTACTTCTAAGATATCAGCTTTTTTAGATTCCACATATGAGTGAGATGATGTGGTATTTTTGTCTTTTTGTGCTTGACTTATTTTACTTCACATAATGTCCTCCAGATTCTTCCATGTTTTTGCAAATGACAGGATTTCCTTATTTTTTTATGGATGAATAGTATTCCATTATGTATGTCTATCATATTTTCTTTATCCATTCATCTGCTGATAGACACATAGGAGGATTACACATCTTGGCTATTGTGAATACTGCAGCAATGAATATGGTATTTCGGATATCTCTTTGACATACTGATTTCATTTTCTTTGGCTATGTATCCAATAGTGGCATTGCTGGATGATATGGTAATTTTGTTTCTAATCTGAGGAAACTCCATACCATTTTCTTTAATGGCTATATGAATTTGCAGACTTATCAGCAGAGTGAAAGTGTTCCCCTTCCTTCACATTCTCACCAACACTTATGTCTGGTCTTTTTGATAATAGCCATACTAACAGGAGTGAGGTGAGATCTCATTGTGGTTTTGATTTGCATTTCCCTGATGATTACTAATGTTAAGCATTTTTTCAGATACTTCTTGGCCATTTGTCTGTCTTCTTTTGAGAAATGTGTATTCAGATTTTTGTCCATTTTTTATTTTTTTAATTGTTATGAAGTTGTTTGAGTTCCTTAAATAGTTTGAATATTAACCCCTTATCAGATGTATAGTTTGCAAATATTTTCTCCCATTTGGTAGATTGTCTCTTCATTATGTTGATTAAAATTTTTTCCCGCTCCCTAAATTATTTCTTCCCTTTTCCTTTTCTACTTGAGCATCTTGCTCTGTCTCCTCTTCCTTTTTCCATTTCTAATTGATGTGTTTTGATCTCTTTCTTATTGGAAGTTTTCTACATAATTCTGATGATCCTTTGTTTTTTATTATAATGTAAATTTAAAGTACTACAATCTGAGTTGGCATTCTTCCTGTAAGGTGTGGATTGGCAAATCCTCAGAATCATATGTATACTCACCCATTTGCTTGAGAAACTTGCAAATGTCATGCTTTTGAGGACTTTTTCTGGAATCATTCAATTTCTTTTGAGAAAATGTCTCCAGTATCCTGTACAGGGGTTATCTGCCTAGCTGTCAGCATTCTTATAGCTGTCATTCCAGCCTTGGGATCCCTGTTCCATATGTAGACTTTGTCCTAATGTCCCTCCATTGGTTGGGTAGAGTCTGGGGTCTTTCCACTCCTTTTGTTGGTGAGATGGGGTGAAGTCAGGCAGACAGGTAAACAAACTTAAGCATTTTATCATGGATAGAAACAGAACTCTGGGAAAGCATTAGAGGTGGATGAGAATAAATACCTTTTCCCGAGGGCTCAGAAGAGGCTTCAAAGAATAATCATCACAACATCTGGGTTTCGAAGTAACCTCCAGGCAAACTGATTAATGAGTGGGAGGCAGAGATGGACAGATAAAAGCATTTCCATGAAGAGGTATCTGTGTAAAATCAAGAAAGCGTGGAAAAGCATGGTCCATTTCTGAAGCAGCAAGGGCTTCAATGCCATAATGCTGACAATTAATATATGGATTAGAACAGGGAACTAGCACTTTATCTAGTTTAAAGGAAAACAATTAATATGGTTTTTTTTAAGTATCTAAAGCCTTTGCATTTTAATTCTAAATTTGAATATTACTTTATTTGCTTAGTTCAATCTGTACTAGTTAATGTATTTCAATTCTATCACTTGCTACTTATATCTAACAACACATCATTTAACATCTTTGGTTCTCAATTATCCCATCTGTAAAATGGAGCTGCCTGTATCGGTCACAGTTTTTAGTTGTGTGCAAAATAAAGCGACATGCGAATCTAAATAGAAAAGGATTTTATGAAAGGGCGTTGGATCTCTCCCAGGAAATAGAAAACTAAGTTTGAATGTTATGCAATCCTGACAAAATCGAAAATCATACTGCAGAACTTGTACCATCATCACTGTCACCAGCTGGGCATAGACAGTGGATCCTGCACCACTGACACTCTGCTAGTGTCCTTGGATGCAGCCACTAGACACTGCACCACTGCCTTTGAAAATCAGGTGTGGCTGTGGTGCTGCCATCTCCCTCACAAGAATGTGTTTTGTCTAGAGCTGTGGGTCTGATTGGCAGAAGCTAGAACATGTGTTCGAGCCGTGTGTATAATGGAACACTGAAGAGTAAGCAATGAACTGTTTACAACTTCTCCAGGAAAAATACAGGCTCTGACTCCTAAAGAAGGAAGTGGGTTTCCAACCATGGAAAACAGGGGCAAAAACTGAATCATCAACAAGAATGACCAATGCCCACATAATTTAGGCAACCAAAAGGTTTTTAGAAGATACATGACATTATAATAAAGAAAACTTTGAAAATGCCAGATATTATTATTATTATTGTCATCCTTAGCACATCCTCATCAAGGAAGGTTCCTGAATAAATTCTGTATTAGTTATTTATTAATGTGTAACAAATTACCCTCAAAACTTAGTGGGGTATATGTAATAATGAAAAGGCCTTATTATTGCAGAGTATCTATGTGACAGGGATTCAGGAGTGGTTGAGATGTGTGGTTCTGGTACAGTGTTTCTCATAAAGTTGCAGTCAAGATACCAGCTGGGACTGTCAGTCTGACTGAAGCTAGAGGATTTGTCTACAAGCTGGCGCATTCACAGGAGGAGGCCTGGGTTTCTTGACGGCTGCTGGAAATAGACCTCTGTTCCTGAACACATGGGTCTTTCCATAGAGCTGCTGGAGTGGCTTCCCCCAGAGAGAATGACCCCAGCAGCAGAAAGAACAAGGTGGAAGTTACACTGTCATTTTACAATCTACATTTCACAGTTGTTCTCCATCATATCTACCGTGTTCTTCTTGTTGGAAGGTAGTCACTAAATATTGCCCGCAGAGAGAATTAAGGCTTCACCAGAGGGAGGAGTTTCAAATAATTTCTGGGCATATACTAAACCATCACGAGTTATTTTTATCATTTCATAGACTGACCAAACTAATTTACTTAGGCATTATTTCTAGTCATTTTTTGTACTATAATATGTCAGAGCATCTTTCTGATTGGAAATTACCACATCTTCTCCAAAGATATTTATTGTATCTGGCAAAAATCTTTCAGTGCTTAAAAGGAAGAGGGGTTCACACTGCATAGCATCTTATCAGCAAAGAAACACATTTCAACTATAAGTGAAATATTTGTCATTTGTTCAAACACCTGAATCCTGCAGTACAGAGATTAACAGATTATAAAGTAAGTCATCATTGTCTGGCTAGCCTTATTAATGTGATGGGAGGAAAGGTAGGAGGTAGTTTTTAAAATCAGGACACTTTTCTGAGAACCACAAAGTATTCTAGGAACACAAAGTTGAGTGTCTTCAGAGGCCAAGCAGGTAGTATACATGGGTGAAGACTACAGGGAGTGGCGAGGCCTGCAACATTCAAATGCCAGTTAAAAATAACAGCACCAATACCAAGCCAACCAAACAAATCACCTTCCAGTGTCCAGTTTGGCTTTCACCTGCCAGCTTGCTCTTCCTGCTGATGTCTAAGCTCTAACTTGCTTTTCTTTGGGAAAAATAAAGATGTAAGGAATGAGCAAGTTAAGGGAATCCTTGTGGTTCCTTTCTTTTTGTTCTCCCTTATATCCTAAACTAAGGATTAACTGCACGACCCCTTCCATCATCTAAAGAGAGAGACAGAGGGCATGCTCTCTTCATCCTCTCCCATCTGTTACACTGAACACATTCTTGCTGTCCAAGGCAGTTGGTCTCATATGCATCCCCTCTAGGGGCATGTGTTAGGGGCACCATGTTTCTTTAAATAGGCTGTCATTCCGGGTTTATTATTAGCCCAGTTTTGATCATGCTGTGTTGAGGCTACCTGTGCCTCGACAGTATAGAAATTCATACACTGGAAACAAGACCAAATAGGCACAATACTTCCCAAAAATTCTTTGTGGTTTAGGCGATAACATCCATGTTTGGGTTTGAGATATTCAGTGCACTATTAATTTTTCTTTATTCAAAGGAGAAAAGGCCTTTTCAGAAACATTGCTTTAGAACCTCCAATTTTATTCAACCCTGCCTTGAATGCCAATTCTAGATGAGTTTTTAATGACCACTTCTCAGTCCAAGGATTAAGACCAAAGAAAAATAAGGATATTTTATGGCACTTATAAACTGTGTTAGTTCATTGCATTCCAAAATGCAGTTTGTTCAACAGCGTGATAAGATACAACTTTTCCTTCATTCAGTCTTCTATTCACTATTTACCAAATAATTATTGAGCAAGGAGATGGTGAACAAACAGACATAGCCCCTCATGGAGTTAATAGTCAATGTAGTACATCAAATTTGCAAACACTGAGAATATGTATATTTAATCCCCAGTTAAATATTTCCTTGGTGGAGAAATTGGCTCTCACACACTGATGGAAGCATTTGCTCCAACTATTAAAAATCAACTTGGAAAGTTGTATGGAGAGGCATAAAAAATAGGGATACATTTTGACTTAATAATTCTGCTTCTGGAAATCTGTCCTAACAAAATATTCAACACAGCATAATTTAGTTAAAATTTAGAAACAAACACCCAGCAAGTGGGAAGCATGGGAAGCAGTCGTATTACAAAGCATCTATTTGATGGTCTATTATGCAGCTATTAAAAAGGATAATTATGAAGACAATGTAGCAACAAGGTAAACTTCTTATAATGTAATGTTTAAGGGAAAGGATATAAACTGTACCTGTATAACATTACAAATACATAAACAAGTACTTTTTCAGTGAAGCAAGAAAGAAATACACTGAAAAAAAGATACTAAAGTTCTTTTAGATTGCTATTGTTTGAGATATATATTTTTTATCTTCCTCTTCTATATATTTATTTTAATGTATATTTATTTAATCTTGGAAAACAAATTATACTAAAAGTCCAATCCTCTTGTTTTTTAAAAAATTATGATTTATTTCACTTTGAAAAATGGAATGCTTCATACATTTGGATGTCATCCTTGTGCAGGGGAGATGTTAGTCTTCTCTGTATCATTCCATTTTTACTGTATGTGCTGTCGAAGCAAGCACAAAATGAACTCTTCTTAAAGAAGTGGGGAAATTATGAAATTTCATCTGAATGGGTGAGATATCAAATTGCATATCATGTTGTTTTTACTTTAGAACTTATGGAGCTTTTTCAGTTATAATATCATATGCTACATGAATAAGAAAACAAGAAATAAAGGGAGGAAGGGATAAACTATTGCTATAACCAATACCCACTGTGTCAGGACCCAAGAAATACATATAGGTTGGTACACAATCAAAGGTCTTATTTGTGTGCCGGAACTTTCAGAAATGAAGCCTGAGAGACCTCTATTTTATCCCATAAGTCAGGCACAGGAAGAGCCCTGAGTCCAGTCAAAGAAGTAGCAATGAATAAGATGTGTAATAAATGAGGTGGGCATGTCATTCTGTCAGTTGCTTCCTACTGACTAACCAAGAGCAGATAATTCTGCTTCTGAATTCATTAATTTTGGCAAAAGGTATCTTGGTCTACCTAATTCAGCTTCTCCATTTAACAGTGAGGAATCTGAGGCAGGTTCACATTATGATTTTAGTGTGCATTTTTGCTTTGGGGAGGCCTCTTCATTTATAAACAATATTAAAAATTATATCTTACAATGTCAAATTAAAAATATAGACTTGGGTAAGCAAAGACTTTTATTCTAAAGGAGTATTGCAATGGAGAGAAAGTGACTTGCAGTAGGAGGAAGGGGACTATTGCAATTAGAAGAAAACTTTGATCCTGAGATATACAAACCTCTCAAAGGTTAGGCAGAAAAGGTCTTTTCTTTTCTAGGAAGGAATAAACAATACTGGAAGTAACAGGATGTCGAAAAGTGGAATGAGTTAGGGTGAATGATCTTACAGTAGAAAAGAGAAAATTCTACCCTATGATCACCCGATTTTCAGGAGGGGCTCTTAAGGAGGGGTTGTATCATGGCTCAGGCAAAGGGCAGGTCAAAGCTCAGGGGCCAGGAGAAAGAGAGAATTCTAACTAAAATTGGGTCAAGTCAAGGTAGCAGATATTCTGTCCACATTGGTCAGTGGGTGAAACAGTTCAGCTAATCATTAATGATGCAAAGAACGGAATGGTGGAGCGTCTATGTTCAGCTTTGTCATTAAAAAAACAAGGTTGGCATCAGCAAGTCTTAACTAAGTCACATGGGGGAGGATCTTTCCTTGTATAAGCTGTTTTCTGGAACACTAAAGAGTGGGAGGGTTCCTTTAACCCTTCATGTTTTCCAGGATCACAGGACTTGGGTAAAATTCAACATGGTCAGTGACTACATTGGTACAAAGACCAACACATTAAAATAATATATTACAAGACTTTCTTTGACTTAAATGTTCTTTTGTTCTTTTCTCTCTGCCCCCATTTTGTGGGCCCCCAAATTATTATGGGTCCTGGGCACCGTCCCTAATGGATAAGCCAGCCCTGATCTGAGACACAGAGAGGCTGAGGGTCTCTAAGACCACTAAGCTAGCTACAGCAGAGCTCAGACAAGAGCAACTAGGTCTAGACCTCTTTCTACATTTGCGACTATGAAAACTATGGAGAAGGCTCTGCTCAAGAGGTAGGATGAAGGCTTGGGGATGAGGGGATGTGTGGGGATATTAACTTTGATATAAGAACCTGCAGACTTAGAAGGAAAGGATTGGTGAGGGAAATTCATTAAAGAGTTGATGGCTGGGAATGCCTTAACCGTTGACTGTCACAGGCACATCATTCAACAACATTTATTCTGTATCTCCTACGTGCTTGGTGTCCCTGCCTTTACAGAGCTTACAGTCAAGCAGGGGAGGCCAATGCACAAGCAATGGTAGTCAGTTGTGACAAGTGTAATGACAGAGGAAGCAAGGTAATTAGGAGTGAGTAACAAGCACATCTAACCTGCAGGAGGGAAGTGAGAATCCAGAATGGAAATGAACCAGTCCCAAAGGATGCAGAAGGCGAGAGGAGTGCTCTAGTAGGAAACACTGCATGCAGGAAGACCCAGGATATGTGAAGTTTAAGAGATGGAAAACCTGTGATCTTACTTGGGCCTGGCCAAATATCCTTAATATTTGGGAAGCCAGATATCAGTGAAAAAAAGGAGGAGTTAAAATCTCTCCCAACCTGCTTCCAGGAGTATTAGAATCCAAGACTAAGGAGCCAATAGGATTTGGAGGGTAAAGTCATGTAACTGAGAAACCTTAAAAAAAAAAGCAGTGTCTCCCCACCCCACATTTTACTAAACCACCCAGTCATTCAGTTTAGGTACTTAGTCTATTCACAACAGGCTAGGATGCTGGTTTCAATGTTGAATTTTTCACCCACTCTTGATACTTTTAATGGCTTTTCCCTATTCAGAGGCTGCATTTTTTGTTTTGTGGGTTTTCTGCTTTGGGTTTTTGTTTTTGTTTTTGACAGAGTCATGCTCTGTTTCTCAGGCTGGAGTGCAGTGGTACAGCTAGCTGCAGCCTTCAACTCACAGACTCAAGTGACCCTCCTGACTCAACCTCCAGAGGAACTGGTACTACAGGTGCACAGCCACCACGCCTGGCTAATTTTTGTATTTTTTGTGGAGATGGGGGTCTCCTCCTATTGTCCAGGCTGGTCTCAAACTCTTGGGAGCAAGCAATCTATTCACCTCAGCCTCCTAAAGCGCTGGGATTACAGGCATGAGCCACCATGCCTATGCAGTCTTGAGGAAAACGTCCTTCCATCCCTTACCAAAAGATCTTGGATATATTGATTTCTTTTCTTTTGTGTATATATCCAGCAGAGGAATTGCTGGATCATATGGTAGTTTTATTTTTATTTTTTTGAGGAAGCTTCAAACTGTTCTCCATAGTGGTTGTACTTATTTATATTGCCACCAACAATGTATGAGGGTTCCCTTCTCTCCACATCCTTGCCAGCATTTGTTATTGCCTGTCTTTTGGATATGAGCCGTTTGAATTTGGGTAAGATGATATCCCATTGTAGTTTTGATTTGCATTTCTCTGATGATCAATGATGTTGAGCACCTTTTCATATGCCTATTTGTCATTTGTATGCCTTCTTTCGAAAAATGTCTTTTTGGGTCTTTTGCCTATTTTTATATTTATTTATTTATTTAGAGATGGAGTCCCACTCTGACACCCAGGTTGGAGTGCAGTGGTGTGATCTCAGCTCACTGCAGCCTCCACCTCTCGGGTTCAAGTGATTCTCCTGCCTCAGTCTCTGGAGTAGCATCGACTACAGGCACACACCACCATGAGCAGCTAATTTTTGCATTTTCAGTAGAGACAGGTTTTCATCATGTTGACCAGGCTGGTCTCGAACTCCTGACTTCAAGTGATTTGCCCACCTCGCCCTCTCAAAGTGCTGGAATTACAAATGTGAGCCATTGTGTCTGGCCTTTTGCCCATTTTAAAACTGAATTATTATATTTTTTCCTATTGAGTTGTTTAAGCTCTTTAGTACCACCACTACGGAGAATAATTTGGAGCTTTCTCAAAAAACTAAAACTAGAACTACCATATGATCCAGCAACCCGATTGCTAGGTATACATCCAAAAGAAAGAAAATCAGTATATCAAAGAAATATCTGCACTCCTGTGTTTATTGCAGCACTGTTCACAATAGCCAAGATTTTGAATCAACCTAAGTTGTCCATCAACCGATAAATGGATAAGAAAAATGTGGTACATATACACGGTGGAGTACTATTCAGCCATATAAAGAAAGAGATTCTGTCATTTGCAACAACATGGATGGAACTGGAGATCATTATGTTAAGTGAAATAACCCAGGCACCGAAAGACAAACTTCACATGTTCCCACTTATCTGTGGGAGCTAAAAATTAAAACAATTCAACTTATGAAGATAGAGAGTAGGAGGATGGTTATCAAAGGCTGTGAAGGGTAGTGGGGGGTGGGGGAGTCGGGTGGAGGTGGAAATGGTAAATGGGTAGAAAAAACAGAAAGAATGAATAAGACCTACTATTTGGTGGCACAACAGGGTGAATATAGTCAATAATAATATAATTGTGCAGTTAAAAATAACTAAAAGAGTATAATTGGATTGTTTGTAACACAAAGGATAAATGCTGAGGTGATGGAAACCTCATTTACCCTGATGTAATTATTACGCATTGTTTGTCTGTATCAAAATACGGCATATACCCCATAAATATATACACCTACTGTGTATCCCCAAAAACTTAAAAAAAAAAAAAAAAAAGGTTGAGGCCTCATCTCTGCCAATGCCTAGGGTCAAGAGTTCACGTCACCTGGGCTCTTTTGATCTAACCCCCCCTAACTAATTCTCTCCAGCCCTGAGAGGACAGGCAACCGCAGGCTGCTGGCGGGCCTTTTCCAGCCGCCACCGCAAGTGAGAGAAGGAGGGAGGGAGGGAGGGAGGCAGCGGGTCCAGGTTGCAGGAAGGGAGAGCGGGTGCACCCGCCCGCGGGCGGCTGGGGCCAGAGCTAGCCCGGTCCGCGCGCTGCGGGGGCAGGACCGGGGCGGGGCGGGGCGGGGCGAGGCGGGCGGGGCCGGTACCCGTGACCCTAAGGGCGAGACCCGCCAGCCTGCCTGGCCTCTGCCGCTCCTCCGCCCCACGGCTCAGGTAAGGCAGGCACCCCCAGAGCGCAGGTCGGGCTGCCGGGTCCCAGGCTGGTGGTCTTCGTCTGCCCCTGGCTGGTGCAGCCGCACGCCTTCCCGCCTTCAGAGCACGGCGCAGGAGGGGACGGCCCGCGCTTGGATACAGCTGGGCCGGGAAAGAGGGTGGGCGTGCGCAGCGCTATCTCTAACCCCTTCCTTTGCTCTAAGTTCTTGCACTTGGAAACTGGAAAAGTCCCTCTTCAAACTCTTTTCCAGATGTGGCATCAGGAGTGAACAAAGCCGCTCATCTCGCAGTATCCCTACCTATGCTCCTGGGAGGAGTCTACCCCAGATACGGTTAGGGACCTGCCTTTCCCTATTAGGATAATTTCTTGGAACTTGGGAATTGGACTTCTATGGAACGGAATCGATTGAATTAATTTTATTTATTTATTTATTTTTAAAACTTTAATTTTAGGTCGAATTAATTTTAAAGCTGAGTTCAAGGGCAGGGAAAACGACCGGGTGGGCCTAAGCCTGCTGGGGTGTGACAGCTTGGGGCTGTGGGGACGGGGGCTGGCGAAACTTTCCTTGCTCTGCCGCTTGGGCTGAGTCGGCAATAAAGACTGCGGGGACAAGACTTTTGCCCCTTGTAAGGTTGGATGAGAGGCAGGAAGATAAAGGGGGGACTGTCTGTGCTGACAAAATCTGGAAAAGGTGATGCACTGGGAATACTTCCTTTTGGAAACTGGTGCTGACTTATACCATCTTCCCCACTTATTATAGCATTTTTGTATCCATTTCAATACAGTTAACGACGTTCTGTTAAACAAAACGTAGGTGTATGGTACGTTTGTCTTCCCCCGCCCGCACCGCCCCCCCCCCCCCCGCAGTTTTGTGTTAAATGACTTCAAGGTCACCGATTGGAGACTAGGTCACCTGTTGGGGATCTTTTTACCTGAAGTGTTTTCCTCCACCCCTTCCCATTGTCACTGCCAAAACACCATTCCTTTCTTCCCTGTTCAGCTCTCACCACTTACAAACCAGTGAAAAGGAAAGCGGCCACTTCTGTCATGCAAGTACTTGTGGTTAAGTTGGTCTTGTGCAGCTTTTTTTTTGTAAACATCACTTGTTCCTTTGTCTTTTTTTAACTCCTTCAATATTAAAATGTGCCAATAGAGTCTTCTGTAAAGAATGTAAAAGGCTGTAGGAGAAAGGGAAACTGCCCTTGAAGGTGTCTAGTAAAGTGATTTTTTTAACCTAAAAATTAATATTTTATATTGAGTTCCAAAGCTTTCACTTCTTTTGGAAAAGGTATTTTAAAATTATAAGTATTTTGTCAAGAAAATATTAACTAGGCTGGGCGCTGTGGCTCATGCCTGTAATTCAAACACTTTGGGAGGCCAAGGTAGGTGGATCGCTTGAGCTCAGGAGTTCCAGACCAGCCTGGGCAACATAGCAAAACTTCATCTCTACAAAAATCAGCTGGGTGTGGTGGTGTGCGTCAGTCCATAATCCCAGCTACTAGGAAGCCTGAGGGAGTTGGATGACTTGAGCCTGAGAGGTCGAGATTGCAGTGAGCCATGATTGCATGCTTCACTGTACTCCAGGCTAGGTGACGGAGAAAGACCCTGTCTCAAAAGAGAAAAAGAGAGAGAGAGAGAGAGAGAGAGAGAGAGAAAATAAACTCTTAAGTTTCTCCCTGTGTGTGAAATCTTCCATTAACGGTCTCTACCCAATGAACTGAATGCTTTAGAAATCTGACGTTCTAGTTTATACATGCCTACTGGAATGGAAGAGTGCATTTGACTTGTGAAATAACTTAAAGGAACCTTGAAAATAATGGTATCAGTAAGATTTTAAGATTTCAAGTTTGTTGCATTCAGATATCTTTGTAGCTTGACAATTCATATACTCGAAATTTCTGTTATTTAATAATAATAATGTTAGTAATAATGTTGCTCACAATAGAGGATGTCCTTTATGAATAATTCTTTTTTTTAATTTTTAATTTTTTGTTGTTGTTGTTGTTGTTGAGATGGAGTCTCACTCTGTCTCCCAGGTAGGAGTGCAGTGGTACTATCTCGGCTCACTGCACCCTCTGGTCCCTGGGCTCAAGTGATTCTCCTGCCTCAGCCTCTCCAGTAGCTGGGGTTACAGGTGCCTGCCACCATGCCTGGCTAATTTTTGTATTTTTAGTAGAGGTGGGGTTTCACTATGTTGACCAGGCTGGTCTCGAACTCCTGACCTCTAGTGATCCACCTGCCTCGGCCTCCCAAAGTGTTGGGATTACAGGCATGAGCCACCGTGCCTGGCCATTTAGGAATAATTCTATCGCTACATCATAAAAGGTACCTTTCTGGAGGCCTTTTCTATATGTATGGTTATTTTTTCCCAGTTGTTAAGCTTTGTAGATTCAGTTCTTCTCTAGGCTGAATTGGAAGCAGGCAGATGTGGTGGAGACCTGGACTAAAAGTATCTATCTGTGCACTGAGGTCTAGGCCCAGGTCAGCTTTGAAGTCCTTGCAAGACCTCTTCCTAATCAACTTTGGGGACCCAGGAGTTTCTTTATTTACATGTGTCACGTTTATCTTCAAAATGAGAGAGATATCTTTGGTCTGAAAAGACATTTGGGCCCCTTTGAACTTTTCTAAAAAATGCAAATTTTCATTTACAGAGCTAGATATCATTGCTGTAGGGGAACACTGATTCCAGAATTTGCTCTCATTTCCAGAGGCTGTCCTCACATGCTGACCACCACCTCTGCCCCACCTAACCAGCATAGTGCAGTGATTAAGAATTGAGTTTTTCATAGACTGATGGATCTGTTTGTTTCCTAGCTCTGACCTTCGGCAAGTTACTTATGTTCTCCAAGACTCATTTTCTTCATGTTTGGAATAGTGATAATAATGCATATTGATATTATGAGGACCGCATGAAGCAGTGAACGTAATCTAAGCAGCACAGTGTCTACAACTTAACATATAGTCAGTAAGTGGTAGCAATTGTTTACTTTGACACTGACTTTTCCTCTCTCTCTCTGTCTTTTTTTTTTAACAAGTTGAAATTCAACTGGGAGAAATGTAAAGCCCTACACAGTAAGTGTTTAAAACAATAAGCGAGTACAGGATGAGGGAGATGTAATTTACTGAACCAGTCAACCTTTTGGTTAATTGACATTTTGTTGCTTGTGAGTCGGCAGTGAGTTGTGAGGGCCCATGTATTAGTCCTTTCTCATACTGCTCTAAGGACACTGCTCTAAGACTGGGTAATTTATAAAGAAAAGAGGTTTAACTGACTCACATTTCCACGTGGCTGGGGAGGCCTCAGGAAACTTACAATCCTGGCGGAAGTCACCTCTTCATAGGGTTGCAGGAGAGAGAATGAGTGCGGAGCAAAGGGGGAAGCCCCTTATGAAACCATCAGATCTCGCGAGACCTTACTATCACGAGAACAGCATGGGGGAAACCATCCTCATGATTCAATTACCTCCCACTGGGTCCCTCCCACCACATGTGGGGATTATGGGAACTGCAAGATGAGATTTGGGTGGGGATGAAGCCAAACCATATTAGCCCAGAAAGCTGATATGATTTTTAGATTGCTTTAGTATAGATTAGAACACAGAGTCCTGTGAAATCCTTATTCTCCTTAGGGTATCAGTACTCCTACTTTCTTTGTTACCACTTTCTTATGTTAAGAGGAATAATGAATTTCAGAATGGGGGAGTGAGAAGGTGTGGTTGATAGAGACTACCTTTTCTATTAGAGACTGAGCTATGCCCCCCACTTTTTTAGACTGGATATGTAAATTACCAGCTGAATGTTTCAGTAATTGGACTTCCTTGGAGAAACTCTTCTTGATCTCCTCCCAGCAGGGTTAAGTGCAGCCTCTGCTGCGCTCTCTACCTGCTTTGTGGGAACCAGGCCTAGCCCTTCTCTTTCTGCGGTAATGGAGGCCCCATGATCTGTCAGCATCATGGGACAGGAAGTGGGGCCTTCATCTCATTCTCAAGAGGAGAACAGAGTCAAGAACACAGTAGGTGCTTTATAAATCTTTGTTAAATTAATTAACTGCCACTTCCCAAACCACTGTTAAAACAAATTGCTTTATTTTCTGTGATGCATTGCATAGTTTTCTTCTCTTTCTTAAATGTGCAAAACCCTGTGCTAATTCTATATGCCCGCTTTTGAGAATCTATATGCCTGCTTTTGAGAAATACAATGTATTTAGCTGTAATTATTATTTAAAATTGAAAATAAAAATAATTTGTAATAGCATCATTAATTTTTAGTTAAGGGAAATAATGAATGTGATGCCTAATAATCCGTTATGCCACATAGGAGCACAGATAATTATTTCTCCTCTTGTTGAGGAACTGGGATGTAAGCATTTAAAGTATCTTCTTTATATGCATTTTGATTTCCAATTGAACAAAAAAATATAAACAGGAAGGACTTCATTCTTTTTTCCAGTGAGATCACAGAGATAAACCAAGTTAGAGCAACTCTCTTGAATAGCTAATAGCTGTCGCCTGGGGAAGGAGAAAATTATTTTCTGCCTTCCATGTTGATGTATATAGAACATGTGTTCTGAGTAGCTCCTATTTTCACTGCCTCTTTTTCCAGTTGAGGTGCAACATAAACTATTTTAATTAACATTGTGTCACCAAAAGGGGTTGAAATAGCCAATTGAATTCTGCCAAGATAGAGTCTTTTGATGAAAACATATCTTTATTGATTGTGGATGAAGAAAATCATTCTTAAAATGAAATCCAGAGAAAAATCATATCCCTCAGAGAAAATTTCTGAGTGGCAGGCTGAGATTAACATCATAAAATTGAATTTGTGCTGCAAGCCTTTGATGTAATCAGCAGCTGGGAGATGGTGTTGCCCTTGCTGTGCTCTCTCTGATTGTGGTGAATTATTGTGTGGAATGAAATAAGTGTTTCTTGTGTCCCTCCTCCAAGAAATACAAACAAGGTATTACCAGGTAGTTTCTTGCTAGTTAAAATGGGTTGGATCGATTCCAGGCCTCTCAGGCTCTTATACACCCATGAACTATAGGTGTTGGATATTTATTTATGCCCTAGGGACAGAATTTCTTTATATCACTGGACAGTGACTTCTTTGGTCAGTAGAAATCAAGCAGAGAAGAGGGATCCCCTTTGCCACGGATTTTTTTTTCTTAGAATAAGCAGAGGCCAGGATGTTTTAGAAAGTGCCATAGTGCCACATATTGCCTGGTTTTTGTTGGCCTGTAGGTTCAGGCAAGCCCTTTCGTGTCTCCCTCTGCTACCTCTTATGTCATAAACTGCATTGCAGTCACCCCAATGTGGAAATCTCACATTGTGTATTATGAGTCTTTTTCCATGACACTAGTGTTACGATGAGCTTTTTAGTGTTTTTGTATTAAGTTCTGATGCTTTGAAAACATTCTGGCCCATGCATACACTTCCACATACATAATGAATAGGTTTTACAGATTAAGACTCTTAGACTAAACAGTCTTTAGTCTAAGAGTGATTTGGCATCTTAACCACCCCTGTAGTTGAATTTAAGTTGTGTTTGTTTTGTTTTGTTTTGTTTTGTTTCATTTTCTTTAAAGAAATAGGTGGACTGGCTTGTCTGTGTGGAACTGTAAACAGATGATGATGTCATCATTATGAATTCTCACTTTCAAGGCCTTTAAGAAGTGGTATGGGCTTTGAGGTCATACAAATCTAGGGATGTAATCCCTAGGGATGTAGTCGTAGCCAGGGGATTTAGATTTACCTAGCCTTCTTTTCCTAATAACAGTAATGGTAGATGTGTGGATTACTTGAGAAAATGCATAGGAAAGCCACCAGCACAAGGTCTGGAACACAGTTGGCATTCAGTAAACACTTGCTGAATTGAGTATACAACACTGTGCCTTAACACTGAGAAAAGAGGCAAGGATAGTGAAGACAGAAGGTGGGATGTGTTTAGGAATAAGGGAAAGTAGGAAGAGCCAGGACTAGAGAAAATTTTGAATAATCAAGTGGTGAGATAGGGACTATGAAACAGAGGTGGGGCTTATCTTGGCTCATGACAGAAAATCCACAAAGATGTTCACAAAAGCTACAAAGGCTATGGTTCCTTCAGATTATGAGCCTCAAATCCTGTACTTCCTCTACCACTTTTTCCAAACCACCTTGGGATTCTGCATTCATAGCCTTGCTGATGAAAGTCTGTTTTGGCCTAGCTTCTGCTAGAATCCTTTAGTGCAAAAGGTGAGTTTAAAGTCTTCCCTGGCAGGTATTCCTGATTGCTAGGACAGAGTCAGAAAACACTAGAATCGTGGGCATTAGGGAGGCTTCTCCAAATAGGCCTTGTCCATATAGGCCTGTATTTCTGCCTATGGGAGTACCTGCCATTTGCTTATTCTAGGAGGAAAAATGGATTGTTATAATTACAGTGGACTGACTTCCAATGTCAACTTGTGCTGAAACTGAAAGAAGGGAAGTAGATGTCAGGGCCAAGGAAGAAGATAACTAGTCCTTGGAAGAACACAGTATTTTTACACGAGAAGCCAAAGTGTAAGGGATGACCCGTTGACAGCCATGGGAATGAAACTTGGTTTGCTGTTGTGCCTCGGAAATGCTTCTACCAACCTACTTTACGTTGGTTCTTTACATACTTAGGATTTGACTTATAGGTTGTGAATTCCTAGAGGGCAGGAACTTGTGTTTTTTCATCTTTCATTTAGTAGGGCTTTACTAGATACTAATTATTGAATTAATAAATGAATATATTCTTTTCTCAAGGAGCCGATAATGTAGATGGAAAGGAGATTTATTACACAAAGAGGTAGAGAATAGATTTTGGTATATGACCAATTGTGTGATTCAGACTAAAATTTAAATATATGTTTCAGGAATTGATACATGTGTTACTGAGATCTGCATTCTGACTCGAAAGAAACAAAGTCTGTCAAATGCTGTATTACTTTTCTAGGAATGTATAACAAAGTACCACCCACTGGGTGACTTACACAACAGAAATGTGTTGTCTCACAGTTCTGGAGGCTGGAGGTCTGAAATCACAGTGTCAGCAGGGTTGGTTCCTTCTGAGGGTGAGACGAAGGTTCTGTCCCATGTCTCACTTAGCTTCTCGTGGTTTGCTGTCAATCTTTGGTGTTCCTTGGCCTGCAGAAGTCACCCCAACGTCTGCCTTCACCTTTACCTGACTTTCTCTGTGTGTGTGTCTGTCTGCACATTTCCTTGTTTTATATGACTACCAGTCAGATTGGATTAGGAGCTCACCCCAATCCAGTATTACCTCATCCTCACTTAATTAATTATAGCCACAATGAGCCCATGTCCAAATAAGGTCATACTTGGAGGTACTCCGAGTTAGGGCTTCAACATATAAATTTTGGATAGGCTCAATTCAACTCATATTAGATGAGAATGTGGCAGATTTTTGAAAAAATCAAATTGTTTTTTAAATTTAAATTACTTTACTTTGCCAATTTGATACTTTTGAAGTTTTATCTTTATCTCTCCTACTTAATTCACTTAATAGATGGGATCTACTGTAAGTTATGAATGATAGAATGAAGAATTATAAATGACAAGAATTTCATTTATCGGAATATTGTTTACTTAGCAGGATTTATGTACAGATTTTGAGATTTGAAAAACCTTCTGATAATAGAGTCTAATATTTATTGAATGCTTACTAATTAATGATTTCCAAGGATTATTTACTCACATCAACCTTATTAGATTGATATTATTATTTATCCTCATTTTATTGATAAAAATCCAACACAGAGTTGTAAAATAACCTTCCCAAGGACATAGATTGGTAGAGTTGGCATTTGAATCCAGGCTCACTGACTGGAGGGCCTGACCCACCGGTACATGCTGTCTCCTTACTCATTACGGCTGGGTGCAATAGATAATTGATCCCCTTTCCTGGATGACAAAATAAGCTCATTGGGTCACAAAACCAGCAAATGTATAAGATTTGTGATTTAAACTTAGGCGTTACAGACATATCTTGGAGATATGGTGGGTTCTGTTGTAGGTTTGATTCCAAGCGTCTCTAATAAAGTGAATATTGCAGTAAAGCAAGTCACACAATTTATTTTGGATTCCCAGTGCATATCAAAGCCTATTAAGTATACGATAATATAATATCTAAAGTAACAATGTGCATACTGTGATTAAAAGTACTTTATTGCTAAAAAGTGCAAATGATCATCTGAGCCTTCTGCAAGTTGTACTTTTTGCTGGAGGAGGGTCTTGCCTCCATGTTGATGGCTGCTAATTGATTAGGGTGGTGGTTTGCTGGAGTTTGGGGGTGGTTCTGGCAATTTCTTAAAATATGACAATAATGAAGTTTGCTGCATTGATTGACTCTTCCTTTTGTGAAAGCTTTTTTTTTTTTAAAGTAGTCTCACTATGTTGCCCAGGCTGGTCTCAAACTCCTGGCCTCAGGTGATCCTCACACCTCTTAGCCTCTCAAGTAGCTGGGATTACAGGCATATGTCACTGTGCTCAGACCTTTTGTGAAAGATTACTCTGTAGCATGTAATGCTGTCTGATAGCCTTTTACCCACAGCAGAACTTTTTCCAAAATTGGAGTCAATCCTTTTAAACCCTGCTACTTTACCAACTAAGTTTATGTAATATTCTGAATGTTTTGTTTTCATTTCAGCTATGTTCATAGCATCTTCACCAGGAGTAGATTCCATCTCAAGAAACCACTTTCTTTGCTCATTCATAAGAAGCAGCTTCTCATCCATTTACATTTTATCAAGAGCTTGTAGCAATTCAGTCCCTCTTCAGACTACTTTTAATTCTAGTTCTCTTGCTATTTCCACCACGTCTGCAGTTACTTCCTCCACTGGAATTTTGAATCTCTCCAAGTCATCTATGAGGGTTGGAATCAACTTCTTCTCAACTCCCGTTAATGTTGATATTTTGACTTCCTGCTATGAATCACAAATGTTCTCAAGGCACCTAAAGTGGTGAACCTTTTCCAGAAAGTTTTCAATTGACTTTGTCCAGGTATATCAGAGGAATCTCTACCTATGGCAGCTATAGCCTCACAAAATGTATAGCTTAAATAGTAAGAGTTGAAAGTCAAAATTACTGTTTGGTCCATGGGCTGTAGAATGGATATTATGTTAGCAAGCATGAAAACAGCATTAATCTCTTGTGCATCTCAGAGCTCTTGGTTGACTCGGTGCATTGTCAATGAACAGTATTGTTTTGAAAGGATTTTTTTATTTTTTCTGAGCAGTAGATCTCAACAATAAGCATAAAATACTCAGTAAACTATTCTGTAAATAGATGTTTTGTCATCCAGGCTTTCTGGTTCCATATACAGAGCACAGGCATTATTCTTAAGGGCCCTAGAATTGTTAGAATGATAAATGAGCATTGGCCTCAACTTAAAGTCACCAGCTGCATTAGCCCCTAACAAGACAGTCAGCTTGTCCTTTGAAGCTTTGAAGCCAGGCATTGACTTCTCCATTCTAGCTAGCAAAGTCCTAGATGGCATCTTCTTCCAATAAAAAGGTGTTTCATCTACATTGAAAATCTGTTGTTTAGTATAGCCACCTTCATTAATTATCTGAGTTTAGAGCTTCTAGATAACTTTCTGTAGCTTCTCCATCAGCACTTGCTGCTTCATCTTGCACTTTCATTTTATGGAGGAGGCTTCTTTCCTTCAATCTCATGAACTCAGCTAGCTTCCAGCTTTTCCACTGCAGCTTCCTCACTTCTTTTAACCTTCATAAAATTGAGGAGAGTTAGAGTGCTGCTCCGGATTAGTGTTTGACTTAAGGGAATGTTGTGGATGGTTTGATCATCTTTCCTGATCATTAAAACTTTCTCCATATCAGCAATTGTTTCGGTCTCTGATCATTCATGTATTCACTGTAGTAGCACTTTCAGTTTCCATCAAGAACTTTTCCTTTGCATTCACAATTTAGCTAATGGTTTGGTGCAAAAGGCCTAGCTTTAGACCTGTCTTGACTTTCAACATGTCTTCCTCACTAAACTTAATCATTTTTGGCTTTGATTTAAGGTGAGAAAAGTGCAACTCTTCCTTTCACTTGAACACTTAGAGGCCATTATAGGATTATTAATTGACCTAATTTTAATAGTGTTTTGTTTCAGGGAACAGAGAAGACTGAGGAGAGGGAGAGAGGAGACAGGGGAATGGCCAGTTGGTGGAACAGTCAGAACAAAAACTTAATTTACCAATTAAGTTTGCCATCTTATATGGGCATAATTTATGGCACCCCAAAACAATTACAGTAGTGATATTTACGATCACAGACCACCACAACAGATATAATAAAAATGTTATTGACAAAGTTTGAAATATTATGAGAATTACCAAAATGTGATACGGAGACATGAAGTGAGCACATACTGTTGGAAAAAATGGTGCCTATAGATTTGCTCAAGGCAGGGTTGCCACAAACCTTGAATTTGTAAAAAAACACAATTATCTGAGAAGTACAATAAAATGAAGTTTTATTCCCTCCCCTGGGGGAAATCCTTCCCAATTTTGGCTTCGAGCTCTAATTGTGCTCCCTCCCTGGACACTCTTGCATTTACATTAACATAGCACCTATCACACTATGGGATGATTCAGGGCAGGCCTGTCTCCTTAGACACCAGTAAGCTCCTTGAGGTCTGTGACTTGCTTTGTCTTTCTTGTCTACATCCCTAGAATCCTTGCACAGTCTCTGACATGTAGCAGATAATAAATATTTTTAAACTAAATATATGTAAACAAAGGCAAAGGGACCAAAGAAGAGAAATCAGTTGAAGACAAAATAAATATTAATAAAGGAAGTAATTGAGTTGATAGAAGATGAAATCTGGAATAAAGGTAAAAATGTTATCAGAGGAGACTAGTATGGATATCTCAGAAGAAAATAATCTTAAAAATAAGAAAAAGTGATGGAATGTTGAAGTAATGAGGAAGCTCATGTATGAGAGACTTGATTTTCTTGGTTAATTGAAAGAAAGGATCATCAACTAAGAGTGCTGGGATATGAGGAACTACCTCAGTTAGGGTGGAGTTTTGAAAGGTAGAGGAAAGGATTTGACTATGACGGAGGATTAAAGCTACGTTTCCCAATGTGATTTTAGGTAGTACATACCAAGTATTTGTGTTAATAGACAAGTATTTCTTTTAATGTGTATTTTAAAAATATAACCTGTACATTAAACCTCATGATTTTATGGACACTTATGATTAAGGTGATTCCAAAACAAATATACTTATGTAGCTTAATTTCTTCTTACCTAAGTTTAATTAATACTTAAGGCAAGTTAATTTAAAGAGAGATATTAGGCAAACAGTTTTCCAGATTGTTTTTGGATATGGGAAAGAAAAACATGAGTCAAGACCAGAAATAGGTTTGCAGAATTTATACACACGCAAAACAATTGTTTTGTCTAGTAGCATGAATACTTAGTTAAAATTAATCCAAAGATGACTCCATGGTAAATATTTTGAGGGCAAGGATGGTGTTTTTCTGTTCTTTGTGTTCTCTGCAGCCCAACCCACCACCTGGCTATATTTAGTTCTCAATAGATATTTGTTGAATTTACTTAAGAATGGTCTAGGACAATGGTATTTTTTGTTTATGTTAGCCACATCTAAGTAAAAAAAAAAAAAGATTTTCACTGTAAATAGAGGGTTAAATGTGGTATAAGCTAAATACATATCCACTTCTTAAAGCCTGAACTTTGAGCTTTAGACAAGGGGATTGTAGTTTTTTCAGTTTGTTTGTTCACTAATTGAATATAAATAAAAGTGAGGTTACTACCCAGAAAGAATTGAATTGTTCTCTCATACTTCTCTTACCACATCTAATGCTCATTTCCTTGACAATGACTAGAATTAGACACCCTTGGCCTTTCTTTGAATGTGTCAGCTCTGTTGCACTACAGCTTATTGAGCGAGGAGGTGAAGTTTGAAGGCAATACTCTGTGAAAATCTTTGACTCACAAGTCTGGAAGAGCTGTGAGCTGTGATGGAAACCTCATCCATGTAATGAAAGAGATGTGATTTCTTGGCTGTTTTGCTTTATATGTGTTCCAGGTCATGAGTGTTTGGAATTCAAAGATTAATTTGCACATTTGTTTAATTCCTCCTTTGATCTCTGGGCTGTTTCAGCTTTGACTTTACCTGCTAAGATATTCTCTATCTAAAACACATTATTTTCTAGAGTTTACTAAGTAGCAGTTAATTACTCAGTAACAACATTTTTGGAGGAGCTTGGCGTTGATGTTGGTTAGGGGTTAATTCCGAAATAGTCATGTTCCAGTGGGTTGACCAGACAGAATGTTATGTGTTATTTAAATATGCCTTGGACACTCTTTGACCTCATAAAATTTATTTTTTTACCTTTTCTAAGGAGTGATCTAATTACAATCTGTTGATAAAATAATAACTTTGGCTTCAGGAGCATTTTCAAATAGATTTTGGGTGGACAGGGCTTCTGCTGACCCATGCCAGCTTGGACTGGTATGTTCTCATGGACTGAAGTCAGGCCCTATGGACTGCAGAGGCTGCTTGGTTCATAGTCTTCTACGGTTAAAGTAGATCTCATTCTGGCCTACCAGAACACCCAGTTACTTTCTCCAGCTTTCCTCAGTTTCCTTGAGTTCTTTGTTCCTTCCTAAAGCTCAACTTTGCCCTTTCCCAAACTGTTTCCACTTACTAGCTAGCTGTGTGACACTGGCCAAGCCACTTTACTCTGCTGTCCTATCTATCCATTTGTTTCATCAAGTTTATTAGGGTAAATTTATAATACATTTAATAAACTGCATACTTTTAAAGTGCACAATTCCAAATTGAGTGTACAGTTTTCACACCAAAGCTCTTTTTATCTCCACCTAAACTCAAACTTTTAAAAGCAAAACTCCCTCCTGGGATAAAGATGACCAAGGTATGTTTTCTGGAAAAAAAAAATCTTTAAGTAATTCATCTTTGCCCCTCACAGTACCTATGAGTTTTGAAGAAAGTAGGTGGGATTCTTCTCCACTTAAGAGATGGGATTCACAGAGGTCACATAACTATAAGTGGCAGATCTGAGATTCAAACCCAGGCCTATTTTATCTCAAAGCTCATATTATTCACTGCTGTACTATATTTACTTTCCTCTTAGTGTTTATTCTGGTTAGGATGTTATTGTCAAAATTCATGCATTGTAACCAGGAACTTTATCCTTTGTGTTTCTAGTGGGCTGTCCTCAGTCAAGGGGTTTGAGATTTGTCTATGTTTGTGAGGTTGGTAAAGCAGACTCAGTGTCTGGGTGTGTCCCTGAAGACAGCTATTTATGACAAGGTAAACAATTCCAGTGTCCAGTAGACACCACCCACAAAACCACATTTGCATCATACTCATTATTCTGCTACCCTCAGACAAGTCAGAAAGATAAAAACAAATTGTTACGGGGAAGAAGATGAAGGCGGGCTGGAGGATGGGAGCTGTAATGGCGTGTTGTCCTTCCTTGTTCTTGCCAGGTATTGTATTTATGGAGAGAGGATCAGGAAGTGTCAGTTCAGCTTTTAAAGGCAATGAAGGCCATGTTGGAGCCTGGATGAATAAGAGGTTTATTGCTCTTGTTTTGCTTGATTTTTTTCTTTTTTTAGAACAACCAAAATAACGAAGGAATTTCACATCGCAAATCCCTAAGAATTTCCGATGGGCAAGACAAGGGCATCTTTGCAATTGTGTGTAAGGAGCAAGTTCTGGATGGGCTGTTAGTAAACCTGGTTCAGTTTCTGTCTCGGCCACTCATTTCTTTGGTTACTTTGGCCAAGTAACCAACTTCCCTGGGCCTTCATTTACTCATCTGTAGAAGGAAAGAGCGGTAATTGTGATCTACAAGGCTCCTTTTTGTCTTCAGCTTAGAGATACCAGAGACCCTACTATGCCTACAGGTCCTAGTTATATTTGAATTTCAGATGAAAAATACGTATTTTCTATAAGCATGTCTCATACAATAAACAATAATTTTTAGTATAACCATGTCCCAAATATTACATAGTGTATACTATACAAAACTTATTTGTTGTTCATCTGAAATTCACATTTTACTAGGCATTTTATATCTTTATTTGCTAAATCTGACAACCCTAATTTGGCTTGGAGTCATTGATTTAAAGATCATCATATAGTTTAGAAGTAATAATAACAAATTGTATATTTTCATGGCCAAATATTCCAGCATATAGCCACAGTATTTTCAAGAAAAGAAACTGTAGTGTCAATACTGTAAAAGTAAAGGAAGGAAATCTCACACTCTCAAAGGTATTGCTAGAAAGTGATAGTCAAAATCTCTATCCACAGTACAAAATTATAGTGATTCATTGCCTCATCCAGTCAATTCATTCCATATGCTGAGTGCTGATTATGAACAAGGAATAATGATAAAAGTTATCTATGCAGAATCACCTATACCCCCATCAGTTCTCCAAGGTAATTTTTTTTTTCCATTTTATAGATAAGAAAACTGAGGCTCAAAGAATATTTGCAAGTTACTAAGGTGTGGGAAAGGAAGGCAAAACTTTATCTGACTCATTCTATTAATATTTTCTTGCCCTTTTTTTTTTTTTACAATAAAGTATAGTTTGAATTAAAATAATACAAATAGTGGCATGCTGGATACAACCTAATGATGAACTCAGAATCAGAAACTTTATATTTCTGTGTATTTTGGTAGAACATGAAGAGAGGAACTGGGGTGGTTACGTTCCCCAGAATATACTTCTTCCAGAGCAAGACTATGCTTTGGTCCTAGGAAGGTCACACCACCTTTCCTCCACTTCCTCATCAGCAGAATAAGAGTTCAGCTTTACATTCTTCACATCTCTTCCAATTTCTAGTGAACTCTTGCTTCAGTATCCAGGTCAAACACATCATATAAGAAATATTACTGAATGTCATCTATGTGTTAGGCAGTGTGCCAGGGACTAGGGATCAAACAATGAAAAGACATACCCACCTTTTTCCAGCTGTAATGTACAGTTTTGCAAAGTGTCCCCATGCTGGTGATTTGAGAGGCCCTATGGTTTAGGAGGTGATTGGGAAGTTAATGTTGCTAGAGTAGGTAGCCTATTGCTATTTCTATTTCAAAATATATTATTTAAAGAAATTTTCACTTTAAAGCAGAACAGTTTGGGAGCTGGCAGGTCATCCTGTGAGTGCGCAACAGTCAGTGGCTATCAGCAGGACTGCATTACTGGGAGGTTTATTTCTTAGACGTGGATATAGTTTTGTGAGCTCAATAATGGTTTGAGCCCTCTACGGCTTTAAATTATTTATATTTCTAGACAAGTTTTATGTAATTCAATGCTTCTCATCCTTCTTCATATCAAAGCATAAACATAGAAAATAATTATTTTCGTATACACCAGGTTGAAAGTTTCAGTTCCTCTCACCCCTATAAACTCTTCATAGCTCATTATGTACGATGGCATGCTGATGGGAGGCCCTGATTTAGCTGATTTGTATCACAATAGAGTGTTGGTTATAGAAAGGAGCACAGGGAACTCCGTTACTAAAATCCTGTGTCAATGAGAATGAAAACAGAAACGTTACTGCACATTTACTACAAGAAGGTATTCCTTTGATCTGAAGAGAAGATTCATTTGATAAATTTTTTTTTTTTTTTTTTGAGACGAGTCTCGCTCTGTCGCCCAGGCCGGGCTGCAGTGGCGCGATCTCAGCTCACTGCAAGCTCCGCCTCCCGGGTTCACGCCATTCTCCTGCCTCAGCCTCCCAAGTAGCTGGGACTACAGGCGCCCACCACCACGCCCGGCTAAGTTTTTGTATTTTTAGTAGAGACGGGGTTTCACCTGTTAGCCAGGATGGTCTTGATCTCCTGACCTTGTGATCCACCCATCTCGGCCTCCCAAAGTGCTGGGATTACAGGCGTGAGCCACTGTGCCTGGCCTGATAAAGATTTTTATGTGGAATATCAAGCTATCACTAGTACTTTAAAAATCAATATTAAAACCGGAAATCCTAATGATTTGGAACATTGCATATGGCTTTTTCTAGAAAGTAAAAATATTCATGAACTTCCTATATTTCGAATGGCTAAAAATCATTCGCAAGTAACGATTTGAAACATCTCTTATTTAGAAACAAATGTGGAAATTATAAACATGAACAGTTTTACTTTATTAACTATAAAAGGTAGGAAGTCCCAAAATATATCACAAATGCTGTTTTGGTCTTATTTGATATATACCTAAATTTCAATCTATATTAAATATGTAATACTAAAATAACATGCTTAAATTTAATATTATGCTTTTATTTCATCGTTATGTATAAATTGCAGTGATCTATATATAATTAAACTCTATAAATTAAACTCTATAAAAATCAGCTTTTTAACACTTTCATAATTATTACACCTAAAATAAATTTTTTCTTAGAATTATTTTTTTCATTATGCCACCAAGAAATGACAAAATTGTATACATACATAATGTGAAAATGGTAGGATATACATAAATGCAACTACATAACTAGCAAGTAATTCATTTACATTGTTTTTTTACCTACTGGCTGTGAGCTTCCTGAAGCCCATTCATCCTTTCATCCTGAGAATCCAGTGTGGTATCTGAGTAGGCTGCAGTCAAGAATTTGTGTAGGAATTATTTGAGAGTTACTTAAGAGAAGTTTTATGTCTGTATGTTTGGTTGTTTATATAATTATTTCCATAGCTGTATTGATTATATGATAAAATGTTGATTACATTGCTTATATGTTACAAAATGCAATATCAAAATATACTTAGTACTAAGATGTACTAAGTACATTTATTTACTATTTGTATTTACCAAGTATTTACGTACAAAGTGTAATGTACTACAGTATTGTTGTTTGTCCTGTGACTAGAGATCCCCGTGAGAGAAATTCATTTGACCTCTATAATATAGTCTCTAACTTTATCCCTATCTGTGGCTATGATGCCTATTTTTTTTTCTTAGCCAAAAGGCCAAGAAGTAATGCTATATTTCTTTCTCAGTGTACACTTATTTTCTCCAGTGAAAGTATTTATTTTGAATTGCCTTTAAATAGATGAGATTTAAAAATTATCCTACAAAATCCTACCAGCTTGCTTTAGACACCCAAAATATCATTCAGGTACTCAAATTTGGTATACAATAATTATAAATTGAGGGCTATGATAGAGGTTTGTAATCTTTTTCCAAAGACTTCTTTAAAACTTGTCTAGACACATAATTATTTGAAACACAACAGGTGTACTTCTGTCAGGAACATAACTTTCTCCTCCGCACCACAGAGATTCTATAGAGAGTTTTTAATAAAATGGTTTTTTCCTTTGAGGTTTATTTTCACTTAGAGATTCCTAGGGAATTATTAGGGATATCAGAAGACATGGATTTGCTTTCTATCCTATTGATAGCAAGACACTACGTTTCTGGGGTTACTTTTTAAATTTTGCTGGGGAAAGATAAAGAGTCTGAAGAAAGTGACTTCTGATATGTGCAAGCTTTTAATCAGTTCTTTCTCCTCACTGTACAATTCATTTGGTCTTTCTCAGAATCTCAGAATTAGAAGTGATCGTAAGAATTATCTAGATCAAGCCAGATGCAGTGGCTCATGCCTGTAATCCCAGCACTTTGGGAGGCCAAGGCTGGCAGATCACTTGAGGTCAGGAGTTTGAGACCATCCTGGCCAACATGGTGAAACCCGATCTGTACTAAAAATACAAAAGTTAGCTAGGTGTGGTGGCAGGTGCCTGTAGTCCCAGCTACTCGGGAGGCTGAGACAGGAGAATCGCTTGAACTTGGGAGGCAGAGTTTGCAGTGAGCAGAGATCGTGCCACCACTCCAGCGTGAGTGACAGAGCAAGACTCTTAATCCAAAAAAAAAAAAAAATCTGGATCACATTTCTCATCATCAGCTTTCTTATAAGTGAGGGGGGGATTACATTAATGATCCAAGGCCACTTGCTCTAAATCCTATGGGAGTTTATGAGTAAAATATGCAAGGTAATATAATGATAGCATAATATGTATATTTTTGCCCATATGCTTTTGTTTACATCATTGTATTTGTTCCTCATAAGAATAGTGAAATGTAGGCAGCTCAGGTGGTAGTAACCTAATTTTACTAATTACGGTATTTACAATGTGGTAATAACGGTTATAAATGGTAAAAGCAGCCCTGGAAGTACGTCTCTGAATTTCAGGTATGTTGCACTACACATAGCAAATCTGGATTGTTCGAGATCGATTCTAGGGATCTGATTTCTTGTGGCTTTGACCTTGGTCCATTTTGTTTTCTAATTTGGTTGTGTTAGGAATCCTGTGGCTATAAAGGTTTTTAACCTGTGAAATGCTTTGATTTACTTTCACCTCCATAAACTCCAAATTCCTTGTCTTTTAACAATACAATAACATTTGTAAATATTTGAATGGGGGGATGTTTTATCATACGTGAGTCTTTAGAACTATATCCTGTGAAACTGCTCTGGGCCCTGCAATTATAGCAATAGACAAATGAGACAGAAGTCTCTGCCCTCAGAAAATTTATAATCTACTGAAAGTGAAGTTGATGTCAGTTTAATTTGAATAAGAATAAAGCAAAAGTGTTATGGTGAAAAAGTTTGACATATGGATTATCCAGAAGTATGAGAGCCAAAATAAAAATAATAGTAGTAAGTTATTAGTATTGCTCTCTGCTCCACACTGTGTGCATGATCTCATTTCATTCTCACAACAACCCTGTAAGGTATCTTTATTGTTCACATATTATAGATGAGGAAACTGAGGCTCAGAGGGACAAAATGGCTCAAATTTAAGTCTAGCCTGATTCAAGTTTACACTCTTAATCCACTCCCTCTCTTTTGGTATACAGAGCTTAAAAATAATGAAAAGAGGAATTTATTCAACCAATATTTATTTTGTCCCTATCTTCAAAGCACTGTTCTTCAGGCATTGTAGGGAATAGATGAGTGATTAAGAAATGATTCCCATATTTCAGAAGGAATGTAGAAGGAAGAAGCATCAAAATTAGTTGAATCGTGGCTCACGCCTGTAATCCCAGCACTTTGGGAGGCGGAGGCGGGCGGATCACGAGGTCAGGAGATTGAGACCACGGTGAAACCCCGTTCTCTGCTAAAAATACAAAAAATTAGCCGGGCGCGGTGGTGGGCGCCTGTAGTCCCAGCTATTCGGGAGACTGAGGCAAGAGAATGGCGTGAACCCGGGAGACGGAGCTTACAGTGAGCTGAGATCGCGCCACTGCACTCCAGCCTGGGCGACAGAGAGAGACTCCGTCTCAAAAAAAAAAAAAAAAAATTAGTTGAATCAATTTTTTTCAGTAGAAAAGAATATTTTCTGCTATGGGATAGGCAATATGCTACGTAAGTAAGGACTGATCTCTATCCTTGGGGGAAGTGTATCACTTCATTAAGGGAGACATCAATGCAGAGCGGATAATTTTCAGGGAGATACAAAACCGGAATACAGGTGACTAGTTACTGGGTAGACAGTGTTGCAAAGATTCAAGTAAGAGAAGCTAATTTTCCAGAGCAATAGGAATATAAATACTGCACCTCAAGAGTTATTTATCCCTTAGTGTAATGTTAATCATTACAAATATATTAATTACCTGGCAAATGTTCCTCGGAATTTCCTTCTCCTACTGTTCTACTCAGCAGGGTGGGTGAATTTCTTTGACTAGTTTCCTAGGTAAAGTTTAAAAAATGACACAAGTCCTTGGACAAGAGCCAAAGTGCACATTGCCCGTAAAAAAATGCCCAGTTTCCTTTGGAGCAGTGTGACCCAGAAGCTTTCCCTTGTGTATCACTATTTAATTCTTAGCTAAGCACACGTTAGCCAAGCCAAGAATGAAGGTCAAATGATTTTTGTATGGTGATTTTCGTTGTCTCAATACTAAAAGCTGTGGTGAAAAGAGCAATACAAAGTCAGGAGCAGTAGTTCTTAGGAGCAGAATGTTAAAACACGCCCATGTGTGTCCTTCTCACTACCTGCTTTGCAGTCTTCACTTGTATCCAATTTATCTGGTATTCATGAGAGTGAGCTTTTCCCCAAAGGTGAATTTTCCTTGTCAATGAAACTTACTATCTATTTAACTCTTGTCTTAGAAATAGTTAAAACTGCTAGTTTCTACTTCCCCCTCTTCTTATAGTAGAGTATATTGGACATCTCAGCATCTTTTATTCAGACAGGTGGTTGCCATCAGAGGCAGTAATTGTCCGGGCCTTAGAGGACTGCGGAGCCCTCAGGAGTGATAGAGATGTAGGCCAATTTGCTCTTACACTAAGGGTCCCAGGACTGCCAGATTCTGCGGCTTTAATGGCAGGTTTTGTGGGCTTTTTGATCTCCTTTCTCTTTGCCGATTCACTTTTTTTTGATGCTTACTTCAGTTGAAAATCATTATGTTCCTACTTTCTTCACTTCATTCTCCTTCTGTCTCTCATCTGTTGATTTTGATATAAATGAGCTGTTAAATGAGCTGTCATTTTGCTTTACTTAGGAGAATTTATGTAGGTTTGTCCTATGTGCTTTCATATATAAGAATGTATCTGTTAATTCCCCAAGATTACACCCAATATGAAGTTTTTGCTAAAATAAATGTGTGTGTGCATAATTTTACATATTTTATTCCATTTTAATGGTTACAAGTATTTGTGTTTCTATTTCTTATTCATTCAGATTTAATAATCTGTGTTTTCTGGCTGGGTACAGTGGCTCACGCCTGTAATCCCAGCACTTTGGGAGGCCATGGTGGGCAGATCACCTGAGGTCAGGAGTTCAAGACCAGCTTCGCCAACAAGGTGAAATGCCATCACTACTAAAAATAAAAAAATTAGCTAGGCATGGTGGTGGGTGCCTGTAATCCCAGTACTCAGGAGGCTGAGGCAGGGGCAGGGGCAGGAGAATCCCTTGAACCCGGGAGTGGAGGTTGCAGTGAGCCGAGATCACGCCATTGCACTTCAGCATGGGCGACAAGAACGAGACTCCATCTCAAACAAACAAACAAACAAACAAACAAAAACAAAAAAAAGGCTTGTGATCTATATTTTCTCTAAAAATTATTTCACTTACCTTTCCAAATTTTTAGCATTAAGTTAATAATATTCTCATTTAAGATATCTGAGTTTACTCATTTTCTCTGTATATTAATTTTGATGTTTTTAGGGCCTTCCTTATCAAACTTGCCATAGATTTCCTCATGTTATTTCTCTTTTCAAAACCTGGGTTTCATTTGTAGATTATTTCTTATATGTTGTTGTTTTTATAATATATATGGTTTTGTCTACATTGTTTCCTTTTGCATTCTTTGTATTTACCCTGCTCTTCTTTTATATAAGATTTTAATTTGGCTGTTATTTACTTATTAATTTGCTGTCTTTTTTCTTACTGATGTATTTATGTGTTTAAGGCTGTAATTTTTTTAATACAAAACCTACATTTGGCAAATTTTATTATACAACGTTTTCATACTTTTGAGTCTTAACTACATCGAATTTATATTATGTTTTCTTGGTAGCCCAGGGATCATTTAGAATTTTTTTTAGTTTCCAAACATTCAGACAGGGAATATTTTAAACTTTTGTGTTATGCATATGTTACAGGAGTGGGGAAGGAGGCAATTTCAGATTTTTATTGATTGTGGTCAGATAATGTTTCCTAAATGGTATTAATCCTTTTAGATGTTTTGGGACCTGTTTTGTGGTCCAGGAGGGTCACAGTTTTATAAATGTTGTATGCGTGGTCTCATTGAAATGTATTTTTATTTAATTCCTAGATGCAGGAATCTATATATTTTTGTGATGTTACTAATACAAATTATGTGGTTCAAGTATTTAATATCCTTAAATTTTTGTTGTCTGCTTGATCTGTTTATTACTAATTGAAACATGTAAAATCTCTCCGTGTCACAGTTAATTTACCAGCTTTTCTTAGTAATTATGCTATATTGTGTTTTATGTATTTTGAGACTCTGCTGTTGAGTATCTAGAGACTATTATCCTTTTCTGGTGAATGACTTATTTAATCATTATATAGTGACCACCACCTCCCCCAACAGTGGTTTTGCTTTAAAGCCCATTTTGTCCAGTATTACATCAGTTTTCTTTTATTACTATTTGCCTGGTACATTATTATTCACCTCTTTATTTTCAACCTTTCTACGTTAATATTTTAGGAATCTTTTGTAAGTAAGATATAGTAGGATATATTCTAATTGATAATTTTTGTCTTTTAACTAGCAAGTTTAATCCATTTATTCATTCTGTTGCTAACATTATTTATTCCGATGCTCAAATTGTCCATGGTTTGGCCTGTGGGAGGTCCTTCAAGCAGACTTCTGTGTTCCTTTGATATATCCTCACTATTTGAGCACTTCCTTGTTTTAACAGCAATTTAGTCCAGTAGCATCTTGTGTTTCCCTGCTCCAGGCCTGGAATCAACCAGTTTCCCAATAAAACCTGATTCCTTTTTAGTAGAGAATAGTATTTAGAGATGCTATGTAAGCTCATTGCTATTGGAGTGTTGCTTCTCCCAAGACTCCAGCTAACAGAGATGGCAAGTCTGTGTGTGTGTGTGTGTGTGTGTGTGTGTGTGTGTGTGTGTGTGTGTTTTACATCTACCTTTGTTTTACACCAGTTCCTCTAATTCGACTCCAGTACCACAGGGATCATTCAAGTTTTTTCCTTTCCATATTTCTAACTCTTTTTTTCTAACAGTAAGAAATCTGATTCCTGTTATAAATAAGCAATATACTAATTATTTGCCATCAGTCTGTTATGTAACCAATTTCCTGTAAACGTGCTACCCTGTCCTCTGTGTGGATGCCCTCCTGATCATTTTCTGGCTTTAACACTTCTTGTGGACCTGTCCACTGCCTAATATGTGAAAATCCTGCTTATCCCTGTATTCCTTTACTACATCTGATTACATTTTCAGGCAGCAACTTTTCTCATCCTACAAGTGCTCTCAGGATGCTCAACACCCCTCAGTGTGCATGCCTTCCTATCCTCCTTGGGCTTCAACACTTTGTGCCAGACCATCCTTGTAAATTGATGTCCTCCTCACCCTGCCCAAGCTCTGGCCCCTCACAGCAGGGCCACTTCCTTCACTGTCCTCACCCCTGTTAGGCTCATGACACTCCTTGTTGAGGAACCTCATTATGTGAGCTCCTTTCTCACTTGTTCCTGCTCCAATACCCAGTGCCAGACAGCCCTGTATACATTACTCCTCTTCACCCTCCTTGGAGGCTGCACCTTACATGCAGCTGCCCCCACATTTGGACACCTCACTCACCATCCCTGGCCTCTGACTCCACTGTCTTCCTATCCTGATGCCCTCCTCATACTATTTGAACTCCAACACTCCACTCTTGCTCTGTTCTATTAATATTCCATGGCTTTAGGACTGAATTAGCAAAGAAGGGAAAGGGTTCTATCATTTTTGGAGCTTATATTAGATAAATATTGGGTCTTTTCACTTAGCATCTATATCTCTTAACATCTCTGATTTATCTTAATGTCTCTGAATTCTTTTTACTCAACATTTTCATTTTTTTTTAATGACTTCTTGCTGTATTCTGGGAAATTTCCTGAAAATTGTATTCAAGTTAATTATTCTCCCTTCACTTGGGTCTATTCTGATTTGTCCTTTTGAGATTTGTTATATTTTAACGATTATGTTTTATTTCTAGAAGTAATATTTGTTTCTTTTAAAAGTCTACCTTTTGTAGGTTTTTTCTTTGGGTTTTTAATTTCATCTTTTGTCTATTTATTGATTTATAATAATTTATTATATTTGTTCTTCTTTTGAAATATGTTTTAGATTGTTCACTTATTATTAGTTCCTGGGGTACTAATCTTTCTGTTTGCTCATGGTTTATCTTGAATGTTTTATAATTTTTTATTGTAAGATTATTTGCTACTGGGGCTAATTGTTTTACAGAAATCTCGTTCACTCTTGATAGTGAGAGTGTCTTTCAGAATGCCTTAAGTACAACATTAAACAACTTTATTGAAGTATAATTGACACACATAATATTTGTGTGTATACATAAATGCATTTAAAGTATAAATTTGATTAAGTTTTGACATATGTATACCCTCATGAAACCATTACCATAATTAAAATAATGAACTTATCTACCACCTTCAAAACTTTTCTTACTCCCCATTGTAATGTCACTGTTCCCTGTTCTTTCTTTCCCTGAGCAATCACTGACCTATTTCTGCCAAACTGTTTTCCATTGTACGTTCCCCCCGTCAGTGTATGAGTTCCAGTTGCTGTACATTCTTCTTAATACTTGTCATGGTCTTTTTTTTCCCCCCTGTCTTGCTCTGTAGCCCAGGCTGGAGTGCAGTGGCACAATCTCAGCTCACTGCAACCTCCACCTCCTGGGTTCAAGTGATTTCCCCACCTCAGCCTCCCGAGGTAGGATTACCAGTGTGTGCCACCATGCCTGGCTAATTTTTGTATTTTTAGTAGAGAGGGAGTTTCACCATGTTGGTCAGGCTGGTCCTGAACTGCTGGGTTCAAGTGCTCCACCTACCTCGGCCTCCCAAAGTGCTGTGATTACAGGCCTGAGACACTGCGCCTAGCCATTAACACTTGTCATGGTCTTTTAAAAAAATTTAGATATTCAAATAGGTCTGTAGTGTTTCTGACAAGCCTCCCAATAGTATCATTGACCTGGAAACAATTTTTTATATATAATTATTATAAAAGTATTATACATAACTCCAGAATCCCCATGTGAAGAAATTCATTCCGGAATTATATATAATATTATTATTTTTTTTTTTTAGTCCCAACCCATTTGTACTTCAGGCTTGACAGATTTTTCTTGGGAGATTTGGAAATACTCTTTCTTATCTTCCTGGGGTAGTTTTTCTGTTCCTCTTTCATTGAGCAAGGCCACTTCTGAGAGTTTTGCTTCCTATCCTTACATAGGGATTAATATGCAAACTCCTAGCCAAAAAGCCACATACTAATTTAGTTCTAATACTTATTGTACTGGTTTTCTGGTTTCTCTTAGTTTTTCACTGCTTGGGATTTTCCAGACTTATTGATAAGCTTGGTCAGGAAGCAACAACTTAAAAATAGGTATAATGCATTTTTCTCTGTGTTTGAAGCAGAAGAAGGTCCATGTTCTGGTTACAGTATTATTGAAATCAGAACTCTCTGGGTAGCTTTGTAGTATGATTAATATGTATAATCCTGGTATTCAGAATTGCAATGCTCAGAACATTTCCTGTAGAAACTTTGGCTTCATGGTGTTTGGACATGGCAGTTAGAATAATGCAAGTGTATTATAGACTAGATAGACTAACATATTGACCTAAGAAGTGAAAATGGGGAACTAGATACTGAATTCCAGACAATGGAACTACAAGGAAAATTTGTGTTCATAGTGTCAGTGCACACCCATGTTTATGTATATATTTGTGTGTGTGTGTGTGTAGACATATAATTGAACATTAGAAATAACATGTATCATAAGTTTTAAAAATTTATATTGGTATTTACACTTTTGGTGGTTTAGCAACAGAAATCCTGCAGGACAGAAGGTTTTCATTTTCTTGACTTTCTCAAAGCAATGTGGGAAGTATGCTTGGCCCCTTTCTCCTCTCTTTCGGACATTTTTAATGGGATTAAATATATAATGCTAAATTGTCTCCCAAAATTGTTTGTGTTTCAGGAAGGAATGACAATTTGGGGAGAATATTTAACTCAGTGTTTCACAAAATATAATGCACACATCACTGAGTGATACTTTGGGTGGTCATAGATAACATTTTTTGATACTTATGTATTCATTTTAACCCTTGTAACTAACATATGAATGTAGTAATTTCATAAAGATTATTGTTTAGGAAGATACCAAACATAAAAATAGGTAAAATAAAAATTATTATTAAAAATAGAATATGGCAGAAATCATGACAGTCATACATGAATCTTGAAGACTAGGAAACACTGTTTTTATGGAAAAGATTTATTTTTTTAATAGCAAATTCACCAATTTCAGGTATTTATTACCTAGATGAGGTAACATTTCTAGGGAGAGAGAGTCTGCAAAGCTGGCTTCAAATTATACCATGTAGACAGCTCTATGCTTCTTGAGAGGCCCAGCAGGACTTTGCAGCAAGTTGGATGTAGCCACAGGAAGAGCTGGGTGTGAAGTGAATAGACCATTCCTTTCTTTCTCTTCAACAATAATAAGGAATTCGAAGATAAGTCATTCTTGTTTGATGAATTAGCAGTGTGCATGGTAATTTCAGTTTCTGATGACTACTTTCTCTTCTAATTGACGGGGAAACACCCTTTTCCATAGCACTGGGAGAACACATCATTGAAGTTTGGTCATCATAAATCTGCTTGTAATATTATCGGTTTCCTCAAATTTCAAAAAGATGACCATGTATGCTTCTTCCCTTCTTTGTATGTCAGGATTCGCCCAAAATGAGGACTTCCCTGCAGGCAGTGGCACTCTGGGGACAGAAGGCCCCTCCCCACAGCATCACTGCCATCATGATCACTGATGACCAGCGAACGATTGTGACTGGAAGTCAAGAGGGTCAGCTCTGTCTCTGGAATCTCTCACATGAACTAAAGGTTAGTGAAAGCTACTGATATTGAAACAGACACCACTCACAAAATACGGACAACTTGCATTTTCTATCTGCAATGACAGTGGAAGGTTTGCATGATTGTTAAAAAGATGTTTATTAAAGTAATAAATTGATTTTACTTCTGAATTTTGAGAAAATAAAGTATTATATGATTGATCAAGATTATATTTGAAAATTATATTATGAATATTGCTAATCTTAGCTACAGCTAAGTGTTATCATCCTTTAAGCTATGCTGAGTTTTACTATTTTATATCCTGAATTATATGTTTAAGTAACTGAACTACAGGCATGTAAGTATAATTTTAAAAATTATGGCTCATTAATCTAAACAAAGGGCACCCTTGAAAGCCACGATTAACTAAATGAGTAATATCTTAATTATGTGGGTGTTTCTGCTCATTTGGCCTTCTTGCTATTCTTTTAGTCTCTGCCTGCCTGTGATTTTTACAGATCACATCAAAATGCTCTAAATCCAATTTACTATTGTCATCCTTCTATTTCAGAACCTGACCTCACCTAGGATTTGGTCCATTGATTAGCAATTAATTGTCCCTGTCTCAAGTCATAAACATTTAACGTATCAGAATAGATATTTGCTTAACTCTAGCAGTCTCTAGACCCAATTTGAACAATTAAACTAATGATGTAGTTAAAGTATACTGCCCTCATTAAGAAGCCTTTTAAAGATCAAAGACTATTTTTAGCCTTTAAAGTTTGTCACTTTAAAACCTAAATTAACAATTAATTGTAATTCTATTTTATAGTGTAATTAATTAACATCTCCCATCACTGAACAGTTCTACTACAGGACTGCCAAGAACTGCATTGCAGACCAGCTCAGCTCAATGTTAATGAACGTTCTTGAAGGAAGGATGGGTATTATTGCAACAGTTGTGCTTTAAAAATAGTGGCTCCCTTTGAAAATTAAAACATTAATTTTCTATTATAGTTTAAACACAAACTTCTAAGTGACTAAAATATCTTACTTATTTTTAATGTTTAAGTGTATTATTTTCTGGCTAGAATAGTTGTGTAATAATATGTAGGTCACTATAAGCTTAAGAAATCTGGAATTCTAGCATCTTCATATTTATAAAGGCATTGCTAATATTTATTCAACTTTTGTTTAGCATACATTTGTTGAGTGCATGCTGTAAGTTGTGTGGTATGGTGGGTACTCATTTGTAAATTCAAATGTGAATGATAAGACCTGGTGCTGGCTGCCCAGGAGGTTACAGTGCAGTACAGAAAAAAACTGGCTACTGTGGCACAGTTATGATATAAGGCACTCTAAGCAGGGAATGGTCTGCACTCCATATTCAGTGGAGAAGTTATGCCATGGGTCTCTTAGGAGCAAGTCTTCTGCTTGGATTCAGAGTAGTGGTTCTTACAGGGAGCAATTTTCCTCCGAAGAGACATCTGTTACTATCTACAGACATTTTGGTTGTCACAATTGAAGGACAAGGTGGCATGTAGTGGGTGGAGCCAGAGATACTACAAAGGTCATATAGTGCACATGACAGCTCCTCACAATAAATAATTTTTCCATTCCAAATGCCCAGAGTGCTGATACAGAGAAATCCAGGGATAGAGATATGGGCTGGGAATAGGAATTAGATTGGTGAGAGTGGAAGAAGCAAAGTTATTCTACATTAAGGAGACTGCCTGTGCTTGGAGGAAAGGGAGGAGCTGTTTGTTGCCTTAACCTAGGTGTGAAAAAGGATCAAAGAGAGGTAAGGCCAGAGGGGAAGACGGGCCTAGGCGTGGAGAAGTTGAGATGACAAGTGAAGGAATTTATATTGAATTCTCGAGAACTATAGAGGAGATTTAAGTTGGGGATGGGATCAGCTTTGTGTTTTTGAAATTCACTGTGAGGACATTGTGCAAAAGTTAATTACACAAAGAAGTTATTGATTCGTATGAATGTGAGATACTCCATGTAAAGATTTTCCTGAACATTTTCTACGGCTAACCATAGAGCCAGACTGAATAAATAGCATCTCTTATTTTCCCATGAATCTTGCCCCCCCACATTGCAACTAATCAACTATTAGCAGGGAAAACTCCAGACTGAAAAAAATCAAGGGCACTTTTCAGTTCTCAACAAATCCTCTTGTTATCCATAAGGTGGTCAAGTGAGTAGATTAATGGGTTAATACTTAGTGGTTTAATTTTATTTTTGTTTAAAAAATGTGTATATAAAGGAATAATTTGGGTAGGGGTAGAAAAAAAGGAGTCCTTGAGGACAGAAGAGACTGTAAAAAAGGATGTAACTACATGGTTGACTGAGTCACCGTAGGGCAGCATCTCAGGGAGAGGATGGTAGGAAGAAGAGAAGGAAGTCGGGCATGGGAGGTTGTAAAGTGAACAGGGAGCCATTTATTTTCTCTTCATACTAAGTTTGGAAAGTTCTTTCCCCCTCCAAAAGTATGTAGGTAAGAGAATACATCAGGTTCTGTGGTCTTAAACACTCGCTTGCCACCATGCAAAATGGAAAAACAAACCAGGAACACTTATTTACGCTTTCATTAGGCAAACTACACAGGTACTTTTTGTTCTAGGCACAAATCCCTCCTCCAAGTTTCTCGGAGTCCAGTATGGGAGACAGACTTGTAAATAGGAATTTGTAAAGCACTGAGATACTTTCTATCTCTATGAATTTGACTATTCTATATATCTCCTGTAAGTGGAATCATACAGTATTTGTCTGTGATTGGCTTATTTTATTTAGTATAATGTCTTCAAGGTTCATTCATGCTGGAGCATATGACAGTATTTCCTTTCTTCTTAAGTTTGAATAATATTCCACTGTATATATATACCACATTTTGTTTATCTGTTCATCTATGGATACATACATGGGTTGCTTCCACCTTTTGGCTATTGTGAATGATGCTGCTATACACATGGGTGCACACATAACAGTTTGTATCCTTGCTTTCAACTCTTTTGGGTACATACTGAGAAGTGGAATTGCTGGTTCATGTAGTAATTCTATTTTTGAAATTATTTTTAATTGACACATAATTTTGTACATATTTATGGAGTGTTAATTCTATTGTAAATTTTTTGAGGCACTCCTATGGTGGCTGCACACTTTGCATTCCCACCTGCAGTACACAGGGCAACCAATTTCCCTGTATCCTCACCAGTGCTAGTTACTTTATTTTTTTTTTTGTAATAGCCATTCTAATGGGTGTTAAGTGGTATCCTGTTATGTTTTTGAATGGAAAGCCTTTCTGAGAGTGATGCTTGAGCTGAGTTCTAAAGAATGCACAGGAGTTGAAGGTGAGTTTGCAAACACAGGCAATGACAAGTGTGTGTGAAAGACATGAGCATTTTGCCTTAAGGGAACTGGTAAAAGTAGTTGAGTAGACCTGGAGCATACATGGTGAATTAGAGGTGACAGGCTCATCTGGAAAGGACAGGATGGGTCCAGCATGGAATCCCACAGGCTGAGGGGTTTGTAAGTTTTGTTTTGTTTTTTTTTCACTAGATAGAGCTAATAGCACATGATAATTAAAAGCAGTGGTGATTTTAAGGGCTTTAGAGGATATTTTATGTGAGAAGATGACATAATACTATTCAATTGTATTTGGGTTTTAGAAGATCACTTGCTAGCAATGTGAAGGGCATATTGGAGAAAGGGGGAGCTGACATCAGGGACAGGGACTATGGCTAGCAGACTTCTACTGTAATTTACTCAAGAAAGGTTTTGAGGATAAACCAAATGAATGGCAGTGAGGATGAAGAGGAGATGAAAACTGAAAAGACATTAAGAAGAGAGGATGGACAGAACTGAGAAACTGATTGGATGTAGGGTAAGGGAGCAGGAACAGCCAAGGATCTTTCCCAGATTTAGGGTTTGGGAGCTGGATGGGACTGGTAGAATGATGGTATTATTCATTTGCATAAGGAATAAAGGGGATTGGAGAATAGGAATAGGGAAGGAAAAAAGGTGGTGTAAGTTCTGCACGTCTCAGAGTGCCCAAGTATTCAATAGGGGTTTGAAGATGTGCCTCAGTCTTTCCTTGACCATGTGCAGTGGGATGGCAGGGCACAGGGGAGCTAGAGAATAAGTGTCTCCCTGCCTTGGGCTTCTCACTGCATGCCTAGATTATACATGCTGCCTTTGAGTTCGAAGTCTGACTCCCATAGCCCTCTAGTTTCCCCAGAATTTTGTGAAGTCTACCAGTGAGGAGCTTCTCCAAATCCCGTGGCAGCAAATTCTTTACTTGGGTTTTCTGGCATTGATTGCTTGTTTTCTTAAAAGCATAGAGAAAGGTGTGGTGAATATCCTGTCAGATAGATTCCCTTAGTATTGCTATGTTCTGCTCTTCCGCCTGTCTAATACTCAGAAGGAAACACAATAAAATGAAGAAGAGCAATGTGTGGAGACAAAGAATGGAGATCTTAGTCAAGTGCCAGCCCTGATATTTACCAACACTGTGATACTGGGCAAATGACTTATATTCTTTGAGCTTCAATTTCCTCACCTGTGAAATGGGGATTTAAACACTACTCTGTGATTGTGTTTTTGTCTGGAATACGGTAGATGTTCATTGATGTGGTTTGGCTCTGTCCCCATCCATGTTTCATCTTGAATTGTATCTCCCACAATTCCCACATGTTGTGGGAAGAACCCAGGGGTAGATAATTGAATCATAAGCCTGGTCTTTCCCGTGCTATTCTCGTGAAAGTGAGTTAGTCTCACAAGATCTGATGGTTTTAAAAAGGGGAGTTTCCCTGCCAATATCTCTCTTTGCCTGCTGCCATCCAGGTAAGATGTGACTTGCTCCTCCTTGCCTTCCACCATGATTGGGAGGCCTCCCCAGCCATGTGGAACTGTAAGTCCATTAAACTTCTTTCTTTTGTAAATTGCCCGGTCTCAGTTATGTCTTTATCAGCGGTGTGAAAACAGACTAATACATTCATCAAGTTGTGTGTTCTTTTCAGTCTCCCATTGTGCTGTTGGAAGTACCTGGAAGTGATGGTGGTGGTCAGGAGGAACCAATGCTTCATAAAAGTAGAGCTAATGGACAACAGGAAAGGTCTTGCAGATTTCATCATGACAGTGACTAAGTGTGATTGTAGAATTTTTGAATTTTGTTATTCTTCACAGCAGTTCTACAATATGGTAAATGAGGAAATTTTAGTGAACTGTCACAGCTTATTCAAATATATGTGGGGATTTAGTAATAGAATGAGGACTTCATATGAAAGGCCATGATGTTCTGTTCTGATATTTTGTCCATGGTAGATTTTCTCTGGAGGAGGGAATATCCTTGATGTTCCCTCATTGATTGCTTAATTTGGCTTCTAATAGACTGGAAAGGGATTAAATGCACAGGGATATGCACCCCTGAGTGTGATGACAGGGAAAGATAGTATGTTGTTCTCTGAGATGGAACCTTCTGGACTTCTCAGGAAAAAGGTAGCGCGAACTTGAATTGTGCAGGATTCTAATCAACCACAAAACACTTCTTGTAGCACTAAAAAGTTAGTCTGACAACAGCTCTTTTAAGAAGGAAATATTTCTGATTATGATAGAAATGATACAAAGGCAGAGAACAATTATGTCATGAAATAATTTGTCCTCATTAATATGGCTGAGTTACCATCTACATATGTTCGTATAGTTCAGAAAAAACATAATAGATATTAATTCATTTGGAAAATAGATTTTTATTACCCACAAGACATTTGCTAGCCATTCAAATTCAATTTTTGGTCTTTTTTTTTTTTTTTTTAGACAGAGTCTTACTCTGTCACCCAGGCTGGAGTGCAGTGATGAGATCCACTACACCCAGCTAATTTTTGTATTTTTAATAGACATGGGGTTTCACTATGTTGGCTAGGCTGGTCTTGAATATCTGACCTCAAGTGATCCACCCGCCTCAGCCTCCCAAAGTGCTGGGATTACAGGCATGAGCCACCGACCGTGCCGGGGCGATGTTTGGTTTATTATTGACAACTTTCTCCATCTGAGGAGATCTTACATGTTTTCTGTTTTGTAATTTAATTTTCATCATCTTGTTTTACAAAATAATGAGGAATTTACTTCTTTCACACATGAGATAGGGGAATTAGCCCTTAGTGTCATATTTTTAAAATTGGGTGTTTGTTTTTTCTTGAGATGGGATCTCACTCTGTCACCCAGTCTGGAGTGCAGTGGCATGAGCTCAGCTTGCTGCAGCCTTGACTGTTAGAGCTCAAGCGATTCTTCCACCTTAGCCTCCTGAGTAGCTGGGATCACAGATGTGCGCCACCATGCCCAGCTAATTTTTTAAAATTATTTGTAGAGATGAGGTCTCACTACATTGCCCAGGCTGGTCTTGAATTTCTGGATTCAAGTGATCCTCTTGCCTCTGCCTGCCAAAGTGCTGGGATTATAAACATGAACCACCATGCTTGGCCAGCATCGATATTTTAAAAAATCATTTAGTTAAAATTTTGTTTGTAATGTAGGAAGGTTAATTTTAGTATTTCTGAGGCAGGAAGATAAATAAGATATTTTTAAAAAGTATTTCAATAGACTATTTTTGAAAGCAGTTTTAGGTTTAAAGCAAAACTGACTGGAAGGTACAGGGAGTTTCAGAAATACCTGATCAGCCCCGCCCCCCTCCCAACACACGTGTACACACAGTCTCCCTCACCATTAACATCCCACACTAGAGCAGTGTGTGTGTGTATATATATATATATATATATACACACATACATATATATATACACACATACATATATATATATATACACATACATATATATATACACACACACATATATATATATATATTACAACCAATTAACTTACATATCATCAAGCATTGGTTCACTCTTGGTATTGTACGTTTTATGGGATTTGACAAATGTATAATGACACGTATCTTTTTTTTTTTCTTGAGATGAACTCTCATTCTGTCACCCAGGCTGTAGTGCAGTGGTGCAATCTTGGCTCACTGCAACCTCCACCTCCCAGATTCAAGCAAATCTACTGCCTCAGCCTCCCAAGTAGCTGGGATTAAGGCACATACTACCACTCCTGGCTAATTTTTATATTTTTAATAGATACGAGGTTCGTCCTGTTAGCCAGGTTGGTGTATCCATTATTATAGCATCATACAGAATAGTTTCACTGCCCTAAAAATTCTCTGTGCCCCATCTATTTATCTCCTGCTCCCCACAAACCCCTGACAACCACTAATGTTTTTATTGTCTGCTAAGTTTTGCCTTTTCCACAATGTCGTATAGTTGGAATCATAAAACCTTTACAGATTGGCTTCTTTCATATGGTAATACACATCAGTGGTTTTTCCGTGTCTTTTCATGGCTTGATAGCTGATTTCTTTTTAGCGCTGAGTAATATTTCATTGTATATATGTACCATAATTTATCTGTTCACCACTTGAAGGATATCTTGGTTGCTATCACATTTTGGCAATTATGGATAAAGCTACTGTAAACATTTGTGTACAGATTTTTGTGTGGACACAGCTTTTCAACTTACTTGGGTTAAATATCAATGAGCATGATTGCTGTGTTGTATGGTAAGAATATGTTTAGTTTTATATGAAACTACTGTACTCTTTTCCAAAGTGGCTGTCCTATTTTGCATTCTCACTAGCAGTGAGTGAGAATTCCTGTTGCTCCACATCCCGGCCAGCATTTGATGTTGCCAATGTTCTGGATTTTGGCCATTTTAATAGGTGTGCTGTGGTTTCTCATTGTTTTTTAATTTGCACTTCTCTTATGACATACGATATGGAGCACCTTTTTATATGTTCACTTGCCATCTGTATGTTTTCTTTGGTGAGGTGTCTGCTCAGATCTTTTGACTATATTTTAATTAGGTTTTTAACTTTCTTATTGTTGAATTTTAAGAGTTCTTTGTGTATTTTGGATAATAGTCCTTTATCAGGTATAACTTTTGAAAATATTTCTCTCAATCTGTGGCTTGTTTTCTTATTTTCTTGATCTTTTCTTATTTTTTATATAAATAAGAAAGATGTTTTAATTTTAGAAATTTTAGGTAATATAGATAATTTAGAAGTGAAACTTGAAGCCTAAAATTTCCTCCATGGTAACTGGTCTGATATTTAGTCTATGACTAATGGAATTTTAGTCGTTTTTATATTAACTTTAATGAGCTGTAATTAACTAGTAAAATTATATAGGTTTAAGATGTACAGAGTGATGATTTGATATATGAATACATTGTGAAATGATTACCGCAAATGATATGTTTTGGCTCTGTGTCCCCACGCAAATCTCATGTTGAATTGTAATCCCCACATGTTGTGGGAGGGACCCCGTGGGAGGTGATTGGATCATGGGGGTGATTTTCTCATGCTGTTCTTGTGATAGTGAGTGAGTTCTCGCGAGATCCTATGGTTTAAAAGTTTGTGGCACATCCCCCGTCACTCTCTGTCTCCTGCTCTGCCATGATAAGATGTGCTTGCTTCTCCTTCACCTTCCACCATGATTGTAAGTTTCCCGAGGCTTCCCAGTCATGCTTCCTGTTAAGCCTGTGGAACTGTGAGTCAGTTAAACCTCTTTTCTTCATGAATTACTTGGTCTCAGGTAGTTCTTTATAGCAGTGTGAGAATGGACTAATACAACAATCAAATTAGTTAACACATCTATCACCTCACATAATCATTTTTTGTGTGTGTGGCAAGAACTCTTAAGACCTACTCTCTCAGGAAATTTGAAGTATACCATATAGTAGTAACTATAGTCACCATGTGTACATTAGATCCCAAAACTTATGTGTAATTCAGTGTTTGTACCCTTTGAGCAACATTACTTCATTCTTCCCTCACCCCCAGCCATTGGCAACCACTAATTCTGTTTCTATGAGTTTGGCCTTTTAGGTTCTGCATAGAAGTGAGATCATATAGTATTTGTCTTTCTGTGTCTGGATTATTTTATTTAGCGTAATATCCTCTATGTCCATCCATGTTGTCACAAATGGCAGGATTTATTTCTTTTTTATTTATTTGGCTGTATACTATTCCATTGTGTATACAGTCGGCCCTTCATGTCCATGGCTTCTGCATCCATGGATTCAACCAACTGTGGATTGAAAACTTGGAAAAAGAAAAGAGGATTGCATCTGTACTAAACGTGTACTGACTTTTTCCCTTGTCATTATTCCCTAAAAAATATAGTATAAAAGCAATTTACATAGCATTTATATTGTATTAGGTATTATAAGTAATCTAGAGCTGATTTAAAGGATATGAAAGATGTTCATAGGCTATATGCCAATACTTTTATATTGCAGACTTGAGCATCCTGGCATTTAGGTACTTAAGTGATGGGGCATGGGGTGTGGGGCAGCTGTGTCCTGGAACCAGTCCCCCATGGATAATGAGGGAAGACTGTATGTGACACATTTTATTTATCTCTGCATCCGTTAATGGACACTTAGATTGTTTCCATATTTTGGCTGCTGTGAATAATGCTACAATGAACATGGGGGTACAGATACCTCTCTGAGATACTGGTTTCATTCCCTTTGGGTATATACCTAGAAGTGGGAATCCTGAACCATGTGTAAGTTCTATTTTTATTTTTATTGAGGAACCTCTATACTGTTTTTAAAAATAGCTGTACCAATTTACATTCCTATCACCATATAGGGTATTATGGTGGTTTCAAAAAGGGTAATATTTTCTCTTGTATTATTTTGTGAAGTTATTTTGAATTCTGAACTCTGAACATTAATGTGCTACTATTATTGAGGGGACATTTTGTTCAGAGGAAGCATCAACACAGACTTATTTGTATTCACAACCTAGCTGTTGTAAGACAGGCTGGCAGTCATGGAGGTTTCATGATGGACACCAAACCAAAACAAACAAAACCTGTCTACAGCACAATTCCTCTACCTAGAAGTTTATTACTCTGTGGATGTTGTTATTACATATATCAGTTTTCTTAAAACTTGTATACAACAAAAACAACAGAATTTCCTAATCAGAGTTATGAATACTATATTGTGGTGTTTTTATTCTTCAAACAGTTTACAATTATTTAAAAGCTCACTCTCATTATTTTCAGATTTCAGCGAAAGAACTCCTATTTGGTCATTCAGCTTCGGTAACATGTTTGGCAAGAGCAAGGGACTTCTCTAAACAGCCCTACATTGTTAGTGCTGCTGAAAATGGGTAGGTATGGTATGTAAACTTTGTCCCCTTCTCCATTTCCTTCCCTTTTTAAAAACTACAATGGAATACAATTTTAGGGCTGAAGGAAACCTTTGTGATCAACATGTGCCTCTCACATATAGGAACATTTAGATATAGAAAGTTTGAATAACTTGTGTGATGATCCCAAGGAATGTAATCAGTATTATGAACCCTCACTCAATACTCTTGTTGCTGGATTGGGACCAAGTTAAGCATCTCAACATGTGTATCAGAACTTGTAGCACTCTTACTGGGTGAGGGTCAGTGACCAATGCCTAGTATTGTAGAATCAGCAATGAAAAAGTCTAGGTGTTTGTCTTTTCTCATGTAGTAACACACTTTGAGCTCTTAAGCAAACCCATCCAAGCTTTCATAGTTTTACAAAACAATTTAATAGTTACAGTCTTCATGTTGTACCCTTGTCTGATGCTACTATAAAACTAACAGGCCGGGCACGGTGGCTCATGCCTGTAATCCCAGCACTTTCGGAGGCTGAGTCAGGCGGATCACCTGAGGTCAGGAGTTTGAGACCAGCCTGGCCGACGTGACGAAACCCTGACTCTATTAAAAATAGAAAAATTGGCCTGGGCATGGTGATGCATGCCTGTAATCCCAGCTACTCGGGAGGCTGAGGAGGGAGAATTACTTGAACCCAGGAGGCAGAGGTTGCAGTGAGCTAAGATGGCGCCACTGCACTCCAGCCTGGGCGACAGTCTCAAAATAAATAAATAAATAAAAATAAAAAATAAAAATAAATAAATAAATAAATCTCACAGAGGAGAGGACTCAATTATCAGTAGAATGGTGGCAGAGAGATGGAAAAGGAACATAGCCAGTGATTTGGGTGCAGTGTCACGGGAGCAAAGCTTGCCCTCATGAAATAGGACTTACCTGTAGGAAAAAGTTCCACTGATGGAAGAAATACTATGAACTAGGCTCCTGATGAGTTATTTTCCAAAATATACTCAGGAATGTCATATCAATTCAATATGCATTTATGAATAAGGGATTGGGTTTCTAGTTGAAACAAGATAAGCCTCTCTTTTGTTTTTAATACAAAGAGAAATTATACGCTTCTGAATTCTGAAAACCAAAAGAATAGTGAGGAATCAAGGTCCAGCTTGTATAAACAGAATAGTTTAATATGCTGGCTAGTTGAACAGGTATCAAAGAGATACCTATTTTCATAGCTTATAGTAAATCATTAATTGTAATATTTAGAGGGATTGAACTTTGGATAAGTCTAAAGTGAAATGTCCTAATACATTCCTTTTTTAACCTTTGCTTGTAGCTTTCATTCACCAGGGCTGCCACAAAGTCTGCTACACATGCTGAGATATTTATTCCCAATCTAGAGAATTTTGGGGATGGTGAATTTTTTTCTGGGGCTACATGAAAAAATTGAGAAATACATAATAGCTAACTGAGAAAAAGGTCTGAAAAGTTACTGAGTTTCAGCTTCAGATCTTTGCCCATAGTGATCTAACTCCAAAAGAGAAACTAGGGGTTAATGGATATATTTTTGATGAAAGATGAATTCTGCTGTATGAGCCCTGTAAATATTGTTGAAGAGCCTGGGAGTCTAGTTTCAGTCTACCTAGCTGTCCTCCTTCACCAAGTTGATTTGAATTTTCTAGAACTTTGTGCTTTTGAGGTTTCTAAAACTTATGCTGTATCTATAAGATACTTTTCAGGTAGTACCTATGCTTCAGCTACTGTGTTCTTAGCAAGTCTTAACTTTATTCACTGGAAATTATTACTCCTACTAGGCTTGCCCCATTATTTTCCAAACAACAATGCATATTTAGATTTGAGAAGTCCCAGATATTGGCTATGGACTTAGCATTTTTGCCTTTATGGTGACCAGAGGGGACCCAGAGTTGCTTTATGGCTCAGTGTTTAATATTTTTCTCAAATTATTATTTTATTTGTAGGCATACATCCTCAGATTCAGCAATCACAGAAAATTCTAGGATAATGAAAATAAACCACTGGAGATCTGATGTTAAAACAACAGAATGCCAAAGAAAAAGAGAAGATCCTGTAGGTAGACAGTGAGAAAAAGCAGTTTATTTACCAAGGAGTGTTAATTAAGCAGAGAGCTGACTTCCCAACTGTAATGACAGCAGTGAAATCCCTTCAAAAAGTGGACAGAAAATATCTGTCAGCTTGGAATTGTATATCCAACAAAAACACTTTTGAAAAATTGGGGCAAAATAATAAACCTTCAGACAAACAAAAACTAAAGGTACTCACTATACCAACAGACTCACGATAAGTATAATAACACATTTCTAAATGATATTCTTTAGTAAGAAGAACAATGATTTCAGAAGGAAGATTTGAGATGGAAGAAGGAATTTTGGACAAAACCCAGCAAAGCTGCAGAAACTTTATAAGACATAATGATATTTATATACACCCATTCACACACACGCGATTCTGGTCAACAATAGCATATAATAATGTAGTAATAAGATCCCACACATTCTGGTGTTCTAGAGGTGGGTAAAGATGTTGATTGACTTTAGACCTTAAGCTATATTTATATGTTTACGTTTCAAGTATTGTTTAGTAGCTACAGAAACAATAGACAAAAGAAATAAAAAATAAAAGAAAGAGTATGTAACTTTTAATTAAAAAAATGTTTAATTCAAAGAAAACAATTTTTTTTAAAAAATGGGACAAATAGCACAAAATAAATTAGTAGAATAAATCTGAATAAAATAGTCATTCCAATTACATATTATCATATGTATACTAATCAAAATAAGGTTGGTATGACTATATTATTTTTATATATGTATAGTTAATAAAATTTTAAGGCAAAAAGCCTTGGCCCCAATAGAAAGGTTTATAACTTATTAATAAAGGTTTAGTTACTGGCAAGAGATGAGCCCAGAGAAGTAGGGCACCAGGACTTGGAAGCCGCTAGGTGAGTGCTTCTCAATCCTGAGCGTGCACCAGAATCACCTGCAGAGTTTGTTTAATTAGAGATTTCTGGGCCCCACTACCGAAAATACAGATGTAGTAGGTCTGGGCTAGGGTCTAGTAACTTGCGTTTCCAAAGCATTCCTAGACTATGCGGGTACTGCTGGCCCAGAGCCCATATTTGAAGTAGCAAGTACCCACATTTGGGAGCGTGAGAGAAAATGTTGGGTCAAGAGTTACGGGAAATTTATTAGTAACGATATCATTCATTGAGATAATGAACCAAAGAGAGAAGATGCTATGCTTCATATTGAACATGAAAGTGTGTGATCTCCTGAAAGTCACACAGGTGGAGATGTCTAAAAGCTAGTTGCCTATAGAAATATAGAGCTGAAGTAAACCGCTCTGGGCTTCCAATAGCATAATAACAGTACCTGAAGCCAGGGGAGTAGATAACTTACCCAGGAAGAGAGTGAAATATAAGGATGTAAGAAAGTATAAGACAAATATCTAGGGAAAACCAGCACTTAAGAAGCAGACAGAGGAAGAAGAGGAGGCTGAGAATGCCAAAGAAAAAATGAAAGTATAATAAAAGACAAGGGAAAAGAGTTTGAAAAATGTAATAGACTTCCAATGCAAGATGGCAAAGCAAGCATTCATGTTTATCTCCTCTCCTTCCAGACACTTCATTAAAGTTTGATCAAAACTATAGTGTTATAAGCACACAAATATGAAAAATAAGAATGAGGTCAAGAGAAAATAATATATTTCCAAAAGATAGAAAGTGTATGGAAGAATGGTGGCTGATGTATTTATCCATGGAACAAATTTTTATTGAGGTGCTGAGGTGGGGATGTAAAGTTGAGTAAGACCAAAAAATTCCCCTTTTCAAGGAATTTGTAGTGAGAATATAACAATTTTCTAATGTTATATGTCGTAGACACTTTCATCTGCTGTTTTCTTTTCATTGAAATAAAAATTTAAGAATTTTTAAGCTTTTAAAAATTCTTAAGATTTTTAAAATTTTTAAAAATCTTAAGGTTTTTAAAATTTTTAAAAATCTTAAGATTTTTAAAATTCTTAAAATTTATTAAGGTTTTAAAAATTCTTAAATTTAATTTTTTTATAACAGAATGTGATTTTAGCTATGTACAAACTTAGGCGACAGCTTCAGAAAATGAAAAGATTATGTTTTTTAATAGTTCAATTTCATGTCTTATTTTTACCTATGTAACTTATATGGTTCCAGGTAAGATGTCAGTGTTCCATTTCATACACCACAAATTTGCTTTCTTTTATTAAGCAAAATTGATAGGCAAAGAGCAAATTTTTGCTTTGTGATATATTTTCATTTTATTTTCAGATTTAATATAGAAAATAAAATGATAAGCAAACAAATAGGGAAAGCAATGGGATCCAAGATGGTTTAAATACATTAATATTTTTAAAGGAACTTTTACTGGTGTCCAGGTTCCAATCCTGGAAAATGTGAATTAATTGGCCTGATTTGATATCTGCATGGTCAGCCATCAGTATTTTTTAAAAGTTCTCAAATAAGTCTAATGTATAGCTAGAATTTAGAGCTACTGGTTTAGAAATGGGCTAGAAACAAGTCGACTGACCAGGTGCTTTTCAAAACCACACATGCCAGGATCCCAACACAGAGTCATGGAATTAGAATCTCTGGAGATAATATTTGGAATAGTATCAGGTGGTTGTTGATGCATAGCTAGAGTCAAAAACCTTGTTAATAAGCTCAAATCCCTTAAAGAGCTAAAATTTTATAATGTTGACTGCTTAAGGTTCAATTACTTTACCTTTGCAATATGTTTCTTTATTTTATAGATGCATTATTAGTTTGTTTCCCTTTGAGATATATTATTTCAATATCTACCTTCCTCCCAATCTTATTTTTTAGTACATACACACAGACACACACAGAGAGATTTTTTCCTCCTATTTTATAGAATTATATGTCTTTTCAGGTTACCTGAAATCTTTTTGGAATGAGGCTGGATATAAACAGAGGGAAAATGCTATGAATATTTTGTGTGTATTTCTAGAATATTATTTCTCAACCTCAGTACTAATGGCATTTAGGAACAGATAATTCTTTGTTGTGGGGTACTGTTCTATGCATTGTAGGATATTTGGCAGCATCCCTTGCCTCTCCCCACTAGATGCCACTAGTGTGTTCCTAGTTCCAACAACCAAAAATATCTCCAAATATTACCAAGTGTCCTTGGAATGTAGGGGGAATAAGGGGTAGCAAAATTGCCCCATTTTAAGAACTACTCATGTAGAAGATTGAGTTCCCATGGTTGGTTAGAAAAACAAAAAAGCCTGCAAATCACCAAATGCATACAGTTGTTGACATTATTAGTCTATATATTTTGTTTCTTAGTATAATGGCAGTATCTCCTTTAAGGCCTATAAAACTTTTCTTTTTCTTGCATGGAAAATTTTGCTTATGTGTTAAAACTCTCAAGACTGAAGAATATTACCAAACAATTCTGAAACAGCCATTCTGATTTTTGTGAAGTCATATAAACTACCCTATGCTGGGTGTACTTTGTATTTTAAAACTATGTCTTTGTAATACATAAACGAAGTAAGAGTTTTCAAAATAATAATATTTTTCTAAATATTAAGTGGCAAGGATGATTTTAGGATTTCAAATCAGGAGAAGCAGAGATAAACTGTTATCGATGATAGACCAAATGTAGCCTCTTGGTGGCACTGTTTGTTTTTACAAAAATGATACATTGGCCTCAGAAGATGCAGCGCTTGATGCATTGTGATTTTCAGAATATGTAGTTTAAGTTCAGTGAAATAAAGCATTTTCAAGAGGATACAGTTTCCACTGAAAGATTGTTGTACTGTCACTAACAGGCTGTGATAGCTGTATCCCCACAATTTGTTGTAGGCCAGGTTGTCTCTAAAGTAAGGTTTGCAGGCTGGCAGCAGGGTGTAATTACCCAAACAAAAAGATACAGATACAGTATGTCATCCCTGCTAATGACCACAACATTTTCTTGCCCAAAATCTGTAACAAAAAGCCACATAAATGATCAGGCTGCTAAAGAAAAACTTGGTGGCACAAAAATTATTCCAGCCAATTGAGTGGAAATGACAGAGAATAACACAAAGTTATCTTCTGCTAGGGAGATGTGTGTTTGGAATGTCACCAATGGACAGTGCATGGAGAAGGCTACACTTCCTTACAGGCACACTGCAATCTGTGTAAGTACACTCACTTCCTTCAGGGCATTTCTAGATTCTGCAACTTGTTTAGGGCATTTGCAAATACACTTCTAAAGAAACATCTTTGGAGAATATTCTTTGCTTGAATTTTTATTTTGTCATGAGGGTCAAATATCACCAGTAATTGTCTGCTGTTTTGGCATTTTGCTTTCCCAAAAAGTATTATTCAAGCAGATTTTCCCCCTGATTCTTTCATTTTTGTATCTTTCTAACAGATTTGAAAGACAATTTCCATATATTGCCTTAGTGCTACAAAACATACACATACTTGTACATGTGTAAAAATTCAGTTTTAATGATGTGCTGTCTTATAAAGCACACACAGTTTTTTTCTCCCTCATTTCCAATTTTAAACCCTATGTTTTGGTGGATAGGTTCTTAATTTCTCTGTATATAACTTTTATAATCACTTCCCAATCTTTAAAGCAAATCTTGGCTTTTAGTAGATGGTTTCCAAGCATATGTAGTGTGGTTGCATGATTCCAATGGTGCTGACCGTGTTTTAAAATATTTTACACTCTTAGTGTTGCTGATGTGCATTGTAACATTCATGAACTCTCTTCTATTTTTTTTGGAAATAAAACCCTGCACAGAGAGAGCTGGTTGAAAGTAGAATGCATTACTTGATCTTTAATAAAAGATTTCCAAAACTTATTTGGCATAATAATCCTCAAATGCCCTTCAAATACTTTATTTCTTTTTAACATACAGCATTGTTGCTATGGCAAGGAACCTGGGTTTTGTTGTTGCTATTAATTTTTTCTCTTTAAGAGACAGGGTCTTGCTCTGTCACCCAGGCTGAAGTACAGTGGTGCTAACGGCAACCTCAAATTCCTGGCCTCAAGTGGTCTTCCCACCATAGCCTCCTCCCAAAGCACTGGGATTATAGGCATGAACCACTGTGCCTGGTCCTGTTGTTGTTGTTTAGTTCCAAGTTGCACTCCAGAAATAATATAATTGTGAGCTTTCCATGATTTAGAATAAAATTACTTCTTCCAAGCGATCTCTCTTTCCCTAGAAAAATCATGAGATGCAAATGAGACTAAAGTGCCAATAGGAGTTTGGAATAACTGAACTAAGAGAAATTTTAGTTGCTATTCAGTTCAATACCTTAATTGATCATATGCTAAAACTAAAGTCTAGAGAAATCTTCAATGTAGCCAAATTATGTTAATTTTAGTGATAATTAAATGTTTGCTTTGCTTTCCATGTACGTAGTATTACCACTGCTCATTCCGGATGACAGGAGAAGGCTGGCTTCTTTGTTGTGGAGAATATCAAGATGTCCTTATAATTGATGCCAAAACTTTGGCTGTTGTTCACAGTTTTAGATCATCTCAGTTTCCTGACTGGATCAACTGCATGTGCATTGTTCACTCCATGAGAATTCAAGGTAATAGTTGGATATTATCTGACAGTAGAGAGATTGCATATAAAAATATCTACTTTTGAATTATTTGTCAAATTATTGGGCAGAAATTCAGAAAGAATGCTTCTTTATGCTTACCTGTTAATGAGGATATGTCTGTAATACACCTGATCAAGAAAAACTAAGAACACCCATGCCAGTGGTTCAAAACATTGGAAAGTCAGCAAAAGGTTAAGATGAGGGGGAAAGAGGAGAATTTGTGTTTTTATAACCAAGTTCTGCTTGTTACATTTTAAGAGTGACAAGCAGGTTTTGTTGTGGATTAGCAGGACTCCTGGAATTTTGCCCTGCTGTATCTTCTAGATGTAGTATTGATAATTCAGTTTCTGTAATGAGTGACTGCAAAGGGAAGTGGAAGTTGGCGCCTCACTTACTTCCGAAATAGGAAGGTTTCATTTTATGATGATTTGCAATGTGGTTCTGCTTCTAGTGGTGCTCTTCTTATACCTAGGAATCACTTTGAAATTTTAAAACAGATTTGGAGCACGATGTAAAATGTTTATTTTTTCTAGTTAAAAAGTAACTCCAAAGCTGAAAATTTTCTATCTACACAGCCCTGCGTAATTCTTAAATGACTGTGAAATGATTTTTACCTACCCAATTATATCCATGGTAAGCTTATATGTGACTTTTATTATTTTCACAGAAGATTCTCTCTTGGTGGTATCAGTAGCTGGTGAGCTCAAAGTATGGGATCTTTCCTCATCTATCAACAGCATTCAGGTTGGCTTGGGAACCCTACTCTTTTTTCCTTACAATTTCAAGCATATTCATTAAAATTTATAAATTTTAAGGCTATTACATGTTTATTGTCAAAAGTTCAAATAACATAGAAGTGTATAAATTCTACTTCCATATATTTCCCCCATCCATCTTCCCAGGGGTGAGCCTTGGTACACTTGGCTTGTATCCTTCCAACCTTTTCTCCATGTATATACAAATGTTTTCATTTACACACACACACACACACACACAGAAAGATTACATTTTTAATCTTTTAAAAAATAGAACATCTCTCTGTTCGTTACAGAGGAAATCCCCCTTTTTTCTGAGTATATGTGAACAGTGGCAAGCAAATGACCCTAAAAACTTGAGGGGCATGTCCCTGGGGAGTCCAGTATATTCATCTATTCACTGGCATCAGGCTACAAGTTGAGATGATGGACAAAAGAACAGCCATACTATGTGTGTTGATGACAAAATTATTTAGGCTTCCCCAAGGAGTTCTGGGGTCTTTTTAGGAATTTATTGGTTGAGGAAGCCTAGGAATTGTGATGGTATGCTGAGCTTAAGAAATACACATCCAGCATTTTCACAAACTTATTGAGAACGTACTATTCTATGTGCTGTGTGTTGGCACTTTGTTCATTTTTTTTCTGTTTAAGCAATCAAAATACTAGGCCATGCACAGTGGCTCACGCCTGTAATCCCAGCACTTTGGGAGGCTAAGGCGAGCGGATCACCAGAGGTCAGGAGTTCAAGACTAGCCTGTCCAACATGGTGAAACCTCGTCTCTACTAAAAATACAAAAAAAAAAATTTAGCAGGGAGTGGTGGAGTGCACCTGTAATCCTAGCTACTCAGGAGGCTGAGGCAGGAGAATCGTTTGAACCCGGGAGGCGGGGGTTGCAGTGAGCCGAGATCCTGCCACTGCACTCCATCCTTGGCGACACAGCAAGACTGTGTCTCAAGGAAAAAATAAAATAAAATAAAATAAAATAAAATAAAATAAAATAAAATAAAATACAACAAAATAAAATAAAATAAAATACTGTAGGTTTTTTTAGTCATCATTTTAGATTTTTTTGTTTGACCTTTCTGCCATATCTAACAGTCTGTAGCTTATTCTCATCTTGACATTCTCAGCATCCAGCCGTAGTTCCCCAAAGAATGTTTGTTGAATGGTTGCATGTAATGAGCCCTTGAATCTAAGTGGATTTCCTGATCACAGCTTTTTTTTTTTTTCAAGAAATACATCCTATATTTTTTAATTTTTTTTTTTTTAAACTTTCAGGAGTACATACGCAGGTTTGTTATACAGGTAAATTAAGTGTTGTGGGGGTTGGGTGTACAGATTATTTCATCACCCAGGTACACAGCTTCTATTGCCAAGTAACTTCTTAGTTCAAAACACTCAAAAGGTAACTCAGATACTTTTCGTTTTATAATGGTGTGATCTACTTGAGATGTACGGGAAGCAGGTCTTCTCATGGCTGTGTATGAATTACCTGGAACTAGTACTAAAAGATTTTCTTTCCTTTTGAAGGAAAAGCAAGATGTCTATGAAAAAGAATCCAAGTTTCTTGAGTCCTTGAACTGCCAGACAATTCGATTTTGCACATATACTGAGAGACTTCTATTGGTGGTATTTTCTAAATGTTGGAAGGTATTATAAAGTAACATAATAAATACCAGTGATGTACAAGTGTAATTTTTTTTGTTTTGTACAAAAATAAGAATATGATTTAAATATGATACAAATTCTCTGTAATAGTATTACCAGAACATGGAATGATGTGTCTTTTATGACTGACGTAACAGTTTTTTTTTTTGGCGGTGGGGTGGTTGACAGTCTCACTCTGTTTCCCAGGCTGGAGTGCAGCGGCACGATCTCAGCTCACTGCAACCTCCACCCCCCAGGTTCAAGCAGTTCTCCTGCCTCAGCCTCCTAGTAGCTGGGATTATAGGCGCATGCCACCATGCCCGGCTAAGTTTTGTATTTTTAGGAGAGACCGGGTTTCACCATGTTGGTCAGGCCGATCTCAAACTCCTGACCTCGTGATCTGCCCACCTCAGACTCCCAAAGTGCTGGGATTACAGGCGTGAGCCACTGGACACGGCCTGACATATCAGTTTTTAACTCTCTAATTAATAAAATTAGGATATACTACTACATATTTAATATCATGGTATATGCAACAGTTTTGTATCCCAAGATATTATATATGTAGTAGCATATCCTAATTTTAGTAACAAACCATAATAACAATGAATATTTAGCTCTAAATTGTTTTCAAAATTTGGTGTTTACATTTCAGAACTAAAAATATACTTTTCACCTACATAGTTTGATTATATTTTTAGATGTTTTACTTTTTCTACTTTGTCACTACATTTGTTTTAAGAGGGACAAACGTTATTTTCTTGTGAATATGTTCGCTGACATTTCCAAGAAGAAAGAAAAGCTAAGTTGCCATCATTTCATAACATTTATTTTTCTTTAAAGTTTTTTATAACTGGCTCAGTTAACAAAACTATACAGTCTTACTTGTGTGGTGATAATGTATTTTTGAACAAAGATTTAAAAGTATATGGTCTAGCAAAAGATTTACGTGATATATATTTTTTATGTGCATAATACATTTTCAAATGTAAAACTTGGAGTACTCATTATGGAAAGAATAAAATTACTTAGAAATTTTGGGATTTGGGGTTTCTATGTTTAGTGTACACACTCTGGAATGATATAACCAGATGAACTGTATCCCCTGAAACCTACCCTAAGATAAATATAAGTCAATAAGTCATGGTAAAATATCATCTTAATATGAGAGTACAGTATGGTCTGTTATTAACGCTTACTATGTTGTTATATTATTACTATCATAATTTATATTCATCTTATTGGCAGACTAGATTTAAGCCTTTGATAATGTGCATCAACTTCATATTTTAGGTTTATGATTATTGTGATTTTTCCCTTCTGCTGACTGAAGTTAGTAGAAATGGGCAGTTCTTTGCTGGTGGAGAAGTGATTGCTGCTCACAGAATCCTCATCTGGACAGAAGATGGTCACAGTTACATCTATCAGCTGCTGAACAGGTGGGCTCAGATGGGAGCGGCATACAAAACATTCAGGTAGAAAATGAACTTTGGGAGGTTTATTATGGAAAAATCCCTGCATGCTGCCCATGATCAAAAACCAGAACAAAACAACTTTGGCACTAGAAGATTTACTCTGGGCTTGGTAGGCTTCAGCCTTTGTACAAAACAGCAGGGGATGGAGGAATGAGATTAACCATGTATAACTTGTACAGCTGGTGCTGGGTTTTCAAAAAGTCACTTGTAATTATTAACCCAACAATTTCTAACTAGAGTTTAGAAACTTGAACGGTACCATCCGGCTTTTGAAAGTGGGAGGGGGAAAAAAAACGAATAAAGAACCTCAAAGTTCTAAACTTTGCTTTTTATTTTTGCCACGCAGTGGGCTTTCAAAAAGCATATACCCTGCTGATGGAAGAGTGCTTAAAGAGACCATTTATCCTCATTTACTGTGCTCTACTTCTGTGCAGGAAAATAAGGTAATGCAAGAAAAGAGTGACTGCCTCAAAGCTGTTTCACTCAGTTTCTTGGATAAGTGTTGCTTTGTCTGTCACAGAATCAGGCTTGAAAAAATTGAATTGAAGCATCCCATCAAGTTGTTAATGAGAAAATCAAGTTTAATTATCAATGGCTACCAAAGAGAAAACTTTGTCTTTAAAAATCTGCTATGTTTAAGTCTGTATTTTAAGTTTATAATGAAACAATATGTATTTATTATAGGAAAATTATAAATGTTAAAAAGAAAGGAGAAATTAAAATTCCTAATTTCACCGCAGTACATATTCACTGAGATTTTTTTTTACTTTGTTGTATGTATTTACCTATTTTGATTGGAAAATTTTCAAATAATTGGAAAAGTTTCAAGAGTAGTGTAGTAATTATTCATATACGTTTTACTTAGATTCACCAATTGCTAACATTTTGCTATATTTACTTTCTCATTCTCTGTCTCTCTCTCTGCATTTGTGTGTGTGTGTGTGTATACGTACAAACACATACACACACACCACACATTTTTTCACTGACCCTTGTGATAAATGGTGTGACAAAACATTGTTAACATTTTTACGTATCTACTCCAATTTTTAAACTTTATGAAATGTTTTATGTTCTGTTTCTTTAATCATATATTGATATCATTTTCAGATGTATTTAGCTATTCTTACGAATAAATTTTCTTGTTAAAACAAATATAATTATGCTTTTGGCAGAGAGTTGAGAATATAAATGTGAGCTTATTACTTGACTGAATCATACCTCTGACATTCTAGGAAGCCTGAAAATTTAAGCAGTTGTTTTCTTTCAGTAGTGTTATCCAAAGTGTTTCTTTTCCCTGAGCCTTTGGACTTTGTCATCAGTTAATTATCCATAAACGTTATTTCATGGAGAGTGGAAGAGTTTTGAATTATTGATGTGTCAACCAAGGAAGCATGCTACTTTTAACAGAATGATGGTTTGCTTAATTAGGCAGCATAGCTGTTGGAAATCCTATAGTTCAGTGATTGTCCCTTTAACATATCTGTGAGGTTTTGTTGTGAAAACTTGATTAAGAAACTGTCAGCCAAAAATTAGAACCCCAAGTGCCACTGGGACACAAGCAAACTTTATAATTACGGCATGCATCAACCACTATTTCTAAAATTATTTGTGGGCAGTAATAGGTTCCTGTTTTGCTGTCGATCACAAAAACAGTATTGGGGCTTACTCAGAAAAGCATATTCAGTTATTTTTTAAAGGATCTGGTCTTTCCTCCTTAGCTTTGAATGCATTTTTACAAAGCACAGTTTGCCCTGAAAGCCAATGATCAGTTGTGCCCTTTAGGGGCTTCTTGTTCCTGAAAATTTCAATGTTATGTATAACCATGAGGAAAGAATACAACAATTAAAAAATAACTAATCTCATGGGAAGTTACCTTGCTTTGTTTCTCAAAATGTGAAGACATAAGCTTATAGGTCTTTTACCAGTAATTCTTGTTTAAACAACCATAGATGTTTCTGTATCTTAAAAGCGAGAAAGCCTAGAAGCCAGTGAAATATGAATAGAATAATTGGAAACTGGAAAAAGCTGGTCTGCCTGTCCTTACTTGCCTTTTATCCAGGGCATAAAGTCAGACTTTCTTCCCCTTATTCAAACATCACTAGTGTTCACTAAATGTAAGAGTCCTTAGTCTCTCTTGCAGTTACCAAGTAATGAAGGCATTGTGGTAGGATGAAGAGATGAATTTGATACATTCAGTGAGCTTAGAAAAGACTGCTCTGTAAGCAGGTACTATTGTCTGAACTCATTTTTTGGAGTAATACCATAGAATTAAATCTCCAGGTTTGACAGTAACAGGTTCTCAGTTATTGTTTGTAATGCCCATGTACATATCTGCTGATGGAGTTACAGTGGTAAGAATGAGGATTCGTCTTTCCTTCCAGCAGCTGCATGAGGATCTCCCTAGCTTCAAATCACAGCTGGTAATTGCTGAGGCCTGTGGTGCAGGGGTCCTGGCTATTGAGACAAGGAACTGGTTTTCCCAGGGTCTCAGCCACAGAGTAAGACTGCTGTGCTGAAGTGGGAATAGCTGGGATAGAAACAGCCTAAGAATTGCAAATAAAAAATGTGTGTGCATGAACTAAGAGTAATGGTGATGATGATGATGGTGATGATGATGACAAAAACTTCATTTGAGTCCTTATTATTGTCAAACATACAAACAACCTCATTTACTTTAGTTGCCACCAAGATCCCATGTTGAAACTGATGTTCAGAGAGGTGAATTCCCAGGATTTGAATTCAAGTGGTTTAGCCCAAATCCAGTAATGGGTTTTGGAGTGAGTTTCTTAATTGTTCTGAGAAAAGAATTACCAGAATTGTTAAAATTAATTGAATAGGGACTAAATGTCAGGGACCATCCTGTGCACCTTATCTTTATCTACTCATTAATCCTCACACCAATCCCATATAGCGGGTGCTTTTATTAGTCTTATTTCACAGTTAGGGAAAATGAGACAGTGAGGTGCACTAAATTGCCTACAGTAACCAACTTGCTCTTTCAATAGAGCTAGGATGTGGTAAAGCCAGGATTTAAATCCAGGCAGTTAGCCCCAGGGATTTCAGTGCTAATGGCTATGTTTTATTACCTCCTGGGTGGTGGAGACTCTTATGATGGACACAGTGATGAAAAATCGGAATTCACATGGTAAGGGACTATGAAGAAGTTTTCAGGTGAATAGCAGAACTAGAGGGAACTGTTTGGGAGGAGGAGGAGCGAGGGACCAAGCGGTGAGTGTGAGCAAGTGAGAAGCAGCAATGTGGAAGGTGAAGGCAGAGGGGATGAGAGCAACAGGGAACTTCAGCTGCCAGAGGCAAAGCACCAGCTGGGAGGAGTTGTGCTGCCACCAACTCGAGTAACCCAGCAGCCTCTTGGAGCTTCCTTTTCAAATCAGAATAACCAGGGAGTTGGAACAATCAGTTCTAAGTGCATACAAGGGTGGGAGAGTTTGAGTAGCCAATTTAACCAAATGTTATCAACACCATTTCAAATAGCTATAAAAATCATGGCTGTAAGACACCAAAGTGCCCTCTGAGTCTTAAAAAAATTTATTGGCCGGGCGCAGTGGCTCATGCCTGTAATCCCAGCACTTTGGGAGGCCGAGGTGGGTGGATCAGGAGGTCAGGAGATTGAGACCATCCTGGCTAACACGGTGAAACCCCATCTCTACTAAAAATACAAAAAATTAGCCGGGCGTGGTGGCGGGCGCCTGTAGTCCCAGCTACTCGGGAGGCTGAGGCAGGAGAATGGTGTGAACCCTGGAGGCAGAGCTTGCAGTGAGCCGAGATCATGCCCCTGCACTCCAGCCTGGGCAACAGAGCGAGACTCTGTCTCAAAAAAAAAAATTCATTTAGAAACTGACTTTATTGGAACCATTTTCTGTGATGCTCTTATTTCTTGGGACTATAGGGAATTAATTATACGTCTTGGTTGGATGACCTTGGATTGGTTTCTTATTTTCTGTGATAGTTTCCCTATTTTCATATCAGGATAATAGCAATGTTTACTTACTACATAGCTTTGTTGTGAAGATTAAATGTAGCAATATCGTGGCCTTTAATAATCACTAATGAATAGAATTTTTCACTAATGTGTCTAAATCCAGACCTTAAAGCATGTATTTTCTGACTAGGAAGCATCACTTTCCTGAACTTCTTTAATTCTAGCACCAGCAGTTGGCTTTCTTTTTAGGATGACTTTTATTTCTGCGCCAAAGAGAGTTTGGGTTTTGTTTTTGTAATCGCTTAAATGATTTTGATCCCTTATGCATAATCTCTATATACAAACCTGCCCGAAGAACAGCTATACTGCCCTGAGAAGGACTAGGGATGCTCTAAATGCATTCATGAGTGAAGGCATAGCTTTAAAAACGCTGGTGCCCAATATTCATATTCTGCTTCAGCAAGATCATAAGTTATATATAATTTAGATACAATGTACAATATTATACATAATTTATATAATGTATAACATTATATATGTATATACACACCATTATAAATTATGGAATCATTTTCCTTTGTGGCCACTTGAGAAATCAGAAATCAAGTATGTTCAATCTGAAAATAGTCAACAAAATGTAGAAAACATATTAATAACAAAATTACTATACAAATGTTACTTGTTGCTGTTTTAACTGACAATTAGAACTATAAAGGAACTGTAAAGAAATTAAGCCTTCTCAGTGGACATCTTTAGCATCAAGACATGGGTTGCTGAATCACAATGACTGGACTCAAAGCCCATTGCTTCTTCTAATCGCCTTAGACAAATCAATCTCTTCATTCCAAGTTTTCTTGTCTGTAAAATGAAAACAATGATAGTACCAATTTTATAGGGTTATTGTGAGGATTATTTAACTGAATATGTAGAAAGCCCCTTGCAGTAATGTGTACACATAGCCATATATATATATATATATATATATATATATATATATATATATATACACACACACACACACACACGCACATATAACATGGTCAGTAAATGTTAGATACTTTTATTGACTTTCTGAGGTCTATGACTTTGCTTCTTGTTTTATAAAGCCTCTTTAGTCCTAGATCACAGATTATTTCATTTAATTTACTTGAAAATGTCAAAAGAGTGGGAAATAAATTGAAAAGATTTATTCAGTTATTAAGTCTTGTTTCTCCATTTAAAAACAGTGGCCATCTCTCTCTAGTTAGAATATTTCCTACATAAAAGCTCACTTTTTGTTTAGGAACAGAGCCGTCCCTTTGTTATGGGCTACATGAATGAAAGGAAAGAGCCTTTTTACAAGGTACTTTTCTCTGGAGAAGTCTCAGGAAGAATTACTTTGTGGCACATCCCTGATGTTCCTGTATCCAAGTTTGATGGTTCTCCTAGAGGTAAGTCAGTTTCCTTTTCTAGTAACATGTCTTCTGAGAATGAATTTGTAATTAATTCATTGTTCTTCTAAGTTGAGCAGCATGGGACCACAAACAAGAAAAATTTATTGTGTACTACTACGTATTAAATGACAACATGAAAGCAGGTATAAACACAAAGCTTAGGCGGGGCACAGTGGCTCATGCCTGTAATCCTAGCACTTTGGGAAGCTGAGGTGGGTGGATTGCCTGAGCAAAGGACTTCGAGACCAGCCTGGGCAACACGGTGAAACCCCGTCTCTACTAAAATACAAAAAATTAGCCAGGCATGGCAGCATGCACCTGTAATCCCAGCTACTCAGGAGGCTGAGGCAGGTGAATTGCTTAAACCCAGGAGGTGGAGGTTGCGGTGAGCCGAGATCATGCCACTGCACTCCAGCCTGGGTGACACAGTGAGACTTGGTCTCAAAAAAAAAATTTTTTTTTAATTAAAAACACACACACACAAAGGTTATGGATCTTATATACTAATATAACCAATATAATTCATGTTAACATCAATTGAACTTCCCAAGAGATGAATGCTGGCAATATGAATCTGGGATAGGCTGTAACACTGTATTCATATTTTTGAAGGGAGGGTGCCTTGATATTTTCCATGTCTATGATGTACTGATAAACCAAATTTTCTTTTTATGTCTGTTTTCTTTTTAGAGATACCAGTAACTGCCACCTGGACTCTTCAAGATAATTTTGATAAGCATGATACTATGTCACAAAGTATTATTGACTATTTCTCTGGGCTTAAAGATGGGGCAGGAACTGCTGTAGTCACTTCATCAGAGTATATTCCAAGTCTTGATAAACTAATATGTGGCTGTGAAGATGGGACAATTATCATTACCCAGGCTTTGAATGCTGCCAAAGCAAGACTTCTGGAAGGTGGTTCTTTAGTAAAAGGTCCTTGAATTTTATTTGACCCTATTTATTTGATTTATCTAAAGCTGCAATTTCAACAGACTGCACTAAACAAGATTTAGAGGCCTAAATAATTTGCTGGCATTTGCTGATAAATATGTACATATTTTAATGTTAAAGTAAAACATACATATAGGTTTTTTTTTTTTTTTTAAACTCCCTGTAATCCTAGCACTTTGGGAGGCCAAGGCGGGCGGATCACGAGGTCAGGAGATCGAGACCATCCTGGCTAACACGGTGAAACCCCATTTCTACTAAAAATACAAAAAAAAAAAAAAAAGCTGGGCATGGTGGCGGGCACCTGTAGTCCCAGCTACTTGGGAGGCTGAGGCAGGAGAATGGCGTGAACCTGGGAGCAGAGCTTGCAGTGAGCTGAGATCACGCCACTGCACTCCAGCCTGGGCAACAGGGCAAGACTCCACTCCATCTCAAAAAAAACCAAAACCAAAAACAAAAAAAACTCAAGCAGAAGGCTACACAATAAGAAATGATTTTTTCTCCTTACTTGATCTTCCAGTTCTTTCTCCAAAGGCAACTGCTAATAACAGTTTATTTATACTCTTCTTGAAATTTTCTATGTGTGTACAAGCACATATCAGCATAACAACATACAGTCTTTTAATTATATTGCACAAATAAAAATGTATTCTACATGCTTTACTCAAATGTCCTTAAACAAATCTAATTAAAATATTGTGGAGTTCATTCTTTATGAGCTGACTTTAAATAATTAGTAATAATTGAACTTTAATTGCCTATTAATTGGCATGTAGGTTTTCTAGTTTTTAGCTACTATGGACAATGCAGAATTGATTATTATTGTACATATATGTGAGCATATCTGTACAGATGTGTGAGTATATATCTTTGGCCACTTACTAAATGTTACTGACTTGTGCTTCAGTGATTGACTGAAGTGGAGGAGTAAATGGCAATGAACCAAAGAGAGGTAATGTACTGGTATACAGCTAAATGGCTGCCATTAAAAGTTAGTGAAAAAGCAAAGACCTAGCAGTTTTTATCTAGGCTGATTTACCCTAATATCCAGAAAGCAAGAAAAAGCCATATTTGACTTGTAGCACCTCAATGAACATTCATCCAGGTGGGTTAGGAGATAAAAAGTGAGGATATGCCTGAAGGAATAGAAGTTTCCGAAGTATAATAATAATTTGATGTTTATTTTCATTTTGAATAAAGAGAGTTTGTGGTTTATGGTTCTTTCCAGTTTGGGGGAGTTTAGCTAATGATGAAGGAAGAAGCAGTGTGGTTAGTGGGAAGAGTAACCCCCTAGCACAGTAGTGTGTCAGTAGTCCTGTGCTCTCATACAGCTGTGATTTGAAATGCCCATATGCCTACCAAGTGCCAAGCAGAGTGCTACAAAATTATAGACATTATCTTATTTATTCCACACAACAGTCTTGTCCGAAGTAAGGAATATTATTATCCTAAATTTTCAGATGTAACATCTGTGGTTAAGAGGGAAAAGGCAACTAGATGTGGTGACATATCTAGTAAGTGATAGACCCAGGGAGAAAAGGCAGATTAATTTAACAGCAATGCTGTACTCTTAAACATTTTGCTTTGCTTTTTCACACTTGGATGCAAGTCACTTAACCTCTCTGAGCCTCAGATGCTTTATCTGTAAAGCCAAGAGGTAGAATTAGGTAATGTCTAACATCTTTCAAAGCAAAAATATTTCCTGAAACTTTTATTTTCTTGTATACTAGACTTAGTCATTCTAATTTAAAGAATGACGGGCTGGGCGCGGTGGCTACCGCCTGTAATCCCAGCACTTTGGAAGGCTGAGGCAAGTGGATCCCTTGAGCCCAGGAGTTTGAGACCAGTGTGAGCATTATGGTGACACCCTGTCCCTGCAAAAAAAACAAAAATTAGCTGGGCATGGTGGCGCTCACCTGTGGACCCAGCTACTAGGGAGGCTGAGGTGGAAGGATCATCCGAGCCCAGGGAACTTGAGGAATAGAAGTTTTGTCTTATGGTGCCATGATTGTACCACTGTACTCTAGCCTGGTCAACAGAGTGAGACCCTGTCTCAAAAAAAAAAAAAAATGAATGAAAATAAGTAATATTCTGAATTTATTTTTGTGGAGGTAAATGTACGAAGTATTCACTCTTTTAGAGCAGTGTTTACTATTCAGTGACGCTGGAATTGGTAGCTTACTAATGTCCTTAAGAATTAATAGACTTTGTAGCTGGGACTATAGGTGCGAGCTACCACACCTAGCTAATTTTTGTATTTTTAGTAGAGATGGGGTTTCACCATGTTGGCCAGGCTGGTCTTGAACCCCTGACCTCAAGCGATCTGCCCATCCTGGCCTCCCAAACTGCTGATATTACAGGCATGAGCCACCATGCCTGGCCTAGAATTAATAGACTTTGAACAACTAACTGTAGTGCTTCATCAAAAGCATACTCTGGCTTCTGGTGAGGCACTTGTTTTTCAAGATGATCTAAGGATGTTCACTAGTTTTCTTAGCCAAGTGCATGCTTTAATTATATGTAATTTCCTTATGTTAAAATTTTATAGAAGAGAATCTTGGGACGATTTTCTGAACAAAAATAACATCTGTATTATTTGGTGTTTCATTGTTTTTCAGATTCTCCCCCTCATAAAGTTCTTAAAGGCCACCACCAAAGTGTCACTTCATTACTCTATCCACATGGTCTCTCTTCGAAATTAGACCAAAGTTGGATGTTGTCTGGGGACCTGGACTCATGTGTGATCTTGTGGGATATCTTTACTGAAGAAATTTTGCATAAATTCTTTTTGGAAGCTGGTCCAGTAACAAGTCTTTTGATGTCACCAGAGAAGTTTAAAGTAAGACGAAGAGTAAAATATAACATCTAAATTTGAAAATTATATAAATTATAGAATACTTAATAAGACAAGTAAAAATGACCCATATTTCCAAAGAAAAGAAAAACATGAGTTCTATGTACTTATAATACAACTGGATGATTCATATATATTTATTTCTAATCTTTCTATATGAATTGTAGTATTATTATAACTTACATTAGACGGATAATTTGGCTCTAAAGCAAAGATTTAGTCAATGCTTAGCTTTACAACAACCACTTAATTCTCTTCAAGTACTTACATCTATTTTTTTCCTCTCATTCTATATCTTCATTTTTAATGGAATTATCTTTTTTTTAAAAAAGTAGATACTCAAGGCAAAAACAAGTCAAACAATATAGGAATCTATAAATTAGAAATTAACTTTTGCCTTCAATAACTTCCATTTTGCAATGAGCTGAGATCATGCTACTGCATTCCAGCCTGGGCAACAGAGCAAGACCTTGTCAAGAATTTCTTTTTATAATAATATTGATAAATAGTTACATTTGTCTTCTGTGTGTGTGTGTGTGTGTGTGTGTGTGTGTGTGTGAGAGAGAGAGAGAGAGAGAGAGACAGGGTCTCACTTTGTCATCCAGGCTGGAGTACAGTGGCGTGATCATGGCTCACTGCAGCCTCAACCTCCTGGGCTCCAGGGATCCTCCTGCCTCAGCCTCCCAAGTAGCTGGGACTACAGGCATGTAGTCCAGCTACTGTTTTTTATTTTTGTTTTTGTAGAAACAGGATCTTGCTTTGTTGCCCAGGCTGGTCTCCAACTCCTGGGTGCAAGGAATCTTCCCACCTCTGCCTCCCAAAGTGCTGGGATTACAGGCATCAGCTATTGTGCCCAGCACATTTTCTTCTTAAATGGGTTTTTATTTGCTTATTCATTTATTTAACAGAGAATGAGCTTTAATAAGTTTGTGAGCATCTACCTTGTTATGGGCAAAATGAAATCGCTTTAGGTAGAATTTTCTCATGAAATGTCAACTTAAATTCAGCTTTTGTAAAGTTGACTTAAAAAAAACATGAACAACCAACTTTTGAGTTTCCTCTGTAGTAAAAGGACATGGTAACACAGGTAAAATGATTTTTTAAGTCAGTTAATTGGCTTATAAACATTATTTCTCCATAGTCTATTCCTGACCATAAGATTTGTGTTCACACGGTATGTGTGTGTATGTATGTAAGTTTCCTGGAGCACGTTGGGCTGCCTGTTCTAGAAGCCGTGGGATGGGCAGGTTCTCCAGGAAATAGAATGGTTAGGGAAAAATGACATATGATCCGTTCTGCAAGTCTAGGCTCCAGATCTATCACACCTGCCATTTTGTGATTTTTTTTTTCCTTACGATTTCTGGAGTGCACTTAATAAAGAATTAGGAAAGAAAACATGTATCCCAATCCTCCCTGCATCCCCGCCTCCAGAGAGGTTAATGATGAGTAATGGGTGTCTCAAGGTCTCCAAACTGATGCTTTAAACAAAACAGCCAAATTTCTGGCTAGATCATTAGAATCCACCTTGGATAGTAATTGTCGTAACCTGTTCAAGGTAACCACATGCTGACTTCTTAAAAAGTATCTTAAGGATTGTTGTCCTGGGAGCCTATTTTTGGTCCTTATGTCTTTGAGGCTGTACATTCAGTTGGAGCTATCTAATGCTTACCTCTTTTAGACTGTGTCTACACTGAGTTTCCTGTTTGGATTAGAACCTGTATAGTTCTGGGAACAGCACCAAATCACATTTTGAGGCTTTAAGTGGAAAATATCAGCTCATGATACCCTTGGGCCTAAGCTTGTGTCTACAAATAGCTTCTTTTTGTGGCAACAAATTAGTTCTGGGGTTTATTTTATTCTGCATTATTTCCGATGTCTGCCTCGCTGCCTGAATTTGCTGAGTGATGGTCAAGTCCTTCATTTATCTTATAAGTAGATCTGTCCTGGATTCATCTTTTGACCTTCCTGTGAAGTTGTTGAGCTTAGACTCCACTCTGTGTTTAAAGCTCCTCTGTAGAGGGTTACATGAAAGGTGCTGTAGAAAGCAGAAATATCATTTTTGTAAATGGGGCTTTAACAAAACTTTTTTATGTTACTGGGAGAAAAAAATCTGACTTACTCATAAAGAAAGCATTTGACTATTTACTTACATAAGCATGTTGTTTTTTCACAGCTAAGGGGTGAGCAGATAATTTGCTGTGTGTGCGGTGACCATTCCGTGGCTCTCCTTCACCTTGAGGGAAAGAGTTGCCTCCTGCATGCCCGGAAGCACCTTTTTCCTGTGAGGATGATAAAATGGCACCCGGTTGAGAATTTTTTAATTGTTGGATGTGCAGATGACTCAGTTTATATCTGGGAAATTGAAACAGGTAAGTTGAAATTTTATCCCTTTCATTCTTTATATATTTATGATGTACAAGCATTTGACCAGATGGAAAGTTTCAGAGAAGACACGGTGATGACCTCACTTGCTTTAACCTTTGTTTGGGCTGCATTTAATGGCTTCAGTTAAAGGCATGTGTGCAAAATTAAACACAACGGCCTAAGTCAGATCCTGACCAACTGATGATTAGCTGACAGGGCAGTGCACAGGAATGAGCCGGATATTTCTGGAAGCTATAAATAAAAACATAAGTTATCTACTTTAATTATTAACAAGAGAGAAATTTAGTGTCCTACTGGTCTCAAATTATCATTAAATTCTGCTTTCTTCAGCATGCTCACCATCTCAGCAACATTTTGAGCTAATTGATGATCAGTAATAATGGAATATAATTAATTATAAAACTCCAAAAAGTTGAGTCAGGGAAACTGAAAACTGAGTGGCTCAATTGAACTTTTGATATCATATCATAGAGAATGTAGAGTTTGAACTTTTTAAAATTAAAAAACAATTACTAAATAACTAAAGATTGAGAGTAATACATTCCAGAAAATGCTGGAACATATCAAATAAGGTGAGGTAATTAATGAACGTGAGTCAGGGGAGTTCGTTTGAGAGTACATTTCACTGAAACTGTAGCATGATTTTTATTGATTAATCAGTGGTGGTTTTATGTTGGGTGTTATTAACAGACTGGATAGTTTATAATATTATAGTTTAGAGCCATACTTCACCAAAATAATTGCTATTTTCTTTGCATTTTACTGTCATGTGTAAGTGATGATGACTAGTGTACTAGTGTTTAGAGGGTGCAACCTAATACTGCCTTACATTTGTAAATTGTTTTATAGCTTTGATGGGCTTTCCTGCTCATTTTCCCATCAGATTCTCACAACTTCTGAGGTAGGTCAGAGAAGTATTATTCACCATTTTATTGATGAGGAATTTGCAGATGTGATACATAAATGTACAAGACTGTACAACTAATAAGTGGTGAACCAGTTTGAGGGTCTTGCTTGTTCTTTGCACAATATACACAAAATTAGGGGAGTTTTAGAATTCTTGATTTGAGCAACAGTTAATTATAATAGATAAAATAGGCCCTAAAGCCTGGGCTTGCCTCCAGAACCTGTTAATAGGACCTCGGATCATATTACATTGCTTCTTTGCTTGTCAATCTCCTCATCTATGAAATGGGGTAATAATACTGCCTTCCTATCAGGATTAAATGAGCTAATACCTACAATGCTTATAAACAGTACCTGCAGGTGGTTAGCCCTTAGTAATAGTTGACTATTGTTATTATCAATGAATGCAGCAAAGTCTTGACTTCTGCTTATAAAATATAAGCCTGTAAATCACATATGCTTATTAATGTGCCCAATTGCATTTTCAGTTGTGAACACTTGGTAACTAAACATATTTTTCATAGGTGATAGAATCCAGCAAGAATAAATAAATATCTGGGCACTCACGAGTGTTTATGGTCCCCTTTTCCCATCGGGATACCCTTAGGCTATGTAACTTTTTATTTATGTATTTCTTTGCCAGAGTGGGAAGTAAAGCAAAGCCAAACCATTAGTACTTCTTGAGATTATATTTATTCCCATTCTGTATTTTAATTTTGTTATTTCTTTTTTATACACCCTCAAATACATAACCAAATGTTGAAGAACGTTTGAAAAATAAATATAAAGAAAAACAAATAATCCTATCCTACTACTTAATAAGTGCTCTTGTCTACTAAAAATATAAAAAAATTAGCCGGGCATGGTGGCGGGCACCTGTAGTCCCAGCTACTCGGGAGGCTGAGGCAGGAGAATGGCGTGAACCCGGGAGGCGGAGCTTGCAGTGAGCGGAGATCGCGCCACTACATTCCAGCCTGGGCGACAGAGCGAGTCTCTGTCTCAAACAAAAAAATAATAATAATAAGTGCTATTAATATTTTGATCTACTTTCTGTCAGACATTTTTCTATGTCAATAAATAGATATTTACTGTATTTTAGTCTATATTGTATTTCAGTCACAGTCCTGGCAGGAAACTGAAGTCAACCCAGATGGGTCAAATGAAGAAACTTGAATGAAAGGACTATTTATAGAGGTGTGGGCAGGGATTAGGGACCAGACAAGGAATGGATGGTGAGGGCCTCCAGCACCCAGGCACTGGCAGCATCAGGAAGCTCTGGCCACCTCTAGGACTGAAGCAAAAAGAGGAGAAAACATTGTTGTTGGAACCCAGTGAGAGTTGAAGCTCAGGAGGAATGGTCACCCCATGAAGTCATAGAAAAGAAGCAGCTCCTGCCAGAGATGGAGGACTCACATAGAGAGGGGAGGGTTGGAAGAAATTCTTTTTTCTTCTGCAGTCACCTCCATTAATTTAATCCACTGAAAGTGAGAGAGGAAGGGCATTCAGTTCTGGGCATCAGCCTCCCTGTGCACAAAAAAGGAAGGACACAGAAGGGTAGGAAAGGACGGAGTGGGTTGTCACATGGACAATAATCGATAGAGTTGTCATTATGGACATACTAGGCTTTAATTGAGGAATCTCCTATAGTTGGTTATCTATACTATTTTCTATAAAAAGTTTGTTTTAGAATTTCCGTATCAAACAGTATGCATAGGTTTAGTGCCAAAGTAACCTAGAGAATATAAGTTGTTCATCTTTTGGTTGTCTATATTAATAGTTTAAAAACAATCTCAACTCATCTTAAGATGAGCTTATAATTGGTGATGATAGTATTAATGATTCTACCCAGACCTTCACATTTGTGACGTGCCTCTTCACTTCTTTAGACACAATCCCATTGACCACCTCATTTGAGCCTTACAACACCCTGTGAAGGTGGCTGGTGGCCCAACTTTCTATATCACATTCATTCCTTTTGAATAAGTTTATGCTGTTCCTTTATTCTCGTGTTGGGTATTGCCTTTGTTGTGTTTTGCCTTTAATCTGTGCAATTTTAATTTTGGTTACAATTTAGTGAATTATGTTTTCTTTTCCAAGCCAGATTTCAGCTGGCTAAGATGCTTCCATCATGTTTACTGCACTTGATTTCTGTTTTATTCTTTACTTACAAAGGTTGAATGGTCTGAGATCAGGAAGTGTTTCCATTTATATTTTCATAAAGCTAGGGGGAAAATACGAACTAAAGCCAAAACAGGCTGAAAAGAGCTATTTGAAGGTATGGAATATACTTGCTCATGGATGTGCCTGGCACACGAATGATAAATGAATGAGTGAACTAATTAATCCAAGTGCCCTTACCTCAGTAGATTGAGTATGAATTAATTCACCTTAACATTGGCCAGTTATGGCTCTTAGATCCTGACTGCCCAACTGTAAGCAGGTCCTTAGCTTTCTGCTTCAAGTCTTCCCTAGGGTTTTGGAGTTCACAGGGCATATTTCACCTCCTCAGGTGAAGGTCTGTGTATTTCCTACTCCAGTCAATTTTTCCTGGGCCTTGGCCTTTTAGTTTTACTATTCTCTCCACAGGGTTCACACTTAGTTCCATGTGTGGACAGACCTATTCCTACTTTCATTTCTCCAGCACTCTGCCTCCTCTAACTACGTGAAGGAGGAATAAATTGACATAAAGGTATTTATCAGATCTTTCAGCACTAGAGCAACTCCAGAGCCCACAGAGAGAAAATAGGAGGTGTTAGTGGGAGAAGAGTTTTGAGGAAAGGGGCCTAGAAAGAAAAGGCAGGAAAAGGGGCTTGAAGCCAAAAGTAATTAATTCTCAACTTGCCAGAAGTCTGCCTTGGTGGGAGCTTGGGGAGTATGGGGTATAGCATAAGTCCCTGTGCCACCCTTCCTCGATTATAGAGGAAAGTTTGCGAGGCCTCTTGCGTTTTTCACGAATACTTTATAAGAGCCTATTCTCACTTTACTTACGAGTCTCTTTGGCAGAATACGTAAGCATATTCTAGAGTCATGTACCACTGTGCCTATTTTATCTTGGACTGATAAGGGTGTTCCTTTCTGTGATAGGTGGCATAGTGAGATGGATGACAGGGTAAATTTTGGGGTCGTAGGTGGACACACTCTTGGGAGTGGCAAACAACTGAGGTAAAGAAATGTTTATGTGACACTGAGGGCCCTCGTCCTCTGGCTAAAAATGTGGCGCTGCCAGGTTAGGAGTGATGAGGGCATCTAGTTTTGCTTATTGATTTGCCGGATGTCCCATGATGTTTAGGCCTGATTAGGAAAGGAAAATATTGCAGATGTCAATTTGATTAATATTTGAGCTCCCACAGTGTATTTGGCACTGACAACTCTGGGCGGCTTGGTCGCCCTCATTGCTGTGAGACACAATAGGCGTAATAATGTATTACTGATTTTATTTTCCCTAAATTACATACCAGAAATAAATCTTAGCTCTGAGCTAATTATTCTTTTAAGAATTGAATTTAAAATAATTCTGAGTACTACTCTTTTCACAGTAGTGGATTTACATAGCAGATAATTTGTGTAATGAATTTCTTGTGTGTTATTAATGTAACTTTCTGTTGAAGGTCTTCTGTTAAGTGTACAAACTGTGTTGGGAAATATGCCATATTAAGTAATTGCACTTTTTTGTGTGGGACAATGAAACCTTGTTTGCTTAAAAATAATACTTTTTAAAAATACCTTAAGATGGATCAGAAACACTTTTTTCTGTAGAGGGCTGGATAGTAAATGTTTTCTGCTTTGTGGTCCGTATGATCTTTGTTACAACTACTGAACTCTCCTATTGTAGCATAAGTGAAGCCATAGACACTACATAAAGGAGAGGGTGACGCTGTGTTCCAATAAAACTTTACTTACAACAACAGGCAGCAGGCCTGATTTGGCCTGCATCTATAGTTTACAGACCCCTGAGAATGATGATTGTTCTTTTTAAATACATTGATTTCATAATAACTCATTCTTAAAGCAATAGAAAATGTTTGATCCATTTTGCCTCACTGTTAAGCAGGACAGGTATAGTTATACCCATTTTACCAGTGAGGAAATAGAACACAGAGAGGTTTTGTGAGTTTGAAGGTCCCCAGAGTAGGTGTTGGCACAGGCACTAGATTATATGTCTCCTTCTTCCATTCTGGTGTGTTCTTCACTTATCGTGCAATGCAAACACCTCTTGCAGATGGAGGTCAGCCTTTTGAGACTGTCAAGCAGGGAATTAGATAAGAACAGCTTTGAAAAGAAAGGAGATGGCTGCCAGGAAGCCTGCTATAAGATCTCCTAAAGGAGAGGGTCTCTGGCTGTCTTTCAGAGTTTGGCTCTAAATTTACACATAGTTCTAACGGCTCTGGTCATCTGATTTCTCAGATGACAGATTAGCCGCAGCAAATTACAAGTGGGGAGGCTGTTCGTGGCTGGCACTCTGATAGCAGAAGCGACAGCTGATGGGAAGGGAGGAGAAGCAAAAGCTATGTATCACTGCTCAGGGCTGTCTTTCTTGTGCTCATAGGAAGATAGTTGCCAAAATATAAAAATGCTGAAATTGCTTCCCTTACTCAGCAAGCTCCTACAGATCTCTGCACAGACCATGGAAAGCTGCCAGTCCACATCCCGTGACTCCTGTTGGAGAACTGGGCTGGCTTCTTCCCAGGTACTGCTGGGCTCCAGGAGGAATATTTAAAAGTATTGTATCCATGGTGGATTCCAGACCTAAGGACATCTCAGAAGCAGCTTGGGGCTTGGGTTTAGGGGACTGAAGTCTTTGACCAATTAGTAGGTAGAAATCAGGGTCCATGGGAGTCTGTTTTTGTTCATTTCTTCTAGTTCCTGCTCAGGTAATGTGGACTGTGTAACACTGAGCAGAAAGCCTCATGATTATAGCATAGCATGAGCACCCAGCCTCTGATTATGACGTGGTTTCTGTAGGAAAACACACTCCAAGTTTTAAAACAAACATTTTTTGTACAGAGCATTGAAACAAAACCTATTCATAAGAAATTAAGGAAGTAAGGAAGAAGATACGTTTCAGAGTTATTTTCACCACAGGTGTTAAATTTTCTTTTTTTGCCTTGCCAGTAAGAAGTCAAAACTTCCACCTTTTAATTTCTTTTTCTTATTAGAAATAGTAGTAGTTAGCTGGAAAATTATTCAATCCACAATACTGCAAAGTGGAGCACTTGTTCTTCCATGTTTTCAAAGTGCATAGGCTTTGAAATAACTAATTTTAAAAAGTTTTTAGAAGAAAAAAGGAAAAGATAAAAATATAAAGAAATGAGTTTTGTCAACCAACAGCTAATAGCTCATGTTTTTCAAAAATATTCAGTGTTTAATCTTGTCGTATAGATTTGAGTTTGCTTTAATAGTTTACAGTGAGGGGTATGTAGAATATGTGCAAGACACGTTTTTCAGAAATATAGCTGTATTTGCCTCAATAGACTAGAATTGTGTGGTAAATTCCTACTTTGCCACACCAAAATATTATACAAGTTTACTACATGGAGAAGTAATTTGCCAGTCCACAGGTTTTACTTGGTCACCTTCTTTTATGGTAGACAACATCTACTATTCCCATACATATAAAATAACATTAAAAATTACACTAGTGACCAACTATACCATTCTCAGAAACAATATTGCTTGGTTTTCTCCTCAAGGTCACCGCTTTGTAGATATCAGGTCAAAGTTATGTTGTGTTGACAGTCTTGTGAGCATAACCAGTATACGATTTTCATTATAGGTATGTTAAAAGTAGGTTTGGGGTATGCCGCATCCTGCAGGTAATAGTCTCTCTAGTATGTCATTTTCTCGAAGCCATGTTATTTTGTTGTGGTAGATTACAGATGGAACCCTCTTGGGTTGATTGGTTTTAGGAAAGAAAAAATAGGATACATTAAAGTATAGGGTGGGATTTTTCCTATGTCACCTTTTCCAGACCTCTTTCTTATTATAATAATTACTGATGTTATTACTCGACATATATTTTTAGTTTACTGACCATTTTTTGAATCTTTGTTTCTGTCTCCTTTGCCCTAGTTATCACAGTTCCACTGCAATTTGTGATTTTGATTCATGCAATATTGTGCATGTGCGTATGTTTGCATGTGTATGCACATGCTGTTGTATATGAACTTTGCAGTTTAGCTATGAAATATTTACACAATTGTCAAAATTTGATCTCTTAAGTAGGCGACAATGTCCAGAGGAGTTATGTACATGAGCCCTGGGAGTCAGCTTGCCTAGGTTTGAATTCTTGTTCCACTCTTTTTATTCTATATTACATAAATCAAGTTTGAACTCCTCAAAACACCATCTCTTAATGGCAGCGAGGGCTGAATAAACATTAACTATTATTTATTATAAATCCTTCATGAATTACTGTACTAGTGTGTACTAAGGATTCATTATTCCTGACTCCTTAACTCCTTCTCTCCATTCTAATTGTGCTCAATAATTATTTCCTGTTCTGGTGAAATGCATACCACTGTGAAGGACACTAGAATTATCACATATGGTTTCCCTCCTTAAAGAGCTTTCAGTGTAATCAGGGAAAACTTGTACCTTTGAAACAATTTGAAAAAATATAAAGCAACATATAAGAAAGTGGCATATGGAATATACTAAAGTGTCCAAGTGTACTGATAAGTATTCCTGTGGGGAGAGTTTTATGACTTGTTCCCATAGCACAGTGCACTTCACCTCTCATAATTACATTTCTGGGGTTAACATCTGTCTTTCTCACTAATCTGAAAACATCTTGAGGGCAAGAATTCTGCCTGTGTGGTTCACTGTTCTATTTCTAGAAGCTGATATGGCACCTGCCACATAGGAAGAACTCAACAAATATTTATTGAATGAAAAAATATTTAGCTTCCATGAGCACAAGTAATGCCACATGATTAATTATTCACCTTTAATCTGTCAAACTAATTCTATTGCTTAGTGTTCAAAGAAAGAAGATTTTTCCACTGTTAACATGTGCAGTCTTTGGCAAATCCCTAAATTGACCAGAGCCCTAGTTTCCTCATGGTAATAATGAAGATACTTAACACACAGTGTTTGCAGAAAAGATGTATGAAGTTACTGTATGTGGAATACTGGCTTTATTTTTGTTAAACATCTATCTATCTATCTATCTATCTATCTATCTATCTATCTATCTATCTATCTATCTGTCTGTCTGTCTGTCTGTCTATCATTTTACATGTTTGCTGTAATAAAAAAGAAACCTGAGCAACGAAAGAAAAAAATAGATGAAGTTTACAAAATTTAAAAACTTTTGTGTATCAAAGGTCATTAACAAGAATGTGAAAAGACAATCTACAGAATGGGAAAAGTAATTTGCAAATTGTACATCTGTTAATGGTCTAATACCCAGAATGTATAAGGAACTCTTATGGCACAGCAACAAAAGACGAGCCACTCAATTCTGCAGAGGACATAGGGCTGGACAAGGTGGCTCATGCCTGTAATTTCAGCACTTTGGGAGGCTAAGGTAGGAGGATCACTTGAGTCCAGGAGTTTGAGACAAGACTGGGCATCATAGTGTGATCCCATCTCTATAAAAAATTTAAAAAATTAGCCAGGCACAGTGGTACGTGCCAGTAGTCCCAGCTATTCTGGAGGCCGAGATGGGAGGATCACTTGAGCTGGGGAGGTTGAGGCTGCAGTGAGCTGTAATCGTGCCACTGTGCTCCAGCCTGGGTGACAGAATGAGACCCTATAAAGGTTATCAACATCATTATTCTTCAGGGAAATGCAAATCAAAGTTATAATGAAATACCATTTCATATTCACTAGGATACTTATAATTTAAAAAGTGGAAAACAAAGAGTATTAGCAAAAATGGAGAAAATAGGAACCCTTGTACATTGCTGGTGGGAATATAAAATGGTACCACCACTGTAGAAACTGTATGACATTTCCTCAAAAGGTTAAAAATAGAATTATGAAATGACCCAGCAATTCCACTCCTAGGTATATACCTAAAGGAAATAAAAACATACCCACACAGAAACTTGTACATAAATGTTTACAGTAGAATTATTCATAATGGCCAAAGTACAGAAACAACCTAAATGTCCATCAATGGAGGAATCTCCATAGACTAATCTCCTGTTAATCTAACAAATCATAATATACACATACAATGAAGTGTTACTCCACCCTCAAAATGTAGCAAGTTGTCATGCTACAACTTGAATGAACCTTGAAAACATGCTAAGTGAAAGAAGTCAGACATACACAAAAATGCACATATTGTATGATTCTTTTTTATATGACATATCCAAAAAAGGCAAATCCATAAAACCAGAAAGCAGATCGGTGGTTGTCAGGAGATGTGGTTGTGGGAGGGTGGAGAATGGGGAATGATTACTTAATGGTATGGGGGATTCTTTTGGGAAGATGAAAATGTTTTGAAACTAGAGAGAGTTGGTGGTTACACAACATTGTCAATGCACTAAATGCCACTGAATTGTGTAGTTAATGTATATTATGTCAATGTTACATCAATTTAAATAAAAACAACATACAGTAAGTCTAAAGGCAATTTTTTTTAAGTTTTTTTTCTTTTATTATTATACTTTAAGTTTTAGGGTACATGTGCACATTGTGCAGGTTAGTTACATATGTATACATGTGCCATGCTGGTGCGCTGCACCCACTAACTTGTCATCTAGCATTAGGTATATCTCCCAGTGCTATCCCTCCCCCCTCCCCCCACCCCACAACAGTCCCCAGAGTGTGATGCTCCCCTTCCTGTGTCCATGTGATCTAATTGTTCAATTCCCACCTATGAGTGAGAATATGCGGTGTTTGGTTTTTTGTTCTTGCGATAGTTTACTGAGAATGATGATTTCCAATTTCATCCATGTCCCTACAAAGGACATGAACTCATCATTTTTTATGGCTGCATAGTATTCCATGGTGTATACGTGCAACATTTTCTTAATCCAGTCTATCACTGTTGGACATCTGGGTTGGTTCCAAGTCTTTGCTATTGTGAATAATGCCGCAATAAACATACGTGTGCGTGTGTCTTTGTAGCAGCATGATTCATAGTCCTTTGGGTATATACCCAGTAATGGGATGGCTGGGTCAAATGGTATTTCTAGTTCTAGATCCCTGAGGAATCGCCACACTGACTTCCACAATGGTTGAACTAGTTTACAGTCCTACCAACAGTGTAAAAGTGTTCCTATTTCTCCACATCCTCTCCAGCACCTGTTGTTTCCTGACTTTTTAATGATTGCCATTCTAACTGGTGTGAGATGGTATCTCATTGTGGTTTTGATTTGCATTTCTCTGATGGCCAGAGATGATGAGCATTTTTTCATGTGTTTTTTGGCTGCATAAATGTCTTCTTTTGAGAAGTGTCTGTTCATGTCCTTTGCCCACTTTTTGATGGGGTTGTTTGTTTTTTTCTTGTAAATTTGTTTGAGTTCGTTGTAGATTCTGGATATTAGCCCTTTGTCAGATGAGTAGGTTGTGAAAATTTTCTCCCATTTTGTAGGTTGCCTGCTCACTCTGATGGTAGTTTCTTTTGCTGTGCAGAAGCTCTTTAGTTTAATTAGATCCCATTTGTCAATTTTGGCTTTTGTTGGCATTGCTTTTGGTGTTTTAGACGTGAAGTCCTGGCCCATGCCTATGTCCTGAATGGTAATGCCTAGGTTTTCTTCCAGGATTTTTATGGTTTTAGGTTTAACGTTTAAGTCTTTAATCCATCTTGAATTGATTTCTGTTTAAGGTGTAAGGAAGGGATCCAGTTTCAGCTTTCTACATATGGCTAGCCAATTTTCCCAGCACCATTTATTAAATAGGGAATCCTTTCCCCATTTCTTGTTTTTCTCAGGTTTGTCAAAGATCAGATAGCTGTAGATATGCGGCGTTATTTCTGAGGGCTCTGTTCTGTTCCATTGATCTATATCTCTGTTTTGGTACCAGTACCATGCTGTTTTGGTTACTGTAGCCTTGTAGTATAGTTTGAAGTCAGGTAGTGTGATGCCTCCAGCTTTGTTCTTTTGGCTTAGGATTGACTTGGCGATGCGGGCTCTTTTTTGGTTCTATATGAACTTTAAAGTAGTTTTTTCCAATTCTGTGAAGAAAGGCATTGGTAGCTTGATGGGGATGGCATTGAATCTGTAAATTACCTTGGGGCAGTATGGCCATTTTCACGATATTGATTCTTCCTACCCATGAGCATGGAATGTTCTTCCATTTGTTTGTATCCTCTTTTATTTCCTCGAGCAGTGGTTTGTAGTTCTCCTTGAAGAGGTCCTTGACTTCCCTTGCAAGTTGGATTCCTAGGTATTTTATTCTCTTTGAAGCAATTGTGAATGGGAGTTCACTCATGATTTGGCTCTCTGTTTGTCTGTTGTTGGTGTATAAGAATGCTTGTGATTTTTGTACATTGATTTTGTATCCTGAGACTTTGCTGAAGTTGCTTATCAGCTTAAGGAGATTTTGGGCTGAGACAATGGGGTTTTCTAGATATACAATCATGTCGTCTGCAAACAGGGACAATTTGACTTCCTCTTTTCCTAATTGAATACCCTTTCTTTCCTTCTCCTGCCTAATTGCCCTGGCCAGAACTTCCAACACTATGTTGAATGGGAGTGGTGAGAGAGGGCATCCCTGTCTTGTGCCACTTTTCAAAGGGAATGCTTCCAGTTTTTGCCCATTCAGTATGATATCGGCTGTGGGTTTGTCATAGATAGCTCTTATTATTTTGAAATACGTCCCATCAATACCTAATTTATTGAGAGTTTTTAGCATGAAGGGTTGTTGAATTTTGTCAAAGGCCTTTTCTGCGTCTATTGAGATAATCATGTGGTTTTTGTCTTTGGCTCTGTTTATATGCTGGATTACATTTATTGATTTGTGTATATTGAACCAGCCTTGCATCCCAGGGATGAAGCCCACTTGATCATGGTGGATAAGCTTTTTGATGTGCTGCTGGATTTGTTTTGCCAGTATTTTATTGAGGATTTTTGCATCAATGTTCATCAAGGATATTGGTCTAAAATTCTCTTTTTTGGTTGTGTCTCTGTCCGGCTTTGGTATCAGAATGATGCTGGCCTCATAAAATGAGTTAGGGAGGATTCCCTCTTTTTCTATTGATTGGAATAGTTTCAGAAGGAATGGTACCAGTTCCTCCTTGTACCTCTGGTAGAATTCGGCTGTGAATCCATCTGGTCCTGGACTCTTTTTGGTTGGTAAGCTATTGATTATTGCCACAATTTCAGATCCTGTTATTGGTCTATTCAGAGATTCAACTTCTTCCTGGTTTAGTCTTGGAAGAGTGTATGTGTCAAGGAATTTATCCATTTCTTCTAGATTTTCTAGTTTATTTGAATAGAGGTGTTTGTAGTATTCTCTGATGGTAGTTTGTATTTCTGTGGGATTGGTGGTGATATCCCCTTTATCATTTTTTATTGCGTCTATTTGATTCTTCTCTCTTTTTTTCTTGATTAGTCTTGCTAGTGGTCTATCAATTTTGTTGATCCTTTCAAAAAACCAGCTCCTGGATTCATTAATTTTTTGAAGGGTTTTTTGTGTCTCTATTTCCTTCAGTTCTGCTCTGATTTTAGTTATTTCTTGCCTTCTGCTAGCTTTTGAATGTGTTTGCTCTTGCTTTTCTAGTTCTTTTAATTGTGATGTTAGGGTGTCAATTTTGGATCTTTCCTGCTTTCTCTTGTGGGCATTTAGTGCTATAAATTTCCCTCTACACAGTGCTTTGAATGCGTCCCAGAGATTCTGGTATGTTGTGTCTTTGTTCTTGTTGGTTTCAAAGAACATGTTTATTTCCGCCTTCATTTCGTTATGTACCCAGTAGTCATTCAGGAGCAGGTTGTTCAGTTTCCATGTATTTGAGTGGTTTTGAGTGAGATTCTTAATCCTGAGCTCTAGTTTGATTGCACTGTGGTCTGAGAGACAGTTTGTTATAATTTCTGTTCTTTTACATTTGCTGAGGAGAGCTTTACTTCCAAGTATGTGGTCAATTTTGGAATAGGTGTGGTGTGGTGCTGAAAAAAATGTATATTCTGTTGATTTGGGGTGGAGAGTTCTGTAGATGTCTATTAGGTCCACTTGGTGCAGAGCTGAGTTCAATTCCTGGGTATCCTTGTTGACTTTCTGTCTCGTTGATCTGTCTAACGTTGACAGTGGGGTGTTAAAGTCTCCCATTATTAATGTGTGGGAGTCTAAGTCTCTTTGTAGGTCACTCAGGACTTGCTTTATGAATCTGGGTGCTCTTGTGTTGAGTGCATATATATTTAGGATAGTTAGCTCTTCTTGTTGAATTGATCCCTTTACCATTATGTAATGGCCTTCTTTGTCTCTTTTGATCTTTGTTGGTTTAAAGTCTGTTTTATCAGAGACTAGGATTGCAACCCCTGCCTTTTTTTGTTTTCCATTTGCTTGGTAGATTTTCCTCCATCCTTTTATTTTGAGCCTATGTGTGTCTCTGCACGTGAGATGGGTCTTCTGAATACAGCACCCTGATGGGTCTTGACTCTTTATCCAATTTGCCAGTCTGTGTCTTTTAATGGGAGCATTTAGTCCATTTACATTTAAAGTTAATATTGTTATGTGTGAATTTGATCCTGTCATTATGATGTTAGCTGGTGATTTTGCTCATTAGTTGATGCAGTTTCGTCCTCGTCTCGATGGTCTTTACATTTTGGCATGATTTTGCAGTGGCTGGTACCGGTTGTTCCTTTCCATGTTTAGCACTTCCTTTAGGAGCTCTTGTAAGGCAGGCCTGGTGGTGACAAAATCTCTCAGCATTTGCTTGTCTGTAAAGTATTTTATTTCTCCTTCACTTATGAAGCTTAGTTTGGCTGGATATGAAATTCTGGGTTGAAAATTCTTTTCTTTAAGAATGTTGAATATTGGCCCCCACTCTCTTCTGGCTTGTAGGGTTTCTGGTGAGAGATCCGCTGTTAGTCTGATGGGCTTCCCTTTGAGGGTAACCCGACCTTTCTCTCTGGCTGCCCTTAACATTTTTTCCTCATTTCAACTTTGGTGAATCTGACAATTATGTGTCTTGGAGTTGGTCTTCTCGAGGAGTATCTTTGCGGTGTTCTCTGTATTTCCTGAATCTGAATGTTGGCCTGCCTTGCTAGATTGGGGAAGTTCTCCTGGATAATATCCTGCAGCGTGTTTTCCAACTTGGTTCCATTCTCCCCATCACTTTCAGGTACACCAATCAGACATAGATTTGGTCTTTTCACATAGTCCCATATTTCTTGGAGGCTTTGCTCATTTCTTTTTATTCTTTTTTCTCTAAACTTCCCTTCTCGCTTCATTTCATTCATTTCATCTTCCATCACTGATACCCTTTCTTCCAGTTGATCGCGTCGGCTCCTGAGGCTTCTGCATTCTTCACGTAGTTCTCGAGCCTTGGTTTTCAGCTCCATCAGCTCCTTTAAGCACTTCTCTGTATTGGTTATTCTAGTTATACATTCTTCTAAATTTTTTTCAAAGTTTTCAACTTCTTTGCCTTTGGTTTGAATGTCCTCCCATAGCTCAGAGTAATTTGATCGTCTGAAGCCTTCTTCTCTCAGCTCGTCAAAGTCATTCTCCATCCAGCTTTGTTCCGTTGCTGGTGAGGAACTGCGTTCCTTTGGAGGAGGAGAGGCGCTCTGCGTTTTAGAGTTTCCAGTTTTTCTGTTCTGTTTTTTCTCCATCTTTGTGGTTTTATCTACTTTTGGTCTTTGATGATGGTGATGTACAGATGGGTTTTTGGTGTGGATGTCCTTTCCGTTTATTAGTTTTCCTTCTAACAGACAGGACCCTCAGCTGCAGGTCTGTTGGAATACCTTGCCTTGTGAGGTGTCAGTGTGCCCCTGCTAGGGGGGTGCCTCCCAGTTAGGCTGCTCGGGGTCAGGGGTCAGGCACCCACTTGAGGAGGCAGTCTGGCCCTTCTCAGATCTCCAGCTGCGTACTGGGAGAATCACTGCTCTCTTCAAAGCTGTCAGACAGGGACATTTAAGTCTGCAGAGGTTACTGCTGTCTTTTTTGTTTGTCTGTGCCCTGCCCCCAGAGGTGGAGCCTACAGAGGCAGGCAGGCCTCCTTGAGCTGTGGTGGGCTCCACCCAGTTCTAGCTTCCCGGCTGCTTTGTTTACCTAATCAAGCCTGGGCAATGGCGGGCGCCCCTCCCCCAGCCTGGCTGCCGCCTTGCAGTTTGATCTCAGACTGCTGTGCTAGCAATCAGCGAGACTCCATGGGCGTAGGACCCTCCGAGCCAGGTGCAGGATATAATCTCGTGGTGCGCCGCTTTTTAAGCCCGTCGGAAAAGCGCAGTATTCGGGTGGGAGGGAGCCGTTTTTCCAGGTGCCGTCTGTCACCCCTTTCTTTGACTCAGAAAGGGAACTCCCTGACCCCTTGTGCTTCCCGAGTGAGGCAGTGCCTCGCCCTGCTTCGGCTCATGCACGGTGCGCACACCCACTGACCTGCGCCCACTGTCTGGCACTCCCTAGTGAGATGAACCCGGTCCCTCAGATGGAAATGCAGAAATCACCGTCTTCTGCGTCGCTCACCCTGGGAGCTGTAGACCGGAGCTGTTCCTATTCAGCCATCTTGGCTCCTCCGGCAATTCTTAAAAACAGTAGAATCTCAACATTTGCAGAAAATCATTGTTAAAGGTTCGTCTATTATACCTGCAATGTTTTCTTTCTTTTATATATTAACGTATACAAAGATATGCTCATACTTATTTTCATATTGTGATTTTAAGATTTTGCTGATTTTAAAAATTAATTGATATCCTTTATTATATGCATTTTATTTACAAATGTTAAATTATTATTGGAAAAAAAGGGTTCGTTGACATCCCCAGATTGTTGATGGGGTTCATGGTGTAAAAAAGGTTAAGAACTCCTGTTAGTCTAAGAGATTTTGAATTACTCAATGGTAGCAGTACAGTTGGGAAGTATAAGTGAAAATCTGCTATTTTATTTGCCAGGCTGTCTGTATTTGCCATCCGTATACTTTTTAAAAAATCAGACCATATATATATATGAGATTTATAGATGTATCATTGATTAGATCTCTTCTTCCTCTTTCTCTCTCTCCTGTGTGGTTCTTACCCAAGTAATTATAAATTAATATACTTAATATTCACTATATTCTGTGTGTGTGTTTTTAAAATCTATTTTCTATGGGGAAATAGGTACATGTAAAATACATAATGTAAGAAAGAGAGCAATTTATAGTAGCCAAAGACAGTTGTTTCATAGGATTCAGTTAGTATAAAAATGAAAGTAAATTTTATGTAGAGAAGATACTATCCTTATTTTAAAAAATTTTGTATGGATACATAAGATTTTACATATTCCTGGGGTACAAGTGATACTTTCTTATATGCCAGTATATGTAATGATCAGGTTAGGGTATTTGGGGTTTCCATCACCTTGAGTATTTATCATTTCTATGTGTTGGGAACAATCAGATTATCTCTTCTAGCTACTATGACATGTATAATACATTGCAGTTAATTCTAGTCACCCTATTCTGATGCCAAACATCAGAACTTACGCCTTCTAAGTATGTGTGTATACCCTGATAGGGTTTGGCTCTGTGTCCCCACCCAAATCTCACCTCAAATTGTAATCTCTGTGTGTCAAGGGAAGGGAGGGACCTGTTGGAAGGTGATTGGATCATGGGGGCAATTTCCTCCATACTGTTCTCATGATAGTGAGGGAGTTCTCACAAGAGCTAATGGTTTTAAAAGTATTTGGAAGTTGCTCCTTTACACTTCTCTCCTACCACTGTGTAAGGCATCCCTTGTTTCCCCTTCACCTTTTGCCATAACTGTAAGTTTCCTGAGGCTTCCACAGTCATAAAGAAATGTGAGTCAATTAAGCCTCTTTCTTCCATAGATTGTCCAGTCTCTGTTATTTCTTTATAGCAGTGTGAAAACAGACTAATACAGAGAACTGGTATAAGTAGAGTGGAATACTGCTATAAAGATAACCTGAAAATATGGAAGCAACTTTGGAACTGAATAACAAGCGGAGGTTGGAACTGTTTACAGGGCTCAGAAGAAGACAGGAAGTATATGTTGGGAACTGGAATAAAGGTGACTCTTGTTATGCTTTAGCAAGGAGTCTGGCCGTATTTTGCCCCTGCCCTAGAGATATGTGGGACTTCAAATTTGAGAGAGATGATTTAGGGTATCTGGTGGAATAAGTTTTTAAGCATTCAAGAGGTGACCTGGATTATTCTGAAAACATTCAGTTTTATGCATCCGTGAAGAGATGGTGGGAAAAAAAAATCAGAGCAAAAATACAGTAATAAGAAAGAGTTTGACCTTACTTTGAACCAAATTAAATAAACAATTAATACTGCATCACTGAAGAGAGGCATGTAAGTCTCGTTGTATATATATATTTTATTTCAATGTAGAGACAAGACCCAGTGTACATCTTTACATGCATGTGCATGCAAACAGACACATGAGTGCATCCTCCCACCCCACAGGCCCACCACAGTCGTCGTCTTTAGTTCCATGTGGTGAACATGGATCTCCACTTTGGTGAAATTATGTAATTGTTAACTTGATCTTATAGTTTTACAAACTTTTCAAAGTAAGGACATTCCAAGGATGAAGTAGTAAAATGGTCTGCATGAAGTGGTTTCTGGTGTGCATTGTAAAATGGTCTGCATGAAGTGGTTTCTGGTGTGCATTGTAAAATTCAGGTATCACATTGAAAGGCTGTCAACAAAACAGGCACATGTAATTTTTCCCCCAAATTTAGAGTTTTTGTCAATCTTTATTAGTTATAAACATTGGAAGAATTACCTACATTTTATTACAGGATTATACTTTATATAAACATTTCTATATTGTTTTTAGGTATCCATGACTTATTTTAAAAATTCTACATCATTTGATTCACTTTTTTTTTCAAGTGACACACACACAGGTATTTGTGGATGTGTGTGTGTGTGCATTTTAATTGAGATATTATTCAACTCCACCTTTTTTTGGTTCTCCTGGCATCTTAATATATATTAGGCATATTATTGTGGTATTTGCAGGATGTCTTCAGAACATTTTGTATGCTCAGAAACAAATAGGAAAATCAATACAGTCTCATTCTAATGATAAAAATAAATATTGTCTGCTCTTAAAATTACTTTCATCAATTAAGTCCCACCCTTTGCTGCCTTTATTGTTTCCTTTGGCAGTTGCTATCTTCCTGGGTTTTCCTTTAGTAAAGAAAATACTGGCTGTAATCAGTTTTAGCGATTCCTGTGGTCTGATTACACTTTTGGATTGAGTTCTGGCTGAGTAGTTTGTTATGTATCTGGTATCTGCATTTAATGTTTACGGGGGCTTCACCTACAACAGTAGAAAAAGAAACACATCAGGATGGCTGCTCTTTGGCTCCTCCTTAACTAGGCCCTTTCTTCAAGCATTTTATATGACACTTGGAACGTTAGTGGGTTTCACAGCTGTAACGTTTAGTGGAAATAAACCCAAAGGAGCCATCTGCCCTCCCCACGCTGCCTTCTTTCAATTCCCTAGCAACTTCCCAGTAGCCAGCTGCCACAGAAACAATTGGAAACGCAAGACTCAGTGGACTGTAATGATTGTTATTCTCTGGGAAAGTAGGTTCTCTGATTTGGCTGAGAGATAAAGGATACTGGATGCACTTGATTCATCTGACTGTATCAATAATATCCAACTCCTACCATTTGCTTACCTGTTAAGATTTGATGGGAAAGGTCTTTTGTGTTTCTAGGGATGAACTAGATGAAAACAAATTCAAAGGTCAAGTCCTTGGCTTGGGAGTGGTGAGCAGAGAATTCGACTGAGGGAATGTCAGATTTTATCTTCTGTGCTGCAAATAATGTTGCCTGCTGATCTCAGCCTTGTCAGTGCATCCCAGGCAATAGATTGGCCCACCACTTTCCCCAGTCCTTTTCACATTTGGGGGAAGCAGGTTCCATTCCACTGAGACCCATATGCTGAGTAGACAAAGGACCTGCTTCAGCCCTTGGAGCATCTGAGTACCCAACACTCCACTGAAAGGCACATGATGCCATCTTACAGTTCATCAGTTGAGCAGATAACAAGCTGTTTTTGTAAATTTAGTAAATGAATTGTATTTTCTGCTAATAAAAAATTTAGAAAATTTATGGGGTTAAGGTTCTAGGAAGATAACTAAGATAAGAAGATTTAATAAAAACAATTGGCTTTAACCCATGATTTACCCCGCAGGTTAACTTTCTTTGGTCACCACATTTTTCTTACTTCTGGAAGTATCAACCATAAGTCAAGTTTGAAAATTACAGTTACATGTTCCTTATTAGAGGTCTGTCATTTAAAAATAGAAATTCTCTCCATATCTTACAACCATGATAGTTTTCTTAAGCTTGGTCTGTTAGCAAAGTTATCTCCCATCAATAATTGTGTAAAGAAACTTGTGCTTCTTTTAAACATTGAATTTAACAGAATTGTTAGTACATTATGATCTAATCATAGAGGGCATAGATAAAACAATCCGCCAAGCTTGGGGTTGGAATTGCATGACTAAGCATACTTGTATAGATATAAATAGGAGCTAAATGCATGAGTTAATATACTATATTGCAGGAAACTGAGCATTCTATTAACCTATCTTATCTCAGAGAATATTTCTGGTTAGTTCTGGCCACCTTGCTACCAGTTATTTGGAGTATAGGCCTACATTCTCTTAGCCAAAATTTATAAATCTAAAAATCTCTGAAAATAAAAGTTTTTAATAGTTTGTAGTAAAGCAACATAACCAAAATTTAAATTGCATAAGGTTATTTATTTCACTAAGTGTAAGTATTCTTCCTTTTCTTTTTTTTTTTGCTGCAGATATATAGCATGTTTGATTACTGTCTGCTCTGTTAGACCTTGCTCCAGTTATTATATAATATGCATATGTGCATTATTTTATCTCTCCAAAATCTGAAAAATCATGAATTCTAAATTCCTATGGTCTCAAATGTTTTGGATAAGGAATTGTGGGCTTCTATTATTTTTCTCTGAGATTCTTCCCAAAGTAACTGGTGGTTTCCTACAAAATGCCATCTCCACTCTATATCTTTGCCTCCCATTGATTTAATACAGTTTAATCTGGCTTTTGCTACACTTTTTCCATTGGAACTCTTCTTCCTATACCTCACTGCCAAGTTGAGTTGCCATGCTCTGGGTCACAGGTACTTGTCTGCAATCACTCTGCCATCAATGTCCTTCTTTCCTCCCTCTCTCTCTCCATCCTCAGCCTCATATGACACTGCCTTCTCCTGATGGCCAATGGTCCCTCTTTCTCAGACTGCCCTACTTCTACATGCTTTCTGTATATTGTTCTTTGGGTTTATTCTCAAAGTTTTCTTTTCCTTGTATCTTCTTTGGGCTGTCTTATTAACACAGATGCTTTTTTATTATGATGATTGTGGTAAAATATAAACAAAGATGTGGGATCTTTACATAACATAGAATTTACCATTTTAAGCTTTTTGAAGGGTACAGTTCAGTGGCATTAAGTATGCTCACATTGTTGTGCAACCATCACCATCATCCATCTCCACAACTTTTTCAGCTTCTTTAAATGAAACTCCATACCCACTGAACAGTAATGCCCCATTTGTCCTTTCCCAAATTCCCTAGCAACTGCTATTCTACTTTCTGTTTCTGTGAATTTACCTGTTCTGGGTTGGGTATATCATATAAGTGGAATCATGCAATATTTGTTCTTTTGTGACTGGCTTATTTCACTTAGCATGAGGACTTCAAGTTTCATCCATTTTATAGCATGTGTCAGAATTTCCTTTTTTAAGGCTGACTGATACTCCATTTTAGGTGTATACACCATTTTATTCATCCATTCATTATTTGATGGACACTTGGGTTGCTTCCATCTTTTGGCTCTTGTGAATAATGCTGCTGTGAACATGGGTATACAAATATCTATTCATATCGTTGTTTTCAGTCAATTTTGGTATATACCCAGAAGTCAACACAGATGCTTTAGACCATGATCTATACATTATGAGAGGTGGGGGATAGAACCTTGTGGCATAGGATACGCAGCCACGCATACTGGGGTCTTTACCAGACAGGGGACCAAAAAAGGGAGGAAGAGCAAGTTGTTCTCTAATTCAGAATTGGGTAGGACAAAGGCTGATGCCGGAAAGTCTCTGTTCTGTAAGACTCCCTCTATAGTAGAGATAAAGTATATGCATCTGTATACAAAACACCTAGAGGAAGTGGCAGCAGAGATTATAAACTACAGAAATAAGGATGATAGTAAGAAGGGATAGGGTAGAATGCTCCGGGAAAAGAAGGAAAAGGAAATGGTTCTATAGAGTTAAGAGCCCACCAAAGACTACTGGCTATATAGGGAACCTGTGTAGCCATTCCATGGAAGTCCTAATCAGTACCTGTTTCTTAGCCCCAATACTATCAATAATGTCTAGTGATGAAGTTGGGTTATTTGAAAGATAAACTATTGCTACATTTATTTCGTAAGCCTTCAGTAAAAGATAGAATTATACATTTTCAGAGGTGGCAAAAACATTAAAAAATAAAATGTTTTAAGGGCAGATGGATTGGGATGTTCCTAATCTTTTATATGAACTTTTGAAAAATTTGCTGATTGTCTTGCCAATAAAGTTCTTTCTTCAGTTCTCTTCTCTGTATTGCCAACCAAACATTCCCTACTTTAAATCTATCCCTAAACCTGCCAGTCCCCATAATCTCTGGTAGAAATGTAACTCTACCACATAGCATTATGGCCTTGCCTGTCTTTTTAGTTAAAATACTTTCCCTAATCACCCTCCCAACCACAGGAAACACTAATACCCTGTCACTTATTCTTCCTGATCTTCCATTTCTTTGCAGTTAACGGGATTGTTTTAAGAATTAAATGGCACTTAAAAATACTCAATTAGTGGTAGATAATGGCAATTTTGATGATGATGATGATGATAAAGAAGAGGATGAGAAAACAATATTTTATCTCTTACATGTGCTTCTGTATTAGTCTGTTCTCACACCTGAGACTGGGTAATTTACAAAGAAAAGAGGTTTACTTGACTCACAGTTCCACGTGTCTGGGGAGGCCTCACAATCATGGTGGAAGGAAAAAGGGGAGCAAAGTCATGTCCTCCATGGCAGCAGGAAAAAGAGAGTGTGTGCAGGGGAGCTTCCCTTTATAAAACCACCAGACTACTCACTATCATGAGAACAGCACAGGAAAGACCTGACCCCATGATTTAATTACCTCCCACGGGGTCCCTCCCAAGACACATGGGAATTATGAGAGCTAAAATTTGAGATTTGAGTGGGGACAGAGCCAAATCATATCAGCTTCCTTTGGAAATAGAATGCTTTAAAAGGAATTTTTTGATGTGGCATATGATTGTGGAATCACCAGCTATTTAGAGAATATCTGAATGGCTTATAGTACTTAGGGTGTAAGAAAGGGGAAGGAGTTATAAAAAAGTATGAAATGTCTAACTAGCCATCACACTTACTTATTTTTATGTGTTTATGCATTTAGTTATATATTATGTTTAAGAAGCAAGAATTGGCTGGGCACGGTGGCTCACGTCTGTAATCCCAGCACTTTGGGAGGCCAAGGCGGGTGGATCATGAGGTCAGGAGATTGAGACCATCCTGGCTAACACAGTGAAACCCCGTCTCTACTAAAAATACAAAAAATTAGCTGGGCGTGCGGGAGGGTGCCTGTAGTCCCAGCTGCTTGGGAGGCTGAGGCAGGAGAATGGCGTGGACCCAGGAGGCAGAGCTTGCAGTGAGCCGAGATGGTGCCACTGCACTCCAGCCTGGGCGACCAAGTGAGACTCTGTCAAAAAAAAAAAAAAAAGCAAGAATTTCACGTATAAAATAGTAAAGAATGACTAAAATATTTGAAATCTAAATATGTTGTTCTGAGTAAAAGTACTGCCACAAGTCCTGGTTATATTAATTTCCTATTGCGTATAACAAATTAACACAAACTTAGCAGCTCAAAACAACACCTATTTATTGTCTCACAGTTCTGTAAATTAGAAGTCCAGGCAAACTCAACCAGGTTCTCTATTTAGGATCTCATGAGGCAAAATAAATATGTCAGCCAACTGGGCTCTCATCTAGAGGCTCTGGGAACCAATTCACTTTCAAACTAATTCAGGTCCTTGGCAGAATTTAGTTCTTTTCACTTGTAGGTCTGAGGGCCTTGCTGGCTGTGGCCAGGTGTTGCTTTCAGCTCCTAAAGGCCACTCCCTGACCTTTATTCATGGCCTCCTGCCACTTCCAAGCTAGCAATGGCACATCAAATACTTCCAATGTTTTAAATCTCGACTTCCTCTTGTTTGAGTGGCTGGAGAGAACTTTCTGCATTCAAAGCGCTCATCAAATTAGGCCTGGTCTATTTGAATAATCTGCTTATTATAAGGACAACTGAGTAGAAACGTTAATTACATGTGCAAAGTTCCTTTTGCCCTTTAATAATCACTGGAGGGCCATCCTATCATATTCAAAGGGGAGGGAATCACATAAGGATGACTGTCATTGGGGATTATTAGTAGAAGTCTTCCTATTACATTAGTGGTCAGGTAGGACAGTCCTACCTTTCTGGAGGTCCTCACTGGTGAGTGAGTCTATAGAAAGGAAGTGTGAAGAGATGAGAGAGCCTTTTGAGGTCACTGGGTGTGGTAATATGGTATTGAATTTTACAAGTGGCACTGGGGACCTAGGAGTATAGTGAGGGTACCCTGAGCCTTGGTGGTTTCAAAACAAATCCTGACATGCCTGCTGGAGCATTAGTCACCCATTATTTGCCTAAGGCAAATCACCATCATGTCCCAAGGGAAAACTGATGGCAGTTAAAATGTTTTGGTACTCTCATCTCTACTATATCCTTCCTCTCCAAAAAAATAACCAAAATAACTCTCATAGGACTTCACCCCTCACCCAGCACTTTATTCAAGAGACCATACCCCAATTTATCCTTTCCCAATACTCTTCCTCTTCCCAGGAAAAATTCCAGATCAACTCAGCAAGATATTGATCTGATTAAATTAATTGACACCAGAAGCATATAAATGAACAGACTCAAATCTCTTCAAGGATATTATACCCAATAAGTAACTTAACCTACAATTAAAAGCATGAGGGACAAAATCTACTTTTGAAATATTTTAAAATTTAAAAATAACATGCCTGGTGTAATAAATTTAAATAATGCGACGTGATGAATGAAATTTTGAAATACTCAGTAGCAGTATAATTTTATAGTTTTGTATATAATAGATAATTGTACAATTAATTAAATGTATTCTTTACGTTATACTTAAGAAACACTTGGCTGTGAATATCTACCTCTTAAATTGGTTGTAAATTGTATTTAGTCTTAGAGTGAGGTTAAAAATTAAAAATTAGTCATAGTAGATTTTTTTTTTTTTTTTTGAGACAGAGTCTCACTCTGTCTCAAGGCTGGAGTGCAGTGGTGCAATCTCAGCTCACTGCAACCTCCGCCTTCCAGGTTCAAGCGATTCTTCTGCCTCAGCTTGCCAAGTAGCTGGGACTACAGGCATGTGCCACCATGCCCGGCTAATTTTGTGTATTTTAGTAGAGATGGGGTTTCACCATGTTGGCCAGGATGGTCTCAATCTCCTGACCTCGTGATCCGCCTGCTTCGGCCTCCCAAAGTCATAGTAGATGTTACGCTGCTAGCGTGTGTTAATAAATAGATACCTTATCAAGAAAACCCTAGTTTAAAATGTGTTGAAAATTAATGCATTCTTTGCTATCTTTACACATCTCAGCAACTTTAAACCTCCAGGTGTTTCAATCCTTTTTTTTTCTTTCAATTGTCCCCCGCCACACCTCTTTATTCCGTTTTTCTGGAGGTCTGTGGTCAGAATTAGACGTGAGGGTTGAATGTGGCCCAGCTGATAAATCCCAGCATTGCTGTGAATGTGCTGGAGGCTGTGGCAGAGCTGGGGTTAAGGTCATGGTGGTTAGAGACTTTTTAAAAATGTATCCTATATACCCTTAAGGTACAGAAGATTGATGTGACGCCAATCTAAGTTTGTTATCATATTAGGGCCTCTATATAGTACAAAATAAGCCAGGTCTTTGACACTCCATTTTTTAGCTGAATTTATTATATCAACTACATTTAGGAATGAAGGTAAGTACCTTTATCCCTAATTTAATGTTTTAAGACTCATTCCCTTTCCCCACCCTTCCATTATTTTCTAGTTAGCTAAATTTGATACCTCCAGGGCCCCTGTTTGTGGTGGGAACCCCCATCAGTTATACATTTCCTGGAGTAAGATGCAGTAACTGTGAAATGGTTTTAATAGAAAGGGGGTGCTAGGTCGATCTCCATATGTGTTTCTGAGCAAGGCAATGAACTTCATGAGTAACTGAAAATAAATGATAAATTGTATAACAGACCCAATGGTCAAATTTTTTGATTTGTGGAATTTGATTATAACTGTCAGTCAGTGGTTTTGTTGAAACCTGACTTTTATGAATTTGATTATCAAATTTGGTAGTGAGGTCATTTTTTAAAACTTACTCTGTTTCAGAGAGAGTCACTTTGAAATATTGTCCTCTTAATCACTTGCCCAATATCATAATGGATTCAGTTAGAAAATGCCTACCCAATATGGAAAAGACCTAATTCTATAATATGTCCACTCACATGTTCTTGCTATTAAGCTTTGTTCATTTAAATACAATTATTTGCTAAATAATTCCTATCCTATTATGTGATTAGTGATGAATATATATGCTTTTTTTTTTCTTGAGATGGAGTTTCACTCTTGTTGCCCAAGCTGGAGTGCAATGGCGCGATCTCAGGTCACTGAAACCTCCGCCTCCCGGGTTCAAGGGATTCTTCTGCCTCAGCCTCCTGACTAGCTGGGATTACAGGTGTGCAGCACCACGCCTGGCTAATTTTTTGTATTTTTAGTAGAGACGGGGTTTCGCCATGTTGGTCAGGCTGGTCTTGAACTCCTGACCTCAGGTGATCCACCCACCTCGGCCTCCCAAAGTGCTGGGATTACAGGTGTGAGCCACTGCACCCGGCCCTATATGCTTTTTTCACAATGAAATATATATGCTTTTTCCACAATCCAATAATAAGCAGAATATTTAATTTAAAATGTTTTCCTTTTCTATGAAACAAATTTGTTTGAGATTCATTGGTTTACAATATATGTGCTTTGGATGGTCTGGGAGAATTTTATGTTTCTATAGAAATGGTGTTTCTACACTGTTCTTCTTTGGAAAGACACCATGAGTTATAGTAAGTCAATTAGTCTCAAATGTATTTATGTATAATTTTAACATAAAGAAAATGTTTCTGTACAACATGATAAAGTGTTAATCCATCTGGGTGATGTTGTTTAGTCTTAATTTCCTCTTGATCATTTGCAGATGGATTCATCAAATGACTATGATTTCTTTTTAAATTATTTCTCTCCCTTTGAGCATAATAGCTATTCTTTTTTTTCATAGACTTAGTGGACCGAGTTAATTTGTAGGAGGAAGTATGTAATTTAAAGCTATTCATACATTGATATTAGGCTAGGATACTTTTGTTAATTTTGGAAAGTAAATGTCAATGGGAGTTGAAAACAAGTTTCTTTTCTTTTCTTTTCTTTTCTTTTTTTGAGACAGTCTTATTCTGTCACCCAGGCTGGCTGGAGTGCGGTGGCATGATCATGTCTCACTACAGCCTTGACATCCCAGGCTCAAGCAATCCTCCCACCTCAGCCTCCTGAGTAGCAGGGACTACAGGCGTACACCACCATACCCAGCTATTTTTTGTAGAAATGGGGTTTCGCCACCTTGTCCAAGCTGGTCTTGAACTCCTGAGCCCAAGGGATTAGCCCGCCTCAGTCTCCCAAAGTGCTGGGATTACAGGAGTGAGCCACCACTCCCAGCCAAAATAAAATATTTAAGTAGAAGACAGCAAATAATAAAATTATGCACAAATTTCAAGGAAAATAAAATCAAGGAAACAACTTCTGGCTGTTTGGAAGGGAATTGAAGTGTAGAATGTGATGGCTCTTTCTTCTCCTTCTTTAGGTAGATGTTTAGATCTTTTTCATCATTTGGGCAGATGTATAGAAGTGTGCTCTTTACTCTGTGCCTTGCTCTTCTACTGCAGTTGAAGGCTGCATCCTTCACACTACATGTCATGCTTTAAGACAGCCTGATATTGCAAGATCAGATCTCATAACCGGTACATCACAAAGTGATTATTTGCTCTATTTAAGAACAAAACAAAAAACTGTAGATGCCTATAAATTTGACAATCCTAATGGGTTTACAAGAGGGCTGTATTTTAGCAACATACTGATTTACAGCAGTTTCAGAATCTTCCTTCTTTCTTGTGCAGAAACTGCTAACAGGGGTTTATGCTCGTCTCCTGAAACAGCTCACTCCAAATTCACTTGGAGTGGCTTTTTTTTTTTTTTAATCGGCATTTAATCCTCACCTATGTGCTGCTAATGCTTAAGGCTTTGTGTCTCTGCTCTGATCTCTACCTGGAACTCCACATGCTGTCTATTTGGGCATCCTTAAACTTGGCCTTTACCGTAATAGAAACATCTCTGCCCCATTCTTATTAGGGCCCCTATTAGGTAGGAAGCAGTAGAAGTAAAGTTAATTTTATCAGAAAGTGGTGTTTATTATAAGGATTCAGGTGTGTATTTCAGACACTTTAGGGGCACTATTCCTTAGGAAGGATCTAGAAACAAAACTAGAAAGTTGTAAGTGCTCTCTCTCTCTCTCGCTCTCTCCCTCCCTCTTTCCCCTTCTCCCCATCTCTCCTCTCCCTCTTCCCTTTTTTTTCTCTTTTCTCTTCCCCTTTCTTCCTTCTCCATTTCTGTCTCTCTCTGTGCATTTTCTTATTTCCATCTCATCTTTAGACTAGCATCTTCTGTTCTGTAGTCCACGAAGCAAGAAATGGCTAGTTCACAGGTCAAGACAACACGTCACATTCAGAAACTGACTCGCTGTCTCCAATTACAAGTTCTTGTGCCATCAGGAGTGACCTGGCAACATTGCTGAAAGCTGGGACAGGCCTCAGGCTTGTGAATGGCACTTTTCGCAGTGTTGGCCTCTCCTGGGCTCTAGGGTCTAAGTTTATAGTGCATATTTCTGGCATTAAATCTTGTCACACTGAGACCCTCATATGCTCTGATGCTTTATAGCCACCTCTTTTCACTGCCTCAGGGAAAGGATAAAATTCTTCAATTTCTTCGGTGAATATTTAGAAAGACCTGCTTTGTACCAAGCTCATGGAACACATACTTGCCAAAAAGAGTTTAGTATCTGTTGGGGAAGCAAGCAAATAAAGGACACCAATTACAAATGTGATAAGTTCTATAAAGTGAAGAAGCTGAGATAGAAAACAGTACAAGATAGGGGAATCTATTTTAGAAGGCTTCTCTGAGGAGGTGAGATTTTAAGCTAATACCTGAAGGATGTGCTAGAGCTAGCAGGAAAAAATTTGTTTGTTTTCAACAAAAGAAAAAGAAAATCTAATTTGTGAATAAGGGGAGGCTGACATGGGAGAAAGCAGAGCGAGGGTGAGACTATGACTTCTTGGTCAGGGAGTTTAGGTTTAATCCCAAGTGCAGCGCCAGTTAAAAAAAAATCATGAGCAGGTTGTTGATGTCATATAATCTATTAAGAAGTATTATCTAGCCTTTAATTTATGCCAGACCCCATTCTGGTGTACTGAAGAGGATTAAAAAATAAGTCAAATATATAATCCTACTCTGAGTTTGATTGTAACGTAGCCTGTGAGGAAAGGCTGATTGAGGAGGTTCAAGTCTCAGGTAGGAAGCCCTGGGGGCCCAAGCTGGCCATATGCCCAGTGACCTCAGGCCTAGGTGTCAGGCAGACTCTAGTGCTTGGGGGCCAAAGAGGTTTGTTAATCAGCTCACAAGCAGCTGAGTGAGGACCTCTCTCGTGTGACAAAGAGGGCTGTCATATAGCACAGCATTCACTGTGTGCCGAAACCTCTAAGCACTTGTTATATCTACTCAATTTAATCCTCAAGTAACTCCATGATGTAGGGATTATTATTATCCCCATTGTACAGATGAAGATATTGAGGCACAGAGATGTAAAGTAACTTGTCCAAGGCCACACAGCTATCAAAGGTAAAACAAGGATTTAACTACAGGACAGTCTGATGCCAGAGTCTGCCCCTAAACACCATGCTGTGATGATGTGTCCTTGTTGTCCCCCTGGACAGATAGAAAGAACATGGGCAGGGTTGTGCATGGGGTCATAGAGAAAGCTCTGGTTTTACATGTAGTTGATTAGGTATGCTGTGGGTTATGCTGAACTGACAGGGAAAGCAGTGTGTACAAGTGAAAATCCTGTCAATATGGTTCTAGGGATCTGCAGAGATTATCTTGGCTGTTTCTTATATTTCTGTGTGCTGACTTTTTGGAAACTACGCAACTTTGGAAACTGATCTTTCCTTCATTTCTTATCAAGATGTTAATTGCTTTAAGCTATCTTTTCTTATGATTAGCTCTGGTCTCTAATGCACTATTGTATAGTTTAAGATTAAAACAAATTATATAAAAATTCATATTAAATAAATAATAGAAAAATACAAAATATTTACTGGAAAGCATTTTATACAATAAAGATTTTACTTACAATAGATTTTATAGAATATTTTTGCACACCTACTTTGAAGGAGGAGATGTAGTGTAACTTTCAGTAATGCTTAACTCACCTATGTCTCTGCACCTTTCCTTGTCATGTTCAGATTGATTCAAATGAATAATAAATATGAATTAACTCCTATTCTTGATGTACTATAATGAAATAAAATTCTAATTATCATTAAGTTTACTTTGGAAAGCAAAAGTACTCCTGAAATTGGAAGTTGAATTAAGCAATTTTGTAAACCTTCAGTTTCTTATATTTCTTTAATATCTGGAAACAGTAGCTATTCTGTATCTTGCCCAAGGCAGTATATTAGAGTTGCAAAGGCATCCCTTGTTGGAAATCTTCCTTGTAGTCATACCTCCCTTTTTGGTTATTTTTTTGCTGTAGATGTTCTCTAATAGTTTAAATATATCTCTGAAGTTATGTAAATTTCATAGCTTTGGAGACATATTTAAGGAAACATTCTGCATCATAAGTGATTTGTCATAGTGTATTAATCAGGGTTTAATCAGGAAAAAAAATGATGCAGTAACTTAAACAGAAAATTTAGTATAAAGAATTGTTAACTATCATAAAGAATTTGAATATGAGAGATTGACTAGTAAGAAGAGAACTCTAAAGAATATAGGAATAGCAGATGTGAAGGATGACTCCTAGCCCTAGAACTTGAGATAGCTTGACCAAGAAACCAAGAAAGACCCCCCTCCACCCCCTAGGGCTAAGTTCCTGACCTTGCTAGAGAGGGTATGGTTATATGTACTGAATGGCAAAGAAGCTGCTATGGTGTAGTGCTGGTGGAGCTTTCCAGAAATATTCCCTCGCGGGTGCCAGAGAAAGCTGTCCATAGGGAGATGTCTTGCTGGAGGCGCTGTTACAAAACTACCCAAAGAGTATGCCAAAGAAAGTGGTTGGATGCAAAGTGCTGCTAGCCCCGCCGTCATGTACTACAGACAGCTGTACTGGGGAAGACACTAATACTACTCCAAGAAAAGTACACGAGAACCAAGAAAAGAAAGCCCTTTCTTCTTCCCCTTCCCCTCCCCTTCCCCTTCTTTCCCTTCCTCCCTTCTTCTTTTCTCCTTCTCCTTCTCCTTCTCCTCCTCCTTCTCCTTCTCCTCCTCCTCCTCCTTCTCCTCCTCCTCCTGCTCCTCCTCCTCCTCCTCCTTCCTCTTTTTTTTTTTTTTTTTGAGACGAGGTCTCACCTTGTCACTGAGGCTATAATACAGTGGTATGATCACAGCTCACTGCAGCCTCGACTTTCTGGCTCAAGTGATCCTCCCACCTCAGCCCCCCAAGTAGCTGTGACTACAAGCACATGCCACCATGTCCGGCTAATTTTTGTATTTTTTTGTAAAGATGGAGTTTCTCCAATGTTGCCCAGGCTGGTCTTGAACTCCTGGACTCACCTGATCCACCCGTCTCGCCCTCCCAAAGTGCTAAGATTACAGTTAGGATGGGATGAGCTATTATACCTGGCCTTAACCCTTTCTTCTACTAGGTGTTTCCAGCACGCTCTGTCCACAAAGGTTAACATTTCACCAGCTGATGAATGAGAAAATATTTATCAAGCCCAAATTCATTTTCACAAAGCAAGCAGTGAAGGGTGAATTTGAATCTAAGAGGTAATAAATTGATAACTAGCACATGTGGGAATACCCATCCACTGTCAGAATTTTAACCAAGGTCTTTCAAAAGCTGCCATCCTGAATTTATTACAAAATTAACTTACTGCTTTGAACATGTAGTTTATTTATCTGTCTGTCTATATCTTTTACAGAAATTGATTGACTCTAACCACTCCTTATGTCATGTGTATGCCTTAATCAGTTCTTCAAAACAAAATATTCATTATTTTTTAAACTATTTTATAACTAATCATGATAGAAACCCTTGTACACAAAACCGAGTGTCTAACATTTTTAGAATGAGAGATTGTTAGTTTTGGGTGGAAATAGCTTAGGTGTTACTTTAAATATTGCAGCTTATCAGTTTTCAGATGTTTCTTGCCTCTGCACTACCATTAGGTTTTAAGGAAGCTCCCAGGGACCTGGACTGAGTCATTCTTAAATACTATACATTGTCATCATCTGGCATGGTGGATGGTACATGGTAGCATAGTAGATGCTCAGACAGATTAATTATCTGTGTATGAATGAAAATGGATTACAACTACCTAAGTTTGTAGATAAACTGTTTTCATCACTAAAAAAATACAAGAAATGTTGTATTTGGGTAAGACATTAGGTATACAATAAAACGTGCATATATAAAATGTATACATTTTGCATAAGGCACATAACAAATGTATTAAAATGCAATAAGTTCTTTCCCAATAATTCTCAAAATATGTAAACAATATCATAGTTTGAGGAGCCACAGAGAACCTGTGAGAAGAAAATATCCAGGATGATACCGTATTCAAAGAGAGACTTCTCAGAAAGACAGTGAATTTTACCACATAACACGGTTCCAAGTTCTGGAATGCAGTAGTTTTCAGGAAGCAGTAATAACTCTTATCTTTGGTTTGTGAAGCTTTTCCTATTGTCAGTCTTGAGAGGAAGGGTTTTCTTGATGTTGCTGTCAGCTTCATTTGTTGATCTATAAATCATTTTTTTCTCCCTGAGGTGTATCCTTCAGAAGATATATCAATATTTTTTTTCCTAATTTATAAAAATTAAAGTCCCAGAATATCTAGCTGTTGCATACCATTGTGACGAACTTTGTGTTTATTCTTTTTTGAGACAGGGTCTCGTTCTGTCACCCAGGCTGGAGTGCAGTGGCGTGATCCTGGCTCACTGTAGCCTTGACCTTCTGGGCTCAAGAGATCCTCCTGCCTTAGCCCTACCTAGTAGCTGGGACTGTAGGTGCTTGCCACCATGCCTGGCTAATTTTTGTGTTTTTTTGTAGAGATGGCGTTTTACCATGTTGCCCAGGCTGGTTTCAAACTACTGGACTCAGGCAGTCTGCCCACCTCAGGCTCCAAAAGTGCTGGGATTACAGGCATGAGCCATCACACCCAGCCAGATAGATCAATCTTGGTGGAAAAGGAAAGCTTAGAAGAACAACATGTTTATAAGCTTGTATGATAAGGATGTTTATTTATGAATGTAGAAATGTTATAATAAAAGTATATTGTTAAGGGACTCGAGACTGAAGTTTTGCCTGTTATTTGAGCACAGTAACTGTTACTGATTCAGAATCCACAGTGCCAGCTAATGGTAGTTTAGTTGTAATAAAAGAAGGCTATAGAAGAGTGGGAGAGAAATGAGGAAGGATAGAATAGTCATAATCTTCAAATGTATCTACCAATGTTTTTATCTAAAGACATAGTGGCCTACAATTATTATTTCTATTTTCTTATTGTAATTAAGTTGATATTTTCTTAACAATATAAATAGTACATCTACTTCTTTCTCATTGGTGGAAAAGAATATGAAATGAAGTCTGTATTTAGGTATTGTTTATTAAATTAGTATTCCTTGGTGTCTTTATTCAGTAGGAGATAACCTATATATTTAATATAGTATGAATAATACAAATGAACTCATAAGAGACAGAACATGATTAATTCGTATTTATTGATATTTCACTGAGTGTATGGCATTGTATTTTATAAAAGCATTGAATTATTTGTGAATTGGTTTCTGATACTTTTGGTCTATTTTATACTTTTTTTTTAACTTTAAGTTGAACTTGACAGCACTCCTAAATTCTGAAACTGGAAGAATGACAGAGGCAAAGGATTTTTTTCCCCTTCTAATAACATAAGAAATAAAAGCCAAAGGATATAATCACAACAATACCAACAATAAAACAGCAAAGCCCTGTGGGGACACTTCGGTGAGGGAGGCAGTACACAAAGCATCCGTGTTCTTACTTGCTCCATTCATTTAAATTATGTGTTACCAATAGAAACATTTCAAGCCTGGAAACCCAGGCAAAGCACTGTGGGTTCTCTGTTGCTTGTGAGTTGGAACACTAGGGGACAGCACTAAAATATTCCATAGTTATGTGTTATTGATCACTTGCAACTGTATAATAAGTAAGAGATTTTACTATTAAAGACTATCGAATCTCCTGTTGATTTCAGTGGATGAAGAAGCGCAAAGAGGAAGATGAACTTTTCAAATCCATAAGTTCAGACTTTATGAGCAAGTGTTTTGAATAATTTAGGAAAAGCTCCCAGGCTATTTTTCAGTTGCAAGATACTAAGGCACGATAACTTAAAGGATTGTGATTCTTCTGCTAAAGAGTGTTTGTTCTGTCTTATTCTGTTGGGGTAAATATTTTCCTGACATTTTTACCTCTAATCTTGTTTTCCAGGCACTTTGGAAAGACATGAGACAGGAGAAAGAGCACGAATTATTCTTAATTGTTGTGATGATTCACAGCTTGTGAAGTCTGTACTTCCCATTGCCTCAGAGACACTTAAGCACAAAAGTATAGAACAGAGATCCTCCAGCCCCTACCAGCTTGGGCCATTACCTTGCCCTGGTCTGCAGGTGGAGTCTTCATGTAAGGTAAGTTCAAATCAAGCTGTTGTTCACAAAGAACATTATCAACCGAATAAGAAGTTATATGCATTCATAAATACATGGCACTTAAGTATCAGCATGAAAACAAGAACTAAGAGACTGCTGCATCTACCAAGTAATCTTGGGTGAATCAGTATAACTTTTTGAGTGACTATTATACTTACTATGGCATGATTTTTGACAAAATAGGTTCTGGCTTATCAAAATTGAGTCAATTTTATATTAACCCTTGAATCCTAGGTGATTTAACATAAGGAAGGGAAAACATTTATATTCTGTAGTTTGGATATATTTTTATTTTTCACTTGAGAGTATCTGACCTCTTAAAAATGCTGATTGAAAATAAACAAAAAAAAAATCAGAAAAACTAGATCACAGTATGGATAATTCTTTTGATATAACCAATATCTGTAGGATCACTAACTCTCTAGGATTCCAAGCCTCAGTGAATACACAGTGATGGAGTTGGCATTTATTCTCATAAACCAAGTCAACCAGCTTAGCAGAAATTTGGACTAGCTTTATTGTTTTTTACTTCTAAATATGATATAGTAATTTAATCTGATTTCTTAAAGGGATTATTTTCCATCTTTTTGTATTTTCACCTCCAAATTATCCCCTCAACATACTGTTGTAACTATGCCGTTTATATGTACATATCAAATGTATTTTTTCATATAAACATATTTTCATGGTATTAATATGTAACTTTTATTATTAATGGCTGCATTATGCTCTATGTGGTGTGTCTATCATTGCTGGTATAAATTGTTTCTCTATGTCTTGATATATGGCTTGGTTTTTATGTTTCACTTTTAAAAATAACACATCTATGAACCTAAAGCTTTTTTCATGTAGATTATTTAAAGGATATATTTTTGGAAGTGGGATTGCTAAATCAAGGTTTTGCTGATTTTTAATTACATATTGTTCATCTTTTCTGTTATTTTAATGGTATTTTGAAGGCTAGTAATATACTATTAATAAGGACTTAGAATAAGACCTTATTTTATCTCAGGTGTATGTATATAGTTAGGCAAAATAATGTGTCATCATCAAGAAAGGCCAATGGGCCATTAAAGCCATGCCTCAAAGCAGTAGAGTTGGGGCAGGGGTGCTAGCATGTAATCTTTAGCTTTTTAGGTTTAGAGGACTGATTTAGATTTCACACGTGAGTCTAGGATTTGTCAACCTTGTGAGAACTGAGTCACACTAACTAAATACCTAAAAAATGAGTATATAAACTAGAATGACAATTCTTTAATTGGCATTCTGGTTATTGCTTGGTACATTCTCACTGTAGCAAATCTGAGGCCAGGGGAAATTGTAATACAGGGTGCCTTGATGGAAATGGAGTCAGAGCCCAGAGGATATTCATTCACTGAGCTCTGAGAGTTGAATGTAGCCAATGCTTTCAGCCCAGCAGAGTACCATCTCCCTTGGTCAAAGCTAATAATGCATGGAAACATTTCTGAATTTTGTATTTCTCTTCTTAAGACTCCATTTAGAACACCTGCTTTTGTTCGTACTTTCCTCCTTCAGATATTGAAACCGGTGATTAGGTGACAGCTTTTTTTCTTTTCTCATTTAATCCATTGTCTTTAGGTTTTTAAAACCTATTTTTCCTATTCTTAACTTGAAAAGGTCATTTTTCTAAGGACAGTTATAGAGATGCATTGAAACTTCAACATTAACAGCTGAACATAAGGTGGGAAATTGAACCACACTGACAGTCTTAGGTATCATAAGGCTATAGTGAATAAAGCCCAGTGAGTGAGCTGAGCCAGCTGCCAAGCATCCCCATCTTGATGTGTCTTTGTTGCTCACTATTCATAACAGAGTTAGCATCTTATAGTGGAAATTATATGTCAGAGTATTAGCTGAGAACCGGGGGAATGTCTCTTGACCTATGCGTTTCAGATGTCTAGGGTCTGCAGGAGCAAATCTCATTCATCAAGTGTCATTTTTACTAATTTAACTCCCAGAAGGTAAACTGACTGATATTTATTTCACTCTCTTGAAGAGCTTCATAGCTACTCTTTAGGTAGTGGTAATAATATATATAGATTTCATTTTCTTTATATAATTTTGTTTATTCCTTGACTTCAAGAAGCAATGAAATGCCAGAGTCTTGTTTTCCTACTTATAGGCTGATTTCAACTTTATTTTCTTGCTTTTGCCCCTTGCCTTAGATGACTACAATTTCAAACTTTCATTCTTTACATTCGGACATAAACTGAATTGGACAGGACTATCACCTTCTTTGTCCTACATACTATACTTCTCTTATTATTGAATTTAGTGCTAATTAGAACAATATTTATTTGTGCTTCTCCTAAGTTATATCTTTTTAATTTATGTTCTGGGTATCTTCAATGTCTATTATACACTTTTTCTCTTAGCATTTCATCCTGATAGAGTTAGGCTGTTGAGATTGTTTTATTTATTTATTTATTTATTTATTTTTAGAGGCAGGGTCTTATTTTTAGAGATCGTGCCACTGCACTCCAGCACAATCACAGTGCAGTGGCACGATCATAGCCCACTACAGATTTGAACTCCTGGGCCCAAGCAGTTCTCTCAGCTCAGCCTTCCAAGTATTTGGGACTACAGGTGCACAACACCATACCTGGCTAAATTTAAAAAGTTTTTCTATTACAGGCAAGATCTCATTTTGTTGCCCAGGCTGGTCTCAAACTCCTTGCCTTAGGTGATCCTCCTGCCTCAGCCTCCTGAGTCTCTGGTGTGAGAGGTGTGAACCACTGTACCTGCCAAGGTTGCTTTATCTTAGTCTTCTTTAATTTACAAATTTGATAAGTGTGAAATGTTATGGGTGCTTATAAGTTTCCCATTCTCCTTGTTACTAATACAGTAAAATGCTTCATGAGTTTTCTTAAGAAAAAAATTAATTTTAAGAAACCAAGTTTGAATCATACTCATTTTATGTGTGGAAAAAATGAGGGACAGTATGCCTGTGAAATTTAAAACTGTTAAAGGTTACTTTGTATTTCAGGATTTTTTTGTGTGTGGATTTTAGTAAGACACAGGTGAAATATTCTCCAACAATAGAATGAACTGTTTAAACAGGAGACTAGCAGCGGAGCTTTTTGTGTTTGGCAACATTAGGACTTTATTAGAATGCTGTATTTCTTTTTTATTGTTGTATTTGAAGCAAGTGCATATAGATCTGGGGAAAAGTTTGCAAGAGAAAAACAAATACAACAAAACATTTTGAAAATAATTCCAATTTGAAATGCTAGAGGAGTTGAATTTGTGCTGCTAGACAAACAATATCTCTGGTATAGGAAAGGAAGGCCAGAGTCATAAAGGATTTAAAGGAATACAATATCATATTCATGATGGGGAACTGCTTTTCTTAGATTTATCTAAGGATAAGACAAGATAGAACCTGTTTAAATTGCAATGGAAGGAATTTAGCATCAAAGTAGGGAATAAATAACCACCCTAAAATCATCTATATATTGCAGAAATCTTTGTAGCTTCATGATATTTTAAGGTAAAAACACCTATTTTGTTTGTTGGTTGGTTAGTTGCTTTTAAATTCTTTTTCTGCATTTCTTGTCTGTAAAATGAATAAAAGGGTAAAGTGGATTATTATTTGGGGCCCATTGTAGTATCCTGGAAATGTCTTTTCTTTAAAACTGATTTTCTGTAGAATAGGTCCCCCAGCAGCTCCTTGTGATTTGCTTTTCTAGAGCTTCACTGTCTAAAATGGTAGCCATTAAACATTTGTAGCTACTGAGTATTTGAAATGTGGTTAGTACTACATGTTAAATTCTATTTTGGTTATGTAGAATTAAATGAAATATATTATTAAAATTAATCTCACCCATTTCTTTCTCCTTTTTTTAATGTATCTACTAGGCAATTTAAAATTACAGATGTGGTTTTCATTCTATTTGTATTAGACAATGATGAACTAGACCAGGGATAAGTATTTTTCTTTTTTGTAAAGGACCTGCTATGATTTGGATATTTAACCTCTCCAACCTTACGTTGAAATTTGTTCCTCAGTGTTGAAGAAGGGACCTAAGGAGAGGTCTTTAGGTCATGGGGCATATCCTTCCTGAATAGATTAATGTAAGGATGGGAGTACATGAGCTCTATCAGTTTCCAGGAGCATTGGATGCTAATAAGAGCTCCTCCCTCTCCTGTCTCTCTTGTTTCCCTTTTCACCATGTGATCTCTGCACACATGGCTCTGGTTCACCTTCTGCCATGAGTGGAAGAAGACTGAGGCCTTCACCAGATGTCCTGTCTTCCAGCCAGCAGAATCAGGAGCCAAATAAAACTCTTTTCCTTATATATTACTCAGCATCAGGTATTCCTTTATAGCAACAGAAAAAATAGGCTTAGAAAGGACCAGATAGTACATATTTTTGGCTTTGCAGGCCAGAATTTTGCTGCTATGGGTACTCAACTCTGCTTTAGGAGCACAGAAGCGACCATAGACAATTCTTCAACAAGGGTGGTTGTATTCCAATAAAAACATTATTTACAAAAACAGGCAGTGGACTAGAGGTGATGCACTGGTTGTCATTTCCCAATTTATGATCTAGACAGTCTACTGGACTTGGAGATCATGAGGTCTGAGGAGAAATTGGCAAAATAGTCAACACCTCCCTTTTCCCTCCATATCTGTATTTTACATGAAACAACTTATCCCAACCTCTGCACTGTGTGGAATGTAATCCAAAAGAGCTTATATCAAGTCTAACCTGTGACAGAAACCGGGAACTCATATGTGTTTGGAAAACCACCCTTTGTAGAGAAACAAATTTGTAAGTAATGGCTCCCAACTTAGTTGGAATTTTTTTTAATGGAATTTTCTTTAAATAACGCACTTATATGTGCATCTTTATCTAAGCATATAAAATTGATTATAAATAAAGACTGCACTGCATTATTTACATTTTAGTTGAGCTTTCTAGACATATGGTTATATATATTTTTAACCTTTAGCTGACCTTATGGTGATGTGTCTCTGGTACCATTTGCTGAAAATTTTTATTAGAGTTTTATTCTCATACCTCTTGTAAAAAACAGCTGGTGTATTGGTAGACCACCAATTGAAAATTTGATCCCACTACTACCTATCACCTTATGAGAATGAAAGTTAGTTCTTTTATATTTTATGACACAAAAAATAACCAAAATAGAATTAGTATAGTTTCTAAATTGTGAGACTGGAAAATATCATCTGAAAATATACTTGTAAAAGTATTAAATAATAATTCATCATGGCAATACTACATGTTACCATGGTTTTTATTAAACTATCTTTATTTTAATATTAAACTTGTATAACTATAAAAAAAGAACAAATATTTATTTTAAAACAATAAATTGCATTATATAGGGCTAAATCATCCATATAGAATGAAAATTTTCCCTTTTTGATTAGTAAATTTTTGATTTATTCTTTTTAATAAAATAAGCAGCATAGAACTATTTTTCTAGTGTGGAAAATATTCTATATCAATTTTTTATAATTTTAAAAGAAAATAAATAGATTTTTATTTTACATTTCAAACACTTGATGAACAGTCATTTTCCTCTGTAAACATTGGATTAAGATTTCTGTTTTAAGTATTTTGATTTGGTGAATCTCAACTTAAAACTGTAGTACCTAAATGATAATACCCAGCCTAGGAAGATGGAATAAAGAAATAAACGTTAGGGGAGAAATCTACAAAGTCATTTGCTTTTTGAACACATAAAGTGATGCAAGTTTTTGACAGTGTATAACTGTTTACCATAAGAGTTTTATAGATAATTTTATGTAATGTAAGTTAAATAAAAATTTCTGTAATATCTAATCCTTTTTTTTTTTTATAACTGCCTTATGAAGAATTTCCCTTTTCTCATTTTGTGGCATGAGTTTAAACTTTTTTTGTTTTTAAAATATTACCTCAATCATGAAGAAAACTATGAGGAACATGTCACAGCTTCGTTTCAAAACTAATTTAGAAGGTCTGAGTGACTATGAAAAGTAGAAAATGCACCATTAAATGACTCCAGCTGTCCACCTCGCACCCAGAAGCAACTCCGAATTTCCTCACAGGACTTCAAAGCCTGGCTTGTATCTAAACATTCGTTGGCCATGTAAATCAGAGGCACAAAAGGAGAATGCTCCTATTTCATGGTGCTAGGCTAGCTTAAGTCTGGCTTTGTGCAGCACGTGCCGGTGGGGAGTGCCAGCAACGGAAGGACTCTGTTCTGACTCGTGTGACAAATGTAGTTAACACCGGATCCATATTAATGTTGTCAAGTTCCCTCGATGTATTTAAACAGATTTTAATTATTTTCAGCGTCCACAGGCCTGAAATATATAGCCTAATAGTTCTTCAAAGAAAGCTTACTTAATGTGTGAATGTAAAACCTCTCATAAAAATGAAACTTTTATATTGGCCTTAGTCATTGACATAGGTTATTCATCAAGTCAGCAATTTGTGTGGCAAAGTGCCATTTGAATAGTGTATTGTTAGGATACTTATGGTCCACTTGACAAGGGCTCTTGCTGTAAATAGTGCAATTTGACTCCAGCTGTTAAAGAGTGGCTTTGACAGCAGCCAAATAGAATGGAGATGCCTTACTGCACTGCTGAAAAATCAATATTGGGTTCTTGTTCATAGTAACCTGTTCTTTTCTCTTCTGTAGATTTATAAACGACTATTAAGGGTTTATAAGTGGAAGTTTAAATATTATTTTAACTGTAATTCACTTTAAGTTTCAAATTAAGACTTGTGATAAAGGGTACAAATGGAGAGTTTTCAGATATTATTTCCAAACCCTGGCTCATGTTTAGTCACAATTACAGTTAAGTTTAATTTGGATTCTCTAGCTTCAATAGAAAAGAATTTGTGTAAAACATGGACACAAAATTGTGTGCCTATTGTATATTGCCAGCCCAATTATTTCTTCTTTTTGATTTTCCTTATCAGTTTATCTTCCGTGTCCCTCCCCTCTTCTCTGTGTGTATACCTTTTTGTATAGATGGCAGAGTTCTTTGTGGCTGTGCCCATAGCAACACCCACAGATGTTGACAGCCAGTCATGTCCCCAGTGTTGTTTTCCTAAAGCAGAGTCTTGCTGGTTTTGAAGAATTTTCTAAGCAATTTTCAGCACTACAAGGTTGCTATGATACCTGACTGGCTGTAATAGATATTGAATCTGTTAATTACAATAACTACACACAGGGCTATTTTTTGATTGGGTTTCTCTACCATTGCGAGCTGTTATGTTCAAGATACAGAGAGGAAGTGAAGTTATATATTTAAGATGAGGAAAAAAAATGCTCCAAGGTAAAGTCTTGAAATGTAAAAAAATTTCCAGGTATAAAAACCTTTTAGCTGACTATTGCTTTCCCAGGACTACAGATATAATTTATTTAAATCATTTCTAGTTTTGGCTGAGTTTGATTTTTAGTTTTTATTGCTGTTCCTGAGAGGACATAAGTCCTCATCTAAAGTGTACTGAGCAGGATTTGAAAAAGCTGCATTTTTTAACATGGAAAATGCCAGTATAATGTGTACTTTCTCAAATGCCTTTTTCAATGAAGTCAGCTGTTAAAATAGCTATCTTCCTATTACTAATCAACTCTGCATTTATTGAATTTATGGCTGAGATAGCAACTGAAAATTCATAAAGCTGATAATATAATTGTGAGCGAAGACCTTTAAGGCTCATTCAAGGTCGGCGTTATTGTTTTTATAATTGCTGATAGGCAACCGTGATTTCTACCAGAGAAAAGGTTGGTTCTGCTTTGGGTTTAGCTGGTTTCAAAAAATGTTCTCTCTTCCATTATTTCTAAAGTAAGATTTTTCAGTGAATAAATATTTATATCATTTATTTAGTACTAAACTTAGCTTTAGATTTATTTCAGTTTCTCTCCCCCTACAATATTTCATTAACCCTATAAGAGACATAGAAATCTAAGATTATAACTTTCTTCTTGGATTAAATACTCCATTTGTAGTTATCAGTTAATTTGAAGGGGGAAGTTCTAACATAGAACGTGGAGAAAAGTTTAACATTTTAGGCATTTTAATTTTGTGTTTAGCTTGATCTAGGGACTGTGTTAGCATAATTTATTAAAGCACATCTTTACATTTGCCTTCATTTACATTAATAATTTTATAGATATTTTAGAACCTATGAATTCTGTAATCATGCTCATATATTATGCATCCAAAACTATTTAGCTTATTTAGACTTTTTTCTTCCTTATTTCTTTTTTCCTTCTTTCTTTTTTTTTTTTTTTTTTTTTTTTTTGAGATGGAGTCTCGCTCTTTTGCCCAGGCTGGAGTGCAATGACATGATCTCGGCTCACTGCAGTCTGTGCCTCCCAGGTTCAAGTGATTCTCCTGCCTCACCCTCCCGAGTAGCTGGGACTACAAGTGCATGCCACCACAACCGGCTAATTTTTTGTATTTTTAGTAGAGACGGGGTTTCACTGTGTTAGCCAGGATGGTCTCGATCTCCTGACCTTGTGATCTGCCCGCCTTGGCCTCCCAAAGTGCTGGGATTACAGGCATGAGCCACCATGCGAGGCCTGTTTTTCCTTTTTAAAAACATGTAGCCTCTCACAATTTGTTAAGATCCTGCTTCTTGTAGTACCCAAAAGATGACCCTATCCCACCTACTTAAAGAGGTTATTATTTATTGGGGTCCAAATTCACTCCAGTGGATTTGGATGCTCTGTTATTGAGCAAACTTGTTGGTTCTGATTAAAATGATTATAAATGTTACCTCTTTAAAATGTGTTTCTATTCTGTTTTTTTAATGACTAATGCACTGGATGGTATTTTCTGGAAAAAAATGATGTTTGTAGAATTCAAATGTTAACTCAAACTATTAGTTGCTTATAACTGGAAAGAAATGGAGGAGAATAAAATCTTTCTTGTTGAAAGCTGGTAATACCACTTATTGACTGAGAGTACCATGTGGACCCATTTAAAGCAATCCCAACAGGAGCACTACTTCTGTACCAATGACTTATGTTGAAACTGGCCCTAAGAGAGTAGCAAATGCAAAAAACTAACAGGAAGCAATTCTCAAAAAAGAAAGCATTTATTTTCATGGAATATTTCCCCATACTATTAAAAACAAAATGTATTAAGACTTTATCTTTATTTATTGGAACTAAGAGCATGAACTTATTAAAAAAATACATCCAGCTAACGTTCTTGCCCATTTTTCTGAATTCTGTTTTAATAGTGATGCCCTGAAGGCACCACCAGTTCTCTGCATCTCCAAATGACGTTTATTTATTTGTAATTTTTTTCATACTATATAGCTTATATAATTCTGCAAACAGCTTTAATCCTAAATTAAAATATCCTGCATAATCTTTTGGTTCAAGTGTGATTATTCCTGTCAGATATAAAAATGATCCTAACAAGCTGCTGTGAGCAGCAGGGGCTTTCTTATGCACATATTTAACTCCATGCACAATCAAATGGGACTGAAAATTGTAGTTGTTCTATGTCTTCGCATATTGCCCAAAACCTGATGACTTTTAGAAAGCCATTAAGAAAGCTTACAAAGCTGGGCACCATGGCTCACGCCTGTAATCCCAGCACTTTGGGAGGCCGAGGTGGGTGGATCACAAGGTCAGGAGTTCAAGACCAGCCTGACCAACATGGTGAAACCCCGTCTCTACTAAAAATACAAAAATTAGTCAGGCGTGGTGGCATATGCCTGTAATCCCAGCTACTCAGGAGGCTGAAGCAGGAGAATTGCTTGAACCTGGGAGGCAGAAGTTGCAGTGAGCCAAGCTTGTGCCACAGCCTGGCCCACAGAGCAAGACTCCATCTCAAAAAAAAAAACTTACAAAATGCAAAGTCCTGCTCACCTTCATTACTTTCTTCTGAGCTCCCACTAGAGGTCTCTTGTCGTTATATAAAACGTGGCCTTCTCCATTGATTCTCTGGTAGCAGATGTTTTGTTTTCCTTTTTCTTGTCTCTCAGGCCAATCTCTGTTTTACAACAACCATAGCATGACATTCATCATGTAATCAGATGGCAAAATATGGAAAGAATAGTATGGGTCCTTTCTCTTCATGTGTGATTATCTTGAGGCTCAAATGAGAAAATTATTTGACAGTTGACATCTCCCCAAATCTAAGAGGATACCTGAATCTTGAACTTTCACAAAGTTTTTATTATATGATTGTCAGTCCAAAATTGTTAATTACCAAGGACCTATCTTTTATTAAACCAGATCAATTATAAAGTCAGGTTGATAGATGGTAACAAATTGTCTTTAAGATCTCTTTTTTTTTTTTTTTTTTTTTTTTTTTTTTGAGATGGCATCTTGCTCTGTCACCCAGGCTGGAGTGAAGTGGTGCGATCCTTGCTCATTGCAGCCTCTGCGTCCCAGGTTCCAGCGATTCTCCTGCCTCAGTCTCCTGGGTAGTTGGGATTACAGGTGTGCACCACCACGCTCAGCTAATTTTTGTATTTTTAGTAGTGATGGGGTTTCACCATTTTGGCCAAGCTTGTCTTGAACTCCTGACCTCAGGTGATCCACCTGCCTCGGCCTCCCAAAATGCTGGGATTACAGGCGTGAGCCACTGCACCTGGCCAAGATCTCTTAAGCGTATCTTTATTTTATGACTTTAACATTTATGTATGCTAACGATCAGCTTAAAATATCTTGAGGCATATTTTTAGTAATTAAATTTCTGGTGTTAACAAGGATGGAATTAGTAAGATAGAAGCAGAAAACTAACAGTTCTGAGTGTGTTTTGTCAAAATTTTCACTTTTTATGATAATCCAATTAATCATGACAAATTATGCCCTCAATATACATCTGATTTAAATGGTCTACCTTCTATCTTAATCAAGATAGCTACTGAGATTAGTTACAGAAAATTCAATGAGCTGCATGGTGAGGAAGTGTCCATATAACACACAGTACCTCAGATGATGGTTTGCTTCACTGTTCTTGTGCACCTACCGCAAAGGCCCAGCTATGGGGCCACAACTTGATGTTTTTTTGCCTTCATCTAATGTTCTACGTCCATTAATTCTAGGACCAAGTTCTTGTATTTTAAAACATTGAGTTATTATATTTTATCAGACTTCAGTTTTGTAACAGGAAATAATTATCAAAATCTGTTTATCTTTCACTAATTAATAAAATCTAAGGATATGGGCCCTTACTTCTCTATCTGTATAAAGGGTATAATAAATGGGTATTTAATTCACAGACAAATCATGAAGTATAATGGGACTAAGTAATATAATCTACGAAAGTCTCGTTATGTATGAATGATACATCATATCTCTTAAATCTTTTGCAGCCCTCTTGTGGTTACCTGATGTCTTCTTGATAAATCATTTAGTATGGTTGCTTTTGATTCTTGTTTTCAGGATATACTGAATTTCATTCAGCATGAACACATACATCATATTATAATTAAAAGTTTCTTCACTTGAGAATTAGAGCAGGTTTTGTCAGTAGTTTATGAGTGATACTTGGGAAAGAACTCTAATTGATTTTTACTATCCACTGGTAATTTTGTGTTGATTTCCAGACTGGGTATATTTAAGCATAATCAAAACCTAGGAAATATCCTCTTTAATATTTCAGAATGTTCATAAAATTCAAATTTCTATTTAGTACTATTATTTTAAAATATATTATATCTCCTAAACTAGGAACTCTATTATTTTCTTAGCAAGAGTATCTTTGGAGTTATAAATTTGATTTTGACACTTATCATGTGGGGCAGGGGATGTCCCGTAAGGTTTACACATATTCTTCAGCCATAATAATTTCCAGTCTATTGAACTCACATAACTGTTTATGAAATATTATTTTCAGCTTCCACAAGCATGACAGAAAGAAAAGAAACTAAGAATGAGCATTCCATTATTATTAATCTGAGTTGCATTCATTCTTGTGATAAAAACCCAAATCAAACATCATACATTAAAAAAGATGAAAAACGTCAACTACAGGTTCAGTCCCATGACCCAGATATTTAATCCCCAACTATTTGGCCTCATTAAAGAAACTCATATTTCCACTGATGTTAGTCTTTTGCCAGAATATTTTCACCTCAATTCTATACCTTCAAGTCTAACTTCGATGTCAGTTTACCATTATGCAGGTAGCAGCCCACTTTCTGTTACTCTCTTTCTCAGCATCCTTTTTATTTCATTTTGTATCTTCTCTACCCTCTACTCCAGTGTAAGTTCAAAGGGGACAGTTACAGTTATGATAAACCTATTTTATAACTTTATCATGAAATTCTCATCACCTGGCATATCTGGCACGTGGAAGGCATTCAGAAATATTTGTGGAATAAACTCATGAACTGAAAACTACTGAAGTCTAAAACATGAAGAATAGATGGTAAGAAAGTAAAGAATGCTTCCTTTTTTGAATTGTAAGAGAAAAAAATATAAATGACTGACAGAAAAAAAAGTGTATTTATTTCGCCACCCAATTGCTTTAAGTCCAAATCAGGTTTACATGTGACTTGGTTGTACAGAGGATAGTGACCTAGCAAAAAATAGTCAATAATAGCAAAGAGGCTGTTGAAACACAGCAGCAGCCTCCACTGATATTTAGACACCAGTCTCAATTACAAAAGTTTATAAGAAAAAGTGTATTAAATAGTGGTGATAAAACTTAGTATGCCCAGCATATTAGGGAGAAATGATTCACTTTGGGTAAGGTGGGCATAGAACAGAGCTGATAAAGACTCAGAAAGGAAGATTAAGAGGCAATGTGGTTAAAATGGCTTATTATACCAACACAGTGCATATTATTACCCCATTTACTTGCCCTTAAATCTTAGACTTCTTTTTCTAATAACAAAGTTGTCTAAAATAAGCACTCAAAAATAGCCTGAGGATTGCGTTGTATATCAGGAGCCTCTACTTCCCTGAAATAATTACTTTACTAAGCCCTCCCCTCAATACAAAACCCCTGAAGCCAGCAACAATCTAATCAACAGGTTTGTAATAACTTTCAGAAATTTAAGTGTAATAAATATGAAGAGGGCTGATTTATGTTTCATTTCCCAGATGCAAAGACTAGTACAATTCTGTATCCCCCAAGTAGCAAACATTGCTTCCTGCTTTTGTACATCATTTGAAAATTGCTTAACTCACCCTCTCATCAGAGGAGAAGAGAGGGCTGATTACGTTTCAACATGTATGACATTAAATGCTTTTAGGTAGCTCATTGTGGGAAGGTAGGGTGGCATACTGGATTAGCAGCCCCAGGAGAAACTGAGCTTCATAGGATTTGTTCTTCTTCCTTTTCTCTGAAGACCCCATTTAGATTCCCATGACAAGGCTCTTCCATAATTTCTCGTACACTAGTGCTCTTCCACATGGGTGGTTCTGGTGACTCTATTCTCCACATTTCTTCCTGCCCAATCTCATGTACCAGAGATGTTCTCTTTACCTAGTCATATCCTACCTAGACTACAGTATGTGCATGTACAATTTACCATGAACATGCTAGTTAAACAATTTATATTAAACTGATAAAAACAGATGCTACATTTGATCTTAGCCAGAAGGCCGAGAAGTGATTAAACAATTTATAAATTAACTATGGACTGGGCGCAGTGGCTCACTCCTGCAATCCCAGCATTTTGGGAGGCAGAGGTGGGCAGATCACCTGAGGTCTGGAGTTTGAGACCAGCCTGACCAACATGGTGAAACACCATCTCTACTAAAAATACAAAAAATTAGCCGGCATGGTGTCGCGCACCTTTAGTCCCAGCTACTCGGGAGGCTGAGACAGGAGAATTGCTTGAACCTGGGAGGCAGGCGTTGCAGTGAGCTGAGATCTCGCCACTGCACTCCAGCCTGAGCAATAGAGCAAGATTCTGTCTCAAAACAAACAAACAAACAAACAAACAAAAACTATAGATTGCCTAATTATTTTGCCACTATTTATTTGTCTTATTTTCTCAGTTAGGCCTAAAGCTCCTTGAAAACAAAGAATTACTGTGTCTGCATGTTATGTAAGTTTTGTAGCATGGAATGCAAAACAGAATACTTTATTCATTCAGCAAGTATTCATTGAACATCTACTATGTACCAGGCACTCTTCTTGATACAAGATCATGGTGCCCATGGCACTTACATTTCTAGTGAGAGTGGATACATCGTAAACAAAACAAAACAAGACTGTCAGATAATGATAAAGGCTCTGCAGGGAATTAATGTTGGGCAGTTTGATAGACAGTCTTAGGGGTTTACGATAGCCTGGGTGGTCAGAGAACATCAGAGAAGGAGGTAGGATTTATACTGTTTGAATTGCAAGAAAGAACCAGAGATTCTCCCGCCTTTCAGAGGGGAGAATATTCTAAGGAAAGCAAACAGCTACAACAGAAGGCCTAAAGTAGGAATGAGGTTGATGTAGACAATGAAGTCAAAAAGGCCAGTGTGACTCAAGAGGAGTATGGGGGAGGGAGCATTAAGAGTCAATATTGAAAAGTGAGGGACGGACAGAATATGTTGGGTGTAATAATCCAAAGTAAGAAGCTTGACTTCCAAGTATTAAAGGGAGTCTTTTCACGATTTTACTCAAAAGGAGTAACATGATTTGATTTATGTTTTGAAAAGGTCGTTTTGTTTGCTATGTAAAAAAAAAAAAAAAAAAAAAAACTGAATTAGAGGAGAGAGTGTGTCTGGAAGAGGAGTCCATTGCTTAGTTGAAGCAAGAGAAAGAAATTGTTAGCTGGTGTTTGTTTTGTTTTGTTTTGTTGTTTGTTTTAACATCAAGTTGGCAAAAACCATGGTGTGACATATGTGCTCTAGTTGACCTATATCCCAAAGTGCCAGTGGGAGGAACCGCTTTAGATGGTGAGGCTAACCCTGTCTGTGGTATGCAGGAAGTCATATTAGGACTAAATCTTGATGGATGAATAAGATTTTGCCATAAGGAACAGCAGGTCCAAAAGCCCAGAATATGAAGATGGGGAAGAAGTAGGAGGTTAATGAGAAGTTGATATGACTGGAGATGGAATATAAAGTGAGACACAGTGGAAGGTTAACTATGACTTGTACCCCTGAAGAAAATAAGAGGAAGTCTTTGAACCTGGACTTCAACTTCTTATTTTATTTTGGTAAGAACACTTAACATGACATCTGCCCTCTTAACAAATTTTTAAGTGTATAGTACGTTATTGCTGACTCTAGGTACAGTGTTGTACAGCAGATCTCTATAGCTTACTAATTTTACTGGGCTGAAACTTTATGCCCATTGATTAATAACTTAAGCCCCTAGCAAGCACAATTCCACTCTTCGATTCTATGAATTTGACTATTTCAGATATTGCATATTGGTGTAATCAGGCAATATTTGTCTTTCTGTGACTGCTTATTTCACTTAGCATATGTCTGCAAGGTTCATCATGTTATCACATATTGCAGAAATTTCCTTTCTTGAAAGGCTAAATGTTATTCCATTGTATGTATATATCAAAATTTCTCTATCCATTCATCTGCTAATGAACTTTTAGATTATTTCCACATCTTGGTTATTGTGATGCTGCAATAAACATAGACATGCTAATACTTCTTCAGGATCCTGATTTTAATTCTTTTGGATAAATACCCAGAAGTCGATTGCTGGACCATATGGTAGTTCTATTTTTAATTTTTTGAGGAACCTCCATGCTGTTTTTCATAGCAGCTACACCATTGCATTTCTACCCACAGTGTGCTAGGATTCCAATTTCTCTACATCCTCACAAACACCTGACTTTTGTTTGTTTTGTTTTTGTTTTCATTTAATAATAGCCATCCTGAAAGGTATTGGGTGGTATCTCATTGTGGTTTTGATTTGCATTTCTTTGATAATTAATGATATTGAGCATTTTGCATATATTTCTTGACCATTTGTATATCTTTTTTGGAGAAATGTCTATTCAAACCCTTGGCTTGGTTTTTTTATTATTAGGGTTTTTTGCTATAGAGTTGTAAGAATTCTTGGACTTGGACTTTTGGGAGCAATTTATATTTGTGGTGGAAAATCTCATGAGTAACAAAAACAACCAATACAGACTTAAGATAGGGTCCTCTTTTAAAGTGTAACAACTGAATTAAGGGGATTTAACACATAAAATTGCTTTCTTTATATTTATATTGCATTTTTGCCCAGAAAAAATATTTTGCATACAATTAAAATTCCCATTAATTTAGAATAAGCCAGGGGTTGGCAATGTTTTTCTCTAAAGGATCAGTTATCAAATATTTTTTGGTTTTGTGGGCCATACAGTCTCTGGTACACCTACTCAACTCTGCGTTGGTAATGCAAAACCAACCATAGCCAACGCATCAGTAAATGAGTGTTTCTGTGTTCCAGTAATAGTTTCTTTGCAAAGAGAAGTGGTAGGCAGGATTTGGCCTACAGGTCATTGTTTCTTGACCTCTGCAATTGGCAGTGCTGTGATTAGATTGTGTTATAATTGACTATAATAGGCCACAAGAAGAGGAGTGTGGTAGCTTTCCACTGGAAAGAACTATATTTTATTATTGTCATTAAAAGATTTTCTTGTAAAGCTCCCTATTTGCTGAAAATTATAACTGGTTTTGCTCAATTTGGGAGCCCTGGTTTGTAAGCTCTCTTTTGGGTTTTCAGAGATTTTTGTCTTGTTTCTTCTGCTTCTTACTTTTTTAAGGTAGTCTACAAGCTTGATCTTGTCAATCAGTTGCTAGACATGTGAGAAGTTATTGTGGTATGGTTGTTTGAAAGAACTCATGTTCTGAGACATTTCATAAATTTTATATACTTTTTTTTTAGTGAGCATACTCTCTGGGTATTGATTTCAATTTAATAAGTATGTGTTGAATTGAATTGACTGAAATATCTGGTGGCCACACAAATATATACCCAAAATAAGTGTTTGTGGTTGGTTATTCGTTATGTGAATACACATACAAATCACTCAAAAGAGGAGAAACACTATTTTAAAAAAAATTTGTCCTTTGGTCTACTTAATGGTGAGCCAGTTCTGGCTAAGTTGTTTTTCCTTCAGACCTATACCTTTCCTGACCTCTTGGCCAATTATAAGCTTGTTAGTATGATGTTTAGAAAGCATCAACTTGATACTGCTGATTTCAGTGTCATAGTTTGGGAAGCAAAGGTGTTTGGAGTAAGTAAAATTACATGTACATACCACATCTCTTTTAATTAGTTTTCATCTCCAGAGGGTGAGTACAGAGTAATTTAGTAACACATACTTGTTATCTTAATTGACAAAAACATATAGAGAAAGAGGTGAAAACAAATGGAAGGAAATAATTGCTATTTAAAGAACACATGAGACAAGTATCTTTCCTGCTACGTAAAATTTGGCTTATTAATGAATTTTTTGGATTTGATATTGAGAACTTTTATTCTACTAGTGACATTGAATTTTTATAGGATGCAGAATAGACCAAAATTGGATCATGACGTGTCTATTCAAACAGACGTGCCATCTGTCAGAGGTGGGGAAGTTAGGGGGAATTTGTTTCTGTGTCTTCTAGTAGTTTCCAGAGAAAGTATAATGCACGTAAGCATGAGAAATCACATTTCATGTAGTGGAAGGAGCACTGGACTAGGAGTAGTCAATCTGGGTTTTAATTTCAACTTTGGCATTTCAGTAGTTGCATTGATTAAATGAGTGGCTATATGACATTGAATCAGTCACCAGGCCTCTCTTGTTTCCACCTGTCTGTCCATGTATATATTGATATCAATTTGGAAAACATCTAGATCAGAATAGGCTATATTATGTTCTAGTAACAAACAATGTCCCAAATCTCATTGGCTAAAACAACTCAAGTTTATTATTTCTTATTCACTCAATGTACCAACCTGGGGTCAGAAGGGGTCTCTGCTCTTGATTGTTACACAGAGACAGAGCTAATGAAGCAGAAGCCGTATGCTGGGAAAAGGTGGAGAACTGTAAGCATTTGGTAAAAATACCGATGACTGAGGAGAGGGAGCATGAGAGAGGAAAAAAATACTAATGATTGCACAGATAATTTGTAGGGCTCTATATAAAATTATATGAAATTTTGTGGAAAAGTGTGGTTTCTCTTTAGATTCCTGCTTCAGGAAGTTAAGGATCTCCTTAGGTGTTATAATTATGGATGATCTAATTTTCTTTTGATTATCTTTATTATTGAATTCTTTGTAAACAGTATTAGTATTGTTTATTAAAGGCAAAAATAATATAGGAAAGGCTATTTTTAAGTAATGAATCTCTTTCAAATGTCCTTTGCTTATCTTACTTTTTAAAAATTTATGAATGGATATAAATACCTTTAGTTTCTTCTATAATTCAGAATTTGGTGTCTGAGTTAGTATTTCATGTTCTGTACTATTGTGATTTCATAACAATTGAACACATCTTTTCCATTTTTCACATGGAGTTATATGATTTTCTAATCTGTTTGTGCACAAAAATAATTCTGATTTTTCACATTTTATTCTTGAGATCTGGTCAGACTTACTAAGCTTTCTACTGGAGTCTCTGCCATAGGACTAATAGTGTCCTTACCTTTGCATTGTACCAAGAAAGGATAATCCTTTGTATATTGTCTCTAGTACAGGCAATACCCTACAATTTGGGGGAATATTTTGACTTCAGTAATTTATCAACAAAGACCCTTAATTATTCCCTTTTTTATTTTTGGTTATGAGACTTCCTTTTTATTACACCTATTTGGCCATACCTTACTTTCCTTGCCATTTTTTTTTAACTGTCCCAGAGCTTTTATTTGACGTTTTCTATCATTTCAGTATTTCAGTTCCTAGAGAGGATATTTTGTTGTACATTTATTTCTCAGAATTATTTATAAAACCATGAAAGTTTAAAGCTGGCACTTGGTTTCAATCCCTTTCCAGAAGCTGGAGACACACTTGTGGTTGTGGTTCTTTTTGTTGGGGAGAATACATTGGTCCCTAGCTTTTGTCTCTTGTTTGTTAACCAGTCCTCAATACAAGGTGACCTGAAACAGTCTACTGGCCTTTGGTAATTTTGTTTACCTTATTTCTTTTCTTTTTCTATCCCTCACTCCCTCCTTTACCTTGGTCTTACAACGTTTTTCAAAAATGATGAGCAGTTTGTTTACCTCTAAATCCATTATTTGTATTATTTCTCACTTACCTGCAACTGAATCTGCACCACAGAAATTTAGTTGATTGCTGAGAGATTATTTGGGAAATATGATAAGAGAATATGAGTTACGGGGGTTTTATAAGCACGAGATATAAAAATAAAAATTTCAAACAATCCAGCAATATTTTTATAATTAGGACTTTGGTTGTTTTTCCTTTGTTGTATACATCAGAAGTTTTTTGAGAAGTAGAAATAAACTATCTGAGAGTGTAAAAGAAAATGACTGCAAAATTAATTTCTTTGCAGTCATTAAAAAATAGACATACAGAGATATGGTTATGATTTACAGAACAATAGTCACATTTTAAGTGTTACAGAAACATCGATGCTTTTTAAGAAGCCACATCATCACCTTATTCCTGTAAGATAGGGTCATCATACATCCAGGTTCCCTGGGACAGTTTTGGCTCATGCCTCTTGTTTAAAGGTAATTGTTAATAATGCACCATTTCACTCTAAAAAGTAGCCTGGTTTGAACAATAAATTATATGATCACTTTATTTAAAGGAGACTAGCAAAAAATATATATGTCCTACTTAAGGTTAATCTAGCAATTTCAAAATATTCAAATAACCATGTATGACATACTAACACAAATGGGTTAAAGAATATAAAGCTGATGCTTAATCATTTTCCTTTTATATTTAGATATGCAAAAATACTAGAATCTCCTAGCAGTTAAAATGATATAGTTTAAGAGAAAAATCATGCTTAAGGCAAATAAAAATCTTAATTTTTACTTCATCGAACATTTACAGTTTTAGTTTTTCTGTGTTTAGCATATCTTTCTTAGTACATCATTTTAAAAACCAACATGCAAAAGGTTCATTGCACAGTAAATGACACCCTTCATTTTATAACGGTTTATTGATATATGCATTAAAAATGTAACTGGATAACCCTGAGAACTGCTTTACAAAATTCTGCTATTCTTCACACTTAAAACACAAAACCTATAATTAAAAAAGAAATGAGCAGTTTGTCCATTAGCCAGAGTCAGATTATACGCTTTAAATCTGGAGATTTTGTAAACACACTAATAATATTTTACAGGCATAAACCAGCTTGAAGCCTGAAACACAATTTCGTTTATCTTTATATTCTAAGCTTTATAATGTCACAGAAAGTGTCCATCTGTTCAGCTGAGATTGCTTCAAATAGTGAGTGGTCAGAAAGACTTAGATGATAAAGGTCAAAGGAGCCTCTTGACCCTGTGATACTTGCCAAAGCAATTGGAGCATCAGGGCTGATATATAGTTAGATACAGTTCGCTAAAGCAGGCTCCACTTTAATTGGTAGTGATAGCAAGAATACACAGTAAAGTCATTGCTGAAAGAAAACAAAAAGTATCCAATATAGTAATTTATTACCAGTCAGTGGGTTTCACGCACTAAGTTGTTTTACCCCTGCAGTGGTGAGAGAAAGCAAAAAGGTACTCTAACACTTAGCTGAAAATGGATGCCCTGCTGATACCCAAGATGCGTAGTGGCCCCATGATTGCCCGTGCCATTAGCTTGGTAATGTTGTCTCTATTGTAAGCTCAGCTCCCCATGTTCTTCCTGTGCATCAGCTGCAGATTGAAGGCTTTCTCCTTTGTCTTCTATTTGCCCTGCCAATCATGCTGCTCTCCACCCGACCCGTTGGAAGGAGACAGTTTTACTGCCAACAACGATCTTCAGCAACCTAGGTCTCAGAGAATCTGAAAATGAATGGTTGGCACTTTCATTTACACCTTGCTGTTCGATTTACACGTTGTTGGGATTCTTTTTGTTCCTATTATTCCACCAATGGTTTCCAGATTTTTCATATCTTTGCAAGATACATACTTCTCATAACTAGTATACACCTATATGCTTATGGCTCCCTATAAAATTAAATTATTTGTTACAAATGTTGACATATATTTGGTGCAGTATGAGCACAGCTCTTTGTAAATATTTTTTATTTAGTTAATCGGCTTAAAAAATCCTTTAAAAAATAGTTACTGGTTTCTGTCAATGAAGATAAAATTCCCATGGGGAAATATGAACGAGCTCTTCAATGTCTCGATTTTTTTCCTTAAACATCTTAAGAAAAACTATGTACCACCAAGAAAAGATAGACTAAAGCAGAGACTTTCCTAATTGCAAGCACAGATGCAGTAAAATAAATCTTATTTCACATTTCCGGTCGTATATGGGAGGTGTAGTTTGTGTTTTTGGTTTGCGTTTGTTTGTGCTTATCTAAAATATGGATACCCTCTCAAATATTTAAATTTACTCAAGGATCACTTGATTTCAAGGCTGATGGATACACTGTTTTCATCAAATCACAATAGAAATTTATTCCTGAAGTAATTACAATAGATAACAATATTAGCTTGGCATTTACAATTAAACACTAAACTTAAACTTGATTTGGATTTTCTAACTGAGGGCTCAGTGTATAAAAAGTATGTATGTTACTGTACACATTTTTCATGGATAAAATAGTCTTTTGTACATTTTGTTTGCATATGTAAAATTAAATTAGATGATATTGTGATTCTATGAAAATGTATTTTCTTTCATTTTTTTTTGTGACAGGGTACTCTAGGTTAGATCATGGAAATGGTAAGTTGTTGAAAAGTGTGTTATTTTCTTTCTCTTTCTACACACACACGCACACACACAGATACATACACGCACGTTTCAGTTTTTAACTTAAGCAAACAATATCTGGGATTATTCTGAGACTAGCCCTAGGTGTGTGAGGAGTTAGAAAAGACCAGATTCAGGCTCTCCTTCAGTAGCTGCTTTTATTGTGGCCAGGTTCTTAGCATTGTATTTGGTTGCCCCAAAGAAAGTTTGATGAGGAACATGTCTCAAGCCAGCTCCCATCTGTTTTAGAAACCATGGTGCTTTGGACTTCAAAACAACTAGGGACTTTAACGTTTTAGGTGAGAATTAAGCTTTACCATCTTTTCAAGGACAGAAGGAGAGACATTTCAGAAAAAAAAATCCTCATAGCGTGTCTGTGTACTGTGGGTGATGGTTTAACTTCCTTAATAAAAGTATTCTCAACAAACAGTTATTACAACATTAATTAACTGACTAATTAATTAATTTGCTGCTGGAATGGAGACTAGGCAGTCATTATGCCTTATGTCATAAATCTTCATAAACCAAGGAATTCTTAAGTCAATATCTGTATCAGTTTTCAGTTCTATTATTTAGGCTAAATAGTTCTAAGGTAAAAATAGGATGAAATAATTTTAGCACTGGATACATATTAATTTATCATTACATTTATGAAGAATTCTTTCGCTTTTTTTCCTAACTGGTATTTTCTACTTTAGAATCTTCAAATGGACAAGGCAGTGGCAAAGGAGAAGCTTATAGATAAGGAAAATGACTAGCTTTAGGAAAGAGGACAAAGAAGAGGTAAACCAATATAGGACTCTCCATCACTAATGGAAATATGTATTTTAAGGGAGGTAACACAGTTCCCAGAATAAGTTGGATCCCAATGGTAAACAGCCCTCAGAGACAAGCAGGTAGATAAGGAAAATAGCATTTACATTGTACTTCCCATGCAATTTTTATGTGGTTATGGGTATTCAATCAGTTAAAGTAGATGGCATGTCTTGATGTATTTGAAGGGGCAAAATTTGAAAGCATTTTCTTTTCCTGGATATTATGCCAGTAATATATAGAGTAACTTGAGTTTTCAGGTATGGTTTATGTTGTAATTTAAGACTTTCCAAAATACTGTATAGCAGTATCAGTTTTCATGTATCACTAATGGATTAAGGCTGAATTTTAGGAAGTGAATGCTTGACAGTACAGAGAGGAACCTGACATTTATGGATAATAAAGAAACCTCTCTCACCCTTCAAAACACAGCCCTTGTGTTAGGCTCTATTATTATGATGCTGTTGATGTGCCCCTTTCTAGATATGAAGTAAAACATATGTGTACACATTGGTGTGTGCATGTATATATTGTTTTTACATAGAAATGAGATACTATAGAGCTATTCTGCAAGTTGCTTTGTCAAGTCAAAAATATTTGGCAGACATCTTTCAGTATCAGTACATAAAGATCTACCCTGGTTAGATTTTTAACTAAGCTTCTGATACATACTATTTTAGTTTTATCTTTGATGGGGAAGCAATTTGGGACTATATGCTAATATACAATTATTACTAGTTTATGCTATTATAATGTCACTCTTCTTTCATTTACTTAATACTACTGCATATATCAACTTCGAATTACAGGGATTAAAGAAGGGTGGTTACTCACATAAATGGACCTAGAAAAACCATTTAACTTATTCAACATCAAGAAAATATATGAATCAAATGAGTTTTTAAAATAGCAACAGTAATCATACCAAGTAAAATTACAGTAATCTACAATTTCTGCTATTATTTAACATTTTTTTCTGACAGCTTAAGCAAATGCCAAAATATAAGAAACAGAAAAAAAAGATGGAAGGAAAGAAAAGCATTACCTTTATTCAAATAGAGTAATAGTGGACACTCTGCATATAAAATATTAATAGATCAGAAAACCTAATAAAACAAAAAATAATGTTCAGCATGGTCGTTGGCTAAAAACAAAACTTAAGTGCTTATATAAAAAAACACCAATTAGAATGTACAATGGAATTAAAATTCCATTCATAAGTCATTAAAAAGAAAATAAATAGGAATAGATTTCATAAGAAATATGCAAGAGCCATATGAAACCATATTCTAAAAATTACTAAAAGACACAAAAATGCCTTAATTTAACAAAATGATATAGTCCCAGAGAGCAAGCACACTATTTTAAAGGTTTCCATACTCACAACTCTATATATTTAATAACAATCCATTTCAAAATCTCCTTAGTGGGTTTCCAGGAACCAATGAGTTGATTATAAAATTCTTCTTGAAAAACAAATATGTGAATTGAGCTAAGATAGCAGAATGATGGCTGGAGCCTTCCTTCTTCCTTCTCAGATGTCAAACATATTATCTCTCTGTCTACATATTTATCTCCATACACACATACACACACAAATACACACACAGTAAAATAGTAGCACTTGGTACAAGTTCAAGAACAGAGAAAGAGATAAATGGGGAAAAAAAAGATGGTCCAGGAATGAGCATATCATAACCTACTCTTTGTTAAAGATGGCACTTAAAGTCAAAGAGGAAAGTTAATAAAAGGCTTTTGTATAACTGAGTGTGATTTTTGTATAAAATATAAAATTATATCCCAACTCTCTACCTTTCACAAAAATAAACTTCAGATGAATAAAAATTTTAAATGTAGAGGGATAAATTACTAAAGGAAAATACTTGATAATATTTTTAGTAATCATGTTACAAAAGATCTAAGAGGCAAAATTTCAGAAAAAAATGAAAAAAATGAATATTTTTACTACTTAAAAAATTGTAAAAACCTCAAAAACTTACAAGTCAACTTAAAACCTTATAACAGACTTGAAAAAAATCTTTGTAATATTCAATAAAGTATTAATATCTTTATATATAAAGGGACTCACAAATTGAAAAGGAAAAGGTAAATAGTAAATGAAGAAATTGGGCAAAGATTGACACTTAAGCCACAGAAAAATACAACTAGTCTTTAAGCTTTTCTCACTAAAAGCCCACAATGCACATTTCCTATTATTAACAAATATTAAAAGAAGTACTAAATTTTTTGACAGCATGACAAAAGAATAACTTACATATATCCACATTTGTTGAAGTGTGTTTTGAAACAGACTTGCTGGAGCAGCCTCACAATTTAGCCAATACTTTAAAGATAACATAGCTTTTTACCCTGAAATTTCATTTTAAAGAATTTTTAAAAGAACCAGAAAGTGTTCAATGATTGTATTTTTAGAAAAAGAATGGAAAAATGCTACTTTTCATTTGTAATCTGTGGAGAAATGGCTTATGTAAGGATAACTTATGTCCTTTTCCAAATTACCCCAAATTCTACATCAGTAAGATTTTTAGGAGACTTAGTACAAAGTTAGGGCTATGGCATCCAAGCATATCAGGACCCAAGAGTGGAGGCATCCTAACTGAAGCTCTGGGTAGACAAGAAGCCACTGATGAAAGCAATCTGTTATAGAACAAGTTGACTTTTGACTGACCTTGTAATTAGGTGCTTAAATGGGCTAGTGTTGTAAGACATTTATTTTTCACTTAGGCGACAGTTTCTTAAGTGAATTCCTCTGGTCACACAGAGGTTAGAGATGGGCTAACTGAAATGTGCAGGACTCACACCCAAAGGCTATATCCCATGTTACCATAAACAAAAGCATACTTAATTTTTAAAAGTGTGCTAGTTTTTATTATTTTTTAAAAGACCTGGAATAACATCTTCAACCATTATATTTCAGCATTGAATAGTTACTAGAAGGAGAATGTTATGAAATTTAATATGTTGTACTCCATGATTATATGATTCAATTTTATCTGGTATTTTTAGGCTCAATGAAGTCTTCTATAAAATACCTCATGTTTTATGAACTCTAAGATATTAGAATGTCATGGGAACTCCAAGGAAGGCAAGATTGCAACTGGAAGGGCAGATTATTAAAGGTTTAGGGAAGGTGGTCTCTTGAGGGAAATGAGCTTTCTTCAGGACTACAATTTCTGTAGATGGGTGTTAGGGCACTTTCCGCATGAAAAGAGACACAAAGGCAGGGCAATCACAAAGATCATAAGGCCAATATTAACTATTAATAGCAGAAGAATCAGACAGCAGTGCCAGGCACACACTGCAGTTAGGAGATAAGGCAAGAAAAGAATTTTTTTATTTTATATAATTTTTAATTTATAACATTATATATAATTTTATAAATAAATAAAATTATATATAATTTTATAAATAAATAAAATTATATATAATTTTATAAATAAATAAAATTATATAAAATTTTATTTTATATAATTTTTAATTATCTGTAGAGACGAGGTCTTGCTATGTTGCCCAGGCTGGTCTCGAACTCTTGCACTCAGCCTCCCAGAATGCTGGAATTACAGGCATGAGCAACCGCACCTGGACAGAAAAGAATTTAAGTGAGATGAATTAGGCTGCAAGCTCTGCTCCAGGGACTGCGGCTGTCTGTTCTGCTCGCTGTTGAGTCGTCCACATATAGCACATCACCCAGCACATAGGAGATACTTTTGATGAGTAGAGGGATTAATTAATGGTTAACAAACTATGAAGGAAAGGATGTGGTAGGAAAGGCATTGAAGAAAGAGAGGGGATTCAGAGAAGGGAAAGAAAAGGTAGTATCTAGATATAAGATTGGTGGACTGGTAGAATGTTGCCATTACAAGAAACAAAGATGTCAGGAGATGGAGTAGACTTCCTTAGTGAGAAACTTGGTGTTGCAGTGACCATGGTTCTTTTTTTTTCTTTTTTTCTTGAGATGCCCAGGCTGGAGTGCAATGGCTCAATCTCAGCTCACTGCAACCCTCCCGGGTTCAAGCAATTCTCCTGCCTCTGCCTCCCAAGTAGCTGGGATTACAGGTACCCGCCATCATGCCTGGCTAATTTTTGTATTTTTAGTAGAGACGGGGTTTTGCCATGTTGGTCAGGCTGTCTGGAACTCCTGACCTCAGGTGATCTGCTCGCATTGTCCTCCGAAAGTGCTGGGATTAGAGGCATGAGCCACTGCACCCAGCTAACCATGGCTTAATAAACGTATCAGAGCACAAATAATACCTTCTTGATATTTTAAAGTTAGAAAAATTTTCTGATTTTTCAGTATGTTTCTCTGTAATTTGGTGCAAGGCCAGTCTGTACCAAAAAAAAAAAAAAAAAAAAGAATGTGATTAGGAGAAAATATAAAATCTTGATTACAAATCTAGAAGGATATTTTATATGTTAAAGTACCAATAACAAAATGTCACTTTTCCTGACTTCCAGGACCATGTTTAAACAAGCCTTTGGCATGTTGCCATGGAGTAGAAATCTGTCATTGTTCTTTCTTGTGTCGTTTTTCTATTCCAGGGTAGCCCTCTGTTTTATGATTGGAAGGAAATGAAAGCCCTGCTAGATTGGATATTGGACCTGAGCATCTCTTACTTTGCTAAGGCACTGGAATATCTGGCAGTGATGGAGCTGCCCTTAGATAGCCCCATTGTGGTGTTGAACATTTTTCATTTCACCCTTGAAAAAAGACTTTGTCTAATGTTATAGCTAAGAGGTTGGACACACATTTCTTGGGAATTATTCTTAGCTCTTTTGTTGTTGAAGTGTTGATAGTAAAGCTGAAGTTTATGTTTGTTCACCTCATTCCTTACAGTTAAAAGGAAAAAAATGCTGCTTTCATTGGTCAGTACTATTTCATGCATTCATTTTCCTGGTTGTGTAAAGGAATACAAATTTTTCATTCAATGAATTTTCTTGAGTACTACTAATTGCAAAATATTGATATGGGAAGTAACCCCTCTCCACTCCCCACCCCCCATTGAAGGAATCAGACATGAAACCTGCCCTCAAATAGTTCACACCAGAAAATATATTTCCTAGATTGAAGGAGTCTCACTCACACTTTCACGCATGAACAGTTTCTGTGAATGCCTAAGGCTAAAAATATGATACAGAAAGTCATTGCTAAAGAGTTGAAGGGAGAGAGAATATGGGGCTGGGGAAGACAAGAATGAAGCATTAAAGGAGGTAGGATTTGGGATAGAAGCTGAGAAGAGGGGAAGGATTGCCATTTGGGTAACAGGCACAGGGAAAAGCACACACTTGGAAATGAGTTAAACATGCAGGGCATCAGTCAGAGAAATGTGACCACATGAAGGAAGAGGGATGCAAAGTTAGACAGGAAAGGAAAAAAGAACTTGACTGGAAGCCTGGATATGCCAACTCAATGAATTTGAACTTAATTCTACAGACACTTGGGAGCTATTGAGAATCTAAAAGTAACATGCTCAAAGCACTTTTTAAAATATACTCTATTACTCCAGTGGTGCTGTGCAGCCTAGGTTTGAAGCAGACAACAAGTAAAAATGTTCTGGGGAAAGCCACATTAAATGATAAAAGGTCCCCAGACTCAGATGATGAAGATGCGGAAGGAGAGAAACGTTGTGCAAAATAAGGATTTTTCACTAGTGTAAGAAGATCTCAGATCCTAATGTTAATACATTTTTATTTCTCTTCAATTATAAGATTATTTGTGCAGTATAAAGCTAATAGAGATGCAGCAATAAAAAATAATGTAATATTGATACATGCCACAACATGAATGAATCTCAAAAACATGTTAAGTGAAAGAAGCCAAATAAAAAGGTCCACATATTGAGTGATTTTATTATAATGAAATGTCCAAAAAAGGAAAATCTGTAGCCATAGAAAGTAGGTTAATGGTGGGAGTGGCAATGGGAAATGAGAGCAAGGGATCTTTTTGTGGTGAAAGAAATGTTCTAGAACTTAATTATGGTGAGGGCTGCACAACTCTGTAAATGCACTAAAAATCATTTAATTAAACACAATGGATTAATTATATACTATGCAAATGACCATAAAGTTGTTAAGAAAAGAAATAAATCATTAAAACATGGGCTTGGAATTAGAATGACCTGGGTTTAAAAGTTGCCTCTTCCAGTCGTTACCTGTGTGATTGTGGACAAGTACACAGAATTATCTAAGTCTATAGCCTCCTATCTTGGAACCCACAAGACGTACTCCATTGGAATTTTCTAAAGATTAATGACTAAATTTGCCTTGCACTTAGTCTTAGACATAGTGAGTTCTTACATAGTAGATTCTCAATGTATAATTATCTAATGAAGAATAGACAGTTGACTTAAAACTATCTTATCTCAAAGCTACATTTCTTATATAGTTTGTAATATTATTGATAGTATATGTGATGTATGACCTATATAAAATATGGTAACAGATCTAATTGGGAGAATCTGTTCCTCCCGATTTAATTTAATTTAATTTTTAAAAAGTTTCAGTGAAGTTAGTTTGTAGTTTGGGTATTCATTTTAAAGATTTATTTAAAAGTTGAATTTAAAAGTTTATTTTGTCTTTACAACCACTTATACTGTAATTAATTGTGTTTTAGCATAGCAGATCAGGTTAGGATTGACAAAGGAAACCTCAAATCTTAGGTTAGGATATTCAGACATTTTCAGCTCAGTTTCTGGAACTCGATCTTGATTGTGAAACAGACTTAATTGGGACATGGGCATAGAAAAAAATTTACCTTTATTGACAAAGACATTAAAATTTGAAATATGTACCACTGCATTTGAGACTTTAATTAAAATTTTATACAGAATAAGAAATAGTATAGCATAAAACCAAGCAGCATCAGTGGATGCACTGAAGCAATAAAAGAAAAATTAGCAAGCAGCCCCAACATGAGGATGAATCGTATTCCCAGCTTGCAAATGGGTTGCTTGGAGCTTTGATTGTTATTTTCCTTAAGAAACAATGGTATAAAGGGTACTTGGTTTCTAGGCTGTCTCACTAAAGTCCCTTTAACCCGTGGTGTAATGGCATGTCTTATTAACAGCAGCATTTTGTTTTTATTTTTCAACTTTTATTTTAGATTTTGGGGGTACACGCACAGGTTTGCTACCTGGGTATATTGCATGATGCTAAGGTTTGGGGTATAAATGATCCCGTCACCCAGGTACTAAGAATTGTACCCAACAGCTAGTTTTTCAACCCTTCCCCATCTCCCTCCATCCCCCCCAGTAGTCCACAGTGTCTGTTGTTTCCATCTTTATGTCCACGAGTGCTCAGTGTTTAGCTCCCTCTTATAAGTGAGGACATGTGGTATTTGGTTTTCTGTTGCAGCTTTAATTTCCTTAAGATAATGGTTTCCACTTAACAGCAGCATTTGAAACTCCACTAAGTCACTCTTGTAGTGATTTTTTAAGAAAATAAATTTTAAGCTCCCACCCAAGGAGAATAGGAATTCCCAAAGCTTTTCTATCCACATGTGTGTAGGGCTATAGATGGCAAGGCAAAAATGGCCCCAATTCTGAATTAATTTATCATTTTCATAAGTGAAGGGATCTACCTCAATTTGCTCCATAAGCTGAGTTTTTCTAAATTAAAACAATAGTCATATAGGCAAAAGCTGTGTTTCAAAAGCTGTTAAGTTCTCTACCTACGTTTGTCTTTTTTCAGTTAAAATGGCATCAGAGCTACACCAGGGAGGATGGTATGGTGATAAATGTGTATCTCTTTGAATGAGGCCTACTTACTGTTCTACCCTAGGTGCTTCTCACTGGTTTGCAGAGGGTAGGGAGGAAAGAAGTTAAAGTCAGCATTATTTCTGAAAGATCGTCACCCTCTGCAGTTTCTCAAGTCACTTTAGTGACACAGTTGAGGAAGGAAAAAGCAGAGCTTCTATACCTGCAAAAGCAGAGTGTCAACTTACACCACCTTGCTCTGGCTCATTGCTGCTGTGTGAGAGCAGAAGGTCCACTCTGGACCTCCCTGACAGGAAAAGTGGAATGCAAATAGCACTGTCTTGCACTACTACCTTTGCTGCCTGTTAAGGGTGGAAGTCAGCTACCCACCATTCAGTCCCCCTACCCATTCAGCCCTACTGGCACCACCTTGGTTGTGAAAGTGCAAGGTCAACTTACTTTGCTTTATTGTTCCTTGGTGAGACAAGAGGTTGAGCTCCTGCTTGGCCTCACTAACACCAGGGTAAGGGAAGAGCAGTTTTTCCTTTGGCACTGACTGGAGTAGGTTAAATATTGTCTAAAGGACTTTCTGTTCTGCTAGGGCCCCCTTTTCCTAGTCCTTTGGTTAGATCAAGTTGTCCAACCTGCAGCCTATGGGCTGCATGCGGCCCAGGACAGCTTTGAATGGGGCCCAAAACAAATTTGTAGACTTTCTTAAAATGTTGTAAGTTTTTTGCATTTTTTTTTAGCTAATCAACTATCATTAGTGTTAGTATATTTTATGTGTGGCCCAAGACAATTATTTTTCTTCCAATGTGATCCAGGGAAGCCAAAAGATTTGACACCACTGGGTTAGAGGGGACAGGCTTTTCTTGGGATCTTTCATGCCTATGCCTTCAGGCAGTTTGAGGTCACTGGTTTCACCATAACCTCTTCTGGGATATATGGGAGGCAAGGTGAAAACCCAGGGAATTCACTGTAGTGTTGTTTGTTCCTCAGGTCCTGAGGTTCCTAGTTAAGCAGGCTTCTGTCTACCTTCCAGAGACTGACTATTTTTGTTGTTTATGTCCAGGTTATTTTAATTGTAAGAGGGAGGACCTCAGTTTTAAATATTTTATAACTTACATTGTGATGTATTTTTAAACTATGAATTACTCAGGAGGGCACATTATCATTTTCAAAACTTAACTTTTTATTACTGATTTCTAAATTAAATTGCAGTATGGATAAGAATGAAGATTTTAGCAGATACTGTTTCTTTTAAATTTATTGAGGATTTTTATGTTCCTTTAAAAAAAGTTCAATGTATGCCATAAAGAATGTATATTCTTTATATCACTGGTACATATGTTCATATTGGGCGTTTGTGTTTGTGTACACACAAGGGTCAGTAGCAACTTGAAAATAATGTATTCTTTCTAGTTCATAAATGCAGGTAATGTTGTTTTAGTATTTTTACACATACATGCTTTACCAAAGTTATTAATTCTGTTTTATTTCATATTTTTAATATAGAATATTTTATCCCCTTGAGTGATCTGTTTCTGATAGATAGACTTGTGCTAAAATCAGTACAATGACTACAATTTTGTCAATTTATCTTTATAATTATATCCAGAGACTATGCTGTTAGATACATAAATATTCATGATTTCTTGGTACATTTTCTTTTTTGTGGTGCTATTGAGAGAAGAATTGTTTTGTTAATTTTATTTTTGGATTGTTTATTGCCAGAATTACAATAGAATTTTTGTATTAGTTGGTTTTTCACTGCTGTAAAGGAATAACTGAGACTGGATAATTTATAAAGAGAAAAGATTTAATTGGCTCACAGTTCTGCAGGCTGTACAGGAAGCATAGTGGCTGCTGCTTCTGGGGAGGCCTCAGAAAACTTAATCATGGCAGAAGGTGAAGGGGACGTAGGCACGTCTTACATGGCTGAAGCAGAAGAGAGAGTTATGGGGAGATGCCACACACTTTTTAAACAACCGTATCTCATGAGAATGCACTCACTGTACAGTACCAAGGGGGCATGGTGCTAAACTATTAGAAACCACCCCCTTGATCCAATCAGTTTCCACTAGGCCCAACCTCCAGCATTGGGGATTACATTTCAACATCAGATTTAAGTAGGGACACATATTCAAACCATATCATTCCACCTCTGGCCCCTCCCAAATATCATCTCCTTCTCACATTGTAAAATAGAATCACACCTTCCCAACAGTATCCCAAAGTCTTAACTTGTTTCATCATAAACTCAAAAGTCCAAAGGCCAAAGCCTCATCTGAGACAAGGCTCTTCCCTTTCACCTATGAGCCTGTAATATCAAAAACATGTTAGTTACTTCCAAGATACAATGGGGGTACAAACATTGGGTAAATACTCAGATTCCTAAGGGGAAAAATTGGTCAGAAGAAAGGGACTACGGGTCCCATACAAGTCTGAAACCCAGCAAGGCAGTCATTAAATCTTAAAGCTCCAAAATAATCTCCTTTGACTCCATGTCTCACATCCAGGGCACACCGGTGCAAGGGGTGGGCTCTGAAGACCATGGGCCGCTTCACCCCTGTGGCTTCCCAGGGTTCAGCCCCCACAGCTGCTCTCATGGGCTGTTGAATGCCTGCAGCTTTTCCAGGCTGAGGATGCAAGCTACTGGTGAATCTACCATTCTGGGGACTGGAGGATGATGGCCCTCTTCTCATAGCTCCACTAAGCAGTGCCTTAGGTGGGGACTAGATGTAGGGGCTTCAACCCCCCATTTCCCCTCTGCAGTGCTCTAGTAGAGGTTCTTCATGAGGGCTCCACTCCTGCGGCAGACTTCTGCTTGGACATCCAGGTGTTTCCATATGGCCTCTGAGATCTAGGCAGAGGCTCCTAAGCCTCAACTCTTGCATTCTGCACATCTTCAGGCTTATTACCACATGGAAACTGCCAAAGCTTACCACTTGCACGCTCTGAAGCAGTGGCCCAAGCTATATCTTGGCCCCTTTGAGCCACAACTGGTGCTGGAGTAGCAGGGATGCAAGGAGCAGTGTCCTGAGGCTACTCAGGACAGTGGGCCCTGGTCCTGGCCCAGGAAACCATTTAGTCCTTACAGGCATCTGGGCTTGTGATGAGGAGAGGTTGCCATGAAGCTTCCTAAAATGTCTTAGAAGACTTCTCCTCATTGTCTTGGTTATTAGTACTTGCCTCCTCTTTACTTATGCAAATTTGTGCAGCCTGCTTGAATTCTTCCCCTGAAAAATGGGCCTTTCATTTCTACCACATGGCTGGGCTGCAGATTTTCCACACTTATATGCTCTACTTCTCTTTTACATATAAGTTCCAATTTCAGGTCATTTCTTTTCTCTACTTCTCTTTGCTCATATGAGATAGGCTTTTAGAAGCAGCCAAGTCACATCTTCAGTGCTTCAATCCTTAGAACTTTCTTCCACCAGGTACTGTAAATCATCACTCTCAAGTTCAAAGTCCCACAGATCCCTAGAGCAAACCCACAATACAGCCACCCTCTTTGCTAAAGCATAACAAAGTGACCTTTACTCCAGTTCCCAATAAGTTCCCCATTTCCATTTGAAACCTCCTCAGCCTGGCCTTCACCGTCCATATCACTGTCAGCATTTTGGTCACAAACATTTAACAATTTCTGGGAAATTCTAAATTTTCCCTCATCTTCCTGTCTTCTTCTGAGGCCTCCATACTCTTTCAACCTCTGCCCATTACCCAATTCCAAAGCTGCTTTCACATTTTCAGGTATCTTTGCAGCAATGCTCCACTCCTCAGTGACAATTTTCTGTGTTAGTTCTTGCACTGCTATAAAGAAACACCTGAGACTGGGTAATTTATAAAGAAAGGAGGTTTAATTGGTTTACAGTTCTGCAGGCTCTACAGGAAGCATAGTGGCTTCTGCTTCTGAATAGGCCTCAGGAAACTTACAATTATGGTAGAAGGCAAAGGGAAAGCAGGACTGCTTTACATGTGGCTGGAGAAGGAGCGAGGGAGGGGGAATGCCACACACTTTTTATACGACCAGATCTCATGAGAACTCAATCACTATGTAGTACCAAGGAGAGGGGGATGGTGCTAAACTATTAGAAACTGCCCCCGTGATCCAATCAGTTCTCACCAGGCACCACCTCCAGCATTGGGGATTATACTTCAACATGAGATTTGGGCAGGAACACAGATCCAAAAAATATCAATTTTCTATATTGATATTGTGTACTACAACCTTGCTAAACTCATTTATTAGTTCAAATAGGTTTTTTTTGTGGATACCTTAGTGTTTTCTATATACAATATTATGTAATCTGCAAATATAGACAGTTTTACTTCCTTCTTTCTAATCTGGATGCCTCTTACTTATTTTTCTTTCTTAATCACCCCGTCCAGGACGTCTAGTACAATGTTAAATAGAACTAACAAGAAAGGACATACTTGTCCTGTTCCTGACCTTACGAGGAAAGCATTTGGTTTTTCACCATAAGTATTATGTTAGGTGTGGATTTTCCACAGATACCCTCTATCAGATTGCAGAAGTTCTTTTCTATTCCTAGTTTCTTGGGTGTTTTTTATTATGAAATTGTGTTTGATTTTTTCAAATGCTTTTTGTGCATCTATTAGGATAATCATGTGTTTTGTTTTTTATTCTATTAATATGATACGTTATGTTAATGGATTTTTGTGTATTAAGTCAACTCTATATGTGGGATAAATTCTAGTTGTTCATGGTGTAAAATTATTTTTAGGTTTTGGTAGATTTGCTTTGTGAATATTTTCTTGAGGATTTTTGTGTCTATAGTTATAAGGGTTATTGGTCTGTACTTTTCTTATCTTGTGATATCTCTGTCTGGTTTCAGTATCAGGGTAATACTGGCCTCTTAGAGAGATTTGGGAAGTGTTCTCGCACCACTTCTATTTTTTTGGACATATTTATCAAGAACTGGTATTAACTCTACTTTAAATGTTTGGTAGAAATTAACAGTGGAGTCATCTGGACCTGGTCTTTTCTATATAGAAGGATGTTTAACTACTAATTCAATTTCTTTACTTGGTATAGGTCTGTTCCACTTTCTATTTCTTCTTATGCCAGTTTTGGTCGTTTATGTCTTTTTAAAAATTTGTCCATTTCATCTTGATTTCCTAATTTGCTGGCAGATTCATAGTATTTCTCTGAGATCTTTTTAAAAACTTTTGTAAGATCAGTGATGATACCCCTCTTTCATTACTTTGATTTTTCCCCACTAATTATTTAGGAGTGTATTGTTTAATTTGCACATATTTGTAAATTTCCCAAATAATGATAAGGTTGGTAAATGGGACTCCTCAGGGAGCTGGGAGGCAGGTGAAATATTGCCAATTTTGTGGGGATGCGGATTTTTGAGGGTCTCCAAACATATATGCCTGATCCAGTGGCTGGTAGGCTGCTGGTTTTCATAGCTACCATGATTGCCAAACTGCTGATTTTCAAGACTGTGGAGCTAGAGAGGGGCAATGAGAATAAGGCAAATTAAAATGCTAGGACACTCACTGTTTTTACTCACATCCAGCCATTTTACTAGGGAAGAAAAGATCCTTGTCACAAAGCTTTGGTTATTTCTCAAGATCTTTTTGCCTTTTTGAAGGAGCATATTTTCAGTGGACCTAACTTAATTAACCTAGAAGTTCTGCCCCTGCTATATTTTTTAATATAATTATTATACTTTTCCTAATATTTCTAAAAACTTTCTTTCTCTTTTATTCATTTTATTTTTACTTTTTTTTTCTTCCATAACTTCGTGGTCATTTTTATGAATGTCATTCCTCTGATTTCTCTTTGATAGTCATAAATAATACATTTTCAGTCCCTTCTGTGGCACTGATTTTATCTGGAGTTAATATATGTTTCAGCTTTTATATTTGTAGCTATCTTTCTGAGTATTAGTTTCCCTGTGTTATAGAAGTTTGGTTTGCAAGCTCATTTCTAGAGAAAAATTTTTTCTCTTGGGTTTTTTGTTTTGCTGTATTTTATGTCTCTCTCTCTCTCTCTCACTCTCTCTCTCTCTCTCTCTCGCTGTCTCTCTCCTCAGCTGATATTGTCTGTTGGTTTTAGGTAGGTGTCTGCATACCTTGTCAAGGCCTTTAGTCTAGAATGGTACCTGGACTGCATTAATATTCGGTGTATGTCTGTCTAATCAGTGAACTAGCTGATGGGTTGATTGAGTTAAAAGTTAGATTAGGATTTTTCTAGGTTGTCCACCCGCCAATGGCCTGACATTTAGCCTCAGAAGTTGACTCTAAAGCCTTATTATCTGCTTATAGACTTGTTGGTAAGCAGGCCTGTGACTTTAACTTCACTTAGCACTTTGTGTTTCTTCCCGTTTGTGGTCTTCCAAGCTGTTTATTTTGTTTTTGAGCTTAGCTAAACATTTTAAGTTTTTTTTTAATTAAAAAAAATCTATTGTTGGTATGAATTTAAAAAATTTAGTTTACTTCAAAGTCCAAACTTTGCCATCTTGACTAGAAATCAACTAGTATTTTCAAAATATTTAGAATTTGTTAATTTGTCATAACACAAATTTAGTTATTTGAAATTTTTAACAGCAAAGATGTAAGCATCTACTGTAATTTCTTTTTGTATCTAAGTACCATATTCTCTACCTTTTTATGGCATAAGTTTTAAAGTTAACTTCTTATAAGTTAGGTTATAAATTTATCTACATTGTAGACTTGTTTCTCAGAAAATTTTCCGCATCAAGAAATCACACTATCTTTTCCTGTCAAACTTATGATGCCGGCTAATCATTAAATAATTTCTCAGTAATATAGTATTCAATACATGGGTGTCAACTTTTTTTTAATATCATCTGTGCCATCTCTCACTTGAAAAACTTCCATTGTTATAAACCTTTTGATGGAGGTACTTTCCCTTGAGTATAGATTCATAGTTTAAATTTCATAATTTTTTTCTTTGCATTAACTACACTTCTAATGCTTCAGCTGTGACTTATAGTTTTTATTTACTTAAAATGTAGAAGTAATTTAGAAACTTGAAGATTAACTAGAATGCAGATTCCATAGGGTCTTTCAGATTACTAAACTTTGTTTTCTTAGGAACTAAATTATATACACAGAATTCTTCAATTGTACATAGCTTATTAAAATATGTAATTAATGTGATAAGCACAACTGGGAAAAGAAGGTTGAGAACAAAGAGAATTAAAATTACCAGAAAGTAAGTATCTCAGTTGCTATGAGTAGAAGGCAGAAAGTAGAAAGTGGTATACTGGTGGTCAGAGAGATTGGAGAGCATAGATTAATCTGATGAGTTAGCTGAGTGGAGAACTATTAAGGAGATTTTAAAAAGTATTTTATTTTTAACTTAAAAATGAAATTAAACATGTAAAATAGTATAGCTTATTTATATTGAGAAAAACATAGATTTATGATTGCAATTAGGCACTAATTTTTTAAATGACTATATAATGAATCAAGTGAGTTTTGTGTGTTTTTTTTCTAATTAAATGTTTTTAGTATGGTTCACAATATGTCATCCTTTATTTCATGTTTGAATTTCAATAAGAATATTAAGGAGTTTTGTTCTAGAAAAGAATTTGAAAGATAATCAAGCTTTCCACAGGCCTAACTTATACACTTTACATTAAAACATTTTTCATTTGAAGCTTCTGAGTTAGTTTTCTCAAGTTATCTGGTTTTCTCTGCTACATCGTTTTTTGTCAATGGCATTGGTTATGACTCAGAGTTCTGCTATCACTGTTAGTGTAATCCTGCATCTTTAACAGTATTTGCTATCTACTCTACAATTGAATTGCATCATCAGATAACCAGTCCAAGTCTAATAGATGGGGCTAGGTCTTTATGTTATAAGGCAAGGAGTGTTTACGTACTAATTTTATATGTGACTAGTTCATTAGTGAATGTTTTCACATGATGACGACTTTTCCTTCCTTATACAGCTCAGTGACTGTGGTGTATTGTAAAATGAATGTTTAGCTAATGAAGACCCTTGTATCTTTTAAAAATAATAAATAAAAAATATTATTTCATTCTTTGAAGAATCTAAGTGGATAATGTCATCTTAGGAGAAACAGACTTGGGAATCTTGGTTGGGCTATTTGCCAGATGGGTAACTTAGAACAAGTCATTTCCCTTCTCTCTCTCATTTTTCCTTAGTGTGAGGAGAAAGAGTCAAATCAGACAATTTCTAAATTCTTCATTCAGGAATATAAGGAAATATCTAAAATGTTTTAGCAGCTGCTGCCTATATTTCCTAACTTTGTATTTAAATATTTATATTAAGTGTTACTGTACGAAGTGACAAAAGTGAGAAGATGAGGGCAGATTTAAGCATCAGTGTTACCCAATCTATTTTATGGTTGTAGTAGTGAGAGATGGGACTAGCTGGATTTCCTAGGCCAACTAAGAATCCCTAAGCCTAGCTGGGATGGTGACCACTTCCACCTTTAAACATGGAGCTTGCAACTTAGCTCACACCCGACCAATCAGATAGTAAGGAGAGCTCATTAAAATGCTAATTAGGCAACAACAGGAGGTGAAGAAATAGCCAATCATCTGTTGCCTGAGAGCACAGCGGGAAGGACAAAGATCGGGATAGAAACCCAGGCATTTGAGCCCAGCAACTGCAACCCCCTTTGGGTCCTCTCCCTTTGTATGGGAACTCTGTTTTCACTCTGTTAAATCTTGCAGCTGCACTCTTCTGGTCCGTGTTTGTTACGGCTGGAGCTGAGCTTTGGCTCGCCGTCCACCACTGTTCTTTGCCGCCTCGCAGACCTGCCGCTGACTTCCATCCCTTGGATCCGGCAGGGTGTCCGCTGTGCTCCTGATCCAGCAAGGTGCCCGTTGCTGCTCCCAATCAGGCTAAAGGCTTGTCATTTTTCCTGCCTGGCTAAGTGCCTGGTTCATCCTAATTGAGCTGAACACTAGTCACTGGGTCCCACGGTTCTCTTCCGTGACCCACGGCTTCTGATAGAGCTATAACACTCATCGCGTGGCCCAAGATTCCATTCCTTGTAATCCATAAGGCCTAGAACCCCAGGTCAGAGAACACGAGGCTTGCCACCATCTTGGAAGTGGCCTGCCGCTATTTTGGAAGCTGCCCACCACCATCTTGGGAGCTTTGGGAGCAAGGACCCCCGGTAACAGTAGCTTGGGCAGGTCAAATTTTTTCACAACAAACTCAGTGGGGGATCCAAAATGTTTTGAGAAAGAAGTTATCAGAACATGTTGCTAGAAAGTACGTTTCTACCTTCAAAAGCCAGGAGTAAAACCAGTCTTGTTTAAGCATTTTGTTTTTCTGAATCAGGGAGAAAAGGAAGAAGAACATAGTAGGCTGAAGGAAAAAGAAAATAAATCAGTACACTTCTTTGTTCTTCAGATAAAAGTGTTAGACTTGTACTTTCACACCTATTACATTTTTTTTTTTTTGTCTGAACAGTTGGTCCTTTCTGTTTTTCCTTTTTATATGTACTTTGGATTGCTTACAGTTTGCATTTCGTGTCATTGGCGTTGGTTTTAATTATTCTGGGCTCTTGTGGGTAGTAGAGGAATAATTTTGGCCTGCCAGCCATCTGGGATTCTACTTGCAGACTTTCAGACTCAGTATCTTTTCCCAAAGTCTTTGTACTCCAGACAAAGAATTCAACCCTGTGTGCCTTTGCCTACTCCCCACCTGCTGTTTATAGCATTCACATGTAGATGTATCAGCATTATTTTACTCCCAAACTCTCCAAAGTTCAGAGGTTGGAATGGATTGTTCTTTAGTGCCACCCTCTTGCTTTACCAATTGTAAACAATACCTTCTCTCTTTTCTCAACCTGGGATTTCAGAGAGTAGTAGTAAAAGTGATGATTTTTGAGGAAAATACCAGGACCTTGTCTATGATGCAATACCTGGAAATCACATGTTGGGGAATTATCTGTCAGGCAATCAGATAGTGTTTTATAAACAACATGTAAACCAATCACTTAAAATTTGTATTTACTCCTCACATTTTTGCAGTGGCATAGATGGGATGAAATACTTCTTGCTTTTAATTACTTGTTCTAGACTTTTAAAAATTGCAGTCAGATTAATGAATGTTTCCAAGACACTTCCGTTAGAATGATGTTTTAGATATATTTTATCATCCTAAAATTAACATAATTATATTTGTATTTTTGCTTTTAGCATGCTACTTTTAATAGACTTTTTGTCTGTGAAATATATTGCATATAGGTAACATAAAAATAAAGTTAATATTAACTACAGCCTTTGCTAAACATTACTGAATATTGTGTCTGCCCAATCTATAAAATGTGAAAACTCAGAAAATATATATTATGGGCATTTACTGTCATTTTTCTGTGTTACTTATATCCAAAATGATAGTCATTATGTTTTCAAGGCCCTTTGTTAATAAGACTTTTAGCATACACTTCCTAAAGTTTCAAACAGTGATGACTAGCTGGAATTATGTTTAATAATTTTAATACATTAAAACATAGCAACAATTTATACTTATATTCTAATGGACTTGTTTTCAAATGGAAGCCAACTCTGTTGTATGTTAATTAAATTTGGAATAACATTTATGATTTTAAAATAATGTAAAATATTCAGTTGCTTCTTTGATAAGGTGACCATATTTAGGAACACAAATTTAGGATTTTTGCTTATGGCAGTGCACTAGGCCTATTGTGGCTGTGTGGACCACAAAATAATAAGAGGAGAACAAGAAATATTGCTCGAATCATTGCTGTGATTTTGATTGGCCCAGAAGTTGAGGAGATCTAGGTGCTGAGACAGAGATTATAGCTTTGAGGAAGTGGAAGTGCATAGGAGGGCAGAACTCTGCCTTCAGCCAGCTTGATTAACCAGTAATCCAGAAGAAACCACAGCTATAGTTTGTGAGTAGATGACTTCTTTTCTTAAATACCCCTTGAAGACTTATAACTATTCTTAGAATGCATTTAGTAGTCAGTAGAGTTTATACGGATCTATGTAACCTGGCCCTCATCTCTTCTGTGTAGCTCATTCTCTACCTTCCCGTATTCTACCTTTCAGCCATTCTGAAATTTTCTCAGTTCACGCTATATGCATACCTTCTTACCCTTCTTCTAGCCATCACTTCAGAGGTCTTCTCATATTTGCAATGCACCCAACAAATGTCTTATAGCCAGAATCTATAGGGAACTTAATTGAACAAGCAAAAAATAACTCCATTAAAAATGGGAAAAGTCGTGAGCATACACTTCTCAAAAGAAGACATACAAGTGGCCAAGAAACATATGAAAAGATGCTCAACATCACTAGTTATCATAGAAATGCAACTCTAAACGACAATGAGTTACCATCTCATGCCAGTCAGGATGGCTATGATTAAACATCAAAAAACAATGGATGCTGGTGAGGCCACAGAAAACAGGGAATACTTATACAGTGTATATTTGTAAGTGGGAATGTATACAGTGTATACTTATACTTGGTGGGAATGTAAATTAGTTCACCTACTGTGGAAGGCAGTGTGGAGATTTCTCAAAGAATTTAAAAAAGAACTACCATTTGACCCAGCAATCCCATTACTGGGAAAGAAAATAAAGTTCTACCAAAAAGACACGTGATCTTGTATGTTCATTGCAGCACTATTCACAATAGCAAAGATATGGAATCAACCTAGGTGCGCATCAACAATGGATTGGATAGAGAAAGTGTGATATATATGTGTGTGTGTATGTGTATGTGTATGTGTGTATATATATATATATAATATAATGCTATTTAGCCATAAAAAAGAATGAAATCATGTTCTTAGTAGCAACATGGATGCAGCTGGAGGTCATTATCCTAAGTTAATTAACACAGGAACAGAAAGTCAAATACTGCATGTTCTCACTTATCAATGGAAGCTAAACAATGAGTACTCATGAACATAAAGATGACAACAATAGCCACTGGGGACTACTAAATGGAAAAGGAAAGAAGAGGACTGTGGGTTGAAAAACCAACTATTGGGTACTATGCTCAGTACCTGGGTGTTGGGATCAATCATATCCCAAACCACAAATCTGCAGATGTAGCCCCTGAATCTAAAATAAAAGTTGAAAAAAAAGAGTTAGTTAATTAAGAAATCAAAACCCGTATAGTATACAATATTTTACACTTTTTTGAGACTAATGATTTACAAACTATTTCTCTCTACAATATTTTTATCTCTTTGTTTATCTCTTGTGATGGTATGAGTATTTTACAAATTAATTTATGTGAGTTCTTTATATGCCTAAAATATTAGCCTTTGATTATTGATCTTGTGAATTTTGTTCTTATGCTTTTAAGTTTAATTTGATCAATGCAGCTGTTTTGCGGGGAGGGTAGTACATGTTAAAAATATTTGGCTAGTCATATCTATTGTTGACATTTTCTTTTTTCCCCTAGGGCCCTTTATTTTAGTTTAGTTTAGTTTAGTTTAGTTCTGGGATACATATGCAGGATGTACAGGTTTGTTACATAGGTAAACGTGTGCCATGGTGATTTGCTGTGCCTGTAGAAACCCATCACCTAGGTATTAAGGCCAGCATGCATTAACTATTTATCCTGATGCTCTCCCTCCCCCTGCTCCCTCCTCAGACTGCCCCCACTGTGTGTGTTTTCCCCTCCTGTGTCCATGTGTTCTCGTTGTTCAGCTCCCACTTATAAATTAGGACATGGGGTGTTTGTTTTTTCTTTCCCATTATTTTGCTGAGGATAATGGCTTGCAGCTCCATCCATTGTCCCTGTAAAAGACACATCTCATTCTTTTTTATGGCTGTGTAGTATTCCATGGTATATATGTACCACTTTCTCCTTATCCAGTCTATCATTGATGGGCTTTTGGGTTGATTCCATATCTTTGCTATTGTGACTAGTGCTGCAATGAACATAACACTTGCATGTATCTTTATAATAGAATGATTTATATTCCTATGGGTATATACCCAGTAATGGGATTGCTGGGTCGAATAGTATTTCTGGTTCTAGGTCTTCGAGGAATCGCTACAGTGTCTTCCTCAGTGGTTGAACTAATTTACATGTCCACCAATAGTGTAAAAGCTGTTCCTATTTTTCTAACGCCCTGCTATTATCTGTTGTTTCTTGACTTTTTAATAATCACCATTCTGAATGGCATGAGATGGTATCTCATTGCTGTTTTGATTTGCATTTCTCTAATGATCAGTGATTATGAGCTTTTTTCATATGTTTATTGACCACACGAATGTCTTCTGTTGAGAAATGTCTGTTCTTGTTCTTTTGCCCACATTTTAATGGGGTTGTTTGTTTTTTTCTTGTAAATTTGTTTAAGTTCCTTGTAGATTCTGGATATTAGGGCTTTGTCAGATGCATAGATTGCAAAAACTTTCTCCCATTCTATAGGTTGTCTCTTCACGCTGATGATAGTTTCTTTTTTTAAAAAATGTTTATTTCCATAGGTTATTGGGGAACAGGTGGTGTTTGATGACATGATTAAATGCTTTAGTGGTGATTTGTGAGATTCTGTTGCACCCATCACCCAAGAGCTATACGCTGCACACACTTGTAGTCTTTTATTCGTCATCCCCTTCCCACCTTTTCCCCCTGTGTCCCCAAAGTTTATTGTGTCATTCTTATGCCTTTGCATTCTCACAGCTTAGCTCTCATTTATAAGTGAAAACATATGATGCTTGATTTTCCATTCCTGAGATACTTCACTTAGAATAATAGTCTCCAATCTCATCCAGGTCATATTCCTTTTTACAGCTGAGTAGTACTCTATCATATATATATATATATATATATATATATCACAGTTTCTTTATCCACTCATTGATGGATGAGCATTTGGGTTGGTTCCACGTTTTTGCAATTGAGAACTGTACTGCTATAAACATAGTTGTGCAAGTATTTTTTTCATATAATGACTTATTTTCCTCTGGGTGCATACCCAGTAGTGGGATTGCTGGATCAAATAGTAGTTCTACTTTTAGTTCTTTAAGGAATTCTCCACACCGTTTTCCACAGTGGTTGTGCTAGTTTACATTCCCACCAGCAGTGTAGAAGCACTCCCTGTTTACCACATCCAAGCCAACATCTATTATTTTTTTATTATGGCCATTCTTGCAAGAGTAAGGTGGTATTGCATTGTGGTTTTGATTTGAATTATCCTGATCATTAGTGATGTTGAGCATTTTTTATATGTTTGTTGGCAATTTTTATATCTTCTTTTGATAATTTTCTATTCATGTTCTTATCCCAGTTTTTGATGGAATTGTTTGTATTTTTCTTGCTAATTTGTTTGAGTTCATTGTAGATTCTGGATATCAGTCCTTTGTTAGACATATAGATTGTAAAGATTTTCTCCCACTCTATGGGTTATCTGTTTACTCTGCTGACTGTTCCTTTTGCCATGCAAAAGCTCTTTAGTTTAATTAAGTCCCAGCTGTTTAATCTTTGTTTTTATTGCATTTGCTTTTGGGTTCTTGGTCATGAAATCCTTGCCTAGGCTGATGTCTAGAAGAGTTTTTCCAATGTTATCTTCTAGAATTTTTATATTTTCAGGTCTGAGATTGAAGTCCTTGATCCATCATGGGTTGATTTTTGTTTAAGGTGAGAGATGAGGATCCAGTTTCATTCACCTTCATGTGGCTTGCCAATTATCCCAGCACCATTTGTTGCATAGGGTGTCCTTTCCCCACTTTATGTTTTTGTTTGCTTTGTTGAAGATCAGTTGGCTGTAAGTATTTAGGTTTATTTCTGGGTTGGCCATTTTGATTACTATTTTTAGAAGAGCTTTTTGTTTGGTATGGTAAAATATAAGTTTTTCTAGAAATTTAAAAAATAAATATGATCAAAATATTTTAAGAAATCTGCAATTTTATAGAAAATGGGATTATATTTTTAAAAATTTAAATATTTTCCATTGACAATATATATGAATTTTTGGCATATGTATGTATGTCATAATGTATTTTGCATATATATATGCCATAATATATTCAGCCAAATCTATTGTATGGGACATTTAAGTTATTTACAGCTTATTGAAACAGCAAAATCCTCAATGACCATTTTTTATATGATTTTGTGCATATTTATAATCATACCTTTAGGAATTATTTTTAAAATAATTTCTGCATTAAAGAGTTTGTAACATTTTAAGATTATTGATACATGTTGCCAAATTGCCTTCCATAAAATAAGTGCCAACTTACACTAATCTTGCAGTGTATAAGAATGCCCATTTACTCCCCCCATTATCAAAACTGAATATTCAATTTTCAATGGTATTTGCAAATCCAATGTTTACCTGTTTGTTGGCTAATAGTCTGAACATCAGTCCTGTTCATTTCTCTACAAATAAAGAGTAAGCTATTTTAAAATTTATCTTTGAAAATAATGCATATTAGAATTAACAAGAAATTTACAGAAATTCTTAGAGGTAAAAAGCAAAACGAGAGCACAATTCCAGACAGGTTGGAGAAGGCTGAAAGAGCATTTGCTAATCCTCGGGTACGTTTAGCTTTAGTTTAAACCACTATAAAGGTTAAAAGAGAGAATTTCCAGGTCCAGTGCAGTGATAGGAAGTCGGATGGGATACCACAGCATAAGCTCATTGTCCTCTAAGAGATGCGTATTCAGTGAGAAAGCCAACCAAGATGAGCAATATTTTTCACACAAGAAGAGAATAAAAATATTTGTCTTTGTTGGTCTCAGCCCTAGATGGAGGGGGGAAAGTACTTTTGCTTAAGTATTAATAACCATAATCTTGAGTCAGAATTCACACCACCTTCAAGGAATGAAAACTTTTGAAGCTGAAAATTTTGTTTAAAGAGGGCCCTATTTGGTAGTACCCCTGGATACCTGGTATTCACAAACTAAAATCCTCTCTTAAAGAGTGCACTGTCACATATATCTCAAAGGATTCTCACTGATCACATTTCATACACACACACACACACACACACACACACAATTATAAAGCATACAAGGAAACAGGAAAATGTTGGCAAAATAAAAAAGCAGAGCCATATCCACAAAGATTTTAGAAACTTTAATTACAGATGCAAAGTATAATAAGTAGGTTTAAAAATAAAAGAATTATTTTAAAATATGAGTAAGAAATAGCTGTCTATAAAAATGACCATTTTGTTTTTTTAGAAGAACCAAATAGAAGATCTGGCAATGAAAAATGTAAAAATCAAAATTAGGAACTCAATGGGCAATTTAAGGAACATATTAAACACAGGTGAGAAGACAACTGGCAAACTAAAAGAAAAATTTTGAAGGGATTGCCCCACATGAGGTACAGAAAGACAAAAGAGTTGAAAAACGTGTAAGGGGATACAGCCTTTGGCAAATACCTGATCAGAGTCCCATAAGGGGATAATGGGATGGTAAGAGAAAATATTCAAAGGGATAAGCCCAACAACTTCACAAAGTTAATGAAAGATGGGGAGGCTCAGATACAGTGGAGGACTGGGGGAAAACATCCACACCTAGAAGAATCACAGCGAGGCAGTGGAATATTAAAGCCAAAAGGATCTCATCAAACAGCAGAGAGAAAAGACAGATGGTGTGACAGACTAGCAGCTGACTTCTCAACTGCATCAGAGGAAGCCAGAGACTGCAGAATAATCCCTTCTTCACGAATACTGGGAGAAAATAAGTCAAGCTAACACAAGACTACCTTTTGAGAAAAACATTATTCCATTGAGAGGATAACCAAAGTCAAAAGTTGATGCTTTAAAAAGAGTATCAAAATTGACAAAATTCTAGCAGGAAAAAACAGAGGCAATAAAAGTAATAAATTTTAAGAGGCCCATAGTTATAGGTACTGCAGAGCTAAATAACTGATAGGCAAGTAATATAAACATATTTTTGAGTGATTATAAAACTATCAAAAGAAATTAAACATGGTCTAAATAAGTGGGAGATGTAATCTGGAGTTTGGCAAACATGCAAAAACATGCAAAATTAAGTAGGTCAAATAGGAATACATATTTAAGGTTAAGACACTAAATGAAAGCAAAGAAATTATAAGCATGAAATTCAAATATTGGTTACTTTCTGACAGTATGCAGGGGTAAAAAAAATCAGGGCATATTCTACTTTTTAGTCCAAATGGAGGCACTTTGTTAATATTCCTTAAACAGTTCATTTACATTATTTATTTACCATGAAATGTATAACACGTATAGAAAAAAGTAAACAACACAGCACAAAAATGTACAGCTCAATGAATTGTCATAAAGCACACACCTTCATAATCACCACATAGATCCAGAAATAAAACATGTGAGCACCCCAGAAACTATACCTCCCAGTCCTCAAAAGGTAGCCACTATCTTTGTAGATTTATTGTTTATGAAGGTATCCTTAAACCCTATTGTTTTGTTTTCTCCTGTCTTTTGAAAATAACGGGGATGGAATTACATACAGCTAATTCTTTTATGTCTGGCTGCTTTGATGAACATAATGGTGAAATTAATAGGCCAATGAATGGTATTATTTTAATTTCATTTTTCTGGTTACTACTTGTAGTAAAAATTTTTCATATTGTAACTTTTGAATATTTGTTTTGTGAATTGTTATTATCTTTGCCCATTCATCCATCTGTAAGAGCCTCTTCTTATTGATTTGCAAAAATTATTTATTAATAATTATATTAACCCTTATTTGACAAATTTGCTCTTATAATTTGTTCTCCATTTCATTTTTTACCATTTATAATTTGTAATGGTTTTCTTTTTAAACTTTCCTTTTTTATTATTGAAAATTAAATATATCATCACTGTAAAAAAATTTCAGAAAACCAAACCAAAAACACAACACACCATAGTATAAAGATCATTTTAATTTCTGCTTCCCAATTAATTCCTTCTTCCCAATTAAATGTTAACTATTGTTAACATTTTGGTTCATATCCTTTGTGACTTTATTCATTTATTTGTATTTACATGTTCCCTATATATGTATATTTATATATACAAATGTAGATAGAGATATGTGTCAAATTTTTAAATACCTATATATTTGTACGTAAAATTTTACAAAAGGAGAATTATTTTGTCTGCCTAATAACATGTTTTTCACCGATCGATATAATTTACACCACCATTTTAAATTATTTAAATGGTGTTCCATTGTATAAATTTGCTAATTATTAATTCAACAAACATTAATTGAGTCTCTTGATAATGCTGTATAGAAGCATTGTTTTGTAGGCACTGGAAGCAACTAACATACAAAATTCCTGCAAAGGTGTGGCTTGAATGCTAGTGGAGGAAACATACAATAAAGAAATAAATTTTTCATATTCTGTAAGGAAATCCTAAGTTCTAGAAAGAAGAAAAAAAGCAAGGAAGATTATAGAGAGTAATGGGTTGATATGAGGGAATAGAGTATTCAAGGAATGCCTCATAAATTAGCAAGAACATAATTTAAGTATGGGAACCCACTGTGCCAGCCTTTGGGGCAAAATCAAATGCAAGTCAACAAGGTGAGTTTTTTGAGTTTTTCTTAGAGCAATATGACATTGGTTAACATTTAAATTACTTCCAATTTTAACAAATTTGGAAGCACCATTTTTGTTAAAATACTTAATAAATTTTTGCATGCGTTCTTACATTTGTTCTCCTCAGTTTTCAAACCTACCTTGTCCTTGTATGTCTTTATGACAATAATAGTAGAAAGATATGAGAGTCTATATTAAAGGATGTTAATCTAGTGCCATCTTACTCCAGAGACATAATTCATATTTATTTAGAGGAAAAATAAAACTTAGGAAAAAAGAAAAGAAGTCTTCAAAGAATGTTAGAATATAGAATATTTAATTTAGAAATGAATTTTTATAGCTAAGACAAAAAAATTGAAATGACTTGCCTTTAGCTGCTCTGCAATGTAATACTTTTTAAAAATGCCACTTTAACATCATGGAATCTTTAATAAAATAATAAGCAAGAACTTTGACACAAATATTTTTTGTTCCCTTAGGTTACTGATGCCAAATTTTGCCCAAGACCTTTTAATGTCTTGCCTGTGAAGACAAAATGGAGTAACGTTGGCTTTCATATTCTTCTATTTGATCTGGAAAACCTTGTTGAACTTTTGCTACCAACTCCACTCAGTGATGTTGACTCTTCCAGTTCATTCTATGGTGGTGAGGTCCTGAGAAGAGCCAAGAGCACAGTGGAGAAGAAGACACTGACACTGAGAAAAAGTAAAACTGCCTGTGGTCCTCTTTCAGCAGAGGCACTAGCCAAGCCTATTACTGAAAGCCTGGCCCAAGGAGATAATACCATCAAATTCTCAGAAGAAAATGATGGCATTAAAAGGCAGAAGAAAATGAAGATCTCCAAAAAAATGCAGCCTAAGCCATCAAGAAAAGTAGATGCCAGTCTCACAATAGACACAGCAAAATTGTTTCTGTCTTGCCTTTTGCCATGGGGAGTGGATAAAGATTTAGATTATCTTTGCATTAAGCACCTCAATATTTTAAAGCTTCAGGGTCCTATTTCTTTGGGAATTTCTTTGAATGAAGATAATTTCTCACTGATGTTGCCAGGTTGGGATTTATGCAATAGTGGAATGATAAAAGACTATTCAGGAGTAAATTTATTTTCCAGGAAAGTTTTGGACTTGTCAGATAAATACACAGCCACTCTTCCAAATCAGGTTGGAATTCCAAGAGGATTGGAAAATAATTGTGATTCTTTGCGAGAGTCAGATACTATAGTTTATTTGTTGAGCAGACTATTTTTAGTTAATAAATTAGTTAACATGCCTTTAGAATTGGCATGTAGAGTTGGCAGGTAAGACATACCTAGAGATTTTGACTATACTAGATTATGACATTAAAAATATATATCATTATTTGCTATATTTAGCTCTTTAACATTCCTTCCTTCTTTCCAGTGGGGGGTAAGTATGCAACAATTTCTGGTTTAAAAAACATTTAAGAAAATCTCCCTTTTAATTGTTTGGGATTAGAGTATAATTTGGCAATAAATCTATATGATTTAAAATTCATTAACTCAACAAATATTCAATGTTCTCATAATATGTGCCAGGAAAGACATAGTGTGGGATGTTGAATGAGTTGATAGATAGATACATACATACATACATACACATATACATACATAGACACATATACGTCTTGAAATCCATTATACATGGTGTGAATCAAGTATGAGCAAAAACATTTAAGTAAATGCTTATGATGATATATTTTTATATCGTCAGAGAAGGAAAACTTTGAAAATTTCATACCTCAAATTTTACCATTTATTTTATATTTTGGCATATTAAAATAGAATAAAATAGAAGAGGCTATTTAGTGATTCATTTATACATAGTACAGTTTAGTAATAACTGTTGCTTTTGAGTGTTGAGATTACACTAGCTGTGTGGCTTTGGGCTAGTCACTTTGCTTTTCTGGGCCTTACTTTCCTCATTTACAAAATGAGGTGGGTGGTGTAGGTGATTGTCAAATTCTTAAAAGCTTAGGCTGGTAACCAGTTTGATTTATTGGTCTAATCATGATCCCACAGAGCAGATGAGGGACTTAGTTGTTTGCCAGAGGTTTTCATTCTAAGTTTATTCCTGGTACAGATTACAGGATGGAAATGATGTGTCTGATGTCTGGTGCACTTTAGGGAAGCTTATGGACTTTTGGTACGCCTTTCATTAAATAGCCTTTCAAATGTTGTCACACGTTGGTTGACTCTTTAAAGAATTCTTCATTGAAACAAATTATAGAATGAAGGTGTCAGGATTAGAGACTGCTTCTCTACTGCAGCCACTCAAGATTTGATCTGCTGTCAGAGCCCAGATATTATTTTTTGAGAAATCAAAATCATGTATATTGGATTTGTCACACCAAATCCTTCCAACAAATGTGACCATTTCACAAAGATTTTACTGTGGTTGTGAAGGTTGAGAAATCCTTGTGTGCTTAACACCTGGGCACATGATTTAACTATATTTTAAGGCAACACCTGCCTACTTATCAGAACATCCCTGGCAGTTTCGGAAGATTCCTATGATTAGAACACTGGCCTAGGGTAAAACCTGCCTTCATAAGGCTCCAATGATACCTGAGGATAATTCTTTGACAGATGTGAACATATTGGGTTTTTTAAATTTGTTGCATTAGTCAGTAATCATGTAACCTAAAATAGCAAAGCCTGTCTTGTAAACATAGTTCACAGATAATTCTGGCAAACTAAGATGTGCAGGTCAATTGGGATTAAGATTTTAGGTGGGAGCCTAAAAAAATAAATAAATAAGATTTTAGGTGGGAGCAAAGTGAGGAAATCAGATTCACAAGAGAAATTGATGTGAAAGATATTGCTAAAAATAATTTGTATTCAATTTCCAAATTTGCTAAAGTGGTCATGTACCCATATCTTTGATTTATTTCCTCAAATAATTTTTCATGCTTTTTAGTAATATGCTGTCAATCTTTTTTCTAACAGTTCTTTCAGAATGGAAAGTATACATAATAAGATGAGAGGTGCTGGGAATGACATTTTAAATATGTCAAGCTTCTACAGTTGCTTACGAAATGGTAAGAGAGTTACTGGCACAGATATGATCTGATTTTTTTTTTCTGTGAAAGGACATAACTAGTCTTTCTATAACTGGTTAGCAGTGTCAAAATAAATAACATATATAAAACATAGATTTTACCTATGTTTGTGATTACACTAGCTGTGTGGCTTTAGGCTAGTCATTTAGCTTTTCTGGGCCTTACTTTCTTCATTTAGAAAATAAGGTGGGTGACATTTATAAAACATTTAAAAACATAGATTGAACATTTTATAATTTTAAAACATAGACATAACATTTGAACATTTATAAAACATAGATTTCAAATGATCTTTGAAATGCCTAAAAATTTGAAACTTTTCAGCAAAGGAAATACTTATATGTTAAGTATTTTATTATTGTGTTTTATTGGAAAGTTTATTGCATCATCTTTATTACCAAATAAATGATTATTATATTAGATAATTTTCTTGCAATTTCAGAAGGTTATATTCTCAACTTCAGTGTTTAGATTTCCTCTTGATGCCAAATGGCAAATGTATCTCCCAAACCTGCTTTTCCAAGTTTGGGACATCTCAATAAATGACAGTTCTATCCTTCCAATCACCAATTGCTCAAGCGAAGAACCTTGCGATTCTTTTTTACTTTCCCTTTCTCTCATACCCCACATCCAATCTGTCAGTAATTGTGTCAGTTCTACCTTCAGAATGTATCCCAGAATCTGACTGCTTCTCACCCCCTACACCAGCAACTCCATCCCCCTCAACCTTCCTTTCCCTCACCCTCACCCCTGTGAGCGTTCATCCTGTCTTGCCTGGATGACCATAGCAGGCTCCTGATCATCTCTCTGTTCCTATTCTTGACTCCTGCACTCTGTTCCCACCCAAGCAGCCAGAATGATTTATTCAGAACTAAGTCAGAACCTCACTCGTCTATGTATAACCTTCTGGTGGCTTCTGTTTCGCTCAGAATAAAAGCCATTGTCCTTACTATAGCACAGAAAGCCCTATAGGATCTGGCTGCTCTACCTATGTCATCACATATACACCCCCATCCAACCTTCTCTCTTAGTGCTCACCCCCTGCTTAACTCATTCCAGCTACCCTAGCCTTTTTACTCTTACCCAAGCATGACAAGCAGGTCTGAGGACCTTTGCATTAGCTGTACCTTTGCCTGTGGTGTTCTTTCCCTAGACCTTCATATAGCTCAACCTGCTCACCCTCCACCCGCTACCATCCATCAAGTCTTGCTCCAATGCCACTTTATCACTGCAGCAGCACTCCCTACCCCTTTCGCTGTTGTACTGTTCTCCATAAGCCTCTTCACTATCTATCTGACATCTGTTACTTTAAAAAATCTCATCTGCCTCCTGCTACTAAGTTGTAAGCTCCATAGAAGTTATATTTTTGTGACAGTTTTATTCATTGCTGTGTCCCTGGTTCCTAGAACAATATCTAGAAGGAATTAGCAAATAACTTTTGAATTAGTGGATGAGTTCAATTAATGGACAAATGAAATTAAAGGATAAATAATGACTAGAACAGTGGTTTTGGAGATAAATAAGATAGATGGCTGAGATTCAAGATCCAGCTCTGCCATTCACTATTTGTGTTCTATTGGGCATGTCTTTTCCTTTTTAAAAGCCCTAATTACTACATTTGTAAAATGGGAATGTGATCCCAGATACAATGCACATGTTGCCTCCAAAGCTGTGCAGCATATGATCCATAGGATGGGGTGACCTGAATGACAGTACACAGTGGCCCTCACACGACTGTTGAAAAGAGTATTTTCAAGTGAGAGTTTATTATTAGCTTCCAATTAACTTGTGCTTAGTTTGTTCCAAGAATTATGTTAATGGTTTTACATATATTATCTCATTTAATGTAAAAACAACCCTGCACAGTAGGAGGCAGCATCTCTGTTTTACCGTTAAAAAAAAAAAATGGGACTCAAGGAAGTTAGATGACTCATAGGCAAACAGCTATTCAGTAGAGGGGCCTGCATTCCAATCCAAATCTGATTCCTAACCCCATTTCCTGTCCACTGTGTCAGGCCACTTCTCACATTTATGATTACAGATAATGTTCCATCTAAATAGCCCCAGTCTGGGTTGCCTCCTTTCTCCTTAGATAGTTACTCTTATTAGGGTTAGTTATCCAGTGTTTTGTTGTTGTTGTTGTTGTTTGTTTGTTTGTTTTTTAGCACTCGTAACTGGGAAGGGGATTGGAATTTAAGATTTAATATAAGTGTTTCTGCAAAGACAGGGGATTGCTAACCAGAATCAAGGAGGCCCCTGCTTTTCCTATGGGTGCCCCAGCAAAAAGCCTAAGCAGCTACTGTTACTATAGAATCATCTCTCTGGAATTTAGGTTGGCACTTATAGCATTTGAAATTCAGCTAAGGAGTAGGGAAACATGTTTTTCAAAAAAATAATAGGAAGATGGAAGGTTAAAGAAAGGAAGTATTGACTTCATGGTATTAATTTTATGAAGCCAAATCCTAAAGAATAAAAATAATACTCCGAGGTGCTCATCTAAAACGTTGTTAGGAACCAGTATTCACTTCTGTCAGCAGGAATTGACTGAATAATGTTGGTAAGGCTGGGATACTTTCTTTTATCTTTCCCCCTAAAGTTGCAATTAATTCTTTAACTCACTGACATTGCCAAGATAAGTTGGCTCTCATTTCTATCACATATTAAAATTTTAACATCACATTAAATTGTGCTGTGAAGTACCCCATGATGCTAGTAAGTAGTTACAGTTGAGACCAATACTTAGCTTTGATGGTTGAGTCACAAGGTCCACAAAGTGGGAGAGGGAGGAAAAACAGAGATCAAAAGAAAATGTTCTCTTACCTGCTGTGTTCATGAAGAAATGGAAAACATGTCAAAATTATAATCTTCTACCATACTTCCATGTTTTATATAGTGTTCTTGGTCATTTTACATTTATATTAAATGCTCTATCAGGAAAAAGTAATATCAATAATTGGTCAGAAGTTTCTTATGTATTACTTTTATGTTCTCAAATTGCATTGTATACAATACCTTTATTGCATTTTCCTTGACTGCTAATGTGGTAAATATATATTCATATATATATATATACCTCATATGTTAATATAAAAATAGGGATTTGATGAAAAGTGTATCAGACAAATGCTAATTTAAATAGTTGATACCACAATGTCAAACATATATCAATATATTAATTTAAGTAGACAATTATAGTAACAACTTTTCCGCTTGCAGAAGCCCTTACCAGTCTTCCCTATCTCTCAGGATCTGGCACCTAGATAATAGACTGTAGCCATCAGAAAGCCTTAACTCATCGATTGTTCATTATGGTTATATGTACATTTTCAATTAATGAAAAGGCACTTATTAAGTACTTTTTTGTGTAGGAAACTGCTGGACACTCTATGAACCAGTTTACATAGACCAAGCACTCACTCATTCTTAAAATTTCACACTGAACATTAAGGCAAATAGAAAGGACACTGGAGAGGGCAAACAGAGAAGAAATAATACATAACAGAATGAGTTAAATTAAAACAGTAGTGCTCTACCTATTGATCAAAGTGGTATAGCTGGGTAAGGACAAATCAAAGGAAGTCTTTGATTTGATTTTACATGTGATAGAGACTAATTCATGGCAGAGTAGAATTTCAGAATTTGTATAAGGAAGGAATTGTAAGATTTGGTGATCTGTCTTGGGTCAGCAAAAAGAACAAAAATGTGTTGAAGCTGTAAAAATGAATTTGATTTGATGTGAATATGTGTTAGTATAATTGTTAGAATTACATATAAATTGTGTGTGTGTGTGTGTGTGTGTGTATAAATGTACACAAATGGATGTGAACCCTGGCTGTATATGTAAATCATCTGTGGCACTTTTACAAAGCATTAATGCCTGTCCCACCTCTACCACAGGATCTGTAAAATAAAAATCTCTGGAAGATTGAACCTGGGCATTGGTGTTTATAAAAAACAAAGCTTCCCAGGTGATTCTAATATGCAGCCCATCTTAAGAGCCATTATCCATTTTTAATACTCTAAAGATACAAGTGTGTTCTGTATATTTCTAGGTAAGAATGAATCCCATGTACCTGAGGCTGACCTTTCACTTTTGAAGCTAATTTCCTGTTGGAGAGACCAGTCTGTGCAGGTATGATATAATTCACATTCATGACGTTATTAGAAGAGTTCCTTGCTGCTGTGGTTCATGGATACCCCCCTCTATCTGAAAATACAAGCAGTTACTCTTGTCCTCATAAAATGGCCTTTGAACAGACATAGAGATGAGGGAAAACACGGACCATAACATAAGCAAGGGTACACCATTCACTAGGGGAGCGTGAATGCCCGGGGCTGAGGGAGGGAGGTTCTTGCTATCACAGGTAATTTCTTGCTTGTTGAAGCTTCAGTTTGAAGCAGGATTGTCCATTATTTGATTTCAAAATATGCCATACATTAAAGTACCTATGTGTGGGAATTTGATTATGTGAAATTAGATTTTTTTTTAATTTTTGATTTTTGTGGGCACATAGTGGTCATATATATTTATGGGGTATATGAAATATTTTAATACAGGCATGCAATGCCTAATTATCACATCACAGAGAATGGGGTATCCATAACCTCAAGCATTTGTCCTTTGTGTTAGAAATAATCCATTTATACACTTTTAGTTATCTTAAAAAGTAAAATTAAATTATTATTGACTATAATCACCCTGTTGTGCTATCAAATAGTAGGTATTATTCATTCTTTCTAACATTTTTTGGCACCTATTAATCATCCCCACCTACCTCTATCCCACACTACCCTTCCCAGCCTCTGCTAACCATTCTTCTACTCTCTATGTCCATGAGTTCAATTGTTTTTATTTTTATATTTATTTATTTATTTATTTATTTATTTTTGAGAAAGGATCTCGCTCTGTCACCCAGTCTGGAGTGCAGTGGTACAGTAACAGCTCACTGCAGCCTCGTTCTTCCAGGCTCAAGTGATCCTCCCACCTCAGCCTCCTGAGTAACTGGAACTACAGGCATGCACACCACACCTGGCTAATTTTTTCTGTATTTTTAAAGAGATGGAGTTTTGCCATGTTGCCCAGGCTGGTCTCAAATTCCTGGGCTCAAGCGATCCTCCCACCTCAGCCTTCCAAAGTGCTAGGATTACAAGTGTGTGCCATCTCACCTGACCTGTTTTGATTGCGAGATTCCACACATAAGTGAAAACATGCAATATTAGTGTATCTGTGCCTGGCTTATTTCACTTAACATAATGATCTCCAGTTTATCCATGATGTTGCAAATGACAGGATCTCATTTTTTTTATAACTGAATAGTGCTGTATTGTGTATGTGTACCATGTTTTCTTTATCCATTTATCTGTTGATGGATACTTAATTGCTTCCAAATACTTAGGTTGCTTCCAAATCTTGGCTGTTGTGAACAGTTCTGCAACAAACATAGGAGTGCAGATTTCTCTTTGATATACTGGTTTGCTTTCTTTGGGGTTATACTGAGCAGTGGGATTGCTGTATCATATGGTAGATCTATTTTTAGTTTTTTGAGGAACCTCCAAACTGTTCTCCATAGTGGTTGTACTCATTTACATTTCCACCAACAGTGGATTTTCTTTTCTCCACATCCTCACCAGCTTTTGATATTGCCTGTATTTTGGATATAAGCCATTTTAACTGGGGTGACATGATATTGCATTGTTGCTTTGATTTGCATTTCTCTGATGATAAGTGATGTTGAGTACCTTTGCATATGCCTGTTTATTCTTTGTATGTCTTCTTTTGAGAAATGTCTATTCAATTATTTTGGCCATTTTTTTATTGGATTGTTAGATTTTTCCTATAGAGTTGTTTGAGCTCCCTGTATACTCTGGGTATTAATCCCTTGTCAGATGGGTAGTTTGCAAATATTTTCTCTCATTCTGTGGATCGTCTCTTGTTTTTGTTGATTGTTTCCTTTGCTATGCAGAAGCTTTTAAATTTGATGTGATTCCATTTGTCCATTTTTGCATTGGTTGCCTGTGCTTACTCAGGAAATTTTTGCCCAAACCAATGTCCTGGAGATCTCCCCCAATGTTTTCTTGTAGTAGTTTGATAGTTTAATGGCTTAGATTTAAGTCTTCAATCCATTTTGATTTGACTTTTGTATACGGTAAGAGATAGGGGTCTAGTTTCATTCTTCTGCATAAGGATTTCCCAGCACCATTTATTGAAGAGACTGTCTTTTCCCCAATGTATGTTCTTGGCACTTTTGTCGAAAATGAGTTCACAGTAGGTGTATGGATTTGTTTCTAGGTTCTCTGTTCTCTTCCATTGGTCCATATGTCTCCTTTTGAGCCAGTACTGTGCTGTTTTGGTTACTATAGTTTTGTAATTTAATAAGTCTTTTTTTTTTAATTCTGAGAGTACCTCATCTGTGAGTTGACTTAGAGGACTGGTTCTTCAATGTCCAATTTAAATCCTTCTTTCTCCTTTAAGGCTACTTTTGGTCTCAAAATTTTAGCAGTACCTTTGTGAATTGTACAATAAATAGTTGTGCGTTGATTCGATGAATGTTTACTAGAAGTTTATTCTTTTTTATGAACTTGATACATTACATATCATATTTGCAAGATTAAAATAGCAATAACTCCAATTACAAATGATTATTCTTGGTTATAGGGAAACAAAGTTAACTCGTAATATACTATAGGGGCTGATGCTATAATACTAAATATACACAGTTGGAATGGCTATAAAAACTTGTTATCATGGCCTGCAAATATGCATGTGATTTTTTCCCCAGCCTGACCACATCTGTCATCATTTGCCACCTCCTATCTTACCTTGATTTAGCCCCAACTGGCTTTCTTTTTATTTCCAGAAGACGTAAAGCTCATTTGAACTCAGGATCTTACTGTTCTCTTGGGCTAGAATTCTCATTTCTTCATTAATCATTTAGGTCTTTGCTTAAAAAATCGATCTCCTTAAAGAAGTCTTCTCTTATAACTCCAACTAATATTGCTGCCACATTCTACCCAACCCCAGTCATCTAGTCATCATCACATTACCTAGTTTTTTTGCTGTGATTACTTTTAATGAAAATTATATTATTTGCTGTTTTGCTTGCTTATTTTGTCTTCTCGCTGTTATATAAGCTTGCTGAGAGCAGTGACCTTGTTTGTCTCATTTGCCCCTCTCTTACCAATGCCCAGAAAAGCAGAAGTGACAGTAGGCAGTCAATACATATTTAATGAGTGAATGAGTAGCTATGCAGGCAACCTCTGTAATAATTGGAATAAACACAAGTACAGGCAACTTTATCAGCACATTAGCAGTCACCCTAAAAAGGTTTATCTATTAAAAGTGAGATTTTTTCCCCAGTGGCCAAAAAATTCCTAAATGGGGAAAAAATTATTAAAAAGAAGGATTCAGCAGAACATTTCTCTTAAATTGCTCTCACTTGAAGATCTTTGATAGTTGTTCATTTGACCTTCAAATAAACTTTAATGTCATTTGGGCATGTTTGGACTAACAGACCTTTAAGGTTCTATGATTCTGTGACGGTATGTGAAATGCTGGCTGTGGACAAAGACTACCAGAGAATTTACCCACTCTACAGGAAGTCCAGACTTCAAGGTTCTCTTCTCATCTCTGCTACTGGCCTGATGCATGACTCTGTGAGATAGTTTAAACTTCTTGATTATTTGTCTTCCTCATTTGTAAAATGGAAATGAGTATTGCTGGCCCTTCAGGAAGAATAGAGACTCTTGCAAGTATCCATTCTACTGCTTCAATAACCGATCCTCAAATTATTATTATCTTTTTTTTTTCTGTCACCCAGGCTGGAGTGCAGTGGCATGATCTCGGCTCACTGCAGCCTCCGTCTCCCAGGTTCAAGCGACGCTTCTGCCTCATCCTCCCAAGTAGCTGGGATTACAGGCATGAACCACCATGCCCAGCTAATTTTTGTATTTTTAGTAGAGACAGAGTCTCACCATGTAGATCAGGCTGGTCTCAAACTCCTGACCTCAAATGATCCCCCCGCCTTGGCCTCCCAAAGTGTTGGGATTACAGGTGTGAACCACCATGCCCGGCTATCCTCAAATTACTTATAAAGCCATTCATTTAAGCAGTTAGTTGAATTATGTTAGCTTGATTTTACTTTTTTAAAACTTTTATTTTAAGTTGAGGGGTATAAGTGCAGGTTTGTTTCATAGATAAACTTGTGTATGGGGGTTTGCAGTACAGATTATTTCATCACTCAGGCATTAAGCCTAGTACTCATTAGTAGTTTTTCCTGATCCTCTCTCTCCTCCCACCTTCTGTTCTTCAGTAGGTTGCAGTGTAGGTTGTTCCCTTCTACGTGTTCAAGTGTTCCCATCATTTAGCTCCCACTTATAAGTGAGAACATGCAGTATTCGGTTTTCTGTTCCTGTGTCAGTTTACTGGAGGATAATGGCCGCCGACTCCATCCATGTCAGTGCAAAGCACGTGATCTTGTTCTCTTTTATGGCTGCATAGTATTCCATGGAGTATATGAGCCACATTTTCTTTATCCAGTCTACCATTGATTGACATTTAGGTTTATTCCATGTCTTTGTTATTGTGAATAGATCTGCAATGAACATACATGTTCATGTGTCTTTATAATAGAATGATTTATATTCCTTTGGGTATATATCCACTAATGGGATTGTTGGGTTGAGTGGTATTTCTGTCTTTAGGTCTTTGAGGAATCACCACACTGTCTTCCACAATGGCTGAACTAATTTACATTCCCACCAACAATGTATAAGCGTTCCTTTTCTCCACAGTCTCTCCAGCATCTGTTATTTTTGATTTTCTAATCTATAATTTTTTGACTTCAACATTCTGACTAGTGTGAGGTATTATCTCGTTGTGGTTTTGATTTGCATTTCTCCAGTGATTAGTGATGTTAAGCTTTCTTTCATATGATTTTTGGCCACATATATGTCTTCCTTTGAAAAGTGTCTGTTCATTTCCTTTGCCCATGTTTTAATAGAGTTTTTTTTCTTGTAAATTTGTTTAAGTTCTTTGTAGACTCTGGATGTTAGACTTTCGTAAGATGCATATTTTGCAAAAATTTTCTCCCATTCTGCAGGTTGCCTGTTTGCTCTATTGATAGTTTCTTTCGCTGTGCAGAAGCTCTTTAGTTTAATTAGATCCCATTTGCCAATGTTTGCTTTTGTTGCAGTTGCTTTTGGCATCTTTGCCATTAAACCTTTGCCTATGCCTATATCCCGAATGGTATTGCTTAGGTTATCTTCCAGGGTTTTTATAATTTTGTGTTTTACATTCAAGTCTTTAATCCATCTTGAGTTAATTTTTGTATATGGTGTAAGGAAGGGGTCCAGTTTTAATCTTCTGCATGTGGCTAACCAGTTATCCCAGCAACATTTATTAAGTAAGGAATCCTTTCCCTATTGCTTGTTTTTGTCAGGTTCACCAAAGATCAGATAGTTTTAGGTGTGTGATCTTATTTCTGGGTTCTCTATTCTGTTCCATTGGTCTATGTGTCTGTTCTTGTACCAGTACCTTGCTGTTTTGGTTACTGCAGCCCTGTAGTATAGTTTGAAATCAGGTAACGTGATGCCTCCAACTTTGTTCTTTTTGCTTAGGATTGCCCTGGCCATTCAGGCTCTTTTTTGGTTCCATATGAATTTTAAGATAGTTTTTTCTAGTTATGTGAAAAATGACGTTGATAGCTTGATATGAATAGCAATGAAACTGTGAATTGCTAGGCAGTATGGCCATTTTAATGACGTTGATTCTTCCTATTCATGAACATGGAATGTTTTTCCATTTGTTTATGTCATCTCTGATTTATTTGAGCCATGGTTTGTTGTTCTCCTTGTAGAGATCCTTCACCTTTCTAGTTGGCTGTATTCCTAGGTGTTTTATTCTTTTTGTTGCAATTGTGAATGGGAGTTCGTTTGTGATTTAGCTCTCAGCTTGACTGTTGTTTATAGGAATGCTAATGATTTTTGCACATTGATTTTGTATCCTGAGACTTCGCTGAAGTTGCTTAACAGCTTAAGAAGTTTTTGGGCTGAGATGATGGGCTTTTCTAGATAGAGGATCATGACATCTTCGAAAAGGGTAGTTTGACTTCCTCTTTTCCTACTTGAATGACCTTTATTGATTTCCCTTGTGGAATTGCCCTGGCCAGAAATTCCAATACTGTGTTGAATAGGAGTAGTAAGAGAGGGCATCCTTGTCTTGTGCTGATTTTCAAGGGAGAATGGTTCTAGCTTTTGCCTATTTAGTATGATGTTGGCTGTGGTTTTTTCATATATGTCTCATTATTTCGAAGTATGTTCCTTCAATATCTTCTTTATTGAGAGTTTTTAACATGAAGGGATGTTGAATTTTATTGAGAGCCTTTTCTGCTTCTATGGAGATAATCATGTGGTTTTTGTCTTTAGTTCTGTTTATGTGATGAATCATATTTATTGATTTGCATATGTTGAACCAAACTTGCATCCCAGGGATCAAGCATACTCGATCATGGTGGGTAAGCTTTCTGATATGCTGCTGGATTTGGTTTGCCAGTATTTTGTTGAGGATATTTTCATTGATGTTCATCAGGAATACTGACAGGAAATTTTCTTTTTTTGTCATATTTCTGCCAGGTTTTTGTATCAGGATGATGCTGGCCTCATAGAATGAGTTAGGGACGAATCCTTTCCTTTTCTATTTTTTGAAATAGTTTCAGGTGGAATGATAATAGCTCTTCTTTGTATATCTCATATAATTCATCTGTGAATCTGTCTGGTCCTGGGCTTTTTTCGGTTGGTAAGCTGTTTATTTAACTGCCTCAGTTTCAGAACTCATTATTAGTCTGTTCAGGGATTCAGTTTCTTCCTGGTTCAGTCTTTGAGGGTGCATGTGTCCAGGAATTTATCTATTTCTTCCAGATTTTCTAGGTCACGTGTATATATTACTAGCTTATAATATTCTCCGAGGATTGCTTTTCTGTTGGGTCAGTGGTAATATCCCCCTTATCATCTCTGATTGTGTTATTTGAATCTTCTCTCTTTTCTTCTTTATTAGTCTAGTGAGTGATCTATTTTATTTTATTTTATTTTCCAAAAACCAGCTCTTGGGTTTGTTGATCTCTTGAATAGATTTTTTTGTGAGTTATCTCCTTTAGTTCAGCTCTGATTTTGGTTATTTCTGGTCTTCTGCTGGCTTTGGGATTTTTTTGCTCTTGATTCTCTAGTTCTTTTAGTTGTGAAGTTAGGCTGTTAACAAGAGATCTTTCTAGTTTTTTGATCTGGGCATTTAGTGCCATAAATTACTCTCTTAACCCTACCTTAGCTTTGTCCCAGAGATTCTGGTATATTGTATCTTTGTTCTTGGTAGTTTCAAAGATCTTTTTCATTTCTGCCTTAATGTCATTTACCCAAAAGTCATTCAGGAGTAGGTTATTCAATTTCCATGTAATTGTATGGTTTTGAGTGAATTTCTTAGTCTTGAGTTCTAATTTGATTGTGCTGTGGTCCTGGTGACTGTTTGTTATGATTTCAGTTATTTTGCATTTGCTAAGGAGTGTTTTACTTCCAATTATGATCAATTTTAGAATAGGTGTCCTGTGGTGATGAGAGAAATGTATAATCTGTTGTTTTTGGGTGGAGAGTTCTATAGACATCAGGTCCATTTGATCCAGTGCTGAGTTCAGGTCCTGAATAGCTTTGTTAATGTTCTGTCTCAGTTATTTGTATAATATTGTCAGTGGGGTGTTAAAGTCTCCCATGATTGTTGTGTGGGGATCTAAGTCTCTTTGTAGGTCTCTAAGAACTTGCTTTATGAACCTGTGTGCTCCTGTGTTGGTTGTATTTATATTTAGGATAGTTAGCTCTTCCTGTTGAATTGAACCCTTTACCCTTATGTAATAATGTCTTTCTTTGTCTTTTTTGATTTTTGTTGGTTTAAAGTCTGTTTTGTCAGAAACTAGGATTGCAACCCCTGCTTTTTCCTTTTTTCCACTTGCTTGGTAGATTTTCCTCCAACCCTTTATTTTGAGAGTTGACATGTTATCTTGAAGACGACATACCGATAGTTTTGGTTCTTTATCTAGCTTACCACTCTGTGTCATTTAATTGCGGCATTCAGTCCATTTACATTTAAGGTTAGTATTGATATGTGTGGATTTCATCCTGTCATCATGATGTTAGCTGGTTATTTTGCAGGTGTGTTTATGTGGTTGCCTTACAGTGTCACTGGTCTGTGTACATCAGTGTGTTTTTGTAATGGCTGGTAACAGTCCCTCCTTTCTATATTTAGTGCTTTCTTCAGGAGCTCTTCTAAGACAGGTCCGGTGGTAATGAATTTCCTTAGTATTTGCTTGTCTGAGAAGGATCTTTTTTCTCCTTTACTTATGAAGCTTAGTTAGGCTAGATATGAAATTCTGGGTTGCAATTCCTTTTATTTAAGAATTTTGAATATTGTCCCCCAATCTCTTCTGGCATGCAGGGTTTCCACTAAGAGGCCCACTGTTAGTCTAATGGGCTTCCCTTTGTAGGTGACCTGGCCTTTCTCTCTAGCTGTCCTTAACAATTTTTCTTTCATTTTAACCCTAGTTAAATGGAATACTTTTGTAAAACAGAGCAAAATTAGCTCTAGAAGTTGAATGTTTACCTTTAAGGTTGGGGGAAGAATGAATTAATTTTGCTGATGAATAAGTTTGTCTAGAGATTGTCTGTTTTGCTCCTCACACATTAAACACTCAACATAAAAATAAATGCTAGAAAAGAAACAGAAAAGTTTGGGGATTGCTAATTTGCATGTTTCCAGTACTGCACTAAATTTCTTTGGATTTTATAATCTAACACCACTGGGTACACATCATGAAATGTAGGCCTCCAGCTAGAAATGTTGCTTTTCCAGGAGACACCCTAAAGACAGGAAAGGCCAGCATGAGCAGAGTGTTGGGAAAAATGTTTTATGACAAAAAAACTAGACACTGGAACAACAACCAGGACACAGGGGTTCTTATGCATCTTCATGATGCTCTATGCTATTTTACAGTATTTTGCTCTTCCAAGGTGTTTATGGAATGCCACTAAAATTTTTAGCTTGCCTAAGACTCAGTAATACCTTTAGTTAATAAGCATATGTCCCAGATTTGTAGCTGACTCTTTCCAGTCAATGAGTTTGTAAACTTTATTTTTAATCTGTGTACATTGCCTCATAAAAGAATATGATTCTTTGATATCTACCTTTTGGAAGAAATTTCTTTATATGCATTGGGAAGACAGCTTTATAGCCATAATGCTCAATACTAGCTCATTATTAAAATTACAAAGTTATATAAAATGCCATATAAACATTTTATATTTTTTTGGAGTAAATTCTATTTCTATTGACTACCTGTAAAATCTATCTATTACATTTATAGAGAGAGACTCAAGTACTGATAGTTATAAACTGTCAATAAATTATACTTCCCACAGTTTATTTTTGAAAGTCTGCAGAATCTATTTCAATTCCACTGGTATTTATGTAGTGCCCATTCTATTCCAGATACTATAATAACATTATTACATGTTTAGAAGATACAGCCTTTCTCTCATCTCACACTGAGTTTAAATATATATTTTGAGTTTCTTTCCAGTTGGATGCCATTCAGTATTCACTTTTAAATGTTGTGGCTCTGAGTACCCTACTCATCATGGTTAATCTATTTTATTCTATAGTTATTTCTGTTCTCCTTGTTTTTGATGATATTCGTATCATTATTCTTATAATATGCATTTGTGGTGACAACTATGTAAAAAATCAACAGTTAAAGTGAAGTCATGACATGTAAATCAAATAATTAGAAATATTAAATTAAAATACATAAATTCCTGTATATTTTTAAGAAGGAATGATTATCCAAGTTGTATAGGATATTATATTCAGTGGGAGAGATGACATTTTAGATCACAGTTGTGGGCATGCCTCTGGGGTGATAAGCATCCCAGGGTGAGAGGCCAGCCATAAGCCCAGTGAAGGCATATGGCCAAACTACCCATTCTGAGGGGTATAATATAGTCTGTACACATTGTGGGTCTTAGGATATCCTCCAATATCCTTAATTTATGAGTATAGAAAGAGCAATTTCCATGCACTATTCTGTTACTGAAAGCTCTTATCCTAATTTCTGTCAGTATCACAGACTGTTTTTTAAGTGAGAACATGAAGTTTCAGAGAAGTTTGTGGCTTGTCAAAGGTTGGATTTGTGGTAACTGTCGTGGTGGAATAGGAAATACAAACGTTTTCACTTATAATCCTGAGTTCTTTCTACCACATCATCCACATCATGGAACCAGTGATATCAAATAACATGTATGACAAATTTAAAATGAAATAGCTTCAGTGTTATAAAATTGTTCATCATGAATAAGTAATAAAATATATCCCATCATGTGAGATACATAAATCAGCATGGTTTACCAATATTGTGATATATATATAGCAGTATATGTTAGTAAGAAACATATATAATACTTAATATATATGTATCTCAGAAGTGGTATATATATATATACCATATTTGTCATCCAGGCCGGAGTGCAGGGGTGCAATCTGGGCTCACTGCATCCTCTGCCTCCTGGGTTCAAGCAATCATCCTGTCTCAGCCTCCTGAGTAGCCAGGACTACAGGTGCGCACCACCAAGCCAGGCTAATTTTTGCATTTTTTGTACAGACGGGGTTTCACCATGTCAACCAGGCTGGTCTCATATGGTAGATATTAATAGGCACTATTCACCAGCATCATGATATGCAGAAGTATATCTTAGATTAATGGCACATAATTGATACTCTGATGTTAAATATCTCATTACATGATATTCATGAGTAAGCACCATTCACTTGCATTGCGATTAGGCAGTACCTCATGTTAGTATGCATGGTATGCAATAGTGATATTCTACTATTCCTTAGCCTTTTTTCACTCCTTAAACATTTGAGTGTGGGCTGGACAAGGGCAGGGAGATAATCAGCAATCAGGAAGCTGCTCCAGTATTCTCAGGAAGCTTCCTATATTTAAAAGTCAGAGGCCAGCTTTTCTGCCCCAGGATTTCAGCAAGTATCTGCCATCATAATAAGCTCGTTGGATGTCCCTGGGACCTGAAGGTCTCACATGCTACCATCACATACAAAAGAGACTGAATGTAATTTGTTTACATAAATACACGTTCAGTTTTTGGCCAAAGCATCTCTAGGTCACCACTCTCGGTGTTGTCTCATATCCCTAGCTCTAGACATGCTTATGGGTAGACTGGGAGTAATGGAGGGGTCCAGTGGTGAATTGTGGAACATGAGTCAGCTTGACAGAGGACAGACTTCTGAGGGGAAAATATATATGCTATGGCACTGGGATGTGGCTATATGAAAGGCACTGGGATGTAGCTATATGAAAGGCACTGGGATGTAGCTATATGAAGGTTTAACTGTTGGCTGAAGAAGAGTGATGAGAAGGTGTCCCTAGTTCGTCTATATCAGCAGTGTCCATTCTTTTCTCTCCCTAATTCAGCTCCTGGCCTTCCTTGGGCTGTACCTAACTGCTAGACCTTGCCTCATCTGTTACCAGGAAGAGGTCTAGGAAACTGTCACTAGCTTTGCACTGAGGGCAGAGGATATAGAATCTTGAGTGGACATGTACTTCGAAGGACATAGAATCAGGGATCAGAAGGTCTGTCCACCAAGTCTGTGTAAGCTTGAGGTGTCATGACCCAGATTCTTCATTTTAAAAATGAAGAATTTAGTTGGATGTTCTGTGGCAAGTGTCCCTTTCCCCCCGCCCTTCGAACCATAGGTCCTTGACTGGGCACACACAGCAATTGGAAGACGTGCCTTGCAATACTTTAATCTATGTAAAACCACATAGGTATACACAAAAGTTAGTGAGATTTATTATTGAAGTCATTTCTTTAATTTTCTGTGTAAAGCATAGTTTAAATGCAGTGTTTATTTAAATAATGCTTTGGAGCTAGACATGGTTTGAGGATCTAACCTTGTCTTTAAGAGCCATAGGATAAATTCAAATGAATTTTCTTTATCTTCTGGTGGAAATGAAAATAGGAAAAATAATTAAAAACTCCTCTTTGTCCCATAGTGTAATGTTTGGCATTCTGGACTTTAAAAAATGCCCCTCAAGTATCCTTTTAGAATCTCTTGCATTGCAAAAAAACAGTGTGAAAGTCTGGGTGCCAGTTGTTGCTACCCACATTTCAGTTGTTGTGGATGCTAATTCTAGAAGTATGAAAAGTTATCGTTTATGGAAACCTATTCAAATTTAAATTCCGGGCTTTGGATTTTTTGCAACATACCCAAGCATTTGTAATAATACTAAAAATAATTCACTTAAAAAAATACCTTACAGGTAACTGAAGCAATACAAGCTGTTCTCTTGGCGGAAGTTCAACAACACATGAAGAGTTTGGGAAAGATACCCGTCAATAGTCAACCAGTGTCCATGGCAGAGAATGGTAACTGTGAGATGAAGCAGATGCTGCCAAAGCTGGAATGGACAGAAGAACTAGAGTTACAGTGTGTTAGAAACACTTTGCCTCTGCAAAGTAAGTACAAAATTTATTGGTATACTCTTTCAACAGAACTTTTCTACTATAGATAGTCTCCAACTTATGGTGGTGCAACTGAACGATTTTCGATTATATCATGGTGCACAAGTGATAGACATTCACTAGTCTCCTTGACTTATGATGGGGTTATATCTGGCTAAACCCACTGTAAGTTGAAAAGGTCATAGGATAGGTTTATCCAGAAGTAACACCACCATAACTTGAGGAGCATCGCTACTTAGAGAGTATTGAAAATGTAAGTTCACAGTATATCATCTCTTCAAGAGCTGAGCCAAGTGCCCTGTTTCTGACCTATTCTGCTATCAATTTCCTCTTATAATTGTCAAATGTTTGAAGGACTTCTAGATCCTATTATAATCATAAATATTTGCTAGAAGAACAGCTTGTATTATTTATAACAATGTTTTGAAGTTAAGCAATTAAAACTGAAAGCAGAAGTAACAGCAATAGCTTAATAGGATATATATTACAGGAATACCCTAATCATAATGGGTAAATTTGCTTTTACTTTGTACCTTGATAAAAGTCATGTACCAGTTTTCCTTTTCTGGGCAACAGAAGTATCATATAAAAAATAAACTATTTTTATGGTTAGATCATTTGATTTTATAACAAACTTCGTCACTGTCACTTCCTAATGATAATGTTTATGGTTTAGGGCCAACAAGTGAGTCTAAATTTATGTTGTAAAATGTTCTATGATTTTTATCGTAATGTTAGCTGTTACTTAAAAAAATTAAAAACTGTAAAAAAAAGTACAACTTTAATTTTCAACTTTATTGTAAGCTTTTCATGAATACATTAATTTATCATGTGATTAAATATGTGTTTTTGTCAGGAAAACATGTTATAAATTTACATATTACAGGTGGTTAAATTGTTAAGTACTTCTTTTATCTCTCACAAAGGGTTTTCTTTTAATTTATTCAGGACTAGGAGCAATGTTACTACATATGAAATGTTAAATCTTAAAACAGGAGTCATTCTTGGAAATACTTAATGATTTCTTCTCATTGTTTTTATGAGATTACTGATTGGAGAGTGTTATGTAGAGAGAAATGAAAAGGCATATTTAGTGAAGGCCAGAGATCAAAACAGGTAGAATATGTTTTAATGCCAGGACAGTTGCTGATTATGGTAAATTCAATTAATAATTTGATAAAGCTAGATGGTTATTTTAAGTCATATGCATGTTTATTTTCCAAAAATTAGCTTTAATGATCTGGTAAATTCACCTCTGTGAAAAAGCTCCTGTTTCATCATATCACGTAATTATAGTTGTATTACATATTTTAAGCAAGAAGCAGAAAAATTGCTTTTTAATTAATTTTGAGTGACTACATTTGCATTTTTGACACATATGGAGGGCTGCCCATAGTGTCATTGATAGGTTTCTTCCACCTCTCCCAAGTCAGCTAGTGTTACTTGTTCATTGTTTGTTAACTCTCAGTAGATGTCATTTCTGAATTTTCTCCCTAATTTTGAGAGCCTACCTTGTTCATTGGCCCAGAGCCCCATTTTCTGGGTAAGAAATTATTGGTCAGCTATCAAAGTGAAACTTTAGATGAATTTTTCTGTCATTTGGCTTACTCATATTTGAGGTTTCACCAGATTGTGCCCAATTCTGTCCCCAGTACATTCTTAGACATAAGGAGGTTCCTGCAGTCCCAGCTACTTGGGAGGCTGAGTTGGGAGGATGGTTTGAGCCTAGGAGTTAGAATCCAGCCTGGGCAAGATGGCCAGAATGCATCTTTAAAGAAAGAACTGTTGATAGTATAGAATTTAGTCTTACTATGACTAAAGACATTTGGATTAAAGTGTGGTATTAACTCTCTTTTGATTAATTATTGAATAGTCCTTTTTTTGCCTATGGTAAAAGAAAATTTGTGGTTAATCTGTGATAAGAATTAGAACACCAGAATATTACACCTACTTTATATGTTGGTGGAAGAAATTTAGAATACTTTATTTAAAAGAACAAGAACATATTCACAAAATGCTGGGCGTATATTATTTTCAGAAATATTACCTGCAGGAAAATATTAACTACAATTGCAATTAAATGGGAGACACATAAAATACATCGAAGAGAGAACTATCCAAGTAGTATTATATTTCATATTAATATTGTCTTTTTCTTTTTGAGAAATTGCTTATTTTAAAAAAACTATTCACAAGAACTTAGTAAAATTACAGGAAATGTTTTTATACTTTCATTACAGTGGCATGTAGTGCCTTACTTGATAGGATTTTTTTTGGGGGGGTGGGGGGTGCAGGCTCTGTCGACTAGTCTGGAGTGCAGTGGCATGATCATAGCTCACTGCAACTTCCACCTCCTGGAATAAAATGATCCTCCTGCGTCAGCTTCTTGAGTAGCTGGGACTATAGGCAAGCACCACCATTATAAGCTAGTTTTTTTTTTTTTTTAATTTTTATTTTTAGTACAGATGGGATGTCAACATGTTGCCCAGGCTGGTTGATAGAATTTTTAGAATACATAACCATTAAACTGTTATCTTTATTTCTAATGTCCTAAGACAAAATGTAATATGATTATAGAGGTGCTATTCACTGGGTGTAGTAATTCCTCAAATTTCATAGGCAGATTTCCTTAGCCTAATCATTGCAACATATGTCATTTTGCAAAATATTCTTATGGCAAATTGTATATGTTGTTTAATTTCATCAACTCTGCTTATTTGTCCTCTATGAGCTCCTGTCCCTCCCCTCGTTTCTTAATTTCTTTTTTTCTTTCTTGGTTTCTTGGTGGTACGTATTATTTATAAATCATTTGGAAAGTAAAAGATGATGGTTTTGCTATACACAGATACTCAAACTTCTTTTATGCTAAATGGAGTATATTTGATTTATTAGGATTATAGCAATATGGCAACAATGTCACAAGGAAAAATAATAATTATTGAGTTTTTAATATATTCCAATGCTTTGCTAAGAATCTTATGAAATTTAGCTCACCATTTCCTTTAATTCTGACACAATCCACATGAACCCTAAGACCCTTCTTCTGACATTTAGTTCTCTGTGTAAAGGACTTTACCATTTTTAAAATGTTCATGTTCATTGAAGTGAAATTTCAAAGTACAACTGAAAAGAACTATACTCTAAGAAAGAGATTCCCATCATACTAGCTAGGTTTGTCCTGAGAAATTAGTTATTTTTTTATTTTACATACTAATTTTATATTTTTTATCATACTCATTAAAAGTGTTGAAATACACTTTTAAATATGAGTTTATCACCACACCAGCTATCTTTCTTTTTTTTTTCTTTTTGACACAGTGCCTCACTCTGTCACCCAGGCTAGAGTGCAATGGTGTGATCTTGTCTCACTGCAGCCTCAGTCTTCCTGGCTCAGGTGATCTTCCCACCTCTGCCTCCTAAGTATCTGGGACTACAGATGTGTACCACCACACCTGGCTAATTTTTGTATTTTTTGTAGAGATGGGGTTTCACCATGTTACCCAGGCTGGTCTCAAACTCCTGAGCTCCAGCAATCTGCCCACCTTGCCAAACCAGCTATCTTAAATGCCACCAGTGGTATACATCTTACTCTTTGAAACATACTTCCTATACTACCCCGTTTTCAAAATGAATAAACTAAGACTTAAGAGAGGTTTTGTGTCTTGCCTACAGACACAAAATTACTAAAAACAGGGAAGCAAACCTAGATATTCTCCTAAATACTGTGCTGTTATCCAGTAAGCTACGTTTTCCATACTTGCAACGTGGAAGAAATTTGCCCTAAATCAGTTTGAACTAAAAATCAAATAATTTGCTAAGTGATTTTCTTAGATTTTTATTCTTTTCTCATAAATCATGCTTCTCTTACTAAAGGAAATGCAGAATATTTAATTATTGCCATCTCAACCCTCATAATAAAGAAAATCACCAGGTGTCTGGAACTATTTGTAGGGATGTGTCTAGAAAGCAATGGAAATCCAATAAAGTGAGAGTTAAGGCATAATGTATATTTAAACCTGTAATTTTGTCTTATTTTTTAGTGTTTTCTCCTATTACACTTCACAGCATGTATTTTATTTGAGGTCTTAATATTTGTGTATCTGTGTTTTATGGGAAAGTGGTGATTTTATCTAAGTTAACGTTTTTATAATGATTACTTTGCTATCTTCCTTGAATCTCTTTAATAAGAACTTGTACAATTAACACTTACATTTGAGGCTTAGATTCATTGCTTTAAAAACAGCAATAGTTTCTATTATTAAATTGCATTTGAAAGTTATTTCCCTTTATTTTGAATGTTATTTGGATCAGTTTAAACAAGTGCTCTAAATTGTTCCATTAAATAAATTGGTTGAACTAGAAATGGAGGCTTTGTAGATAAAACTGTCACCTTGGAATTATTGGCTGAATTTAAATTTCATGCTAAACCATGTGGTTGTGAAAACGATGCATCAAATATGGGTATTGCAAATAATCTTTATTGCATGCATCATCTTCAAAGACTTATCTAGAAAATTAAATAATAAAAATGTGTTTTTTGTTTAAATAAAACCATGCATTTATTGTACATCAAGAAAATAAAAATCCATTCAACAGAAACATTTTGGTGATCCTGCCCTGCAGAAGTACGGGCCCAGGGCAGGCTTTCTTGGCCTGCTGAGTTTTCCAGAAGGATATCTACTTGTGGAAAGGCTTTGTGACTACCCTACAGGGAAACTCTTCCCTGACTGCCATTATTTGTAGTAAGTGCATCTTTTTTTCATTTACTCTAAGATCTCCAGGAGTAAGTGAGTTCTTCTTTATGGCCACAGAAGTCACTTAGGAAAGGCCTGTGTGGTACGTGTGATCAAGGAGCAGAGAAGTAATGGAGGACACATCATAGAAGGCCTCGTATGTGGTAGTGAGGTCTGGGGCTTTCTCTCTAGTGTGGTGTGGGAAATCTTTTAAGCACACTAGTGGCACAAAGTGTAATGGGATCACATTACCTTTGGTTTAGGGGCAAAGCACAGTGATAATGACTGACTGTGGTGTCATGACTTGGCCCATATGTTGGGTGGTACATTGTTACATGTGGTATTCCAGGTGTGCTGAAGATATAGTGGAAGATCGACTCTACAAAAGGCATCCTTGGTGTGTTCAGTTTCAAGTGTACCTGTTTAGGTGACCTGTAGATTTTATTTTATAGTTTTTAACTAAACTAATCACCAGAAAATAGACAAGACACTTAACAGTTCTCTCTCAAGAAACCGTGGTTTAAAGACAATAAGAATAATGCAAGCTTGAGAAAACAAGATGTAAATGGCATTGCCAAACTTAACTTATGCTACATCAGAAGGTATATATGTGTGTGTGTGTGTGTGTGTGTGTGTGTGTGTGTGTGTGTGTGTTGTGTGTGTTGTATGTATATATGTGTGCGTGTGTTAATTTCCTCATTTTGGAATTTCTATTTTTGTGTGTATTTTATAATGGACATAATGTTGATATGCTAATAGCGTGTACAAGCATTTATAAGCAAACATACATATATTGTTGATGCGTATTTCAGAGCTCCTCTTTGTTACTTTCTACAAGAAAATGTCTCACTTAAAACTTTTGGGTGGATTGAGCTAGGAAGCTACAGTTAGGCAGATATGATTGACTTTTGGTTATGGAGTGTTGGCGATTTGATATGCTATTTTGTACAGTGCCTATCTCCAAAACTTTAAATACATCTTTATGCATCACTTCTTTATACCACTTCCTCTCTGCTTCTATGCACTGACTCAAGAGCTAAGGATATCGCCAAGAACAAACTAACAAACTGAAATTCTTTAGCTGAGGATACAAACTAGAATCATTAACCATAAAAGTGTGTCAGATGCCAGAGCAGAGACTAGGGAAGCACATCAAAGAGGTGCCTAACATAGTCTTTGGGGCTCAAGAAGGCTTCTTCCAAGAAAAGTTGCCTAAACTGGGAGCTGAAGGATGAACAGGATTTAGCCAAGCAAAAAGTTGGGGTGGGGAAAGGTAGCTGTTTACTAAGACCACTGAAGCCATTTATGCCCTTTTCTTCCTCTCAAGATCATCTGACTAAGAAATGCATGAATGAGAAACCTGGACATTAGCAAGAAACCCATGCATCTTTAATTTCTTCTCTTTAGAACACTAGTGTTCTCTTTTAATCTCATCTTGCAAATGCCTTCTTTTCCTAACCCTTAGCCTTCTGGAATAACAACAGTAATGATTAACATAGTTACAGTTAACACTGATATGACCTAATATTTATTTAATCCACACAGCAATGCTATAGGAACAGATAATATTGTTATATCCACTTTATTGATGAGAAAACAGATTCAGAGAAGTTAAATAATTTGTCCAATGTCTTATTTCCAACAAGTGGCAGAGCGGGGAATCAAACTCAGGCAGGCTGGCTTTGAAATCTGAGATCTTCATCACCGTATTACATTGCTTCCCAATTACCTACAATTCTCCTTTTGGATTTCTTAATTCAGCAAATATTTACCAAGTGCCTTCTGTATGACAGTTACAGAAAAATGTGTTACCCAGTTGAGGATTACAAGACAGCAAAACATTTTGTCATAACAACAGAAAAAAAAGATTCTCTAGAAGAAATCAATTAACAGATATTGGATATGCAGTCTCTGCAAAGCTGGGGTGTAGCATTGTAAGTTATTCCAATAAAGATGTAATTAATATTGAAGACTTTTATTTGGAATATGAATTAACAGAAATATAAGTTTTATTGCTTAAAAATTTAAAAGGTTCCTTTTGGGAACCGAAAAAGCCATCTGGTAAATGCTAAAAATGTACAAGATTTGGCATACACATACGAGTTGAAAGGAATAAGGGTTGGGGGTACAGGGGAAAAAGTGGAAGAAATTTAAAACTTCATTTGTGTAGATTAATTTTAATTATCTAATAGACAATCTCATTTAAATATCAAGGTATTCATGTGTTAAAGACAAATTTGTATATGATAAGCAAATAAATAATTTAGCACCTAGAATACATTACCTACTTTTCAAAAAGCATTGTAGTCATTTAGGTTTAAAATATATCCCATCTTATTTTTAGCTCCTTATAAAATTGAGAGAGAAATTTCATCATTTCCCTTTTGCCCATATACATTCTTCTAAACTTCTTTACTGTTTCTGCCCTCTCTGTATCATCTTAAAGATTGCATCACCTTAGAAAGACTGATAAGAGTTCACTGCTCTTTTCTAAAAGTAGTTTTATCTTTCACGGAGATTGAGATTGATGATTTTCATCTTGGCATATGAAAAACTGGAATATTTCATCATCTTTTTTCCTCATGAGCAGTCAGAATGCCAGCCTGGCTCTGCCCAGAGATGGTCTGATCGAGGAATTGAGTTAAATATTTCTTTGGTAACAGTCGTGCAGGCACCACTTTATCTATGATTGTCTGCATACCCATTTAAATTATTGACAAAAAGTGATCTAGATTCTGTCACTGAAGTCAATGTGTTTTGCACTATTGTTTCCGAAGCTGAGACTGACCTCCCGACACTGACCCTTCAAGGACAGGGATCAGGTCTATTTATCTTTTTTCCTCCCATCACCTAAAATGATCTCTTACTTAGAAGCTGTTAATAAGTGTTTATTGAGTGGATGGGTGAATGGATGGAAAGTGAGATAGTTTGTACTGAAGATTCAGCCAATTCCTAATTAGTAAAAGAAGGAGCAGTGGAGGGAAACCAGCCGATTGCTATTCTTTAGCATCCAGACAAAGTCTTGAATACAAACTGAAATTCGTGAATACAAACTGAAATTCGTGTTATCTGAGAGTCACCATCCTAGGACCATGAGATGTACACACAGCAAGCTCACAGGAAATTAAAAATAGTCATATGAATGAATCTAGTTTGTAACCCCCCAGAAGACTCTGTTAGTGATAGTTATTTCACTCTTGACTGCTCACTTTGTCATGATCTGATTTCAGTTTGATATTTTTAGAGACCTGAGCCTTGCCTGAAACTTACCTCACTCCTTATTCAGTTACAGTTTATCCACAGAAGTTTCTAAGGAGCCGCTGCCTCAAACATTGTTTCCTCAGTATTTGGATTCACATATTGTGTTCTGACTCATCACCTCCCTATGGACTTCTGGCTCATTCCTGGTCTCTTACAGTAGCCCCCATGCTGCTGACACAGAGCCCTCTTTGCAACATGGCTGGCTTGGGTCAGCCTCCACTAATGATTCATTCTACTTCTGAGCCTGGGAATTTGTGTGACATTAGTTCCTCCATCAAATGCAATTCTGTCAGCCAATATGGATATGTATTCATAGTTCTAAAAACAATTTTGGTAAATAGAGGGACTAAATTCCTTTAGAGAAAAACAACTGATTTAGAGAGCTTTGTCTTCTCAGCAGATAGCACAGTGTCTAGTATGTGGCAATTGCTAGAGAAATGGTGGCTGAAGGAAAAATTATCCATTTGTCCCAGTGCCCTTGGAATATCCCATTCCCATCAGAATGTCAGTCATCTTGCTAGCTGGAGCCTTATCCTTCCATTTTAACTCTTCAATTTATCTGCCCAATTTTCAGCCTTGGAACAATTTGAATAACTCGAAACATTTCTTATTAAGCACTTACTATGTCTAAGGTTCAATGTTAGGTGCTGACATTTTCATTTATATTACTTTCTACACTCCTTTTATAACCTTCTAAAATACTGTATATTACCTGGCACTCTAATTGCTTATTTATTTGCCTTTCTTTCCCAACTCTGTGAACTCCTTGAGGGCAAAAGTTGGAACTTATTAATCTTGTGCTCCTAGCAGCAAATGGACCACATGGTGTATGATGGGTGCTCATTAAATGTTTGTTGCCTGAGTGAGTGGATGTGTAATAAATGACAATGACAGACATCTATCAAAGAACTCTGGTCCAAGGCAGAATGAAAGAAATGCTAAATAATATGTTAATTGTCTGTACTAGAAAGAGAATGGAAATGGTGATTATAAGGATGATGGTTTTCTTCTGAAGTGTTAGTCCAGGGGCATTGCTTCAAATTTATCTACTTTGTTCAAGAGCAATATATCTGTCTAGAGAACCACCAGGAAAAATTAATGCTGACAAGTATTTGAAGGCAAAACCAAGGCAGAGTACTTCATTTTCAACCCCCTGAGAATAAGCTACAAGAAATGAAGACAATTCAAAGGAGAGTTGTTAGTTCTTTCTTTTACCTGCTACAGATGAGCATGGGCCCTTTATGTATATTTGTGCAGAATATCTGTCCTCCAGCCAGGCAGCCCTGCCAATCTAGGGACAATGTAAAAACACTCTTTGGTAACTGAATATGCCTAAGAACATGGTCTATATAAACTTCCAGCCTCACATGTTTCTTCTCATTAGAATGAGGTCAGTCTTGAAATTTTAAAAAAAGTAATCGTAGTGGATCTCAGTGCTCTCAATCCTAGCCAATATTTTGTAATGCTCCCTTGAAAATCTTAAAATGAAATTCATAAGCATTATAACCTACCTACATACATCATTTATATAACATTTAAAGGAAAAATAAATGGTAAGTAACTTATAGTAAAGTATTATGTGCAAAATCCTGGGCATGACTACACTGAAAGATATAGTAACATACTGTTATATAATATGCTGTGGTATACATAAGACCACTGCTATTGATGCATATATCTGTGTGTGTGGTGATTCTGTCAGTGATGTGGGTATCTAAAATGGATTTTCTTGACACTGGACAATAGTAGCAAAATGTGGCCATTCCTTAATATACAAGGTAGTGGCCTTCTTAGAAAATTCAAAGTATGTTAAAAGCCTTGAAAGATTCCTCCATAGTTATATGTAAAACAAAGTTATGTTCTGGACTTGGGAAATTACATACAAAGCTTTTCTTTTCATGAATGACCAGTGGAATATTTGAAAACCAAGCAGGACAGTTATTCACTGTGAAAGGCGTTCCTAAGCATTGCAGGCCATCTGGCATCTCTGGTGCCTGACTGCTAAATGCCAATAAAGTGTCTCTACAATCATTGAGAAACCCAGTCCCTCACTTGGGCAGTTTCCAAAGCCTCCCCCTAGGGGGCAGTACCAACCCTACCGAGAACTGCCTTAGAGAAAGGGATTCTAGACATTCTTAAGGACTTTGTTTCTGTCCCGCTCCCCTTTAAAAAAGTTCAGAAGGAGATGAAACCAAAAGAGAAAGTCACACTAACTCAAGAAGTTCCTTTTCTTTCTCTCCCATGTTTGCTTTTTCCCTTGTGTACCCTTTAGGTATTATAGCACTTCCCAGTCCATGTAGTAAATCATCAGCCATTCTGTCTCCACCATTAGAAAAGGGGCTTCTTATCCTATTCATTCACTTTCATCTTTATGTCCTCACAGCTTAGCTTTGGGCTTAGCAGAGAGTAAATATTGCTGGCTGATTAAATGAAGAGTATATGTTACTGAACTACTAAGCCTTGCCTAAAAAGGTCATCAAAGAAAACTCTAAAATTTACAACTGAAATTAAATTATTTTACAGTACAGAATAAACACAGTACATCTTAGAATTTTAAAATTAGATGGACTGTTACCCAATCTGTAAATTGAAAGAGAAAACTAGAAGTGAGAATAATGGTTGGAAAGAGATACACAGATAGGTTCATGTAATCTACTTATGATGGTGATTAGATTTATGATTGGGAACATAATTTCAAAACTTTGGCTTACAACATGCTAATTGTTGATACATGTTATCCTTAAAGTCCAATAGTCCATTAGTATTTAAAGTACATTGAAATCAGTTTTTGAGAACTCTTAATACCCTTTCACTTTCACATACATGAGGTATATCTCTTAGTATCTCTGGACCAGAATAGGCAATAACCAGTCTGGTCTGTTGTCCAGCTGGTAAGTCCAGCCATCAAATCACTCTACCTCTTTTGAATATATTTTATTAGGTGCTCTGTTTCCCAAGCTATGTACTTGAAATCTGAGAAGAATATGATGTGGTTTCTACTTTCCAAAAGGTTGTAAAAATAGTGAGGACACAGTGTGGTATGAGAAATTAACATTCACATTACTGTAAAGGCATAGAGAGCCACCAACTGCCTGGGAATGAATTTTAGAGGCTTCACATAGGAATAGACATTCACATGTGTGTTGGAGAATAATTTTGTGGCAGACATGAAGAGACGTACTGCTAAAATCCCTCTTAAAGAGAGGACTCCTTTCCCAGATGTGAGGAATATGGCTATCTGACAGCTTCCAGTTGTTAGTGCCTTTAATATCTGACCCAGCGTTGGAGCAGAGATCACACTCTTCTTGGGACGATGGCTGAGCATGATGGTGATACCAGGGCCTCACCATTTCTGGCCCATATTGACCTCCTTTCACAGGCATTCTTTGCTTTAGAGTTTCTGTTAGGCTGATAGAGCCTGAAGGGGTAAGAGAAACTTCTCTGTACCCTTTGGAGCTTTGATAAGTGAGTCTGCTGAAATAGACAGACGGTAGACAAATTAACAGGAGAAAAGGCATACCAATTTATTATATGCATGGGGGCATCACAGGAAAGTGAGTACCCAATAGCGCAATTATATGGTTTGACTCTGTGTCCCCACCCAAATCTCATCTCTAACTGTAATCCCCACGTGCTGAGGGAGGGATCTGTAATTCCCACGTGTCAAGAGAGGGAGGTGATTGGATCACAGGGGCGGTTTCCTCCATGCTGTTCTCATGATAGTGAGGGAGTTGTCATGAGATCTGATGGTTTTGTAAGCATCTGGCATTTCCCCTGCTTGCGCTTCTCTCTCCTGCCGCCTTGTAAAGAAGGTGCCTGCTTCCCCTTCACTTTCTGCCATGTTTGTGAGTTTCCTGAGGCCTCCCCAGCCTTGCAGAACTATGAGTCAATTAAACCTCTTTCCTTTATAAATTACCCAGTCTCGGGTATTTCTTTATAGCAGTGTGAAAATAGACTAATACACCCAATAATATTTAAAAACTTATATATCCTTATTCATAGGGGTGAGAGAAGTGGGGGATGTAGGCACTTTTAGAGGAAGAGTAAATGATTTTTAGGGGAGGTGAATGAGATATTAAAGTTCACAATTTACGCAACCCTGCTTTTGCCCTTTTTCTTTCACAGGTGTTACTTCCCAATAAACATTTGCATTTCTAATTTCATCTAAAATCTGCTTCTGGTGAGACCCAACTGACACTAGTTGGAAAGGGCTTGATGCAAGAAGGGCATTTGAGGCAAAGGGAATAACATGGGGACAGATACCAAGGCAGGGCAGTATGGCATGGTCAGGAGATGGGATGATTTTGGTGTGGGCAGGACATGGGAATGGGGATACTCCAAGCTGGGTTCAGAAGGTGAGATACCTGGAATGAAAAGGTTCTGCTGTGGAGCTTTTTTCTGAAAGAGAGAGACCATTAAAATTATTTTAAGAGATGCAAGACACTTTCAGTGCAAAGCAGAAACTGACAAAAGCAGGAGGTGCAAAGAAACCCTGTGTCCAAATTTTGTCCAAGTATCTATTTAGTGTTTTATTTGTAGAGCAGTATTTTTTCTTAATTTTTTAAATTGTTTTATAATTTTTTTCTGCCTTCATAAATGTAGCTTGTTTAGATGAACCATTAGTGCTCCATGTCCTACATGGAGTAAGAAATTTTGTTGACATTACATAGGGGAGGGAAAGCTTGCCTCCTTGCTTTTAGACCAAACAACACCAAATGCCCATTAGGATCATCAAATTTCAAATCTCATTAGTAACACCTTCTGAGTTGCTGTGGTTCTTCATGCCCATTTGAGGTTATTTCTCTTTCTTTATGGTTGGTCATTATCTCAATCACCCATCCTCTTTGAATCAGTTTTTAAATCTTTTCCAATTTGTATAAGTTAATATTTGGTCCGATTTTTCATCTCCTTTTATTCATCTGTAATCGTTTACCATTTATTGACAAGTTTGGGTTTCATTGTCAATTTTTCCCTTTCCTTTTTTGTGTAATTATGTAGACATTATTAACCTCCTTCTCTACAAACATCCTTAACTGAAACATTAAGTAAGACCAGATTATTAGGTGTTTGTTCTTAGACATTTTCCAGGAATAGGATATATTATCTCTCTGTCATTTAAAAAAATTTGATTTAATCAATAGAATTTTAACAAAGCAACTTAGAAGTGTGCTTTTCCTTGTGTTTATATTAATATTCAATGAATAATTTCAAAGGTTAAACCTCATGATCCATCTCTTCAAGCCATCTACTTAATTCTAGAGTCATTACATCACCTACTTCCCTTATGCCATTGACTTATGTTTCTTTCCAACTGCTGAAATTTGGCAGCATCATTTATTTTTTATATAACATACCCTGCACTGTGAAACAGTGTTTCAGAAGGTGATGACAAAGTACCTGTAACACAGGGCAGAATTGCCTGCTCACCTGTGGGTATCAGTAACATATTTATTGCCCTATGTCTGGGATTCCTATAATGCTAGAAGAAAAAGAAATGTTTTGATACACTTTTTTTTCCCTGTGGTAAAAATATCAAGAGGTCTCCAGGTGGTAACATCAGACACCATAGTGGTTTGTGTTTAATGCTGAGGAATGCAAAGGAGTTTTCAGAATTTCCTCAGGGACTTCATATTTCAAGTTTTCCAAATGAACTAAAGTTTATTCAGAATGTACTGTGAAGAAACAGCAATTTCAGGACCCTGGAATATCTATTTTACCACTATTTTTAGATACTAAAACAAATTAGATGAGTTATTTTCAAATGATTAGCATGCCTTTTCTACGTATACAACAGGTTACTTTTGAAAAAATTTTAGCATATCTTTTTTGTTTCTTTTTTCATACATCAAATGAAGTAATTCTTGGCCCACTTTATTGAGAGGAACACTAAGGTACAGTACACTTGCATAGCTTTACTATGATGATACAACTTGTTGGAGAATGGCACTAGACTGGATTATATGCCCCATCCTATTTGCCAATCCCAGGTTCTTTTCTGTAAATCACCCTATTTCATGAGGCATTATGTAGAGGATGGAATTTACAAGACAGTAAACTCATTTATTTATAAAAAATGATATATTTTACTCTAGCTACATTTGGGCCTTTCCATAGGAGAATATTATCATTTTTATATTTCCAGTGGTTCATTTTAAAGTAAAATATATTGCCCATTTTAAAAATGAGTTAAACTATCTCTACTGTTAATGGCAATCCACTGTTATGATATTAATATTATAAAAGCCAACTATTAGTCAAAAATATAGTTTGATGAATGTACGATGTTTATAAATTGAAAATAGTCATTGCATTTCTTCATGGTAAATTTGCTTTAAATATTAGTTTATTATATATGTTAGTTTATATTACAAATATTTCCAGTAAGCAAACACAAATCATTTTTATATTTAGCAGTTAAAATGTATCTTAACTTGACCATTAAATCATCTATTAAATATTCAATTAAAGTGGGTTTTTGATTCTTTTTTTTAAATTAGCGGTCAGGTATTCGGGGAAACAAGCCCATAAGATTTTTCTAAAACACAATTCACTTCATTTCTTGTTCTGTATATTTTGTCAGAGAATGCCTTAATGTAACAGAAATCAGATTTGGTGTGTATTTTTACACCAAATCAAATTGTGCAGGCGCCACCCTCAGCCTTCTCCAAAACATTATGAAGGATAGGATTCCACCATGATATAGCTTAAGAAAGCAGTACAGCCCTGGAAGAAGTCTATGCAGGGAAAGTGGAACTACAGGAGTAGGTTTTACTGGAAAACCACGTGTCCTGTAACACCATTACAGAACTGGATTTAAAAAATAACTTTACTTAGCCGAGTTGTCTCTTTCTGGAATCTGTATGTAAAACATATATGGTTTTCCTAGTTATTCTGTAGGCATAAATCACAAGTATAAAAGGTACTACAAAATGTAAGAATGAAACTGCAATACAGGAGTGACTAATGGTACAAAGCACTTAGATGCTCCAGTTATAACAACTGTATGAAGAGGGTGAAGGCATCATAAGTCATTTTATATATTACAATTGGCAGGTTTCCCTTCAGAGTTGCATTGAATATAGTCTCACTTTCCCTGTCCTCCTTGCCCAATCCTCGTCTTCTCAAATTCACAAGCCATAATTATAAAATTTTAAATGTTTTAATCTATTATTTTAATGTATAGCAGTAATTCAAAATTATTAATTCCTTTTCTCAAATCTAGACATGGAAAAAGTCAAGTAAATCTTTATGGAATTTTTCTAATATAAAGTACAATTTTAGATCACAAGCTCCAAAATTTTCCATTTCTTATTGCCAGAGGTAAGAGCTGTGTGCTGTCTCCATACATGTTGTTGCATAATAGCAGAAATGTATTTCAAAATAATTTCTGCTCTGCGAAGTGAGTTAGGATTTTTTCATCTTCATATGGGATCTTCTACACAGCAATAATTGAAAATTTGCAAAATGTCAGAAAATTAATGCTAAGGTTCATCAGTAACTTCCATCTTCCATCTCCTATGTAAAGCACAGAACTTTCTAATTTTTACCAATGACTAGATTCATTTTATTGTTTAAGAAAGAATCCAAATTGCTGTTTTAAAACTTTCATAAGCATCTGAACATTTTGTAAAAATGAAACAACTGGCAAAACAGAGAAAACTCTTACCTTAATTGTTTAATTTTCCAATAATTTACATAGTAAATATTTTGATGAATTATGAGATTTGAAATTAAGGTAGATGGATGACAGTCATATAAACTTTTGGTCTCAAGATCTACTTCATTTTAGTATATTGCTTTGGTTACATTGTAGTGAAAATATTTTGATTGAGAAGAAAGCAGAAAGAGTACTTCCATAGCACTTGCATACAGAATTTTACATGAACAAAATTGCTAAGTACTAACATTAAACACACACACACTCTCGCTCTCTAATCAATGATACATTCATAAATATAAGCACAGAGATTAATCTTGAATCTGCACAAAAACTGTTGTTTGAGAGCATAAGTCAGTCAATGTGTTTATGGTTTCCAAGTTTATTAAATTTAATACACAAGATTTGCATTTTTAATCACAATTATTTAACAGTAGCTAAACAATTGCTTAAAACAAATAATTATAACTATCTTTTAAAAAGAAAATTTGAATCAGGCAATTATGTAATTCCCTCAGAAATACTACAATGCCATGGAATGCAGGTTGGAAAGTGCTGGGCAGGCTCATGAGAACAGAGGCTGTATTAGTTTTTCTATACATCCCTGAACTCCCACTATAAAATTGTGGCTGTTTGGAATAAATACTTGCCATAATTACCTCAGTCTTTTTTTTCCATGGCCACTTTTAGTTGTACTTTTTTTTTAAGGCTTATCTCATGATTTGGGTAACGTGAGCTGTTGTCTTCTGCCTGTTTCAAGGCTCAAGTCACAAATCACAAACTGTGTCATCCTGGAATGAGTTTCCCCATGCTCTGTAAGATGCTGTGCCTCTGTTTGGTGCCCAGTGCCTACCAAGCTAGCTGCTGAAGCACGAAGAGGAATTCCAGGAAGTAGCTGCAGTGGGCCATTTTCCAATAATGCTCCCTGGCATGGACTCAGTTCAGGGCTCTTTTGCAAATGGCTATTACACTGAGATCATGATGAGATTTCCTAGAAGTACACGCAATTCTTTTCACTAAAATTTCCTACTTCAAAACTTTTTGTAAAAACAGAGGTTTTCTCCTGCATTCTCAATCAATACATTTTAGTGGCCCCTGAAGATATGAAAGTGCTTAATGTTCTTGGAGACAAGCTTTTTTAAATGAAATTATTATTTTCACTTTGCATTATTTCGTTTTAGATTTTAGGCTTAAATTATGCTGGATTTTTATGTCTTACTTCAAGGTAGTTGAAGAATATGGGAGTCCTAAAATATTTATTATCTCTATTAATTCTGTCAATCAGCTGCAATCACTAAGAGTTTATGGTGGGCAAATGTTGCAATAAGTACTCCAGACATGTGGGCAGCTATCTTGGGTAATTTCTGATAGTTAATCACCTAGCAGAGCCTACCGTAGTACCAGCCACGTGAGGGGTCCAAAGCATATGATAAAGTTTCAGTGATAGATGCAATTATCATGTTAAACAGGCTGACATTTGGGTGCAGAGACATAATGAAGTCCTTACTTCAACCCTGAACTAGACTTACTCCAGCTGTTGGCCCCAGCCCTTGATCTTTCTATTACAGGCATTTGAAATTTACCTGATTTTGAACATTTTTTTTATAGGGGACAGGAGGGGTGTTAGAACTTAGCCTAGTACTTGGCATATGAGTGGTACTCAGATTACAGGACTCATAGAGTCTTTGAGTCAGAATCATTTGCAGGTCATTGAGTCTGAGCCCTTTGTTCTTCCTGCCAAGAAAACTGAGGCTCAGAGAAGCCTAATGACTTGTTTAAAGTCACACAGCTAGTTAAGGGGTGAGATAGTATTTCACACCTGACTCTTTTCAATAGTTGCTGCTTTCTGAAAATGGCTTGGTGGTCTTTATTTAGTATTTCGCCCATTCCCTCTGGTGGTTCTTATTTGCCAGTCCAGATTAATGTTTTCTCCATTAAGTGGCAGATGAACCACACACCAAAAGATAGGGAAAGCAGTTTGCATTCCTGTAAGTCCCACTTGATGGGCTTAGAACATTTAGGTTTAGGTAAAACTTAAAAGGAGAATGCTTTTTCCTCCCTTCTTTGTAGGTTTCCGTTTTATTCCAGCAACTCTATTAATAATTCTGGTTAATGTATTATTTCAGTAACCTGTCCTGGGGCAATTGCCTTCAATAGCTAAAGAAATCCCATAAAAGTCTGTTTGTGTTAACTCTCTACTTAAAACCCTTCAATGATGCAGTGCCTGTCAGGGGTTCTTGTTAGGCTCACCTAAACATGCAGTTTCACAAGGTGACCATACACCACACCTGGCACTTGTCTACTCTAAAGGGCAGAGATCAGCAACCATAGCTCACCACAGCAGCAGGCCTTCCTCATCAGGAGTCCATGCAACAGTCCAGCAGTTCATCTATGGAAGTCATCTTGCTAACAGCCTTATATCTCTTGCAACGATTTCTTCCCTGCTCACAGGGAAGCCCAAAGCTATGAAATCGGGTTTTTATGGTTCATTTATAGACTCTCCTAGTCCAGATGCATTTTACCAATGAGGGGTCATTTTTGCTATCAGCAATGTCACCTTGAGACTTAGTTGACATTCTGTCTTTATCAAATTACCAAGGGAATCCAGGTAGTTAACCAAAGGTCAAGTTGCTGAAAGAGAAAAGGGGACTTGGATTTTGTTTGTTTGTTTGTTTGTTTGTTTTAAGTTTTATTTATTTAAGCACATATGGCTTCTCTTTTCTCTTAGGATAAAGTGCAGATTATTTAGATGATTCATAAGGCTCATTTACAACTGAGCTTTGGATGTCTCTCTAGTCTTATTTTGCCTCTTTCTACCTACCTCAAACTCTACAACTCAGCCAAACCATACCCTTTTCAGTTCCTCCAAAGGACCGATTACTGCCCATGGCTCTCAACCTCTGCATATGCTGTCCCATCATTCATTTATTTATTTATTTTAAATGTTTTCAGTACCTTCCATGAGCCAAGCACTGAGCAAGGCCCCAGGGATACAATGAGAAGGGCAGCCGTGGAGAGTCTGCAGCCTCCTGCCTAAAGGTTTTTCCCCTTTCCCACTATTGCCTGAGATCTTCATGTCATGGGCAACCTCTGGAAAGGCCTCTCTGTTGCCCAGTATATGTTAAGTGACCTAACCTGTACTTCTGTCACACCACTGACCACCCTGTGTTTTCATCACCTGGTTTCTTTTCTGCTGCAATGAGACTGTGAGCTCCTGAAGGGAGGGGGATATGTCTAACTTGCTCACTATTATATCTCCAGTGCCTAGGTCAGTGCTGGGTACCCAGTACATACTTGATAAACATATGATAAACAAATAGATGGCAGGGAATTCTTGAATTGCAATATGCATTTAAAATACAAATAACATACTTCTAAAATTAAAATTTAAAGTCCTGGTATATGATGGTGAAGATATTTTGAAAGCAGATACCCACTGAAATCTATGATATGGATAGAATTCTCTTCATTTTTAAAAATTGTATTTGTAACAAAGCAAACCAATATTATAGAAAATGGAGCAAATACATTTTAAAAATTGTGATTACCCAGAATCATATCACTAGAATAAAAACAAACTATTATAATTGGGTTATTCCTAGTTATCTAAAACCTAAAGCCAATGTTAACTTTAATAAACAAATAAAGGGGAAGGATTAGTAAGGACTTCAAACACTCTGAAACAAACCTCGGATTCTTATTCTCACTTAATGTAGCTTTTTAAGTTTGTCCTGGCAACTAAGGAAAAGAAACTGTTTCCCATTAAGGCATCATATATAGATGCATCCGTGAGGATAAACATTCTTTCCTGGAACTATTTTCCTGGAATTTATTACACTGCTTTATATATCCATTATAAAGCAGTGCTAAGACACAAGGTAGAATGTGTCTCCAGCCAGTTTTCTAAAAGGTTCAAACTATGCTCTTAAACATGACAGTTTTTTTTATATTAGCCTTCTGTAAGATCAAATGACATGGTATTGAGTCATCTCTCAGAAGTCTTGTCTTTGATTGACTGAGATAATGGGGTCCAAGACATTATTTTCTGATGGTCTGAGACTTCAATGATAGAACCTAGAATAGTGCAGGTAAATGGATAGTTAACATGCCCATTTAGGCTTTTTCTCTAAAATATCAAATATCTTAAATGAGCTTTGGAGAGGTGCTGGACCACATTCAATTTGCAATCAAATTCCCTTAATAAGCTTTTACAGTGCAGAAGTTCTTCCTTGCTGATAAAATGAAAGTCATAATTTTGTGAGGCAGGTACTGACCAAGTTTCTTTCATACGAACAGGTAGCACACCCATGAACAGCCTGGCTGTGTCCTAACAGCATCCTAGTCTTTTGGAAGAACAATGGATCTTTTCAAGCTAAAATGCACAGTAGTGATTTCTAGAGACTGCCCAGTCTTGGAGCTCTAAAGCAAAGGTTCAAACTGATCCCTTACAAGTACATTCTGTTTGACTTAGACAATGCTTTACAGAGAACAAACCAAACAAACAACCACCAAATTTCCAACATATAAAAACCAGATTTCCCAAAAATATTCTGGATATCTGACTTCTCATGGCAGATAGGAAGAGAAACCACACTAAATTGCCATTTTCATGCAACAACAGTAGGCTGGAGCTGATAGCAGCTAGTGAGATAATAACCTTTTTTGCAGAAGTGTGTGTTCTCCAAGTCATCTCAGTATCCACCAAGCCTGTCTTGTTCAATTTTCCCTAGGTTCCCATAGGAATCTGAGTTTTTCACTTGGTTACTGTCACAGAGAGGTAGCTTTAAGTTGAAAAATTCTGTATGTGTGTATTTTTAGGGGTGGGGGAAGAAGAGAGAAGGAAAGGAATTATTTAATCTAAATTTCACCTAATAAGTAAAGGGCACTATACAAGTTACCATGCATACAAAAAGGAATAAGACACAAGGAGTACAATAAGATGTGTCATTTGCTTTAGTGCAATGGGAGTGGCTGTCCTGGACACACCTGCTTATGGAGAGTTTTGGAGGAACTGGAGGCTCTATACCTTACTTCTCTTTTCTGAACATCCTTAAAACTTAATTTCAGAATGTTCATCTTACTGCTGACAGTCTGAGGGGTCTGTGAAAGATGCTAACAGCTGAAACTCCTTTCAAGTGTGATTATCTTGGAAGATATGAAGAGGCATACACTGGTTAAACTGCCCCTAGGCAAACACATACTTTGAGGTACAGCCCTAAAAAGGGCTAGATGGGGATTAGACACCTGATTAACTATAACGCAATGTCATAAGAGCTATTTTAGGGGTGTAATTAGAATACAATCGTGTAAGTGAGGTGATGGAGCAGGCTTAAAGTTGGGGTGGGGCCAGTTTGTGAATGGTTTTGTATGCCATATTGTAGGTACTAGAAAGTTTTCAGATTTATAATTTGGGTGTTTCTCAGTTTGGTAGATGAATCAAAGATCAAAGGGCCTATAAGCAGGGAGACCAGTGGTCTCAGTGGGCTCCAGTGATGTCTTCTTTTCAATCCTGCAGAAGTTGTTGACTGCCAGTTCTACCCTGGTAGATAGTGATGAGCTAAGTGATTGCATAGACTTGGATTAGCAATTAAATGTCTCTGTGTTATGGGCATTGACAGCAGCTGTTAAAATGCACAGGTTAACACTAATTCAATTATGGACATCAATACTCAACCTCAGATTACCATTCTCCAAATCTAGGAGGAGCCCAAAAATTCTGTGTGCTTTACACACATGATCTAATCTTTCTAATAACTATGCAGGCTAGGTACTGTTATTTCCATTTTACAGATTAGAAAACTGAGTTCAGTTTCCCTTCTACAATATATGACCTGTATGCCTAAAAAAACAATACACAGACTCAGGTTATACCATTGAGATATCAATGTTTTAGACTTTTAAACCTTCAGTTCATCTTTATACCTGGTAGTAAAGTTGTGTTATGGGATATACAGGGTTACCACATTTTGAAACAGGGATGTTTGTGTTATTAATTAAAACTTTATTTGCAGAACAATCATGGTTTTATTTCAGTGACAGAGCATGTAGCAAATAATATTGATTATAGCCTAATATATAAAGTGTCAGCATCCAGTTATAAAGCATCTCCTTGGTGTAATGTAAAAACTAGCCATGAATCACTTCCCATGAACATCAGAGATTAAGTCTACATTTACACCTGAGAGTTTTCTGACTTGACAGTTTTCAAATGCCATCAGTAGTGACCCTTATGTTGAGTTCGGAACATACGATATGGTAGTACTCATATGAAAAATAAGCTACTAATTTACTACATTGCTTTTTGAAATATATATGTATCAAAACACATAATATATGCATATAAATTATGTATACATGTATGTGTATACATACATTTTAAATGTGTGTGTGTGTGTGTGTGTGTGTGTGTGTGTGTTGTGTTTGATTTTCATTAGCCTCTTTAAATGTATTCTAGGGCAATGCTTGTTGGAGGATTTCCTCACTTGGAAGTGAGGGCTTGGTACGGGAGTTGTTTTAACCCTTTCCAGGTCCATCATTATAAATACCTGTGTACACTCCTCCTATCTCACCCCACCCATATATATTTCTTCATACATGAGCACAGAGAAAATAAATAGACTATCCTATGAAAAGCCTCTGTTAATTTATTTTATAGAAGGAAAAAATGGAGGAAGAAAAGAAAGTCTGATGTCATTTGTTACATAAAACTGAAGTATTTCCTTTGCATTAGAAATAATATAATGAAAAAAATTATTTCAAGAAACATAAGCAAATACTAAAATAGTCTCTTTAGGACAAGTTTGAATAAAATTAATTGCATTAGAAATAGCTGAATTTAAAAAGTATGAAAGAACCCTAAAGCTACATCATATCTTTCTTTGTTCTGAGATACATATTTTACATATTTCTCCACATTTTATCATTTCCGAAATCTGAGTGCCTCTTATAATTGAAGAACATAAGTTCAATGATGGTGAATATTTTATCTATTATATTCACCCAATTTTCTCAATACCTAGGTCAATGCCTGTCATTATTAGGCTGTAAATAATATTTGTTGAATAAATGCATGAATCTAAGTTAAAAGATAGTTTTGAGCACCCAAACAGTGGCTGTCATTGTCTATGTGTGGGAACTTAGGCATGTATAGAAGGCATCTCTTCAATCAGTTTTCACTTCGGCTGAAATTATTAGCGTTAACAGCAATGCCTACTGCTAAATTTTAAATTACGTTTGGATTTTTAATTGTCACTTAAAATGTCTTTGGAAGGATTATATTGTAATACAGAATTGAAACAAATACCACCTTAAAAATAGAAGATTCCCTGTCATACATCAAGAGATACAGTTAAAGACAGCAGAAATGGACAAATCTTTTATAAGAGATCGTCACATTTTCAATCTGGGTGTATTTCTATAACATACTCAAACGTTAGAAAGTACTAAGAAGTTTCCAGCTGACTTTCCAGAGGATATGTTTAATATCCTGAGATATGTGAATCAATTAAAGAAATAAAAACAAATGCAAAACTAGGAAATTAACAAATTAAAAAATGCAAATGAAACAGTTGATGTTGGCTGGGCGCCGTGGCTCACGCCTGTAATCCCAGCACTTTGGGAGGCCAAGGCCAGTGGATCACCTGAGGTCAGAAGTTCAAGACCAGCCTGGCCAACATGGCGAAATCCCATCTCTGCTAAAAATACAAAAATTAGCTAGGTGTGGTGGTGCACGCCTATAGTCCCAACTACTCAGGAGGCTGAGGCAGGAGCATCGCTTGAACACGGGAGGTGGAGGTTGCAGTAAGCTGAGATCGTGCCACTGCACTCCAGCCTGGGTGACAGAGCGAGACTCCGTCTCCGAAAAAAAAAAAAAGAAAAGAAGCAGTTGGTGTTAAAATGGATAAAGGAGTTAAAATTACAAGCAAGAATCATAAAAAACACATCATCAAATGACATTTATGGAATAGCAATGACCAAAATGAATCAGAAAAATTTTAGCCTTTGAATACATACAGAATTAGACTCCAAGATTATTAAGATATTGGAAAAGAAAGGCACATGTATAATATGAGTAAGCATATGCCATTGTGAATTGATGCAACATATGAACAATTAATGTGGAATTTCCTTCTGTATGATGACTGTTAACACACCTTAGAGTTATTCATAATATCATGGAATGAAGGAAATAGACACACAGCCACATGCACATTTAGGGAGGTCATTTGGACAAAATGAGATACTTAGCTTAGAGGAACAAAGTTAAATCACTAGAAGTTTGAATGTGACAAAAATCAAATAAACAGTTGTTTTTAACACAATATTTGCTATCAGAGTTGAATGGCACTGTTTGGAATCCATGACCATGAAATGAAGTCTTGTGACTGAAATACTGATACCTCTACCTCCTCCCAACCCAACTATAAGGACGCTGGTATTCAATAAAGCAACATTCTACTGCTTCCCTTGATTTTGTTATCCAATTAATGTAAAACCCAATCCCTATGGAAAACTTATATTTGTGATGAAAGGATAGAAAAATGTGGTTCTCTAGAAAGGAGAACTCTAATTGCTACTGAATGCTGACTTTCTGTAAGGTTCGGGAGCATTCCCAGAGGGCAGTAACTGGAGCACAACATGTATTGCAACAAAGACAGGGCTTTTTAAATCCAAGTATCAGTCAGCCATAGGCTGCAATTCTCGCCATTTCCCAGGCATCTATAGTCAAGTTGGCTCCTGTCTGTTTAGGAAATTCTTCAGAGAAAGGTTAAGAATTTCTTGCATCAAGGATCCCATTATCTCCCACAAAGAAATTTTTTTTCATTTGAATGAAGTCCAATTTATCAATTTTTTTCTTTCATGGATTGTGCTTTTCGAGTCAGTTCTAACAAACTTTTGCCTAGCCCTAGATCCCAAATATTTTCCTTTATTTTCTTATTTTAATGAGCTCTTCGAAAACATAAGCTTTCAATGTGAGGGGAAAATATCATAGGTAGGGCAAAAAAATATATATCTCACACCGTATACAAAAAATCAACTCAAATTGGATTAAAGACTTAAACACAAGACCTGAAACTCTAAAACTGCTAGAAGAAAACAGGGGGAAAGCTGCATGTTACTGGTCTGGACAGTGTTTTGTTTGTTTGTTAATACAACCCCAAAAGCACAGTCAAAAAAAGCAAAAATAAACAAGTGGGATTACATCAAACTGAAAAGCTTCTTCACAGAAAAGAAAACAATCAACAGAGTGAAGACAACCTACAGAATGGTAGAAAATATTTGCAAATTATACATGTGGTAAGGAGTTAATATTCAAAATATATAAGGAATTCAAACAACTCAATAACAAGAGAACAAATAATCCAATTTAAAAATGGACACAGGACCCGAATACAGATTTCTCTAAAGAAGACAGAAATGGCCAACAGGTATATGAAAAAATGTTCAACATCACTGATCATCAGGGAATTGCAAGTCAAAACTACAATGAGATATCATTCTCACCTATTAGAATGGCTATTATAAAAAGATGAAAGATAAGTGTTGGTAAGGATGTGGACAAAAGGGAACACTTGCACACTGTTGGTGAGAATCTATATTAGTACAACCATTATGGAAAGCAGTATGAAGATTCTTAAAAAAAAAAAAAAATGAAAAATAGAACTGCTGTTGATTCAGCAATCACACTGCTGGGATTAGTACCAAGGAAATGAAATCAACATGTCAAAGAGATCTCTGCACTCCCCTGTTTGTTGCAGCATTGTTCACAATTGCCAAGATATGGGATCAACCTAAGTGTCCATCAATGGATGAATAAATAAGGAAAATGTGACATATATAATCAAATACTGTTCGGCCTTTAAAAAGAAGGAAATCCTAGTATTTGCAACAACATCAATGAACCTGGAAGACATTATGTTGAGTGAAATAGGACAGGTACAGAAAGACAAATACCACATGATCTCACTTTTATGTGAAATTTTAAAAAGTTGAACTCACAGAAGCAGAGAATAGGGTAGTAGTTTCAGGAGCTGGAGGCAGGGGTTGGGCATTGAAGAGACATTGGTCAAAGGATACAAAATTTCAATTCAATAAGAGAAATAAATTCAAAGTATGTTTTGTTTGTTTTTTTGTTTTTAAATTCTGCAGATAAATATGCATATTTTTTACATGGTTATAGTGCTTGATACTAAGTTTGGCTTCTCATGATCCTATCACACAAGTAATAAACATAGTACCCAATAGTTCAACACTTTCTCCCCTCTTTCCCCCACCACCCATTTTGGAATCCCCAGTGTCTATTGTTTCCATTTTTGTGTCCCTGTGTACTTACTGTCTAGCTTCCACTTACAAGTGAGAACATGCAGTATTTGGCTTTCTGTTTGAGTTAATTTGTAGTATTTGGCTCCATTTATAAGTGAGAATATTCGGTATTTGGTTTTCTGTTTGTGTTAATTGCTTTGGATAATAGCCTCCAGCTGCATCCATGTCGCTGCAAAGGACAAGATTTCATTCTTTTTTATGGTTGCATAGTATTCCCTAGTATGTATGTACCACATTTTCTTTATCCAATTCACCATTGATGGGCACCTGGGATCATCCCATGTCTTTGCCATTGTGAATAGTGCTGTGATAAACATGAGTGCAGGTGTCTTTTTGGTACAACAGTTTATTTTCCTTTGGGTAAATATCCAGTAATGGTTTGATGGATCGAATGATAATTCTATTTTTAGTTCTTTGAGAGACCTCCAAACTGCTTTCCACAGGAGTGAACTAATTTGCATTCCCACCAACAGTGTATAAGCATTCCTTTTTCTCCACAACCTGGCAACATCTGTTATTTTTTGACATTTTAATAATACCCATTCTGACTGGTATGAGACAGTATCTCACTGTGGCTTTGATTTGCATCTCTGATGGTTAGTAATGTTGAGCATTTTTTCATGTTTATTGGCCACCTGTATGTCTTCTTTTGAGAAGTGTCTGTTCATGTCCTTTGCCCACTTTTGAATGGCGTTTTTCATTTTTTTCCTTGATCTGTTTAGTTCTCCAGGTACCTATTGTACAGCATGGTGACTATAGCTAAGAACAATGTATTGTATTCTTGAAAATTGTGAAGAGGTTAGATTCTAAGTGTTCTCACCACAAAAAAAAAAAAATGGTATATGAGGTAATACATATGTTATTTAGCTCAATCTAGCCATTCCACAATGCATACATATTTCGAAACATCATGTTGTGCCCAATAAATATATAGAATTTTTATTTGTCACTTAAAATAAAAAATTTAGCTTTTAAAAAAGTATATACTGGAAAAAAGGGGGGAGTGTATTCCTGCAAAAGCATGAGATACATTCTCACCTATTAGAATGGCTATTATAAAAAGATGAAGGATAACAAGTGTTGGTAAGGATGTGGACAAAAGGGAATGCATTTAATGGACTATGACCTCACTCCTACTGAGTTGTTAAGTGTGAATCACCGTTACATACATTTCACTGAAGACCACAAAGGCCACCTATGTCAAATGTTCATTGTTTTCATAGTTCATTGTTTTTATGATTCATTGTTTATGTAAAGATAAATAAGCAAAATAAAAGTAATGACATATGAAATAATGCAAATTATACTTTCTCCCTCCCATACTGACATTCTAGGGGGGCATGATAAAGAAAATCATTACTCTCATGACAGCAAACCTCAGTACTCTGAGAAGACTTAATTAGAAGTACAGCAACTATACCTCTTTAAAGACATCCAGGTGCTTCATATCTTCTGGTACCACATTCAACATTTGGTCTTGTGAATGCAAATAAATGCCTCATAAGCTGATGTATAGATATTAGAAGGACTTCTTATATGTTGAATTCTCCTGACTTCAATGGGTGGTTCAGAGTGTAGCCATTCTATGATGGTTTCAATCTTATCTCTGTATTCAATACTGTATTTTAGCTGATAGACACGTGCTTCAAAAATATGACACCTCTCAGGTTGCCTGTGTGGCTGATGCATTTTTCTCCCACAGTCTTGTCCACACCATTTTGGAGAACTTGTACCTACAGTGCATACACATGAGCTGCTAGTTATGCAATCCTTGTCATCTCTAATATTACCTGTGATGGGTGGAGACCTAGGATAAAATGAAATAGTGTGTCCCAGGTCTTGGAAGCTGGGAGTGTAGAGGCTCAACATAGTACTTGATGTAGACAAGAATGACCACATAAAGGCAGGGATAGGCTGGCTACCTGTATTTCAAATCACAGAAGACTGGTCTTCAGAGAAAGAGAATGATCTCATGTGCAGAAAGAAACAGACCATAAGTCCTGTGAAAGGAAAGAAAACTTTAGATTAGTATTATGTTTTCAGTAAACTCCCTACCACACCTAAATACTTTGCATTCTTCCATTTCTCCCAATTACTCTAAGAAAAACTGGTAAATTAAACATTATTTTACAAGCTAAATATATCATAATTAAAATTTATGTCATATATATAGTATATATCGTACCATTCTTTGTGGTAAACTTCAAAAGGAAACAAATTTGTATGTATCAATGATGTGTTCAAGGTATATATACTTATAATGTATGTTTACATTGATAGCAGCTGAGTTTTTAACTCATGAGAAATGATAACCCTACACATAGAGCTATGGTTATAGTTGAATGAAATGGTCTATAGGCCTGCTAGAGATGATCAGTGGTCCTTTTGGAGCAGGAATTGATGAGGAACTTTTCAAACCATGATGTGGAAGAGTGACTGGAGGAAATGGAATTGTTTTACTTCAAAAAAAATAAATTCTTAGCATGGAAGACATCAATAGTGACCACCTTAGTGACAATGGGGAGCAAGTTGGGATCGTTACAGAAGCCAGAGTGAACAACATTGCTAGATGTACAGGGAAGCAGATTTTTGTATAATAGTTAAGGAAAATGTTTACACCCTTAAGCCTGTTGAATGAACAGGCTGCCTCATTAAGTGGTGAGCTCCCTGTCACTGTTGTTCAAATAGCGTCTGTCACAAAGTTAGAGTTACTGTTTTGAGTATTAGATTGGTTAGAAAATCCCTATTTTCTACTTCATAAAAACCGATTTCACTATTCTGAACTTCTTAAGGGTCTGTAAAAAACAAAAGCTTATGTACTTTGAAAAGCTGCTCAGTAAAGTTGTACTGTGGATCATGCATGCACTTGTATGTGATCCCCACATACGATCCCCATATTAAATGGTAAAAAATTATTTTGTATTTGATGTAATTTTTTTAAATTTACCTATTTTTAAAAATCAGATATTCATTGACTAATACTTAGAAATTAGTAGAATTTACTTAAAAAAATAAAAAAAAAAAAACAAGACAAAAAATGCCTAGAATCAAATCTTGATTTGGAGCATCCTAGATAATCAATAGTCTTTATTCAAGGCAACTGTTTGTTATGATCAGGATGATATGCAATTAATGTTTGAGATAAAACTTGATGAAATGGAGGAATATTGAATTTAAGACATTTCTAATAAAGCTTAGAAATGATTATTTGTTTTTTATCTGTTGATAAAATAAAAAATTTGGTTTAATAATTAAAACTGTTTTTAAATTAGTTATTAATTTGACTTAAAAATCTGGTACACACTAGATTTTTCATTGTTTTCAGAAGATTTTAGTAACGTTACCATTTTATGTATATAATTTTCAAGGCTTTTGTTCCTATAAAGATCAGTTTAAACACATAAAAAAGGTGTTTAGATTCTGTAGTTTGGTCCAGTCTTAGTTTTTAGTTTTGGTGTATTCAGAAGTGGAATTTGGTATGCTAACATAAAAGATATTGTCTTTTATTTATAAAACTGGTTATATAAACAAAATAAGATCAGTCTCATCTCTCTCGGATATGCAGGTATCCTGCATGGATATGCAACAGAGATTGGTCAGCCACATTTAAAGAACTTAGTCCCTTTGAAAAACAGGGTTTTTTGTTTGTTTGTTTTTTGGGCTTTTTGTTTCCTTATGAGGGAGTTGGGGAGAGTGGTGGGCCTGTTGGAGCTTCTTGAGTCTGAACCCATCAATTGACTGACAGTGCCTACATATTCTTCCCCTCAAATCTATTGTATGAACTACATATTACACAGTCTAGGCAGTTTTAGAAAATCTATACTCATTTCTCGATTCCAAATGTGAAGGTCCTCCTTAAACCTAGAGGACTCCTGGAAGGATTTACAGGGAAAATATAACAAGACTGATTTCCCAACACATGTTGGACACACAGCTCACATAAACCTTTGCGTAGCCCTCTGTAGATTTATACGAGGTGGTGTGGGAGAATTCTCCCTGCCATTGAGTGCAGCTCTCCTGCTTCTGAGTTATGTCAGGTACACAGGAATCACTCCCAGACACTCTCCTGGGACTGCAACGGTTGCCTTTAAATCCTCAATTTGACACTTTTCTGCATGGTTATTAGAGTTTAAAGAAATGTATCAAGACTCTCAGCCAGGCTAGAGAAAGCTATTTGCCCCAGGACTATCACCTGTGCAAGACAGTGTTGGTGGGTATGTTCCAGTAACCTATTCTTTCCTGTGTTTGGGGACTATTTCATGAATATTACTTTTACAGTATATGAGAGTCCTTATAAATAAAAAAGTGGGTATTAATAATTTATTTGTAAAGTAGTTCAAAGTGATTTTTTAAAAATATGGTTTGGAGATAACATTTTCTTTGGGTTTTCCTTCCTGTCTTCTTATCTCTTAGTTTGTTCCTCACCTCTTTCATGTTCTCCTCATCCTTGACCTGTTCCTTAAATGTTGCTCCGTAGATGAGCCTATCCATGCTGGTGACTTCCCAAGCGTAGTGTCTGTACACTGGTGAAGTCCCATATATTCCCCAGACTAGACTGTTCTCCTACCTCCCAGGCAGTAGATATCTCCCACTGTCACCTCAAACTCAAAAGTCACCCCCCGACTCCTTGCTTTCCAGCTGTAAATCTTAGATTCCCAGTCTCGACGGATAATGCTGATCTGTTCCTTTTCTTTATGCTCTGCATGCATTCAGTTACCAAATTCTGTCAGTTCTACCTCTGACAAATCTCAAATGTATCAACTTCTCTGCATCCCAAATGGTATTGTAGTGGCTAAAACCACTTGCTCTGAGCTAATAGTAATACTTGCTTGGATTTGAATCCCGGTTTTGCCATGTGCTACTACCAGCATGTACTTGGACAAGTAATTAACTATGAGCCTCTGTTTCATTTTGTCTTTGTCTGAAACCAGTAATAACAGTTAGTGTGGTTATAGGTAATAAATGTGATAATGCAGTGTAAGTGCTTAGCAGAAAATCTGACATGTAATACGTGCTCAGTAAAAATCCTTGCTCTCCCACATAATCAACACCGGGTTATCTCTAATCCATCCATTTTCCACACTGCTGTAGAATATAGCTTTCTAAAATGTAACCCTAATCAGAGCGTTCCTTCTCTTAAAACCCTTGATTTATGCTCTAGTGTTCCAAAGATAAAGTCTAACTGCTTTTTTGAGAGGAAGGAAACAGTCATGCTTATGCTTTGCAAATGACATTGCAAATTATTACAGCCTCTGTGGAGAACATTTTTTCAGAATCTACCAACATATTAAATGCTCATACCCTTTGACTCAAAAATTCTGTTTTTTTTTTAATTCAACGTATGTGCACATGTTTGAAATGACTTAGGTACTAGCTAATTCTTTATATTTTTGCTTGTAAGAGCAAGAGATTGAAAATAACTTAATTGTCCATCAGCATGTAACTGGTAAAATAAATCATAGTGTGTGCATAGTAGAGTACCATGCAGTGTTTACAAAGAAGTAGGAGATGTGCTCAATATCCAAAATACATTAGGTCAAAAAAGCAAGATGCTGAACTGTGCATAGTATACCTTACTGTTTAATTTACTGGAACAGGAGTGTGGAGAATAGGTCTTGGCACATTGTTGCATATGCATTTAACATCTCTGGAAAGACACGCAAGAAGCTGTTAATGGTGTTTGCCTTCCAAAAAAGAAATGGGTGGCTGGGGAGAGGACAGAAGGAAAACTTTTCATTGTTTATTCTTTTTACACACTTTTTTTCTGTGCACATGTGTTCAAAAAGTAATTTATTGAAAAGAAAAAAAGTCCTACGTGATAGTTTCCTTTCAACTTCTTAAACTGCATCTCTTGTTTTTGCCTCTTAAACTTTCTAAACTCACCTGCCTCGAGTCCCCAAGGGCTCCCTTTCTCATGAGGTTCCCTTGCTGGGAACACTTTCCCCAATCTTACACTTATTGTACCCAGAATATGCTCATGAAATTTTTATTTCTCCAGCACCTTTCCCCAAAACCTTTCCCAGGCTTTTAGGATTGAATCAAGTGTTTTTTTCCTGTATACCTCAAAGCACCCAGCTCTAATTCCTTTCACTTAGGAAATTTTCTTGTAGCTCATGGACTATCTGCATTAGAATTATCTGGAGGACATATTAGAAAGGTATATATCAGAGCTCAGCACTGAATCTGTCAACTCAGATTCTGGGCTTTTGGCCCCAGCATTTTCATTTTTGGGTGGTTTTTCTGCACACTAAGCTTATTATCGTACTTGCCTATTTTCTTGCCTGCTGTCAGCAGGACTAGCACCTTCATCATTTTATGCTTACCCACGTGACTGGAAAGGAAGGATTTTCAGTAGGCATGGAAGCAATAAATGTCATCCTACTGAATAAGACCTTTGATAGGTCAGAAAATACCATTCCTATAAGACCAAATGTGGATGCTAATGGTTAGAGCAGCCAAATGGTTTATCGAAGGCCATACAGAAAATTTAGACACAGAACCTGAAGTCCAAGGTGGGCCTCCTAGTTCCTGTGCTAATATTCTCTTAGGGCTATGCAGTTGACCTGGAGATAGTTTCTTTAAAGTTTAATTTTAAATTCAAGTTATTGTAATCTTAGGAAAGGAAATAAAAATAATAATAATACATGGCATGTTTACCAGGTAATTTGTCTTCTATCTTTAGATGCTGTCCTAGGATATGAGAACATAACACACAGCTAGGAATTTTAGATAGGCATTTTAGCAAATTTAAAATTGTTTAAATGTAAAAATTTAAATTATGAGAAACAGTTGACATTTCAGGTTTATATTCTTAACAGTATATAACTATTCCTCATATAAATTTGCCTCCAAAAAAATCAATTATCAGATTGAGCAATTCTAGCCATGCCAAGATGATAGCCATTAGACCCCTTGTTTATTAAATTCTTTTGCAGATAAAGGTGCCAGAAATGAATTAATGACTGTTAAAACAGCTGGGCTTTCTTGGTTACAAGAAAAACACCTTGACATATTTTTTGACTCTGTGATTGGTCTGCATTTCAAGGGTATAAATTAATCTTCAGAAGATCCTAAAGAATATCTTCCCTGGACACTTCACTTATACATCAAGTTGGCCATGTTAGCAATCTAATCACAAACCTGTAATTCAGCGGACAACAATTTCTTATTGTGAACAGCATAGCGGCTTTTACTATCATTTAGGTCAGCCCAAGATTGCTGATGCACTGTATGTTTCAGACCAGGGATGATGGATGACGAGCTCCGATGCCCATCCCTAAGTGATTGGAAAGATTGAAGACACACAGTTCACTTAAGCTTGCTTACTATTACATCAAGTAATCAGTGTGATAGGCAAGCCTGTGCTCTTTATGTCATCCAACCAACATTCTGCAAGAACAGTATTTCAGATTAAAAAAAAATCTTAAAAATTGTGTTCCATCTGACATTCCTATTACTAGATTAATCATTTAGCAAACAGCTTCACCTCAAACCTAGTTTGGGGGTATTAATAAACATTTTTAAATGGGCTTAATACCTGGGTGATGAAATAATATGTACAACAAACCCCCATGACATGTGTTTACCTATGTACCAAACCTTCACATGTACCCCCAATCCTAAATTAAAAGTTAAAAAATAAATAAATAAAAATATCTATTTTATAACAGGCAGATCTTGCTTTCCTTTATTTTAACAGCTCAAATGAAGTACATGTCACTGAAGTCGTAAGTGAAAGATGAAATTAGTTTCTTTTAAATTTTACTCAGTCCAGGTAGAGAGACTTAAAATAATTTTATATTATATACCTAATTTCCAATTTAATAAATTAGTCTGCTTGTTAACTTTAAATCATAAAGTTCTAAGGATGTGTCTTTGCTGAAACTGATTCATGTAAACACTATTCTCTCAATCACATCTTACCAATATCCAACACAAATAATTAGGACCATTTTTCTAGCTACTATTTTGTTACGTGGAAAATTTCTTTCCGAAAGTGATGAAGAAAAACCAAGTGTATATTTTAAATTGTCAGCTTTGCACTAAGAGCATAAATCACTGAGATAAATTTTTAAAAATTCCCTCGCTTTTATTGTTTCAGACACTGCAGTTTATAACCTCAAGCAAAACATTTCATCGAATAATTAAATGTATCTTGGTATGATTTAAGTAACTTAGAGAACACAAGGCATAGAAGACCTTAAAATTGTTCATCATTGCTCATTTATTTTCTAAACAATGTCATAATATAAGTTTATTTGACTTTTAGAATACCTGCATTGCCTGCCATCATATACCAAGTCTAATTATAACTTTGTGGAGAAAAGAATGCTGAAGTCCATTTATCTCTTGGGAAGGGTTTGCAGTAGGGGATAGGAAATCACTTCTTACTTGAAGTTTTATTTTTATCCATTCTTATTAACATCATTTATATATCATCATCCCTCTCTTCTTTCCTGTTTTTACTTATTCATAACTTTTCAATTTACATAAATGATTTGAGGAAATTTGTAATGAAGGCAGGTAACATCATAAGAGCCATCACAACTAATCTAGCCCACTGATTCTTAAAACTTGGTTTTGTCCCTGGACCAGCAGCATCAGCATCACCTGGGAATTCTTTGGAATTACAAATTTAGGGGTTGTATCCAAGACCTACTGAATCAGCAACTTGTGTTTTAACAAACTCTCAGTTGCTTCTAATTTACACTAAACTTTGAGGTCCACTTTTCATTCTAGAGTACAAACCAAAGCCAGGAATTAAGAAATAATTGGGGTGGGGGGCAATTAAGAGAAAACTAGGCCACAGGTTGGAAAAAAGCTGCAAGAATTGAATATGCAAAGTAGTAACAAGGATTTAAGAATGTAAACTCTGTAGTCAAAAATAACTGGTTTTAAGTTCTGGATGTTCTACTACTAATTAAGGACTATCTCACCTTAATTTTTTCAACCCCTCCTGGTCTCAGTTTGCTTGTATGTAAAATAGGAAGACTGACATTGCTTTGAGCATTAAATGAGAAAATTTACTTAAAAAGAGCTTAGTGCAATGACTAGCATGAGATAAAAATGTATTAATGTTATCTTGTTTCTTGTTCTTAATATAACTCAATTAACAATAAATTACCTAAAAAGATTCATGTTAACTACTTGAGCTTTCTAGTGGCTACCATAAAAAGATAAACAAAACAGGTTACATAGCTTTGATTACAGTGGTGGTCCCATCTCTGGATGCACACTTGAATTACCTGGGGAGCTTTTAAAAAATATCAGTGGTTGAGCCCTACTGTCAAAAATTTTGATTTAATTGGTCTATAGTAGGGTGCTGGCATCTGTATTTTCTAAGAGGTCCTCAGGTGAACCTAAAATGCAGACAGAGTTTAGAAGTACTGCATTAAAGCAGGGCTTTTGAAACTTGAGTAGGCATATGAATCACCCAGGGAACTTGTTAAAATGCTAGTTCTTACTCTTTTGGGGTGAGGCCTGAGATTCTCTAAGAATTCCCCAGGTAACAGGCACTTTGGATAACAAGAAATTGAGGTTTTGGAAATATATGAGTTTCTAGGGAGAAATTAATCATTTTCCTCCTTTATTTGTATGAGGAAATAGAACCAGAATGCAGCAAAGTATGCACTTATTTTATGTAGAGGAATACCCTCTTTGCTGACGGCTTTAAGCAAAGTAAAACTATGTTAAATTTTGATTTTTTTAATTACTTTGATTTATATATTTATATTTGGGATATGAATTTGGGTTCTGGACAGAATAAAAGCTTTCAATATGTTTGCTTTTTTCCTCAGGAAGTTTAAAAATAGAGTAAAATTTCTAATATTTTTGGAGAGAGAGGAGAACTAATACTAGGTCTTAGTAGTGCATTTAAGTTTTAGAAATAGCTATATCCTTACCAGAATTAATTTCAAATGAAGTCCTTTTGGTTGAATGTGCTACACCAGTTGTCTCATTTATTGAAGGTAAAAATTCCAGGTGTTCTGAACAATGCAGTTTATGATACTCAAAATCAAATAATACAACTCTAAAATGCCAATAAAAGAGTAGAACTGAAGATTTATGAAGTTCTAATCTCAAACAAAGGACTGTGGTAATAATATCTTTAGGGAGAGTGAAGTCTGGGAATTAGATAAGAAGAGAGAGTGTGGAAGAATATAATGTTTTTAAAATGATTCTAGAGCAAGTCTCTTTCTTTTTTCTCCTCATTCATTCTCTCCCTGTGTTTTTTTTGGGGGGCCGGGGCTGGGAGGACACAAATGAATATAATGAGAAGAATGCAGTGTGGTTATTTTAAGGTTAATAATTTTAGTTGACAAGAATCAAGCTAAAGACAAGGGTCATACCATTGTATTATTTGCTGTTAAACTCCTTAGCAAAATAAATTCCAGTCATTGAAACTGCTCAAAGCAACTAAAAAACTTAAACTAGACTTCCAAAGTTATTTATGTCTTATCTAAAGGCCATTCTCTATTTTAGAGCACAAAATAAAAATAAGTACTGCATCTTAATTCTTGGAAAAAAAATAACCTGGTGTATCGGGGTCATGGCAGTGAATATCCTGGTTTGTGATGCTTTGGAGTGAAACTGCACAGGAAGGAAGGGGTGGGTCGCCATGGGATCTCTAGGATAATACTTATTCTCATCCTTTACATCTCTACAGTTAAAAGAGTTGCTCGTAAGGACAAGTAAAGAATCTGAGCTTCTAACCAGTGCGGTATTCTGTCCTTTATAGTGAACTTGTTTTGTTTTGTTGTTGTTTTTTAATGTGAAGATGTCAAACCCCTACCGTGTGCATCAGAAAGTAGCAGAATATGAAGTAAGGCACAACCTCAATCTGGGCCATAATAAAGTAGCTGTTCATCTCTGGTCAGAGAGCACCATGAAAGACCTTGAGTTCCTTCACTTTATTTTGCAGAAAGCCATCGGACAGCTTTTCATCATCTAGCTATATCAATCAAGGACCTCAACTGCTGCTGACTGCTGAAAGCTTTCCTGTTTGGCTCTGTTTTTTCACAGACAGCTCAATAACTTGTCTGTGGAGTTGTGATAAATGTGCCATGTGCTTCTAAACTGTCTCTTTAACACTGGACTGCATTTCAACTTGTAATGCTTGTGACTAACTGCATGTATCAAAGGCTTTTTATTTATTTCTAATGATTATCCAATAGGCTTATCATTTATATTTCTCACTCCTCTTCATAAAGTGGTTTTATTTTAAGTTGCACACTGCAGACTGTCAGCTAACCTCTAATATAGCAGCTCTTGCTCAATGAATAAGCTGTCGAGTTAAGAGAACATAATTGGCAAACCCCAGTACATAACCAGAGCAAGTGCAAACTCCTAATGATTTTTCTTTCTCTTTTTGTGATCACCACACATAAGCCATAGTTTTAAACACCAACTTTATGGCCGCCTACTGTGGCTGTCGGAACGGAAATTTCCTATTGGTTTTGTCCTCCTGTGTAAGAACGGTAGTCAGGATCACAAAACCTTCTTGTTTGGGCACAATTGCTAGTTTCTGTTAAGGAGGCCCCGAATAGAGCTATTATGGTAAATGAATAACTTCTCACTTTGAAAGAAGGTGGTTCTTTCAGATCAGGTTGGAGGTCAATGACAGGGCAAGGAAAGGAAGCTCATATTGCAGCTGTCTGCAAATGAGCTTTTTCCTACAGATATTGTAAGGAAAAATAAGAGTCTGTTGGGGAGACTGATCTTCACCTAATCTTTACAAAACATTTTTAGAAAACCTGCATGTTTTTTCTTAAACTTTCATTGTACTTTAAAAAAAATCCACATGTGTATCATCATTACAGTTTGTGTGAATTGCGAATGAGGACTCTTTCTTCTTTCTAGTCCATGGCTAAAAGAAACCAAGGCTACTATGGCAGTAGCAAAATCCATGTTTCCCAATCCTAAAATGAAAAAAAAAAGAAATGCCAATACTCAGGGAGAAAAGTACATTAGCAAGTTATAAGTAAATAACCATTTAACGTTGGCGTTGCTTTTGGGCTATATTTCTGTGAACTAAAAGCTTGAGTTTGAATCATACATTGATAAACTGAAGAGATGCTTCAAGGTATGCCTGAGATTCTAACTCTCCAAGAATGTGGATTTTAATAAAAATCATGCACATTTTAAGTATGCACCTGGAATAAGCTAAGAAATAGAATGTCCCATTTTTAAAGGCTAAAAAGTTAAGTTTCATTAAGAGACTTTTATTCTGAAGTCATTTCTTGCCTCACTAAAAATCCCGTCAAACAAATGAAATCAAAAGGCAGGTGCCATTTACTGCTATGCATCAGAATAGGCCAGCCTCAGTCATTGGCTCCATTGGAAGAAAAAAGTTATAAATAAAATCAAGAAATCATCTACATAAGGTTTTGGAATACATTACAGGGTTCTTTCTTACACAGCAACCTAGTGAGTGGACTTTAACTTTTTGAATTTATAAATTAAGAAATCAATTCAGCATCCCATTAAACATACTTTAATGGGATGTTGAATTGCTAAATCATCATTTTGTGACATAATCAAATAATCTTTGCTTCTCCTTCACTCCACCCCTAAGCCATTTCCATAAAGATGAAAGATGGGGGATAGTATCTATGGAGTAATATTTAATGAAGTTTCAATTGTCTAATGTGATACATAGTATTAACTTTAGAGCACATTTTTCAGAATTCGTTTTTGTTTGTAAACATCAGGGCTACTTTCTTATACCACAGTTGTAAATATGTTTGGCTTGAATGGTTGGAGTCTTCTGGATCAAGGCCAAAAATCTGCCAGGTGATAGGACGAGGCAAACCGGAATTAAAGATGTCATGGATAATGTTTTTAATGTTGACAACTAAGGATAATTATTAAGGATAATTGCCATTAAAACTGGATAAAATGTTAAAATTAATATTGGAGTCTATGAATTCCTACTATAGAATGAGCAATAGATTCTAGGACACATTTATAGTAGAAGTGGAGCTGTGTCAGTCAATGTCTGTGGAAAGATAGTGACCTGGGCCTTTGTTCTGAGTCCTCTACTCAGGGAACCCACTGCTCCAGATTCCACCAGTGCCCCTGTTTCAGCATCAACGAGGGAAGAGGTCACCTCTACCCATTATTCACTACAATAACCATACCAATGTACACTTCTACGGACATGCCAAATACATTGGGTGGAAACTAACATTTGAATCTCACCTCCTCAATCTGTGTCATCCTGGCTAGCCACTTTGAGCTTTAGTTTTTTTCTAAAACCTAGTAATAATAATATGAGAAATTAATATATGTAAAACATTTTTTGAACTGTAATATTATTATAGAAACCTTAGATGCTATTAAATCATTCTAAGGCTAATGAGAGCCTTGGAGATTATCTAGGAACACCTCCTTCATTTAACTGAGCCTCAGGATGGTCGGTGGTCACTTTTCCAGGCTCACGGGCTGATCTCTCTTGACCTCAGCCAGATTTCATTACACAAGAACTCAAAAGGTGCCATGTAAGCTGTTGCTTCTCCATTCCTACCTTCTGGCATACATTGCTCGTAGATCAAGGCATTGTTTCTTGCGACATCCAGATACAACATTAGAAATCTTCTGAACATCGCCTTCCAAGCAATCACTCTATAATCTTTTTGAATGTGGTGTTTGAGATGAAATTCTTAGCCATTGTAATGTCTGAGAGACCCTTAAGCTCACACAAAATAAGTCAACATTTGGTGCTCCTCACTTTGGATTTTCATATTATCATACTAAAGGCAGCAGTCAGTTTTTTTCTCCAAGATAATCTGAAAGTTCAGGGAAATTTAATAAATGCTGAACACAACACAGCTCCCTTCACTTAGAAAACAGGCAAGAACTTCCTAACCTTAGAAAGCTAAGTATAATGACACTGTAATTGTTCATTTTGCTCTGACTGCTATGGCACTGCTGGTTGGCCTCCAAGCTTTTTGGACAGCCTGATATACTGAGAACTAATAAAGCAAATTACCTTTAAAGTGAAGTTTCTTACTCTGGCCAAGTCAACCTTGGCAGTACTATTGTTTAATTGTTGAAGTCAAATTTCTTTCAGTAAATTATTGTATTCATCTTTCCTTTTTTATCTGTTCAGAGTGAAACTCCTTTCTATCATTGCTCTAATAACCTGAGTTAATTATTCAAGTTATTGTATGTGTATGTGTACTATATGTATACATATGTATTATACATGTAACATGGATTATATAACATTAGTGAGTGTGTAACCTTTCCACATGTACTCAGCATGCGCTATACTCATAATTTACATTTCTGTAAAGACCAGGTTTATGCAAGGTTTTGAACCATGTTGTAGAAAGCCTATAATAGCAGTCTGTATTTTTTTTCTTAGATGACTTGATGAGCATGCTATAGTGGATTGAACCCATTCAAGATATTGCATTTTGAATCATCAAAAAGGATTCTCTATGATTTCCCAATGCAATTATATTTATTCTTTGAACTTTTATCAGTTTGGGCAGTTTACTAGGCTGGGTTCACCAGATAATTGCCAGCTCAATGCCAAGTCAGCCTTCTTCACATGGATGATTTGGGTGATATGGGTGACAGTTGATAAGTCAGTTCCATCCATCCATGTACAGGAACACTGCTGAATGTCACCCTGCTGATTTCCAGACCCTACTATAGGCAGTCTGCTAGAAACACTTATGTGAATTCTTTGAAGTAATAGATTAGGGAAAAAGTGACTTATTTGCAACAGAATGAAAACTAAAATGAAGAAAGGAACACAAACCTTTAGTTCTAACAATACTCTAACTTAACAATTTGTTCTTATGCTGATAAGTTTAAATGGTTTTCATCATTATAATTTATATCCTGATACTCAGTTACTCAATCTCATTATTTAACTGTTGGTAAAATATTTTCTCCAAGGATGGACATTGTATTGCCTCATTTATATATTTACCTCTTTATTATGCCTTAAACTTTTACACTGGCAATTAAAATAGAGCATTATTATTTGTTTTCTCCATAGATAAATGATGGAATACATTGTCATCCAAACATTTATTTTCAAAGAAAATGTGTTTAAAGATTTTACTGTATATTTTGGTTTTGAAACAGTGTAATATAGCTACATATTAGAGAATAATAATGTAGAAACACAGATTCAAGCCTCAGTTCATTTTGCTATTTGTTAAACAATTAGTTCATTCCTTTTGTCTTTCTTTATTTTGTAAAATAAAATTAATAGCCCTTTCTTCTGAAGGAGTGCTATAAGACTTTTTAGGTAATGGATGTGAAACCCTTTGTCTTTGCAAGGTAATACTACAGTAAAGGGCTGAGAAATATATATTTTTTTAAATGGCAAACCATTGACCCAGCAAAATAATCAAATAAGTGGTCTGAATGTAAAACAAATAAATCAAAGTTCATTTTAATTTAATTGAATTATGGGTGATAGGGTGAAATAGTAGGAGAGTCGAGTGAAATATAAAACATTAGCTGGTTTGCTATATTAACAAAACTACAAAGAATACCACAAACAAAAAAATATATTTATTACAACATGAAGGACGAGAGATAAAAGTGGGAAAGAGGCAAATGAGCCAGAAGGAGAAAACTGATATAAAAGTTGAGTATTCTTTATCCAAAATGCTTACTTGCACATGTTCTCTCTCTCTTTATCTCTCTCCCCCTACATTTCCCGGTTTCCCCCAGATCTATTTCTTTCTTCTTTGTCTGCATCTTTGTCTCCCAGTGTTTCTTTCCTTTGTGTCTGCCTCTGCTCTGAAGTCTTTCGTGGGTCCGCCCTGCCTCTGTCCTCCGTGAAGTGCACGTGCACTTCCTGAGTTGGTGCACAGTTTCCTTACCCTTCCCGCACTTACACTTCCTGCCTTTTTTTTTTATCTTAAATGGCTTCACATTGTAGAAAGTGGAGAAAAACTCAGAACCTGGTAATAAAAGATGTCTAAGTACCAGCCCTGCTATTCTTTGCTTCTCCATCTCAGATGAATCATTAAATCTCTCCGTATCAGTTTCCTTGACTCCAAAATGAAGATACCAATAGCCCCTCTATACTCAGTGGTGTGATGGAGCCAGCTAACACCAGCTCCTGACAGCCAATTGTATGCATCTCTCCTCAGCTTTGTACATAGTGACATCATTTTGGTAGCTTGAAATTAGTTATGGTGGGAGTATTTGTACCATAAAAATTGACAAATAGTACAAATCGGGGTTTTTGTTTGTTTGCTTTTATTAAACATTTACCAACACAAAACTACATATATTCTACGTGAGTTTGTAGTGAGGTTATGTAAAAATAAATGTGAAGTGTGTAGACGGGACAAAGAAGTGCTCCACAAAACACATACATAAGGTGTCATTTTTCCTCACTCCCTGTAAACTCACTTCCTTTCTTCTCCTGTATCACAGTTCAGCTGATGTATATCTATGTAGCAGTAGTATTCCATGTTACTAATTAGAATGGGACCTCACCCATAAATCTAGGTCAAGTGCCTTTACTTTGGAAAAGTTGTGACTTTCTGGAAAAGTTCAATATGCACAAAGCAAAATTTTTGCAACACAACACAATGATGCTTACTAGGGCTCTGCACACCAAAAGTCTTCTATATGCATTTATTCAGTTACAGCAAATTGAACAGGCTTGAAACCAACTGAACCAGCTTTGGCTGCCATTTTGTCTTTCTATTTTGGGAAGATAATGGGAAATTGTGATAAATATATGGTGAGGGTTTCTCTAAATCCTTCATTGTTAAGTTTTTTTTTTCCAATTTATGGTAAATAACAAAAAATTGGTTCAAAACAATTTTTACTCATCTGTGTGATATTACTACAAGTAGAGACAATGTTATTTTACCAAATGGCTCTTCTGCAATTCAAAAATTGGCAAGAGTTTAACATGAAGAGTGAAGAAGACTATCATAGTCAGTTGAAAGCTAAAAGGGGACCTAGCAAGAGAAATATAATTAGCTAAACTGGAATTTGGCCAGGCTCCTGAAATCTTTTATTGAAAAGAATACCAAGTAAACACAAAGGCACTATACATGTTATTAAGCAAAAGTGTCAAAATTAGACATATTATAGGATATTTATCAAAAAGAATGTAAACATTTACCAAGTTTACTTTGTAACAGCTGTTATTTTCCAAAAGCAATAATGAAAATTTTAAGGATTAAAATTGTAGGGATGGATAGTTTAGTTTAAAGCCATATTTCTGTTTTCATTTTAGTTGGAAATTTTTAAGGTTTCAAATTACATCACTGTGTTACTCAAATAAAGTTAAACATTTAAACTAATTACTATGTCACAAATATCCATATAGCTTAATACCTTGTACTTCTACATCCGTTATCTAAATACAAGGACTATTTGCACCAAAATGAAGTGAAAGAGTCACATTTAGGTTCATTCCCATTTTTAGAAAATTCTCATAAAATCACCTTGCTGTTAATATAAGTGAAATGCATATAGCATTTCCTTTCTTCTTTGCCAGTGCTAAAATAATAAAGGAAATCAGAGGTGGAAGAAATACCTTGACCAATGTTTAGGTTTCTACTCAATTCAACAACTAAATAGAAACATTGGGAACTCAGGAAAGAGTCTCCTTAAAAGCCACAATAGAAATATTTCTATAAATATCACTTTACATGACACAACAGCTTCAGAAATTTGTTCTCCCCGTGCTACATAACACGAAAACACTGCAGCACCCACAACCTGGGTTGAGGCAGCTCATTAGCTGAGCTGTCTTGGTGTGTGTGTCTGCATCTGTGAAAGAGGAAACACTCACCCTGCCAGATTTGGGTCATCAGGTCAACAGGTCTCATTTATTATTCAAAATTGCTGTCTGACCTTTTATCTGCTAGGTCAAAGGACGCTGTATTCTAGTTGGTTGAATTTTTTAATGATGAAGCCGCTATCTTGCCAGATAATAAAATTACATCTCCCCTCTACCGGGCATTATGATTTTCTCCTCCCCTGTCTAAAAATGTAGTATTCTGAATCATTGCTGTGGGAAGGACCCTAAAGAAAGCCATTATTTTTAATTTTTATCTTTTTTTCATAAGATTTCTAGAGATTTAAATGATATTGACCGTTGACAGTGACTGAAGTTATTTTTCTTGGCTATGATTTGAACCTTTCAACCCACCTTTGGGATTCCACCGCTTCCTATAGAGCTCCTGGGCTGCACAGGAACTAATACTTTCCATGCCGATGGCCCCTGAGTGTGGGTAGTCATAGGTTTTCCAAGCCAAAGGGGATGAAATCAAATGGCATTCGATGTTGACTGGTTAATATTTGCTTCTGGATGAGAAATACGTAACAGACAAATGTGTAACTGTCTTCCAAGTCAGAGGATGTTTGGAAGCAGTCTTCTATTCTTCTATATGATACAGGTTTTTCATTATCCAAGAAAGAATTTTTTAAGCCACTTCATTATTTTCTATGTGTCTGTTTTCGATCTTATAAAACATAGTGAAAGAAGAACAGTTAAAACCCACTCCAATAGAGAATGCATTTGAAAATATTCAGACATCTAGCCCTTTACTATAAAATTAACTATAAACATTTAACAAGCAATATTGAAGAAGATTGAGACTGCTTCAATAGCAGATTGGGTAGCTGTGCAAATAGACATTGTTCCTAAAGAATGATTTTATCCCGTGTAAAAGAAAAAGTAAAGGTCACGTTGGTCCTGCCCTTGAAGCAGACATATGAGATGTGACCATGTGCTTTGTGACACTGCATATATTGAATAATTTTGACAAGCTAGTAAACAAGTAGTGGAGAATATGTAGCATCCATGAGCCCAGTGAGGCATTAATACACTAAACAGTTAAAGTTACAACTCTGAACTTGGATATATAGCTTTGTCACCACTATGAAATTAACTGATATTGACTCTGTGTCTTTGAGTATTTATACATACTAGTACATACATAAACACACACACACACACACACACACATGATAGGTATAGAATAATTCAGTTGAGGATAGTCTAAAAATGTCAGTGTCAGGTGACACTTGCAAGGCATTCCAAACAACGAATTTTCTGTCTTTTCCCTGAATATGCTCAGCAGCAGATGGCTGAATGGTCACTTCAATTCCTCCCTTTCCCACTCTGATCTCAAAAGACTATTATACTAAATAGAGACCAACTGCCAGACAGGATCAGAAGTTTCCTGCCTAGCATATTGCATGTACATGTGCGTGTGTTTGTGTGTGTGTGTGTGTGTGTCTGTGTATTCTAAGTCGTCTTCCATATCTGAATTGGTATCCTACATCTAATTTTACCACCTCTTTCATTGATACCTTTTATTGGGTTTAGCAGAATCTTCTTCAAGGGAGTTTTCCACCTCTGGCTCCCTGCTTTCTTTATCTAGACCATCTTATGTCTGACTCTTAAGGTAATTGTTTTTTATAGTGATTCTGTGATTTATACATAGGACTGACTTTTGTGTTTAATTTTTACATAGCATAAGAATTGTATGTTTGCATAAGTAACCAAATTCATGGTGATAAATGTCTCCAGGTTATTTATGGACAGGTAATAAATCTACGGAAGGGAGATATGACTTTCTTCCTTTACGCATCTCCTGATTCTGGGTGCAGTTGCCAAGGGTGTTTTGCCCAGAGAAGGTGCTGGAAAGAGAAAGGCTGAGAGTGGGTTTGATCAAATTTCCTTTCCAAGACATATTTCTTACAGCAGTCAGTACGATCTTTACATATGTAAATCTAAACATGCCAATTCTGCGTGAATTATTTCAACATCTTCTCATTGCATTTAGGATACAATACAAAATGCTTAACAAGTGCTCTTAGGCTTGTGGTTTGACCTCTCTCCTCTCCAGCTTCATTTTTGCCAGTCACCTCCCCGTATTCTGACCTCCAGTCTCACTGGCCATCCTCCATTCCCCAGACCAGGCCAAGCTCCTTCTTGCCTCAGAACCTTCACAAATCTTTTCAAGTGACACCCATTTAACCTGTAATCTTTCCCATTGCCTACTCTTCACCTAATTTCTGCCCATTTTTCAGGTCTTAGTTTAAAGGTCATTTCCTTAAACAGATCCTCCTTGACCTCCAAGCTTCATTAGGTTCACTCCATATTTATTCTCATGACAAACTGTGAATTTCTTTCATATTACTCATTTTCTTTTTTAATTAATAATCATTTATATCTTTTGTGTTTATGTACAGATTGTGTGTCTCCTAGTCAGATTCTAAGCTTTATAAGAGATGGAGAGCCTGTGTCTTTTGTTTACCACTTCTCTAATACCTGTATTCCAGGACCTTTCACATAGTAGGTGCTCAATAAATATTCCTTGAATTAATGATGCTGTCATTCTCTCGGCTGCTTCATTTATACCACAGTTAAAGTGAAGGCCTATTTATCTGAGCAAGTCTCTAATGTTATACAGCAAGTCTCTAACCATTTCCCTAATCATTCCTTGTGGAGGAAACCAAAACACACATCTTTTTCTCTGCTGGAGCAGAGTGGTGGTTGAATGAGTCTTTAAAGGGGTAGGCAGAGAAAGTTTTTTGTTTAATGCATAATAAATAAAAGGATGGAGAGATGTTTATGTTATAATCTTATGCTCAGAGATTCTGATAAGCTCCCAATTCATATCATGACTATCACTGTTATATAAAAACTGAAGCTCAGCTGGTGGCTTGATGCACTAACCAGAAATGGTCAAGACGAGAGGTCTGCAAACCATAAGCTGAATTCAGCCTGCTATCTGTTTTTGGTAAAAAAAGTTTTATTGGAACACAACCACACCCATCCATTCATGTATTGTTTTTGGTTACTTTCATGCTTCAGCTGCAGAGTTGAATAGTTTTGATAGAGACTATATGGCCCACAAGTCTAAAATATTTACTATCTGAACCTTTAAGAAAACATTTGCCAATCCCTGGTCAAGACTGATGAGAGTGGGAAGCAAACATAAGGCACAGACTGTGTCTTACCAAGCTTGTTTCCTCAACACTTACCACAGTGCTTTCCACCAATCAGTGTTCAATAAACAATGGTTGGCTTCAATTAAACAGGTTTTTCTGGTTTAATTGAACTTCCGCTTTCTGGAGCTTATATTATGAAAGGGGACACCAAAAGTTCACTCAGGAAAGTATCTGCATGAATGAAAGAGAAAGCAAATAAGCACAGATGGGCAAAATAACTCTGGGAAACCCTGGGACCTAGATCTGGGGCCTTCGGTTTAGGCACCTGAATTTGGATATGTATTATAGAGTTGGGCACAAAAATAAGGCCAAAGTCTGGGCAACAGATCACCTTTGATCTATTGTAAAACCAAAGCCTAAGTTAGCCTAAGAGTAAGACTTCATTTTTATGTTAATTTAACTATAAAACCAAAACCAAAGCCTACGTGACCTTAGGTATAACCCTTCACCTTTATATTGGTGTAATTAACCATTGAAATGTTCCTTTAGTGATCTCCCTTTGTCAGTCTGTTACTCATCTTTTAAAAAAAAATCCTAAAATCAGCTTGTTTTTGAAGCAGGTCCATTTTTACAGCCTTAGCTTTTATTATGTGTGTGAAAAGGGCATGTTAATTTAGCTACCTTGAGTTTAAATTTTCTGGTCGATAAATGGGAAAACACGCATCTATTCGGCAGGGTCGTTTTGAGGATTAAAAGATGCAAGATGTGTAAAGTATATATATGTCAACATCCAAACCTGAAAATTGAATAGACAATTTTTGAGCAGAGTCTATCAGCTACACTCTAGTTCTCTCAAGAAACAAAATGGTCCAGTGTCCCCTAGCTGCTTGTTCCAAAAGAACTGTGTATCAGCCCAGCTTGACATTCATCACATGCGACTGTAATTACTTGTTCAATGTCTCTTGCCTGTCAGACCATAAGATCTGTTAGGGCACAAACCATGCCTATCTTTTATTGTTGTTTCCTCTCCCCAGCACCTTGGACAGTACGTGACGTACTGGGTCCCCCAAATATGCCTATGACTGAAAGAATAACATGCTAAAAGAAATAAAAATCCTTAAGAATAAATAAACGTCATCCATACTTAACTGTTTGAAATAGTTCCTACCTAGATGTTTGTGTTCTTTATACCTGGGGCATGGTTATTGGTTCTCTTTCTTCTGTAAATTTCTCCAGATTCTTTCTGGAGCTTCTTGCCTTTCATTCCCAGTCTTCTCTGTGTTGATATAAAGAAGATGAACAAAAAAATGGAAACACTGTTTGCATTGCTGTCTATGCTAATCTCTCTCTGTTGACTCTGAATTCTAAACATGTCTCCTGTAACTGCTGTGATTTACAAGCCCCTTCTAGCAAATAGCTCTTCCATTTTAAGGGGTCAGAACTAGTTTTTAAAAAAATCTTACAAACACTTATAAACTACTAAATAGTATGTAACGTTTTATAATCATGCTATAGTTCCCCACCTCAACCCCCACCAAAAAAAAAAAAAAGCACAGTTCATGACATGGTCAGAAAATCATTAGCATTCACTACAGATAGTTCCCTCAGCTTTTACTTTTTAACCTCACCCCAATTCCCATTGCCTTTATAAATTAGTAAATGGAGCTTATCAAAGATTAATGCCTTGCTTTCTCCTTTTGGCAACTAACTCTCTCTTCTCAAAATCACTCTCTTTGAAGTCAGCCGAAATTCTGTACATGATCCGGATGCACAACAGGAATTCCAATCCCAGTGCATGGCAGAAACTAACCCTGCTGCATCTGAGAGCCCGAGCCCTCCCATCAGGCCTGCCCTGTTTATTCTGTAGGAGCATGGTGGCACTGGCTATTTCTCTTCTACCTAAGAAGTCTTACCTATAAAAGATACCTTACCACGGGTGCATTTAGAAGGAAAACAGGTATATGGTTCAGTGCTACCACACACTACTTTATTGAAAGAAAAGATGATTTAGGTAGAAGATGATCAGAGCATAGCTCTAAATTACTATAGGGAGTAAGCAGAGTTGGTGACCACTTTATGATAGATTTTATACTGGTTATTTTTCACCAGATAAGGTGGCCTCACATTCAGCATAGACTTATATGGCAGACAAATCCAAGTGGTCAAGTACAAAGAAGTCATTCAAGTGGTCAATTACAAAGACGTCATCAACCTTTGGAGATCAGCAACATTTCTTTTTTTTCTTTTCTTTTCTTTTTTTGCTGTCCAGCATTTACTGCTACCATGAGAGCACCCTAGTTTTCTTTTGTGCATTCCTGCAGAAACAATGAATTAATTTGTCCTCTTCCTTCAGATGCCCTAAGCATGCTTGAAGCGCCTACCACCAGATCAATTCCTCTATCATTACCACAGTATGGCCACAGGATGGGCAGGTTTCTTTAGCTCAACCAATTAATCTCTTCTGAGGTCCTGAACTTAAAGCTGAATGAAGCAAAGGCAGAACAAGTGGATGAAATCCTTTTGTTCCAGATGTGGCAACCAAAAAAGGCTGGTGTAGTTCTTCCTACAAATAAATTTCAGAAGTTCCCTGTTCCTGTTACCCTGTGGTGAGCATCCTTTGTGTAAATATTTAGCTCTTACAACCACTGAGACCTGATGAATACAAAGATTATTGATCACTGCTATATACCCAGCACCTCCCACATGCTCTGTCACCCAGTAGCACTCATTGTTTATAGAATGAATGATATTATAATAGTAACAGGCCAGGCACGGTGGCTCACGCTTCTAATTCTAGCACTTTGGGAGGCCGAGGCGGGTGGATCACCTGAGGTTGGGAGTTCGAGACCAGCCTGACCAACATGGAGAAGCCCCGTCTCTACCAAAAATACAAAATTAGCCAGGCGTGGTGGCACATGCCTGTAATCCCGGCAACTCGGGAGGCTGAGGCAGGAGAATCGCTTAAACCCAGGACTTGGTGTTTCCATTTGGCTTAATTGCATTGGTAAATATGTTCAACTCAATGTTAAATAGTTGTTGGTAACAGTGGGCATCCTTGTTGTTTTCCTTATTTTGATGGGAAATCACTGATGTTTCTGAATTAAGTAGGTTGTTGGCTTTGGAGCCAAGGCTTATGTATTTTGTCATATCAAAGAAATATCCAGCAATCCTATTTTATTAAGTATTTTTACATAAATGGACATTTAATTTTGTCTAATGGCTTTTCTTTCCCTATTTCTACTATAATTGTCTACTTACTCTTTCTATCACTACCAAGTTTTCCAGAGAATTACTTGTTTAATCTAGATTTTCAAACTAATTTGTATAGACTGAGCATTATAATCGCTTAAGACTTCTTAAATTTCCTCTCTACTGATAGTCATTTTCCTTCCCCTTTCATTTTTGATTTTGTGTATTTGTGAATTTTCCCTTTGCTTCTTGATTAGATTTGTTAGTGGTTTGTTTGTTTTATTGATTATTTTGTTAAAAGTATCTTTTGCATTTCTTTCTTTGTTCTTTTTTTTATTATTATTATACTTTATGTTTTAGGGTATGTGTGCACATTGTGCAGGTTAGTTACATATGTATACATGTGCCATGCTGGTGCGCTGCACCCACTAACTCGTCATCTAGCATTAGGTATATCTCCCAATGCTATCCCTCCCCTCTCCCCCCACCCCACCACAGTCCCCAGAGTGTGATATTCCCCTTCCTGTGTCCATGTGATCTCATTGTTCAATTCCCACCTATGAGTGAGAATATGCGGTGTTTGGTTTTTTGTTCTTGCGATAGTTTACTGAGAATGATGATTTCCAATTTCATCCATGTCCCTACAAAGGACATGAACTCATCATTATTTATGGCTGCATAGTATTCCATGGTGTATATGTGCCACATTTTCTTAATCCAGTCTATCACTGTTGGACATCTGGGTTGGTTCCAAGTCTTTGCTATTGTGAATAATGCCGCAATAAACATACGTGTGCATGTGTCTTTATAGCAGCATGATTTATAGTCCTTTGGGTATATACCCAGTAATGGGATGGCTGGGTCAAATGGTATTTCTAGTTCTAGATCCCTGAGGAATCGCCACACTGACTTTCACAATGGTTGAAGTAGTTTACAGTCCCACCAACAGTGTAAAAGTGTTCCTATTTCTCCACATCCTCTCCAGCACCTGTTGTTTCCTGACTTTTTAATGATTGCCATTCTAACTGGTGTGAGATGGTATCTCATTGTGGTTTTGATTTGCATTTCTCTGATGGCCAGTGATGATGAGCATTTTTTCATGTGTTTTTTGGCTGCATAAATGTCTTCTTTTGAGAAGTGTCTGTTCATGTCCTTCGCCCACTTTTTGATGGGGTTGTTTGTTTTTTTCTTGTAAATTTGTTTGAGTTCATTGTAGATTCTGGATATTAGCCCTTTGTCAGATGAGTAGGTTGCGAAAATTTTCTCCCATTTTGTAGGTTGCCTGCTCACTCTGATGGTAGTTTCTTTTGCGGTGCAGAAGCTCTTTAGTTTAATTAGATCCCATTTGTCAATTTTGTCTTTTGTTGCCATTGCTTTTGGTGTTTTGGACATGAAATCCTTCCCCATGCCTATGTCCTGAATGGTAATGCCTAGGTTTGCTTCTAGGGTTTTTATGGTTTTAGGTCTAACGTTTAAGTCTTTAATCCATCTTGAATTGATTTTTGTATAAGGTGTAAGGAAGGGATCCAGTTTCAGCTTTCTACATATGGCTAGCCAGTTTTCCCAGCACCGTTTATTAAATAGGGAATCCTTTCCCCATTGCTTGTTTTTCTCAGGTTTGTCAAAGATCAGATAGTTGCAGATATGCGGCGTTATTTCTGAGGGCTCTGTTCTGTTCCATTGATCTATATCTCTGTTTCGGTACCAGTACCATGCTGTTTTGGTTACTGTAGCCTTGTAGTATAGTTTGAAGTCAGGTAGTGTGATGCCTCCAGCTTTGTTCTTTTGGCTTAGGATTCCCGTGGCGATGCGGGCTCTTTTTTGGTTCCACATGAACTTTAAAGTAGTTTTTTCCAATTCTGTGAAGAAAGTCGTTGGTAGCTTTATGGGGATGGCATTGAATCTGTAAATTACCTTGGGCAGTATGGCCATTTTCACGATATTGATTCTTCCTACCCATGAGCATGGAATGTTCTTCCATTTGTTTGTATCCTCTTTTATTTCCTTGAGCAGTGGTTTGTAGTTCTCCTTGAAGAGGTCCTTCACATCCCTTGTAAGTTGGATTCCTAGGTATTTTATTCTCTTTGAAGCAATTGTGAATGGGAGTTCACTCATGATTTGGCTCTCTGTTTGTCTGTTGTTGGTGTATAAGAATGTTTGTGATTTTTGTATGTTGATTTTGTATCCTGAGACTTTGCTGAAGTTGCTTATCAGCTTAAGGAGATTTTGGGCTGAGGCAATGGGGTTTTCTAGATATACAGTCATGTCGTCTGCAAACAGGGACAATTTGACTTCCTCTTTTCCTAATTGAATACCCTTTATTTCCTTCTCCTGCCTAATTGCCCTGGCCAGAACTTCCAACACTATGTTGAATAGGAGTGGTGAGAGAGGGCATCCCTGTCTTGTGCCACTTTTCAAAGGGAATGCTTCCAGTTTTTGCCCATTCAGTATGATATCGGCTGTGGGTTTGTCATAGATAGCTCTTATTATTTTGAAATACGTCCCATCAATACCTAATTTATTGAGAGTTTTTAGCATGAAGGGTTGTTGAATTTTGTCAAAGGCCTTTTCTGCATCTATTGAGATAATCATGTGGTTTTTGTCTTTGGCTCTGTTTATATGCTGGATTACATTTATTGATTTGCGTATATTGAACCAGCCTTGCATCCCAGGGATGAAGCCCACTTGATCATGGTGGATAAGCTTTTTGATGTGCTGCTGGATTCGTTTTGCCAGTATTTTATTGAGGATTTTTGCATCAATGTTCATCAAGGATATTGGTCTAAAATTCTCTTTTTTGGTTGTGTCTCTGTCCGGCTTTGGTATCAGAATGATGCTGGCCTCATAAAATGAGTTAGGGAGGATTCCCTCTTTTTCTATTGATTGGAATAGTTTCAGAAGGAATGGTACCAGTTCCTCCTTGTACCTCTGGTAGAATTCGGCTGTGAATCCATCTGGTCCTGGACTCTTTTTGGTTGGTAAACTATTGATTATTGCCACAATTTCAGCTCCTGTTATTGGTCTATTCAGAGATTCAACTTCTTCCTGGTTCAGTCTTGGGAGAGTGTATGTGTCAAGGAATTTATCCATTTCTTCTAGATTTTCTAGTTTATTTGCGTAGAGGTGTTTGTAGTTTGTAGAGGTGTTTGTAGTACTCTGATGGTAGTTTGTATTTCTGTGGGATCGGTGGTGACATCCCCTTTATCATTTTTTATTGCGTCTATTAGATTCTTCTCTCTTTTTTTCTTTATTAGTCTTGCTAGCGGTCTATCAATTTTGTTGATCTTTTCAGAAAACAGCTCCTGGATTCATTAATTTTTTGAACGGTTTTTTGTGTCTCTATTTCCTTCAGTTCTGCTCTGATTTTAGTTATTTCTTGCCTTCTGCTAGCTTTTGAATGTGTTTGCTCTTGCTTTTCTAGTTCTTTTAATTGTGATGTTAGGGTGTCAATTTTGGATCTTTCCTGCTTTCTCTTGTGGGCATTTAGTGCTATAAATTTCCCTCTACACACTGCTTTGAATGCGTCCCAGAGATTCTGGTATGTTGTGTCTTTGTTCTCGTTGGTTTCAAAGAACATCTTCCTTTCTACCTTCATTTTCTTATGTACCCAGAAGTCATTCAGGAGCAGGTTGTTCAGTTTCCATGTAGTTGAGCGGTTTTGAGTGAGATTCTTAATCCTGAGTTCTAGTTTCATTGCACTGTGGTCTGAGAGATAGTTTGTTATAATCTCTGTTCTTTTACATTTGCTGAGGAGAGCTTTACTTCCAAGTATGTGGTCAATTTTGGAATAGGTGTGGTGTGGTGCTGAAAAAAATGTATATTCTGTTGATTTGGGGTGGAGAGTTCTGTAGATGTCTATTAGGTCCGCTTGGTGCAGAGCTGAGTTCAATTCCTGGGTATCCTTGTTGACTTTCTGTCTCGTTGATCTGTCTAATGTTGACAGTGGGGTGTTAAAGTCTCCCATTATTAATGTGTGGGAGTCTAAGTCTCTTTGTAGGTCACTCAGGACTTGCTTTACGAATCTGGGTGCTCCTGTGTTGAGTGCATATATATTTAGGATAGTTAGCTCTTCTTGTTGAATTGATCCCTTTACCATTATGTAATGGCCTTCTTTGTCTCTTTTGATCTTTGTTGGTTTAAAGTCTGTTTTATCAGAGACTAGGATTGCAACCCCTGCCTTTTTTTGTTTTCCATTTGCTTGGTAGATCTTCCTCCATCCTTTTATTTTGAGCCTATGTGTGTCTCTGCACGTGAGATGGGTTTCCTGAATACAGCACACTGATGGGTCTTGACTCTTTATCCAATTTGCCAGTCTGTGTCTTTTAATTGGAGCATTTAGTCCATTTACATTTAAAGTTAATATTGTTATGTGTGAATTTGATCCTGTCATTATGATGTTAGCTGGTGATTTTGCTCGTTAGTTGATGCAGTTTCTTCCTAGTCTCGATGGTCTTTACATTTTGGCATGATTTTGCAGCGACTGGTACCGGTTGTTCCTTTCCATGTTTAGCGCTTCCTTCAGGAGCTCTTTTAGGGCAGGCCTGGTGGTGACAAAATCTCTCAGCATTTGCTTGTCTGTAAAGTATTTTATTTCTCCTTCACTTATGAAGCTTAGTTTGGCTGGATATGAAATTCTGGGTTGAAAATTCTTTTCTTTAAGAATGTTGAATATTGGCCCCCACTCTCTTCTGGCTTGTAGGGTTTCTGCCGAGAGATCCGCTGTTAGTCTGATGGGCTTCCCTTTGAGGGTAACCCGACCTTTCTCTCTGGCTGCCCTTAACATTTTTTCCTTCATTTCAACTTTGGTGAATCTGACAATTATGTGTCTTGGAGTTGCTCTTCTCGAGGAGTATCTTTGTGGCGTTCTCTGTATTTCCTGATTCTGAACGTTGGCCTGCCTTGCTAGATTGGGGAAGTTCTCCTGGATAATATCCTGCAGAGTGTTTTCCAACTTGGTTCCATTCTCCCCATCACTTTCAGGTACACCAATCAGACGTAGATTTGGTCTTTTCACATAGTCCCATATTTCTTGGAGGCTTTGCTCATTTCTTTTTATTCTTTTTTCTCTAAACTTCCCTTCTCACTTCATTTCATTCATTTCATCTTCCATCGCTGATACCCTTTCTTCCAGTTGATCGCATCGGCTCCTGAGGCTTCTGCATTCTTCACGTAGTTCTCGAGCCTTGGTTTTCAGCTCCATCAGCTCCTTTAAGCACTTCTCTGTATTGGTTATTCTAGTTATACATTCTTCTAAATTTTTTTCAAAGTTTTCAACTTCTTTGCCTTTGGTTTGAATGTCCTCCCATAGCTCAGAGTAATTTGATCATCTGAAGCCTTCTTCTCTCAGCTCGTCAAAGTCATTCTCCATCCAGCTTTGTTCCGTTGCTGGTGAGGAACTGCGTTCCTTTGGAGGAGGAGAGGCGCTCTGCGTTTTAGAGTATCCAGTTTTTCTGTTCTGTTTTTTCCCCATCTTTGTGGTTTTATCTACTTTTGCTCTTTGATGATGGTGAGGTACAGATGAGTTTTTGCTGTGGATGTCCTTTCTGTTTGTTAGTTTTCCTTCTAACAGACAGGACCCTCAGCTGCAGGTCTGTTGGAATACCTTGCCTTGTGAGGTATCAGTGTGCCCCTGCTGGGGGGTGCCTCCCAGTTAGGCTGCTCGGGGGTCAGGGGTCAGGGACCCACTTGAGGAGGCAGTCTGCCCGTTCTCAGATCTCCAGCTGCGTACTGGGAGAACCACTGCTCTCTTCAAAGCTGTTAGATAGGGACATTTAAGTCTGCAGAGGTTACTGCTGTCTTTTTGTTTGTCTGTGCCCTGCCCCCAGAGGTGGAGCCTACAGAGGCAGGCAGGCCACCTTGAGCTGTGGTGGGCTCCACCCAGTTCTAGCTTCCCGGCTGCTTTGTTTACCTAATCAAGCCTGGGCAATGGCGGGCGTCCCTCCCCCAGCCTGGCTGCCGCCTTGCAGTTTGATCTCAGACTGCTGTGCTAGCAATCAGCGAGACTCCGTGGGCGTAGGACCCTCCGAGCCAGGTGCGGGATACAATCTCGTGGTGCGCCGTTTTTTAAGCCGGTCCGAAAAGCTCAATATTCGGGTGGGAGTGACCCGATTTTCCAGGTGCGTCCGTCACCCCTTTCTTTGACTAGGAAAGGGAACTCCCTGACCGTTGGGCTTCCCAAGTGAGGCAATGCCTCGCCCTGCTTAGGCTCGCGCACGGTGCGCGCACCCACTGACCTGCGCCCACTGTCTGGCACTCCCTAGTGAGATGAACCCGGTACCTCAGATGGAAGTGCAGAAATCACCCGTCTTCTGCGTCGCTCACGCTGGGAGCTGTAGACCGGAGCTGTTCGTATTCAGCCATCTTGGCTCCTCCTGTTCTTCTTTTTACTGCTTTCTAATTCATTGTCTTTCTTTCCTCTTGTTTTTTTTTTTTTTCTTTCTTCCTTTGGTTTGCTGTATTGTTATGTCTTCATTATTACAATTTTTTTAAGTTCTACAGTTTTGTATTGAATTTCCCTTTTGAGCTGAATTATTTAGTAATGTGTTTTGAAATTTCCAGGTGGAACGATCTAATTTCTAGCCTTATTGCGTTGTGATCAGAGAAGTTTTCTGTGCTAGTTCCATTCCTGGAATGTTGGAGGGGTCACTCCGGAAAATAAGATGTGGCCAGTTTTGGTAAATGTTTCATGTGCACTTAAGTACAAGGTGTACTGTCTACTATTGGCATTAGAGTTTGATTATTACATCTACTTTATTGACTTAGTTCTGTAGGTTTTCTATATTCTTGTCAATATTTCGTCCCCATTATGTGTCTTATATTCAGAGATATGTGCTAACATTATCTATCGTTAGTTTCCATTCTCTTTAGCCTCTGCTTTATTAAAGTAGCTGTGTTATTACTTACACATATATTAGTCATTGAAATACCTCCATTGTGAATTGCAGTCTTTAGTATTACGAAATACTCTTCTCTGTGTCTTTATTTATTGCTCTTTGGTTTGCATTCCACCATGCTCAATAATATTGTGACCACTGCTTTTTAAAAATTTATTTATATCCTGTCTATCCTTTTATCTTTAATCTTGCTTAACTCTTTGTTTTTGATGTATCTTTTTAAAAACAACATAGTGTTAGATTTTACTTTGTTAGTCAATCTTAATCTCTTTTATTCTAATAGGTGAATTAAGTCCATTAACATTTATTGATAAAGATGGTAAGTTTGTACATAGACACAAATATATGAAACTATATATGTTCTTTTACTATGTCATCTATTTCATTTTATTTTCCTCAAAATCTCTCTTTCTCTCTCACTTTCTGTATGTAGGTATTGAGGGAGTATTTGGTAGTTTTTTTTTTTCCTAATGTTTACCTTTATGCTAAAACCTTTACGTATTACCTTTCTTCTCATTGCCAGTTAGCCCTCAACTATTAGCAATAATGAAATAATTTGCTACTAACATTTTTACTTTCTCTCTTCCAGCATCTAATTTGAAATGATACTCTTTTACTCTCAGGTAATACATATACTACTAAGTATATGTATTACTATGTAATTACTCAGCTTATCCTGCTTTTTATGCACTCTCCATATCCCTCTGATCACCTGCATTTTTCATAGTTGTTCTATGAATTGTCAGAGAATACAGCCATATTTCTATAACCATCATTTGATTTTAGTTCTACAGGTAAATGTATATTTAGTGCTTACCTCTTATTCTGATGCTGATGGCTTTTCAATTATTCTAGTTATCTAAAGCTCATTTTTAGTAGGTCACCCAGGAAAGGCATATTTAAACAATATTTCTTAAGTTATTGCATGCTTATATTAACTTGCAGCCTTTCTAGTTAAAAGTCAATTTTGCTGGATAGAAAATCTTAGTTCAATTTTTTCTTTCTCTTAAATTTTTAAGTATGTTACTTTATTTTCTGGGGTAAAGTGTTGTCATCAGAATCTTTTGACAATTTTATTTTTTTCCCTTATGAGTAACTTGACCCACTTATTTTTCTATCACTATTTTGAAATTTGCTCAAATATAGAATATTGCTATTATCTATAAGTTCAAATTAATGAGTTTCATGGAGTATGTGTTGTAAAGACCAAAAGCAAGGCACTACTTATATCTAAATGTACTTACTGAGACCAGTCATGAAATCTCTGATCCAGTTATTTCAGCTGCTTTTATAGAAGGATCAGAACCATGCAGTGATCTGATTCATTCTGTGATCTGCTGTGTGTCTAGGGGTGGGTGAGCCAGGGCGGGTAGCAGTATAAATATTGGGTCAAACAAGATAAAAACACAGCAAAAAACTTTTTATAATAAACCAAAATAAGTCTATTTTTTCACCTTTAAAATTAACTAAAATGGATATAATAATGCATTCCGCATCACCCAATGTTAACCTGGTGTTCAAGAAAAAGAGAATTTTTTGATGTTATTTTATATGAGGTTTTATGGTGCTTTCTACCCTAGAAATGAAAAAGAAGAATGTTAATAACAAGTAAACCACTATTTCTGTGTGTTAGATGTATACACCGTCAAATGACCTCCTCCACTAATGTGTTTGCCATTGACGGAGCTGAGCTTCATTAGACTTTCAGTTTCAATACTAGCATTTCTTAAATCTTAATGTGTGAATGGAAACCAGGAAAAAAGCAGCAATCAAGAACCATGCACAAGTGATGGTGCAAGACCTGTTCTTACTTTGAAATATAAAAGATTATAGTTGCTCATTTAAAATGTTATGATCTAATCATATCCATAAGCTGAAATTTGATTGTGCACATACAATAATTTAAATTTCCAAACCCAAATCAGTTCTCTAAAAGGCTAATATATATGTAAAGTATATCACCATATCATCATTTCCATTCCATTTAATTTTTATTTAATTTATCAGCAAAAAATTAAAAAAGCTATTTAGAATAACTTTCCAATGAGGTTCTATGTTATCTGGTCAGCATTGTCAGAAGTCACTTTTACTTCCTTCCATATTCAGCACTCTTGATAAGAAAAAAGAATTACAGATGACTTTGGACAGGTTTTTATTTAGTTAATAGATACAAATGGACATGCCTCTTTAAACTGGTAAAATAAAAGGGGGCCACTAACAATAACTTGTAGATTTCTACAGTCTTCAATGAAGATCAAGATAATATAGCTATTTAAAATATTTCTTCTATTACTAGGTTAGAGAAATTTTAGATATTACTACATTGCTAGTAAAATAAAATAAAATGTCTTGACCTTAAGGCTGGACATCTTATTTACATTTATGCATATTTCTAGACAAAGACAGATATACAAATAATAATAATACTGAATTTACTTAGACTGTCTACATTTGAGCCATTAGGCTGAGCACTTTACATGTTTTAACTCATATAATTGTAACAACAGTTTCTTGCCCCTGGTAGGCACCATCACTATTGCTATTTTATAAATGAAGAAACAGAGACAGAAAGGTAAAGTAACATGACCAAGGTTTCCCAGTTTGTAGATGAGCCAGGATTGTATTTGAACTGGGCATTTTAATAGCATTTAGATACATTTCCATATCAATAAACTACTTGTCTTTCATTTGTGAAAGCTGTCCTTTTCAGAAGAGCCCCTAAAACTCAATAATAATCTTGAACAATGTTTGTTGAAGGAAACACTTATAAGAAACCAGCCAATTAAAAAAGGAAAGAAATATATGTAATTCTCTGAACATCTAATAATTATACAATGTCATTCAATTAAACCATCACTCTTAGAAGCAGAATCCTTGTATTACCAAATACAATCCTTGCCAAATATCCAGACACAATCATGGGCTTTAAGGATTACAAGTCACATAATAAAGGATAATGACCTAAAATTAAGCACACCAATATAGAAAGCTGGGACTGTCATGCTCAGTATAAGTCAGCAATCTATTAGATTTAATGTGAGATTAAGGAGCTGTGTAACCCGCAATTACACTGTTTTTCATTAAGAAAAAAGGTGATGATGGTGCTCAGTACAATTCTTCCTTCTATTTACCTCTGTTTAATTGGATTGGGGACTGCTTAAACATCTTTGAGCTGGAGCTTATAAGAAGATGATCCCAGCTGTTTTTCAAAGCTTAAGGCAGCAGACAGACAACAGGATCATGTCAAGGCTCATGCAAAAGCCTTAATCCTACTTTTTACGGTCAAGCAGCTACTGCAGCCCAGTGTTTAACCTTATAAGTACTAAATGTGCTATGTCACTGCTTTGGTACATTTCTCAGTGAATTGTCATTGTTTAAAACTTTTAGCTTCAATGCCGTTAAAAGATCTCAATTCTCTCCACCTTTGGAGGCTGACCATGTTACTGTGCAATGGTTCACCACACTTCTAAAACGTCAGCTGGAGAACAGTGACTTGTTTGTTCATACATTCATCCACCCATTTACTCATTAGATAAATATCCAGCTTTTTTGTATATTTCCCCAAGCTCTCTTATAGATGTAGGAGAGTAACCAGAAAGGCACCCTTCCTTTCTTTGGAGGTCGACCGATGAGCCCCATGATCATAGCGTTTCAGACAGCTCTTTGGGACTCATTGTTGAAAGTAAAAAAAATAAGTTGAAGTTCTCTTCCACTTTTTCTAACTACATCTTGCCAATCCAACCATTCAACAACTTAACCTTAGAACTACCAGCTGTAGTTCTACTGAGAATAATATCGAAGTATTTAAGAAGTAAAGGTAAATGATCAAATTAGCTTTCTCTACAGCTGCACACGCTACTGGGATGGTGACATACTTTCTTTTCTCTTTTCCTTTGGAGGGTGACTGGTAAAGGAAAAAGGGGGTGGCTCTCTGATTTGTCCTGGTGATGGTGAGCAGCCAGCAGAAAAGCAGACACGCTTAATGCTCAGCTGCTCTGACCAGTCAAGCAAGCCACCAAGTCCCAGCTGTGCCTCTTGATGTTTTCTGATTGCACCTACTCCTCAATCTGTGAACTGTTTTCTGGACTCAGATTCATCAAGCGCTGTTGCTTTAAACACGCATGCAGGCAGGCATCCTAGGATATGCCATTATAAGCTGCTGCCAGGGGATCTTCTAGGAGATAAATGGAATCTGTGTGAAGTAAATTAGTGTGAACCAGTCAATCTGAGTGTCAGCCTTGAGCCACTTCCATGGATAACTAGCTGGCTGACTGGAGGCCAGGATCTTGTGCCATAGGTGGGTTGGAAGCTCTGAGATTCTGCTGTACAAAATGAGATGATTTGGGGGGCTGTTTAGTCTTGGAATAAGGCCAATTTGATCTGTGTTTCAGATTTGTCAATGAAATGGAATTCTAAAGCATGTTTGTTTACCTCCTTACTCTAGCTATACCAAATGCCTCTAAATTGGACAACTTTTTTACTGTGGGAAATAGGAGAGAAATGCCCTGGAAATAACTGGTTCCTCCCAGGTTCAGCTGCCATTTGCAGGCTCCAACAGTGCTGTACTAGGTTTGACCCTCCTATCTAAGACCTTTAGGGTTTTAAGACTAAATAATGGCCATAATCTGGCAAAAAATTTTAAGCCGAATCTCTCTCCCTATTTGTTTTTGCAAATAAATCTCTGTGATCTTAAACTCATGAAGAGAAGTTCTCTGCAAAGGTTGATGATCATGGTTCCCTGTCGATACCCAGCATGGGAAATAGAATTTTGGTCATGAGAAGAGGTAAGGGAGAATCTCTTCCATGGCAATACAATGAGGAAATATTTTAAAATAACTTAACGGTGCCCTGGAAAGGATTTAGAGACAAAAATGTATATAAGCCAATAGAGCCTTAAGAATTATTGTTTAGTAGGATTAAATTCTATGTGTAAATGGTTCTATTATGTAAAAATCATGTTTCCATAATTCAGTATTCTTTTAGAGATCATAGTCTATTCTTACATTAAGATCACAAGAATTATTTTTATCTAGTTAAATTATGACAAATCCTCTTTATTTCCTTTTTCCTTTATTACCTTAAAAAAATATTTTATCACCTCCCTCTCTGTGGAATGAAATATCAGTGAGATGGCTGAACATAGAATAAAAATGTATAAAATAGAACTAGTATAATCTAGGCCTTATATTTGGTGAAATTTTTTCAAGCATTTCCTCCCGTAGCCCCAGGGAAGTATTTTACCTTTCATAAGAAGAAACAGAAATCTGTCGTGTAATAGGAACTTGGGCAAAACAACAATTATTTAAATATTCAACAAAATTAATTTATTTTCTACTTCTGGTTACCCTGCCTAGACTCATGTATCCATAATACAGCTTTTGAGTACTTTACGTGAGAGTACCACCATTATAGGGTCCATGGAGACACATTTTATATATAAGATACATTTCAGTATATAGAGTGTGTCTGTGGATGTTAGGTAGCATGAATCATAGCAAAGATCAAACCAAATGCTTTAAAAATTGAGTGACCCTTTCCTTGAACTAATGAAACAAAAATGGGATGTCCTGTGAGAACAAAATTTGTTTTATGCTTGTACATTGAGTTCAAAGAAATAAAATCCCTAGGGTAAATTTAAGTTTATGATTTATGAGAATAAGGAAAAGGGAGTGGAAATCAGTGAATTTCCCCTTCTGTTGTAGGGAGAAGGTGTAATCTTTTGCAACGCATGACTCATATTATTTTATAAAGTTATCTAAAGGTTAGGAAAGTGAGTGTTGGGAAAATGATGCTTTGGCCTAGAGATATTGCATAATATGATCCACCCAATGCTACATAAACATTCAGTGCAAATAAAGTAGACTTCTTCAGTCATCACTACCTGGAAGTTAGCTGTCCCATGAGCATTAGACTCATCATGTTAGTGGAGCAAACATATAATCTATAAATTTCCTGGTGTCTGAGATAAGCTAAAGATGACAGAAACTGACACACTGGGTCAGGCCTCTGATTTTTCTAGCTCAGTCTTCTGATTTCAGCACCAGAGGTTCCATTGTAGAGAGGCAAAGTTATCCTCATAACATCAGCCTCAAAGTCTCAAAATGTGTCTAAAATGTCTTGCTTCCCTACCCCAGTGGGGTAGTCAGAAATGAGACCCAAAGAATGGGATTATAAGTATAACACAGGCCAAATAAAGTGCTAAGGAATACAGGAAAGAGGAGAAAAAATAATGTTAACTGACAGATTGATGAAGATTTCACAGAAAGGTGAAATTTCAGCTAAGTCTTCAATAAAAAGTATTTGAGATAGCAGAGATTTGAAGATTGATGTTAGAGGGGATATCTCAAACTGGGCATCTGTGCGGAGGCACAAATGCAGTAAATAAATGGCATATCCAGGGGACAGTGAGCAGTCTCCTCTAACTATAGTGATGATATCAGAGGCTGAGATTGGAAGGATAAAGAGAGGGGTAGCATCTAGTGAGAAATCGCTAAATGCGAGTTGAGATTATATTGCAAAAGGCTGTGAAATCCATGGCTCCAGAATCTTTCATTGCTGAGTGAACAAAGGTCCTTGTGGGTTTTCTACTTAGGAAATACATGATCAGACCTTGGTTTTAGGGGTATGACTTGTCTTAATTTAAAGAATGGCTGGAGGGAAAGATACCTATTATTGGATAATTAAAATAGAGGAGTGATTCTGGTAATGTCAAACAGAAGGAGGGTATATCTTAATGGGTTGAAGGAATGGGAAATGAGAAAATGACAGTCATAGGTATATATAACTTTTTAGCAATTTTACAAATATACTCTTCTTCAGATTTACTTTCAGACTAGCGTCTTTGTCTTCTTAATCTCTTCTTGAGATACTCTTATATAAATAAACTGTCCTCCCCATTACTTCCTCCCAGACCTTTGGATGGCCTCTTCAATTCCATTGTCTTCTGCATGGGCAACAGTAACTGGAGACACACACAGTGTTCCAAGTGTGGAGTCCTCATGGGCTTACTTGGTTTCCTTGTGGTTGGTTGATTGTGTTGCTCGTCTCCTTCCGAAAGCACCAGCCTTCTGTTAGCCATTTGCCTACATTTTTACATTGACACAATGTCCTTGAGTCATAACAAATGATAGCTCAGTGCCATGTTCTTATTACGTATACTTAGGGTTATTTTAAATTTTTTATTTGTAATTATTATGAATACATACTACTTATACATATTTTTGGGTTACATGTGATATTTTGACGTACGTATACATGTATAATGATGAAATCAGGGTAACTGGGTTTCCATCACTTCACCCACTTATTATTTCTTTGTGTTAGGAACATTCCAATTCCACTCTTTTTGTTATTTTGAAATGTACAATAAGTTATTGTTAACTATAGTCTACCAAACACTAGATCTTATTCCTTCTATCTTACTGTATTTTTGTACTCATTAACCATCCCTTCTTATCCCCCGCTTCCCACTAACCTTCTTTTAGTTACCATCATTCTACTCTCTATCTCTAAGAGTTCAATATTTTCTTAGCTGTCATATATTAGTGAGAACATGTGATATTTGTTTTTCTGTACCTGACTTATTTCACTTAACATAATGTCCCTCCAGTTCCATTCATATGGTTGCAAATGACAGAAGTTCATTCTTTTTATGACTGAATAATATTCCATTTTGTATAGTACCAGATTTTCTTTATCTATTCATCCACTGATGAACAGTTGGGTTGATTCCACATCTTGACTTTCATGAATAGTGCTACAATAAACATGGGAATACAGATATCCCTTTGACATACTGATTTCCTTTGTTTTGGACATGTACCCCACAGTGGAACTGCTGGATTATATGGTAGTTCTATTTTTAGTTTTTGAGAAACCTCCATACTGTTCTCCATGGTAGCTGTACTAATTTACATTCCCACCAGCGGTGTATGAGGGTTCTCCTTTCTCCACATCCTTGACAGCATTCGTTATTGCCTGTCTTTTGTCTAAAAGCCATTTTGACTAGAGTGAGATGATGTCTCATTGTAGTTTAATTTGCATTTCTCTAACGATTAGTGTATTACATATACTTTGGGTTGTGTTTCCTCTAAATGTTTCCCAAACTTTACTCAAATGTGTATGCAACATTTATTCTCATTCATTCTGCCTTACGATTGTTTTCTATAACTAATCTAATTGGTCTAACATTTCACAACTCAAGAACCCTTAGTGTCTTAGAGATTTACCATGCATTTTTCCAAACAATGTGTAAAACTATATTGAGAGAGAGATTTTTACACTAATCTAGGAAACTGTCTTATCTAGAAATATCTATTCATCTCTTAACCTTTTGTTTCCTATTTCTTAGCTCTCCAATATGATAACATCTCTTTTGTATGGAACCTAGCTTTCTGGAAGTATCATTAGATTATATTTACTAGTTTCCCTTTATCCACGTGCATGTTTGCTCTTTAAAACTTGGCTTTCTTTAGGTGTGTTTCTCCTATCCTTTATTTATAGATGTCAGTAGCTTATGTAATATCAAATGAAACTCTACTACTTATCAAGGTCACTTCCATATTTTCAGCAACCATCTCTTGGAGATATTAGTCCAAATACTCAGTGTTATGCAGTGAGACAGCTTGAGGATTTGAGAAGGCATCTTTCTGTTATTTATCTCTCAATAAAACTAATACTTTTAAATGAGTGCCTACATTGAGATGTGTGACAGTAAGAACCAGCTGATGCCAACAGACCACCTATGCTTTCTATGTCTTGTGTAAATGCATATGGAGGGTGTGGGGGTGTGAGAAAGTGATACTCACTACTGATTGCGTTATCATATAGTTGTAAAATACTTGTTAGCATCCAAGCATGTCTTTCGTTCAATCTCAATATGTTTTTAAGTAGCTAACATACCACTTTGATGTCATTCAAATAAAAATAAGTCACATTCAGAGTAACTCAGCCTAATGATACGAAATATGGTAACTCAGACATGTTCTTCCTTGCATCCTTCTTAATGTTGACAAAGAACTAGAAAATGGAGACGTAGTCTAGATAATGTGATTTTCTTATTTTCCATTTCCTATCTGGGAGATGAAAGAGCTCTGACACTTGACTAACCATCTGAGACAAACGCTTTCCCTTGAGATAGAGATGGCTGTCAGCTGGGAATTTGAGACTGCCTGCCAACTATTCTCCCCACACTGATGGTGTTGTCTTAGCTTCAGTCTGTGGAAAGGTTGCTGCTCTTACAAATTCCAGTGCTAGTGCCATTTAACAGTTTTTTCTCCTACTGATTCAAGAGGGGAATGTTTTTTGGTGCTTTTCCTTGGTTTAAATTGCCCTGTGATGTGAATCCTTATCTTAAGTTCATATATAAATCATGTTTATCTCTAGTCTCAAATGCTAGCATGATGCTCTTTTGATTGAAGGGTCTCTTGTTTTCCTGGCCTCCTTCTAAATTTTTAAATACAAGCTGGGAAGTTTACTATAAATTCTTCCTAGAATTTTCCCTTTACTGACTGTTCTTCAATTTATCAATATGTGGGTATCTATTTATTTTCTTCTTTGGAATGTATTCCTGCTTTCAACTTAGTATTTTCTTGAACTTGTGAACAGTAAGTAAAATTAATACATTTCTGTATTTACCATAGGATTTGGTCCTTAAAAAGAAAACAAACGACTTTGCAGAAACTAAATTGCATAAAGAGTGCGAATTAGTTTCTATACATTCTTAGAAATCATTCACCACCATACTTCTTTTAGTGATGAACAGATCCTTTCAGATGTTTCTGAATCTCTTTTTCTTCATTATCTGTATGGTATAAAAACTGGAATTCAGCTTACTGATATGACCAATTAACTTCTTGTATATAGAAATTCTCTTCTTTACCAAATTGTAGATAAATATACAAAATAAGAAGTAATGTTTCTTATTTTGTATATTTATCTACAATTTGGTAAAGAAGAGATTTACTCAGTAATATTCAGAGACCAAAGTCATGGAAATTATTGAAATTTCCTTTAAGTGTCTGCTCATCTACTCACCAGCTGTCTCCTTGGAACACTGCTTGCCACAAAAAATGGTTTTCCAAAGGAGAACATAAAGAAATCTAGGCAAACCTCCCAGTGGGAACTCTTAGAATTACCTGGTTGGGAGCGAGGAAATGTAGCAGGAGGAAGGAATGCAGTTGTACCATTCCCTGTTACTCTCCTTTTCTACTTCCCAACCTACACGTTTTCTCTTTGTAATACTCCTTCCATCCTATATCCTTATAATCTGTTTCAGATTCTGAGAGTTTAGATAATTTGATTTGAGTTGGCTTTCATGCCTGGTTTGAGTAAGACAAAATGACTTCATGGACCCCATCCTTACATATAAAAGGAATAGAAAGAGTTGGGAGTATACTGATTCTCCCTTTGGATTGAGGAGAGTATGAGTCCACAGGAACACATACTGCTCCATAACCTTGTCTATTCGTTCAGCAATCATTGAGAACCTCCTTATCGCTGAGAAACTGAAACCAAGAAGGAACACTTTCTCTTTTAGGAAAATGCCAATCTTCCTTAATTCAGAAAGGGCCTCAGAAGTCCTCATTAGTTCCAACACTAGTGTAGTGGCCATTTACCCTCTTAGTATCCTGTTCAATTGTATACTCAGTAGTTGGTTGGTCTTGGATTCTTAGCTGGCAGAATATTTGAGTCTCAAAGCTGGAAGGTATCAAAGAGGCTGTGTACTTCAACTCCCTCATTTTATAAAGGAAAGAACCTGAGTTTAGGGAAGTGAAACGGCATGCCCAAGGTTACACTATTAGGAGCAGAGGTAAGATTGAAACCTGTTTAAGGATTTGTTTTGTTTTGTTTTTTGTTTTTAACAATACAACACATTCCCTCTCTGGGAACTCATAAGTTCACCTCTTTAATGAAATTTTTTATATTCTTTTAAAAAAAAAAAAAAAAATATATATATATATATATATGGGCTAAACAGTGTGGAATATTATTTTCCATCCAAAAATAAGTCAGACAGGGTTTCCTTCTTTATGCAGACTTCCTTTTGGCATTAATAAGAAGTTTTTGGACATTTTTGATTAAGCTTGAGCTGTAAACCCTAACTAGACCTTGAGATTTTCCCTTAAAACTGCAAGTGAAATTAATCATTGATTTTTAAAAAGTTTTTATTGTGCCTTGCATTAGGCTGGAAGTGCAGTATCTGCTTGCTTATCAGCCTTACTGAGGCAGCCCATTGCTCAAAGTCCTGAATAACAGAACAATTTGAGAGGAATACAGCAATGTTTAAACAGATTCCGTAAGCAATTGATACCTCTTTCTCATTTATCTTCCCCAAACTTGGCTGGGGGTCTAGCCATACTTCTCACCTGTGGAAGTTTGCTATAGACAGATTTTTCCCCTAAGCCTAAATAGTCAATAATTTAATCCTCTCTGTGTGTATTTAAATGAAATAATAACTTAAATTCTCTACATCTAGGTAATAATACAAAAATAATAGTTACTCTTCACAACATTTCAGAAAATTCATTTTTTATTAGTTGAAAAATAGATCCTCTTTAAAGCGATTCATTCTAGAAAATGCTACCCACAAAATAATATTCCATATTAGATTACAACTGCAGGAAGATGGCAAAACACATAAGTCTAACCTTAACTCATCTTGCTAAACTTGTCTGTAAAATAGTTATTAGTTATAAAGAAGCGTTAGATACCTAATTTAATTGGGGGCATTTCTACATGATTCTTCCCCAATTTCCAGTTCACACTGAAGACAAAGTAAGCCTAAAGTCTAATGCAATATGTAACTATTGCTATTCAAATATAATCAGGAAGTCCTAGCACTTGATTATCTGAATAGATACTCTTAAAGTAAGGGTGATGTGTACACAGCTCTTTAGCCAGATAAGTTTTCCTGATAAGACATCTGTCCAGAGAGATGCCACTTGTAAACTGAATTTGGAGTCTGTTCAAATGACATCATCTTTGTTTACAAATTTAGTGTTACCACTTAACATCTTTTCATAGATTATGCCTCCCTCTGATTTAAAATATCTTGCAGTCTTTTGAGATCTGCCAGTATTGCATTAATATTTTCTTCTACCTGAATTTTATGTAGCTTTTCTCACTTCCATACTTCTAGAATGCTATCTTTTAGTTTATTTTATAGTGACTCTTTAAAATTGGAGAGAGATCTGAATTATAAAGCAGGATGGCATTCAACTCTTGGCTACCATATTGAGCTAGTAACTTTGAATTCAAATCTTTGAGTTCTTTTTCACTGCTTATTTCACAGGCCTGAGCTATCTTTTAGTCTTTCCTGACCTCTGCATCCTGTACATTATTTTTGTGCCCCTGATTAATGTGTAATTAAGATTTTTGTTTGGCTTTGGTCTGGTACTGCAGTGGTTTATTCTATTCAGTTGCCCAATATTTCAAACTGCTCTATCTTTTAATTAATGATTTTCCTATAAATATCCTCATTACTTCCAAAAAGCCTATACAGATGACGAATGAGATCTATTTTTAAATCATTCATAAGTTATTGTATTGAAAATGTTATTTAGGACTGCAGATTTTATTCACACTGTAAATTATAGGGTTTTTTCAATGGGCTCCATCTGTCCAACAGCAGTTGCCTAGCTTGGAAGATCCAGCCACTGTTTGTGGACGTGGATGGAGACTTTTTTCCAGTGGCCACTCTCTTGCTGGGGATGTGGAAATGTTTCTGGGGGGAGTTGTTCGCTGCCTAGGCCTAGCCCCCTTTAACAGCTAATACCATCTTTCTGCAAGTGAGGAGAAAAGGAAGAACGGAATTTTTAGAGAATGACTGAAACCAAAATAGAGAACAGAGCAGGTGGAGGAGTATTATCACCGATGGCCCTGCTACCACTTTTCTAATTTTAACAACAAATCCTGCTATAGAGTCTTCCTCATACTATCTCCTGAATTTCCTCTTACAGTGTTCTTGAATGTGATTTAAAAACTATTGGTTTCATCTTCTCTTTGGCCAAACAATTCATTTCTTTAGGATCTAGAAGAATTACACTAATAGTTAAATGCACCATAGTGAAACACATCCATACGAAGTTCATAGATTCCTCTCTTCTCTAGCTACCAAAGATATTGCAAAGATATTTAGAACACTGGCCCTTCAGTCGTCAATATTTTGAGGCATGTGATGAGTAAATGGAATAGCCTTACATCTTTCAGTGGCAGAACTGTCAAGAAGAGTTTGCCTTTTTTGCCCCTTACCTTCAAATGTGGACTATTTCAGAATCCATTACAGAGGAAATAAACAGTTGATTTTAAGCTAAAGATAAGTCTAGCAACCATTTGCATTATATTGATGTCAAAAGTATCTCTCTGCCAAGCTCTGAAATGCACCTTCAAAAACTACTGAAAATATCCAAGAACTTTAGTGATGAGCTACAAATGGACTTTGGTATTGATAAATAAAAGTCAATATGTATAGTAAAAGGACAACTTACTGTGATAAATGGGCCCACCATGAGTAAAGATCAAATTATTGACTATCTAAAGCAAGGAAAAACCTGTCTATAGCTAACTTTCACAGGTGAGAAGAATTAGCTAACAGCAGCAATTTAGAAAAAGCTCAAAGAGACATGTAAAGAGAATTCATTAAAAATACATACCAAAGTAGGCAGCAGCTTTAACAACTATATCTGTGGCACTAGGCTAATGTGTATCTTTGGTCATGCCTAGGTTCACACCCTTTTCTTTTTCCTTGAATGAGCTCCCTTTGGGTTTTCCACATTCCTACTCAAGGATGTCTAATTCAAATTTTACCTTCAGACTACTCTATTGTAGAGGAATTCTCCTCTGCACTACTAAAAACCATGTCCCTCTTAGAATGTCTTCTCCGGTGTTCCTACTAGTTACTTTTCATCACACTTCAATTAGAGCACAAGTTGTATGAGGGCACATTAAAAGTGCCTTCATGTCTTTACCCCTCACAGTCCAGCACAGAGCTCTACCCATAATAAACACTAGAGCAATATTTGTTGATTCATCATTATTGAAGTGATTCATTAGAGAAGCCTTGGTCACACATCATGTCAGAGTTCAGTGATGAAACATCACAGGAAACACCCAAAAGAACAATTGCAAGGATTAGCCTATCAAACAAACAAGGAAAAAGTAGAATGGCAGTAATTAACCTCTCCAGTGCCTTCTATTCCCAACTGGCAGAATGTAGCTATTTCTTCTACAGTAAATTTAATTGGATGCCCTAGGAACTATCCAGTAAAAATGACAAATCTTGTATCATTTTAAATTTGGAAACTAATCTGTAACCAAGTTCAATATCTGAAGAATAACCATCTTTATTTCCCCTCCCCCACACAAGTCACACCCTCCAAAATCAGAGGTGGAAGCAAAGTTGTAGCATGGTACCTACTAGTGTGAGTTTAATGAAGATCATGCAGCTAAAACTACAGCTAACTTTCTGGCCTTTTTGAAGGGTTTGGGATGTCAGTTCATTCTGGGACCACTTTATTGCCACAAAGAATGGTTGCAGACATGTACTTTGTCTAATACCATGTCCTCTTCCTCTGTGAGGTCCCTGATTTAGAACAGTATCTTCTGAATATTTATTTGGTGCTTGATAAATATTTTTTGAAGGAATGAATAAATGAATGAATGGAGGAATTTTTTAAATTATGAAAGAATAGTGTGTTGGATGGCAAGTGCAATGCATTTGCCCAAATCAATAGAGGTGCCACCTCATTGGCTTTTAGTAATAGATTTAGCTATATGATTTATTTCCTTTTATAAATACCAACATAAATATTTCAGAAAATTATCAAGAAAGATATATAGAGATAAAAATCATTAAAGTAGGCCAGGAAATCTTGACCAACATAATAGTATTCTGAATGAAACTGATACATTTAACTATACCACTTAAACATTTCACAAAAAATCTATGGATTCAAAAATAATCTGTAAGTATGACCTAAACTGAAGAAAATTAAGAAAATTAAACTCAGCTGCATCAATAACTACTTAGGCCACACATCCTCTCCTTCCATGTCACAAACTAACCCACATCACCATTTTGCAAACATGCATCCTTGGTCTCAAGTTGGCCTAACAAGGAAATTGAACAGATCCATTGAAAAGATAATTGAAAGCACATATCCTCTTGGATCAGAAGGACATTTAGCATGGTACCTCTGCATCATTCATGTGTTCATTCATTCATTTCACAGATCCTTCAAGAATACCTTCTATGGCCTAGACACTGTTGCATGTGAAGTCCACAGAAACATATGGATGAAAATGAAAAGATCAGATTTATTATTGAAAATAGCAATTTCATGCTTTTCTTATATTTTGTTCCCAAAAAAGGTTTTAGAAACGTAGTAAATTCTAACTATGCTGGCACTTTGATAGAACAGAGAAGTCATATCTGTGTCCTGAGAGAGTTGGTGAAACAATCTAGAAGGAATATTTAAACCAGAATCATGTTACTAGTCTTCTCTAAAGTTTGTCCGTGTGGTCTTCAGGTTACAAACATCAGTGCTATGCACACTTCATTAAAATAAGTGGAGGAGTGTGCCAGGTCTGAACACTACTAATGCTGACTGGACCTTGGGTGGGACACCGTTGTGTCACGTACCAAATGTGTGAAGTAGCACAGTCTCAGCCTCTGCATTGCTTTCTTGTCTGGTAACAGAGGTTTAGAAACAGTGTCTAGGCCCACTCCCCTGTGCCAACAAACATATCTTATGTGTGATTTGTAAATATATATTTTGTTTATTGCATTTATGGTTTATAAATACATTGCATGTGTTATCAAATCAGTAGTCGTGTTTATTGCAGCAACTTGTAATAAATAAAATTCCATTGTACTCAACAGTATCCATATATTTAGAACATTTGGCTTAATTGTGACCTAATTTATGCTATTGCAGGCTTGTTTTGCTTTTTCACTGAGCTTCTTCATGAAGACAAGGCCCACTTTTTCTGACAAATATTTTCTAGAACAAATGTAATATGGAAATATGTTACTTCCTGGAGACAACATAGAGCAAGTATTACAACTTGTGGAAAAAGTGGAAACTTCAGTCTGTTTCTCAAACAGAATTAGTCGGTACCATGGGTTTATAGAAAATTTTGGACTTCTGTACTAGTTTCCATTTCTGGTCATAATTCTACAATATCTCATGATAGGTTGTCTGGAGACCTACCATTTGAAACAATAGCCCTTCTTATTATAACTTTCAGTGTATATTCATGCTACATTTTAAAATTTACTTTTTATAGTACTAGTTTTTTTGGTGTTTGGTACCATAGTTTTTAATTTAATGAAAGAGAGCCAAAATGCACACAAAATGTTCATTAGCTGTGATTAGTGCAGTGAGAGGAAACATTGCCACCAGTACAGAGCTGGTCTTTCTAATTGACTAGCCTGATGTTCTTCTCTCTGTGTTCTATTGCTGTTAATTGACTATATTGTTTTAGATTTATGCATTAAAAATACGATTTCTACTTCGAAGAGATCACTTTGTTACTTTGTAGCTTTTAAGCTGATGCCGTGAACTTATTTTTCTTCTAAGATAAAGTCACATCTATAGATTTTTCAACTAATTACATGTCTGCCAATAAATACTTAGAGGATACATTTTATTTCAATTTATTATTTGTGTTTACATAGTGTGTCCCTGGAAATATCTGTGGAACTGAAAGGAAATGTTTTAATGGTGTTTGCTACTACTTTTTCATCCTCTCTCTTCTGTCTCTCTCTCTCTCTCTCTCTCTTTTAATAGCTCCAGTCAGCCCGGTCAAGCATGACAGCAACTCAAACTCGGCAAACTTCCAAGACGTGGAGGACATGCCTGACAGATGTGCCTTGGAAGAGTCTGAGAGTCCAGGTGAAAGCCATTTAAAAATAGTCAAGTATAAAATGATAAATTTGACACAGCTTTGGGGTCCTTGGAAGGGGGTGAGGGGAGAGGACATTGTAATGCTGTTTTCTCTTAGCAGCTGCACTGTCAAATTAATGGTCACCTCCAGGGGTCACAGTGTGGAGCTGTTATCTTTTCCTCTTTCATCAAGAATTCAGTTGGAGGAAGTACAAAGGCTTTATGACTGAGAAGGGAAGCTGACACTATTAGTTCATTATCATCAATTTTAGGCTAAATGGTTAATAGAGCCAGAGATTGGAAACTATAGAGAAATGGCAACATTTTAAATATTTCAAATAATGGAAACTAACAAGAGGGGAGCGGAAGTGGACAGACGGGGGTGAAAAGAGAAACTGTCATCATTACAATTCTATTTACCTTTCTAGAAACAAACAGGACTGTAACTGGGATGACAGGATTTTAGCATGATGGTAATGAATACTGTCAAATGTTTAGGGAAAATAAAGTCTAGAAAATAGTAACCCTTCTCTCATGCAATAAAAGCTTTTCTTTGTCAAAGTTACATATTTGTATATATCCTTTATAGAAATAAAAGAGAAATGTACTAGAAGGATACAGCTAGAAACACTTATACAAGGATTTCTGTTTCTATTTTTGTTTCATTTTGAAACACGCCTAGCCTTAACTAATTAATTAGAATCAAAAAATCTTGTAAAAGTCGAATGAACATTCCTGGATAAATACAAAGTTATAAGGTGCTAGAAGGTACCTTATTATCATGAATGAAAGAGTTAAATATCTCCTCCACTTAATATTTGTGATTCCTGTTTTATCTGGCTCCTGTGTACCCTCTACCCTCTCACATCTTTGTGTGCTGATCCATGTATCATATTTTTGATTCATCCTCTCTGTGGCCTGTCAGCTTAGTTAAGAGATTTCCAAATCTTGTAGCCTTTGTTGACAGGGGGCAGCTGCAAACAAACAGTCCCCTGATCCTTCCCCAAGGAGAGTTACTGAGATTTAATTTTCAGTGAAAGGTGCAGCCTGCAATCTATGTCAGGTCCCCTAAGTCATCTCGGAACCCCAATAGGCGCAGTGGCGATGGCATTGTATATCAGTCCTCTTCACTCCACCAAGATTCCTCTGAAGATGGACTGCTGCCCTGTGCCTGTTCTCAACCACACTTCTGCTTTCAGATCCCATGGAACTGAGAAATGGCATCTTTAGCAGTGACAGAAATGTTTAATGAGCAAATTAACCCCACCCCTTGCCATAATAGCCAAAAGAAAAATGTAGATGAGTCTCACTCTAAAAGGGAGAGGGTAAATAAATGGTAGTGTTAAATTTCTATAATAAAAATTATTTATCCATTACTTTTAGTTTTGACTAATGTTGCCAAATTTTTATTAGGTTTTAAAAGTGTCTTAATACAGTTTTCTATTACTCATTTTGTCAGACAGGTAAATCTGTGAATCAGGTTTTTACCTAAATGTCCATTGTTTTTGATAAGAATAGATCAGCTTTATATCATTTCAAAAGTAGAATAAATTTCCATCATCCCTTAATATGAATGGAATGGGAGCGAGATTCAAATATAACATTCTCTATCTGATTGATACACACAAACGTGTTTATCAAGAAAGAAAGATTAATTAGAAAATATAGGTGCTGATAAAGAATCTTAACTCAAAAAGTGAGTACCGTTCTATACATCGGACATCATTATGCTGGTAATAAAGAATGAATTACTCTGGCTTTTTCCTCTGTCCCTTCCTGCATTTTAAGACATCTTGCCTTATAGGCCTAGAAACCTCTGGAGAGTTCACTACTGGTCTCACTGCCTTCCACTGAGAATTTGTGGCTTGGTTGTCATGGAGACATCGTATTTCTCCAAGAATTGCTCATATTGATCCGTGGCCAGGAGTAAATGGCCAAGCCAGTGTGAGGAATAAAGGGGGCTGGGCAGTCCTATAAAATGACCAGGGCTTGTGGGTTGGAAATAAGCTCATAGCAAACACTTAGCTAAAAAGAAAGAAGCAGTTTTATTTTGTTTTAGGATTTCTTTCTGCACTTTGGGCCATTGTCTTCTTTCACTGTGAACTGAAAGAAACTTGTTAGTCACTTGTCATGTCAGATCTTTGGTGCTTGTCCTGACACAGCTGTCAGCCTTCCAGCTCTGTGCAGTTCAGGGACACACAACAAAGAGGCAGTGACATGAATTATTTATTGCTCCTTGTGTGGATAAAATTCTGTGATAAGAAATTAAGACACTTCTGACAGAGGTGCTTGTTTAGTAAGAAAGATTTTGATGAGAGAGTGTGTTTCCTTGAAGCATGAGTATTCGATGGGCAAAATTCTTAAAATTGAACATGGAGGAAAATAAGTTTTATGTTTCTCGTGTGAATTTGGTGGCAGAGAGGGATGTTCTTGAACTATAAAAATATGACTTTTCACTTTTCAAAGCCCAAACGTTAACTTCAAAATATCAAGTCTTTCAAAATGTAGGGGTTCCAAAACCATAAGCATTACTCTAGTGGTTTAGTTACCTCTATTTACCACATGTGAGTGGTGTTTCTCTGGAAAATATTAACTACCTCAGTCAGAAGAAGAAACAAATTTGGGGTTTTTAGGTGGTGAGATTTGGGAAAATGTCCTCGAACCAGAAGAGGTGCTTCAGTAGCTAAACTTACAATTGCATTAGTGTATTCCTTAGTCACTGTATGGAAAAGAGTGCATTTAATTCTGAATGCACATTCTTACCATTTTCAACTGGAATGTTTTCATTCATTTAAAATTCCTTTTAACATTTTTATGTACCTGCAAAATCCCCCAGTTACAAAGCTGAATGTGGTCAATCTTCTAACTTTAATGGATATTGAACTTACATGGTTTTATCTATGCAATGCTAAATGACTAATATAATTATTACATCATTTTAATGAATAGCTCAGTTGTTTGAACAGCATATAGAAAATGAAAAAAAGTATTTTCCATGCAAACACAGTTCAAGTATATTGCTTTGTATATTGTTCATTCCACATAAATTCTCTTCTTTGCAAACCTTGTAAACATCATTTTACTTTAAACTCTTCTGGTTTTATATTGTGAATACGAACGTATTTTCATAGGCAGAAAGCAAAAGGGACATTGAAGCACAGAAAAAGTTTTTGGAAAAAGTGAAGTTGATATTTAGATGTTGATAGAGTTTTAAAATGTCATTAACAAAGCCAAGTTGCTTGAATTTATATAAAATAGAAATAACCACTTCGTGTATTACCTCTGAATACAATGGGCTTGAACTCAGTATGTAGATTGTTTATTTTTATATTGGCATCACTCCTTCTCCAGCACTGAATTGACTAGGATGACCCATTTGTAAATGGGCTGCAGTCTGCATATAGGTCACAATTTAGATGGCTTGTGGAGTGATTGTTCACCTGGTCTCTAGAGCACTCTACCTTATTCATCATGCCATTGTGATCTCTTTATGGGTTCAAGCTGTATACCCAGGTGAGTGCCTGGAGTCCATTAAGGTAGGCAAAGCACCTTTAGACCAGAGCATTCCTATTACTTTGACCCTGCTAGTGAACCTGGAGGTCTTGTCTGATAGGGAAAAGTGTCTCTGAGTAGTGTCTTGTCTTCGGAATAATTCATTAGCAAAGAGTTTTCACTCACAGGTGAATCCCAGATTGAAGTTTCCGGCTTAGACTCTGTGAAGTCTACTTGCTCCTTCACTGGCATTTATACCTTCCTGAAACCTGTGGGAATAACTTTGATGTCTAGTAATAGAAGCACTGAGACAGTATCATGAACTTTCAGCTCCCTCTTTTGAGATTTTAGGGCCATTAGGCTTTCTTTCTTTGGCTCTTTAAGGCCTGGTTGCTTCTGAATCTGAAAGATGTTATCACAAAAATAGTTCAGTGGAGCCTTTTGCTGGTTAACTTCTTACTGTTTCTTTTACAGTGATTAAAGCTTGTTTTTCATTCTTCAGAATAATTTTTTAAGGATTTCTAGCTCCTCATCTTTAAACTCATTCGATGATAGAAAATTTAGTGTGACATTCACAATTTTTATGACAGTGTTAATGAGAAACCTTAAGCCTTTGTCACCATATTGGCTTGGAAAATTAATAATTTTTCTTTTTAGTGCACTAGAAACAGTGCACTCCAAAGTAGCTTCAGCTGAAAATAATAGTGACAAGAGAGAATTAGAAGTCCAACAAAATGCATTTACGTAAGTGTTTCCACATCATTCTGAAGTAGTTTATAATCAGTATGCATTCTGCCATTAATAGAACATTTTTGTGGTTTTTATAAGGCAGGTTATCTATGTAGATCTATATACATCATTGTCAATCAATATTACATTTGCATGAGTCTGATGACCAAAACTAGATTTCTCACAGAGTTTCCAGGGGATACTATACTGTGAAAAGCCAAGGTGGAGTTTTTTTTTTTTCTTTTTCTATTCTGGCTCATGAATCACCAGCAAAAATCAGGTAACAGAAAGTAGGACAGATTCAGGACTGGAGTGTTGGAGATGGCTGATGATGATGCATGAAGCAGAAAAAATGTGGAATGTGTGAGCAGCCGATCAATCATGGCCATTGAGAACACACTTCTTATGGTTAGCGCTAAAAAAAATCTAGAAGAATTAAGAGCAATTCCAGTAGGAAGATATAAGCACTTTCTTCGAGTTGTTTTTAACAATATGACATTCTTAAAATTTACCCAAAAGCAAAATTCAAGCATCAACATATTTTTTAAAGAATGCAAAATTATACATTAATACACACACACACACAGTTAGTATACAGTACTGGTTTAACTAAACCATAGTTTTTGCCAGTAGGAGTGAAAGTTACTATTCATAGACATGTCATTAATATAAATGTGTTTTAAAATAGTTATTAAGGAACAATGTTCCAATTAGTTTGGTAGTCAATTTGATTTTAAATGAGTGGCTTTTTTTAGCCTACAAAGGCAATCATCCAAGTAATCTGAGAAATAAATACTTGTTTGATTCTCTAACTCAAACAGTATTTCAACTAATAAATTTTGACCCTAAAACTGCAGTTGTGGATTTTTCTAAGAACAATTAAGCTGTTTGAAATTTATGGAAATTTACTAATTTCAAACTAAATTTTTCTTATAGAAAACTTCCATCTTCCTTGGCAGTTAAAAAAAAATCCCCAAGCTATTAATAATGTGTGCAATTAAAGTGTATTTACCTACTTTATAAGACAAGTATATTTTTATTATATTAACTTGTCTTATTTTAGGATGGAAAAGACATGTAGAAATTATAAGCAATACCTTTCTTCCTTTCTTTCTTTTTTTCCTCATTCTCTCCCTTCTTCCTTTCTGTATCTATTCTTCATTTCCTCTCTCCCTCCCCTCCTCTTGGTCTTTCTCTTTTTTCTCTTTTTAGATTTCACCATATAACCCAAGATATCTGCTTTTTTCCTAGGTGAGCCAAGGCATCATTCATGGATAGCAAAGGTCTGCCCCTGCAAGGTGTCTTAAATGGAATCTCATCAGTAGGAGCTGAATTTGGACAAATTAAGAAATCCAAAAGATGCCATTTGTTTATTACTGTATAAAAGCATTGTTGTTATTGGTCAAGTTATTAGGCTGTAGTGGATTTGCTAATACTTTAGCCAACATGTATTAAAGTGATTTTAATACATGCTGATTACAATGCAATACATACTGATTGAAAATATTCATATTCATCTAATTTTAGAAAAATATTGCCTAGATCATTCTCTATTCCTGTTTCTTACTTTTTCTGTTAATATTTCCAACAGGGAATGCCAGTCCACAGACACAAATTTAATACTGCTTTAAATTTTCTCCTATCCTTTTAGTCCCTGAATTATATAATAAACAATGTTAAAACCAATGTAGTACACAATACTTACTTACAAATTTAATACTGCTTCAAGGTATTTAATCTAAAATTTTACCAACTTTGATTTGTCTGGTTAGGATATTTTGTTTTAGTGGATATGCTTTAATTCGGATCAATTACTGCAGTAAATCTCATCCCTAAGCATGAAATGTTGTCAACAAATACCCAGTTCCATTTAGTTATCAATTAGCCCAAATAAGAGATACAAAGTATAACAGTGACCAACCTTGTACTGTTGAGTTAATTTGAACTTCTAATGACATTGAGGCTAATGTCTTTAGCTCAAGGTTGATCTTGTTGGCCATATAGATGTGAACTAGGGAAGGGGAATCAACTTACAGCATATCACAATTGATCCTTATTAAGTATAAACTCTTGTAGGTCTTTTCCCAGAAAGAAGCTTGACTAGCAGGAATTCTAAAACTGAAATATATCAAACAGCATAAATAGGAATAGACATAAAGTGCTCTTCTATTAAAGCCTTTGGTGATCTATTTACTATGATTTATATTGTACAGTTCCTCGATTTACAGAAAATCATCAAAATTATTAATCTACATATCTTATGTATATAAATATTGCCTAATCCATAGAAAAAAGGATATAAAGTATTAAATATGTGATATATAGCTATATCTATCTATCTATGTATCTAATAGGGAAGTCCAAGTCACTTCAATTGAAGAAACATATCTCTGAGCATAGGAGCAGCCTCAGGTCCTATGGTGGGATGCAGTGGACAGGAGAGGGGGAAATTAGAAAAGAGAACTATATAATTGAAAAAGGGATATAAAGCATTAAATATATGATATATAGCTATATCTATGTATGTATCTAACAGAGAAGTTCAAGTCACTTCAATTAAAGAAACATTTTTGAGCATGGGACCAGCCTCAGGTCTTATGCTGGGATGCAGTAGACAGGAGATGGGGAAATTAGAAAAGAGAACTGTGTAATTGAAATGACGTGGGCTGCACCCTTAAGGAACTTATAATTAATGATGATCTGAATAAACATACCAGGATAAAGATGTCAAATGAGTGTGACTCCCTTAAAGTAGATTAAAGTGTGCATTCTTTGTTTCCTAAAATATGATTTTACTGCTTGAAATTACATTTGAGTTGAAGTTTAGAAACTAACATAGCATTAATATGAATAATCATGGAAAATTATTATCCTTTGAAAACTGATTGATAAATATATTCCCCCTCCTTTAGAAACAGTCAAAAGCCACTTCAAACAAGTTTCAAAATAAAGGAAGGTAGCAAGTTAGGCGATGGATTATATTTTCTTGCTTGTTGTATACCAGTTGTCAAGGACATTATAAGGACTCCCAAAAGCATTTTGAAGGATGGCAATATCAAATAAGTGTATGTCCTCTCAAATGAGGCATTTTTAATTGTTAAAATCTATTTGGACGCTCAGGTTATGATATGTTTATGAAAAATAAGCTTCATTATTTTTATAGCTACATCCTATTATTCCCTTTTAGAAACAAGAATAACAATAGGTTTTAATAGTTGCCATACTTAGCATTTATCAGTTCTAATGAAACCAATATTGAATCTCTGATAAATATTTTCTGATGTTACTAGCTATGGGAAATTAGAACTGGCACAACCCTGACATTACTAAGTGGAAATGTTAGGATTTTTCGGCATCGCATGTTAGAATCTCTAAAATTTAAACATTCCTGTTAAATGACTAAGGTTTGCTTTTATCAATATGAATTCTGAAGGCCAATATCATACCATTAACTATGAAAGCTTTTAATTCCTAAAAATAGTTTTAGAGATATTCAAGCAATGCTCTCCTAATATCCATACGCAAGTGTGTTTATGACACAAATTCACTAGTCTGTTTAAAAATGAATTCTTTATATTGACTGGTGTTCCACATATTTCAGTAATTTCTGTTATGAGAGGACTTGAAATAGCAAATTGCCACACAGTTAACTGGATAGACCACGTACGTGGTGATCATAACCACTTGGTACTACACCCAGAAACTCAAAATTGTCTTTCTCCTGATGAGATATGGGTGTCCTTTTGTACGTCTAGGCCTAGGTAACCAGTGGAGTGATTATATTAGCAAATGTGTTTGTATCCGGAGTCTTCCTGTCATTGTAATAAAAAATTTATTTAAAAATTTTGTCTTGTGTTTCTTTTTTGGTAATCATCTTGGTGATATTTATGAATGTATTTGTGTGTGTGTGTGTGTGTGTATACATACATATATATGTGTGTATATATATACACACATATATATACACATATATATGTGTGTATATATATATATATATGGCATATCCCCCAAAGGAATATCATATTTTCATTTGCAAGCCTTGATTCTTTGACTTGCTGTTGAGTTTCACATTGGCTCCATTGTATATTGCAGGAAAAAGTACCTGGAAAGCCTGGAGGGTTAAAAGCAGAGGCTCCTCGGCAGCGTGTCCAGGCCGTGTGTGCTTGCTGTGCTTGTCAGAGCCTCATTCCCTCCCCTGTGTTGGAGAGCTTTCTCACAGGGCTCATCCAGAGGTGCTAGAAAGCAATGTGAGCACTATTAAACACTTCAAATATAAGGAAAAATGTATAATGTTAGAAACACACAGTTAAAAAGTAGCCCCAGGTATCAAACATTCTGTTACTATTTTAGAAACTAAATTAAGGCTGCTTTGAACATGATGGTATTAGAAAAATGGTAGAATACAGTTTGTTAAATATTAATATTCTATCTTTAGATGATAGCATTTGGTGACTTTTATTTCTTTTCTCATACATTTTTTCCAGTGTTCTGTATTTTTAAAATCCTTTCATAATTATTATAATGAACACTTTAGAAAAGATACTATTTCTCTTCCATCCTTAGAGGGCACATTATAATAATTGAGTATTTTAAAATTAAATTTTATGCCATGTATTTAAAATGAAAGTTCAGGTTACATTAATTCCAACTGATTTTAAAGCCTTATTTTCACAGAGTGGACTCATTCAATTTTTTAAATTTTATATTCATACATTTTGATTGCTCAGTTATATAAAAGCGGTGTTATAGACTCCTTTATTCTCCACAAAATGTTGTCTTATATGTAAAGTGCCAAAAGTTGTGTTTAATTTCCTAAGAAAGTCATTGCTTTGTAAACATTTGCATAATACTTAGTGTTTTTTGTAATTTTAAAAAATTAGCTTAACCAAAAGAGTTGCAAAATTAAAACTTACTTGAGTAGGTATCTTTCAGACAAAGCTGCATGGCTTCATGTACAATAGTCCCCAGATCACCTCGCACTGTAGTTTGCTCAAGAAGGAGCCTACAGATGGCAGGTAGGAGAAGGTAAACTGGAAATTAACAGGTCTGTCTGTAAGAGCATGCCACTGGAAACACCCATCCAATTTGGGACCCCTGGAAGACAGCATGTGTCTAATGGGAGGCCTGTCCTAGTACAACTCCTTTACTCTTTTCACCTTCATCTTGACCTTCTCAGATACCATCTTTATGTAAAATGTTGATGTTGTGGAGTTTTTGCAGTAATTTAATTTTTATAAATATTGTATTAAAATATATTTATCTTGATTACTGTTTTTTGTTTGTTTTGTTGTGTTTTGCCAGCACCTACTCTTGGATTCTGCTTGTTAAGTCTAAGATAAATTCACCTTTACCCCAGAAAGCACACTGCAGGTAAATGGACTGTGACAATTGCATCATTACAAGCATGATTATAATGAGGCGAATGGTAAGAAATAATAGTTATTGTAATACTATGTGAAAACTAAAGCCATAAACCAATGAAGATATCCGAAATGGCCTACTTCTAGAGGTATACTGAGGGAAATTAGGCACCCGTTATATGCAAGGCTTCTCACACAGAGTAGTTCAGACCAGTACCCCAGCCTCCACCTCCAGCCCCACAAGGGGTGTGGGGAGGTCAGTCAAGAGACCACATGAATGTTTCCCCTCTTGGCAGGGACAAAACCAGGAGGAGTTCAAGGGTGGAAGTGAAGCGGGAGCATATTTTATTCTTCCATTGACATTGTTCCTCCAAATGCCTATTTTTCATTGCACAGAGCATATTTTCCTAACATCAATTTTAGGGTCATTTTTTTTTTGTCTTCAGCATCCTGCTATTGGAAAAATAGCAATGATTTTTATTCAAGGATACAAAGCTTTTAACACTAAAGATAATTAGTCCTTATTTAGTCCATAGTACACTATGCCTAAATCTACAAAGTGCATGCCAGAAAAACGCCAATATTCATAACATTGTGTAATAGGAATAATTAGTTGGCACATGCTTCCAAAACTCATCATTTATTCACTTAGCAATCATTTTAATTGCAATTATCTGTAAAGTCATCAATCAGGTTTTCGATCTTGCATGTATATTTTCTAGGGAGAAGGTGTTTTCACACAGCCTCAGTAACAGCATCGTGGCCTTGGATGATGCCTTCCAAGATAAAAAGACAGCCTGTGATGTTCTTGACATATCACAGGTTTCCTTTAGGCTTTTAAAGAGGTTTCTGGTTAATTCTGTACTGTCAACTACATTTCCTATCAGAAATAACCTCTCTGATCTATATCAAAAGAATTGTGACATCTATGTTATCCCCGTTAGCATCAATTTATAGTTACTATATAATCAATTGAGGAAACAATGTTTCATTTCATTTTCTTTTTTTTTTTTTTTTTTTGTATTTTAGAATCTGCTAGGGTAGGAAAGAGGGAGGACCTCTAGTACAGTGAGATTAAGAACCTTCATCCTTTCCCTAAGACATAGCTATGGGGATCAAGTTGCACTTGGGATTTTTTTATAATAAGGAAGAATTCTTTGAATCGGCTTCTATTTCAAATAATCAGTGTATTCACACCAGTCTAAGCAAAACCATTTACTCCAATGTCTGCAAGTATTTGAGATAGAAAATGAGGCGAAACTAACAAATACTAACATGCCTTCAGGATAGTGAAGTAAATAAACAAATTTGGGGATTTCTAAAGTACATTTTCATAGAAAACATACTGCAGCTGATGCCTGTCTGAAAGGTGTTAGATTTTGTTTGTAGTCTTCCCACCATGTAGGTGGCAGCAACACTCAAGGCTAGAAATTTTCTTTCACATTCTCTTAGCTCTAGTACAAACATATTCTTACTAAAAAATCCTTGTGGGAGAGAAAAGGTTTAAAATGTAGAGACAAATTTCTCGATGTCTTCACCTATCTCTAAAGCACTATTTTAAGGTTGTGCTTAAAATGGTTCCCATAATGTGAAAACATTCATCATTCCCCTTAATACAGAAGTCGTAGTCTGCCCTCATACATGTTGGTAGTAGTAGGTTGCTGTTTTTTTTTATTTACTGGGATGTTACTTCTTTACCCTTTCTCAGACTAAAGCCGTTCTCTTAAGAAAAAGGAAGAAATCTGCTTTAGTCTCCTATCGCCTATGTTTTTTAGGAAAATAATACAAGGCTGTCCCCTTTTTCTTTGTAAACATCTAAGAATCCAGAGGATTGAGTATATGTTGAGAGTTTTCTCTTAGTCTTCAAAATGCAGCCATGTTCTCTGATTGTCCTAACTATAAGTGAGTGCATTCAACTCGGTTCTGTGTGCAAATCAAATGAGGGCTCTGTCAGAGCAGAGAGGCTCAGGGTGCCTGAGAGTGAAGGCAGAAGACCTGGACACAAGACATGTGGGTTAAAGCTGAGAGTGTTGCCATTGTGTGGATGAGGGTCACTGCCTTGAGAAAGCTGTTTACTCCTGTGCCTGGGTGGAAATGAAACCAGGATGTCCCCCAACCCCCTTATAGAAATAAGTTTGTTTTTCATTAATACTGGAAACTGATGGGCAATAGGCTTTTCCTCAATTCCTGGTGTTTTGCTAGAACTAGTACATGTTATAGCAAATACAGGCAGCCTTTCTGCAAACATCTTCAGAGTGCTCTTGTTACATAGGGTCAGTCAACATGTTGAAAACACCAAGCAAACACACACAATTCCAGGCCCAGGTGAAACAGATAGCAGTTACATTTCCAGGCTAGGAAGAGGCCATTAAGTGGTTTGGGAAGGTGAAGAGAGGTTTCTGCATCTACTGTCTTTCAATCTTAGTTTATATTCCCCCTCATTTCTTGTGTCCTTCTACATCCTTGATCTTTCTTCCCACATCTATGTAGTTCAGTGCAAATCTTTTGAGAAATAGACCCATGCATTGAATATGGAGTCAGAGAACTGATATTGTGTCCCAGCTTCTTCACTTTCTTACTTGCTGTTTGAGATTAGAAAGAACTTTCGTGTAATATTCTGAACCTCAGTTTCCTCATATATACATTGAGTCTAATAATTCCAATTTTGCAAGCATCATACACGTGTTATTTAATATAGTATTACAAATACTGAAATTACTATACATACAAAAAATACCTGGTTAGAATCTTAATTATGGCCAACCATAATGGCATTCCAGTGCTTAAGCAGGCTTTTTATGCAGATTGGATAAAGCAGTTTTGCATAAACAAGCTAAATTGGTTATTTGCATAAAAGTTTATTCTTTTAAAATGTTTCATGTTAACTTGAATTTTGAGCAATTCCCAAAATCAAGGATTACTTTCAGAGTTTTTGGTAATTTCTGTAGATGTTAGGGCTTTCCTCAGCACAGTGGGTAATAATAAATAGCAAGTAGTTATTTTTCTGGGTCCCAGAAGATAATCTTCTGGCAATGTTTTATGTCAGAGTAGGATAGGCCATAGTCCATCAGGGTTGTACAAAAAAACAAGTAGCTTCCCTCTTGACTTCTGCCAGTATGTATACAATCAAATGACACTACAAAGGATATTTCTGTAGCCTTAGGTGAGTGTGATGAAAGAAACCAAACCAGGGCCGGGCGCAGTGGCTCACACGTGTAATCCCAGCACTCTGGCAGGCCGAGGAGAGTGGATCACTTGAGGCCAGGAGTTCGGGACCAGACTGGCCAAAATGGTGAAACCCTATCTCTACTAAAAATACAAAAATTAGCTGGGTGCAGTGGTGCACACCTGTAATCTCAGCTACTCCAGAGGCTGAGGCACAAGAATCACTTGAACCCCGGAGGCGGAGATTGCAATGAGATCGCACCACTGCACTCCAGCCTGGGTAACAAAGTGAGACTCTGAAAAAAAGAAGGAAGGAAGGAACGAAGGAAGGAAGTAAAGAGAGAGGGAGAGAGAGAGAGAAAGAAAAAGAAAGAAAGAAAAGAAAGAAGAAAGAAACCAATCCAAAACACCTAAGTACTTCTAAAGAGGTGTCCTAAAACAGAAAGTCAATGCATTGCTGAAAGGTTTTCTGTAAAGCAAATATGTATGTCAGATTCTACCTTTGCACTGAGAATGGTTTGTATTCACAATGTTTTCTCACCAGACAAGAATCTGAAAATGGATAAACTGAGCAGAAAATATTAATCAAGGAAGAGTTAAAATGGAGACCTGACTGTGTTGTCGGGGCATCAAATACCAACAGAATGTACCTGGAAAGGGAAGACCATCCCTATTCTTACCTTCATAAATCTTGGTGAAATGTCTCATTAGAACTCTGTCTCTGCTTCTGTCCTCTTCTTTCCTCCTATCTTTAAGTGAAAATAAAAATACTATTAGGAATAATAATAATAAATAACTATGGGGATTTTCCATTAAAATGGTAAATTAAAGACATTCATCTCCATGCTCTCCTGAAGCCTCATTGAGATGATGGGACAAAAAACATAAACCCAGGAGAAAAATAAGAAGAAAAGAAATAATAACAGCAAAAATTTAAAAACTGAAAGCAGATAAATGCCATAGGGGACAATGCCAAGAAATGAGCCTGCTGGTATTGCAGAGCTCCTTAAAGGTTTAGGAAATGGGTCAACTGTGACCTCTAAAAGTGGGGGTACAAGTGTGGCTGAAACAGGAAAATTGTTTGAAAGAAACAGTTAACTTCCTTGAATCCCATTCCCATTTAGCATACAAGCAGTTACTCTTCCCCTCACCCAGCAGACACCTAGATGTTCCCTCTCTGAACAGGTTGAACAAGAGGGATTCTGGACTTAGGGACACTAGGCCAGCCAAGAGCAGGTGCATCATCCTGAAAGAGGAGGGATGGGTGAAAATCTGTACACTGATGGCCACACACTTACCCCAGCTTCCGTCTGCTTTGTTCCAAAAATGCTGGTAACTGCTCTTATTAGCCCTGGAGAAAAGACAGATGATTCTTTTATGAAAAAACAACAAGCCTGAGGCCAATAAACACATGAAAAGATGCTCAATATCACTAATCACCAGGGAAATGCAAATTAAAACCACAATGAGATACCATCTCGTACCCACTAGGATGGGCCACTATTGAGGCGGAAAAGATGGTAAGGAGGTGGAAAAAATGGAACTATTGTGTACTAGTTGGTGGGAATGTAAAATGTATCATCCAGTAATTCCATTTCTGGGTATATATCCAAAATAACTGAAAGTAGGATCTCAAAAAGATATTTTATGTCGTTGTTCATAGCAGCGCTATTTATAATAGCCAAAAGGTGGAGGCAACCCAAGTGTCTATTGATGGATGAATAGATAGACAAAATGTGCTGTAGTCATACGATGAAACAGTATTCATCATTAAACAGGAAGGAAATTCAGACACATGCTACAATATGGATGAACATTGAGAATATTATGCTAAGTGGAATACGCCAGTTACAAAAAACACACATACTGTATGATTCTACTTCTATGAGGAACATAGAGCAGTCAAATCATAGAGACAGAAAGTAGAATGGTGGTTGCCAGGACAGGAGGGAGGGAAGAATGGAGAGTGATTGTTTAATGGGTAGTTTTGGTTTTAACAGCATGAAAGAAGACATTCCAAAAGTTAAACATATGTGATAGCATTTACTTTTTCAGTCCAACATTTTTTTTTTTTTTTTTTTTTTTTTTTTAGTTTCTAATGTACTAGGCACTGTTCTAGCCATTGAGAATTCCACAGTAAACAAAACACACACACACATTCCAAGGCTAGCATTTTTTTCCAAAAAGAGTTTAAAAAATACAACTGAGGGCCAGGCGCGGTGGCTCATGCCTGTAATCCCAGCTGCTCAGGAGGGTGAGGCAGGAGAATCACTTGAACCTGGGAGGCAGAGATTGCACATTGCACTCCAGCCTGGGCAATGAGCAAGACTCCGTTTCAAAAAAAATTACAATTGAAGAAATGTCTCACAAAGTGGAAAAATTAGGAGAGGCAGTAGAAAATTTTAAGACTAATTCAATTAGAGGGGGTCTTGTGTGAAAAATAATATTAATGAGAGCTCTACAAAGAATAAACAGAGAAATCAGGGGGAAGAAAATTATGTAAAACAAAATCAAGCAAACTTTCCAGAACTGATGAAACCAAATTTCAGATTGAAAGAACCTATGGTGTGCTCAGCAAAATTCATAAAAATGACCCATATCAAGGTACATTTTAGTGAAACTTCAGAATATTAGAGCAAAAGAAATGTTCTTAACATTAGAAAAGGAAGGATAACTTTTGCTCAATACAAATAATTAGGAATCCGTATGGCATTAGAGCTCTTAATTGCAATTCTGGATGCCAGAAGAAAATGTGGCAATGACTTAAATATCCTGATGAAAACCATCACCTTCCTAGAATTATACTTAGGCAATCTATTTCTTCCATGCACTCTTTCCCATGAAATTGCTGGAGGATATGATCCACCTACAAAATGGAGTAAACCAGAAAAGTTTAGCATATGCAACATGGGAATGAAGAAATGTCCACAGAGGACAGGGAAGGCAGATGGCATGTCTACTGCTGTGCTCAAGCCTAGAAAGCAGCTGGTCTAGATTTTAGCAGAAAGTAGAGGATTCCCATAGGGACGTCTCCAGGACAACAACGGAACTGACAGATTACTCGGTAAGTCTGACTCTACTGAGAGTAATGTTAGAGTTCTGTCAATGGGCTTGGGTCATGAAGTAGTGAAGTATTGTATATGACAGAAAACTAAACGAATAAAAAAGAAGGAGAAATAGAAGAAATGTAATCATAGTGTATTACATGACCCAACTGTAGTAATTCTAGTACTAATTATTACCAAATAATTATTACTCTAACAAAAAGATATAATGAAACTATCAGGAGGATGAGGGAATTGTGTGAAGGGAATGGATGGGAGAAAGGAAAGCTAAATCCTTATTCTCTATAAATCAATAACGTGGGCTGGGCACAGTGGCTCACGCCTAGAATCCCAGCACTTTGGGAGGCTGAGGCAGGTGGATCACCTGAGGCCAGGAATTTGAGACCAACCTGGCCAACATGGCAAAACTCTGTCTCTATTAAAAATACAAAATATTAGCCGAGCATGGTGGCAGGCACCTGTAACCCCAGCTAGTCGGGAGGCTGAGGCAGGAGAATTTCTTGAACCCAGAAGGCAGAGGCTGCAGTGAGCCGAGATCATGCTATAAATATAATTTTTTAAAAAGCACTAAAATTAGGAACTTTAATTCATCTGAAATAATGGGTAAATTCCCACTTTACAAATTTTGTTATAGCAAATGTTGGCATATTTAATTTATTTACAAAAAAGAGTTATCTGGAATCTTTTAGTATTTCATCTCTATTAGCCTTCTTTGTGTATGGCCCTGTAGTTGCATTTCTCTGATTGTTTAGGGCTGTAACTTAAGAAACTACCCAGGTCTTACAGTTCCTCTGAACTCCACAGAAATGTCACCCAGTTGATGCTGTTCTACCCCAGTTGGCCACTACCCGGTCTTTGGAGTAATGCAAAGCCTACTGATGTGGCTTGCAGGCAGGAATTTTCCTGCACTATGGCCCCGGTTGGTAATGATCCTCCTTTGTAACTTGATTAATGAGTGTTATGTGTGATTAATGAGTGGGATGATGAAACATTAAACAGCTGAATACAATATTGAGTATCTGGCTGTTCAGAAGGTCACTTTTGGATATCAGCTAAAAATATTGGTGAAAAATATTCTATGCCTGCATAGCTGTCTAGGGACCTAGAAGGCCACCTACTTCTTTGCCTCTCAAAAAGTTATTCCAAAGTGTTGTCAGAAGAAAAGCATAATAGTATACAAAAGTAGCTCCAAAGTAGAACACTGGAGCTGTGAAATTTTTTCTCATCTTGTAGTTTATCTTTTAAAATTCATTTAAATTTTGCGTTCATATACATTTGTGTTTGTTAAATACATACTCTTCTAACAGCTAACATTTACTGAACATTTTATGGCTGTGCTGTGCCTAGTACTTTACATATAGTTTCTTAATCTTCACAGCTATTTTATAGGATAGATTTTATCCTTATTAGGTATAAAAGGAAACAGAAACACAGACAGGTTGAGTAATTTGCTGAAGACCACACAGCTAGTAAACAGTGGGAAAAGGAATTAAACATTACAGCATAGTTTCTAAGCATGCAGCCTTTGCTTTCTGACTCTTTGGAATCATTCAGTCTTTTATAACTGCCTTTCTTATCTATGGTTCCCAGTTTTTCATAAGGGGTATTAGGACTGCATTTTAAAAATCATGAATCCGTTTCATCTACTCTCGTTCGTTATGACAGAAACCAGTAGAATCAATGTCATCACTTTTAACAAATATTGATCAACAAATTATTGATTTGATTAAAAAACCTATAGGTGTTATATTCCTGGCATTAATACTATCAATGTATTTGTATCAATTTCCTGGAAGCCCTTAGTGGAGGGTCACTTTGGAAACAGTGGGCTGGATCTAGGTGTTCTTTTGCTCCATTGATAACACTCTCTACCAGCTAGGCACCAAATCACATGGACCAGGAGTCTTGCAATGTCAGATTCAGCAATGTGTGGCCTTCACCATTATGTTATATTGCTGACCACTCACATCTTTCTGTCCTCATATTTAACAATGCAATAGTCAGATTTAATGGCCATTTTCAAGCTTCATGTTTTAGATGTCCTTGGTGGTATGTACATTCCCATCTATTCCCATGGTATTGAACTTGTTATCTTTGCATTGATTGCTAGCCTACATTGTGGGGTTCCCTGAGTGAATATACCATACATTCTTGGCGCCCTCAATGTTGTGTGGTCACAGAGTACTCCTATGCACGTAAGGGCTCTTAACCAGGGAAACATCCTTTTGAGTTGAAAGGCTAATGGAATGGACTTCCCAGCCAGAATATCAAGGTTCTTTGACGCATTACAGCAAAAGTCCTTCTCTGGTGTTTCTTGATCAGGAAAACAATTTAAGGATGATTTGAACTCTTTTTCTAAAATTGTCTAAGCTCGATTGTCTAAGGCAGGGGTTTCTCAACCTCAGCACTATTGACATCTTGGGCCAGGGAGTCCTTTGTTTGGTGGGGACTGTCCTTTAAGTTGCAGGATATTTAGCAGCATCCTTGGCCTCCACCACTACATGCCAGTAACTGCCTACCCCCTACTGTTAGGACAAGCAGAAAAATGTCTCCAGACACTGTCAAATGTCTCCTGGAGGGACAAAATTGCACCCAGTTGAAAAAACACTGGTGTAAGGTAAATTCCAACATAAATTCCAATGAAAAAGTTCATAAAGTGTTATATTGAGTTTTATTTATTTCAGAATACTGTCCTCTAGCCTGACTTCAATATAAAGCTCATTTTGGCAATTTTTACATTTACTGTAAGATTAAAAGAAAGTATAGTAATCACTATATTTTTTCCTCTTTTTTCAATGCCTCCTGTTTTCTTAAAACCAGATGCTTCCAAAGCACAGACCCCCTCATGCACAGCTTCACCTCAAGCTCCAAGCTCACATATTCACCTGCATAACCACCATCTTCTCCTGATCATCCCCCAGGAACCTCAGCCCCGTGTTCCACACTGAACTCATTCTCTGACTCAACAAATCTCTTCTTTCCTCACTCCCAGCATAAAATTTGTTTCCAAAAATTTTTTATTTGATTTCCTAAATGGCTCTTGAGTCTGTCCTCTTGGCCTCCCCCTGGTTACATCCTCAGTTCAGACTCATTTCCCATCTGCACTGCAGCAGCGGACTCCTGACTGCCTCCAGTCCATCCTCCACACTGCTGCTCAAGCCAACTCTACAACACAAACCTATTATTTGACTTCCTTGAACACCCTCCAAATTCCCTTAGCAGGGCTTGTGAAGCCTTTTGTAAAGCATCCCTTGCTCTCCACCATATTATAACAATAAATTAGTGAATTCTATATTTGCTAATAGAATAAAGGCACTCTAAAAAGTTGAGGGACAAATTAAGTACATAAAATATTAAAACTTTATATATCCTATTATATTGAAGTAATCTTAGTGAGATGGACTTGAGTGTGTAAACTTCTCAGGTTTGAGTGCTTTTTAAATTAGGAAAGATTTGAAATGTCAGCACACACTATCAGGAGTGCCAAAAACATAATTATTTTCTCTATTAATGAATTTAATTTCCATTTTAGATTTAACTTCTTATTTTTCCAGGTAGAAAACTCTTAACCTCAACTGATTCAGCGCTTTCCTCCTGTGTTGCATCTCAGTTCTGAGACCTTAGTGAAGTCACGATAGAGTTTTTAGTGCAAACCATGACACTTTCTAGAGTGAGAAGTACTGCTGTTTAGCAATTAGGCTTGAGGCAACTGGCATAAATCAGGGCTTTCCTAGGAACACAGTGATATATGTTAGTCCAGTAACATAAGGGTGTGGGTCTTTGAGGATAATCAGTCATCAGTATGTCTGTGCTAGACGGATAGACAATATTATACACAGGTACATTAGAGTCCAGAGAGGGAAATGTTCTGCCTCATTTGTATCTGGTCTTCACTCATCTGTGGTCATCTTTGGTTATATGTCTCCGCTGCTTCCTCACTTACATTCATCTCTGATCTAGCTTGCTCCCCATTCCCTCCAAGCTCCACTGAGATGGACAGAAAAAAAATGGAATCTCCTGCTCTTCACAGAGATGGAACATGGCTATCTCAGACATGCCTACTGAACCAATTTATTATTTATTTATTTATCTTTATTTATTTATTTTTCTTTAAGTTCTGGGATACATGTGCTGAACGTGCAGGTTTGTTACACAGATATACATGTGCCATGGTGGTTTGCTGCACCTATCAACCCGTCATCTAGGTTTTAAGCCCCGCATACATTAGGTATTTATCCTAATGCTCTCCCTCCCCATGCCCCGCACCCTGCAACAGGCCCCCGTGTGTGACGTTCCCCTCGCTATGCCATGTATTCTCATTGTTCAACTCCCACTTTTGAGTGAGAACATGCAGTGTTTGGCTTTCTGTTCCTGTGTTAGTTTGCTGAGGATGATGGCTTCCAGCTTCATCCATGTTCCTGCAAAGGACATGAACTCATTCTTTTTTATGGCTGCATGGTATTCCATGGTATATATGTGCCACATTTTCTTTATCCAGTCTATCATTGATAGGCATTTGGGTTGCTGAACCACTTTTGTGTCATGATAGTTGCAGAAACATTCTGTGGGCCTTGCAACTCTCTTGACTTCCCCCTCAAAACCCCAAATAGAGCTCACCACTGCTCTTGGATTCTGAACTCTATCTCTGGTTTCTATTCCACACCCCACACCTAACTAGGAAATAGACTTCGGGTGAGATACAGAATTGCTTTTCAGGAATCCACCTGCATGGATTCCTAAAGACAAAGTTATTTTTCTTCTTCTTTTTGCTTTCCCTATGTAATATTTACCTCTTCTGTAACAAGGCAGCCTGCTTTGTCTTTTTTCTAAGATTTGTTGTTTGTGACATAAATAGCATACCCTAGTATTATAGATTTTAAAATGAAAAACTCTAATTGAAACCCAAAGGTGATTCCTTTGCTTGTGTATCTTGTTCTAGCTCCCCTGAGACACTAAATGCTGCTGACAATAATGGGGGAAGGCAAAAGATATAAGAAACTACAGGGAGTAATACAAGTCAAATATTTGATAAGCATAACAGCATTAAATGTTTTCATCTACTGAATGCAAATATATTCTAGAGTAGAAAAAAATGAGTATGTCAGTTGCAATGGTAACTTTATATGTCAACTCAGCTAGGCTATGGTGCCAAGTTGTTTGGTCAAACACCAGTCTAGAGGTTGCTGTGAAGATATTTTAAAAATTTGATTAAGGGATAGAACAGACATACCTTAAGGTAATAAAAGCCATTTATGACAAACCCATAGCCAACCTTATACTGAACAGGGAAAAGTTGAAAGTATTTCCCCTGAGAAATGGAACAATACAAGGCTGCCCACTTTCACCACATCTATTCAACGTAGTAGTTGAAGTTCTAGCCAGAGTAATCAGACAAGAGAAAGAAATAAAGGGCATCCAAATTGGTAAAGAGGAAGTAAGACTGTTGCTGTTCACCAATGATATGACTGTATACCTAGAAAACCCTAAAGACTCATCCAAAAAGCTCCTAGACCTGATAAGTGAATTCAGTAAAGTTTCAGTATACAAAATCTATGTGCACAAATCAGTAGCACTGCTATACACCAAAAGTGACCAAACTGAGAATCAAATCAATAACTCAACCCCTTTTAAAACAGCTGCAAAAAAAAAAATACTTAGGAATATACCTAACCAAAGAGGTGAAAGATCTCTACAAGGAAAACTACAAAACACTGCTGAAAGAAATCATAGATGACACAAACAAATGGAAACACAATCCATGCTCATGGATAGGTAGAATCAATATTGTAAAAATGATCATACTACCAAAAACTATCTATAAATTCAATGCAATTCCCATTAAAATACCATCATCATTCTTCAAATAACTAGAAAAAAAATCCTAAAATTCATGGGGAGCTAAAAAAGAGCCCACATAGCCAAAGCAAGACTAAACAAAAGGAACAAATCTGGAGGCATCACCTTATCCAACTTCAAACTGTGCTAACAAGGCTATAGTCACTGAAAAACAGCATGGTACTGGTATAAAAACAGGCACGTATACCAATGGAACAGAATAGAGAACCCGGAAATAAAGCCAAATACTTACAGCCAACTGATCTTTGACAAAGCAAACAAAAACATAAAGTGGAAAATGACACCTTATTTAACAAATGGTACTGGGATAATTGGCAAGCTACATGTAAAAGAATGAAACTGGATCCTCATCTCTCACCTTATGCAAAAATCAACTCAAGATGGATCAAAGACTTAAATCTAAGACCTGAAATCATAAAGAGCCTAGAAGATAACATTGAAAAAACCCTTCTAGACATTGGCTTAGGCAAAGCCTTCATGACCAAGAATCCAAAAGCAAATGCAACAAAAACGAAGAAAATAGATGAGACTTAATGAAACTAAGAAGCTTCTGCACAGCAAAATAAATAATCAGCAGAATAAACAGATAACCCACAAAACAGGTGAAAAATCTTCACAAACCATGCATCTGACCAAGAACTAATATCCTGAATCTACAAGGAACTCAAACAAATAAGAAAAAAAAAAATCTCATCAAAAAGTGGGCTAAGGACATGAACAGCCAATACTCAAAAAAGGATATACAAATGGCCAACAAACATATGAAAAAATGCTCAACATCATTAATGATCAGGGAAATGCAAATCAAAATCACAATTCAATACCACCTTACTCCTGCAAGAATGGGCATAATTAAAAATCAAAAAATAATAGACGTTAGCATGGATGTGGTGAAAAAAGGAACACTTTTACACTGCTGGTGGGAATACAAACTAGTACAACCACTGTGGAAACAGTGTGGAGATTCCTTAAAGAATGAAAAATAGAACTGCCATTTGGTCCAGCAATCCAACTACTGGATATCTACCCAGAGGAAAAGAAGTCATTATATTAAAAAGACACTTGCACACACATATTTATAGCAGCACAATTTGCAATTGTGAAGTTATGGAACCAGCCTAAATGCCCATCAACCAAAATGTGGATAAAGAAAAAGTTATATATATATATATACCCATGGAGATATATACATATATATATATATAAATCCATGGAGATTATATATATGGATATATATATATATAAATCCATGGAGATTATATATATGGAGATATATATATATATATGGAGATATATATATATATATGGAGATATATATATAATCTCCATGGATTACTACTTAGCCATAAAAAGGAATGAAACGAAATTATGGCATTCACAGCAACCTGGATGGAGTTGGAGACCATTATTCTAAGTTAAGTAACTCAGGAATGGAAAACTAAACATCATATGTTCTCACTTATAAATGGGAGCTGAGCTATGAGGATGCAAAAGCATAAGAATGATGTAATGTTCTCTGGGGACTTGGGGGAAGTCTAGGAGGGTGATGAGGGGTAAAAGACTTCACATTAGGTGCAGTATACACTGCTTGGGTGATGAATGCACCAAAAATCTCAGAAATCACCACTAAATAACTTATCCATGTAACAAAACACCACCTGTTCCCCAAAAACTATTGAAATGATAACAAGAAAATGTGACTAACATTTAAATCAATAGACTTTGAGTAAAGTTGATTACTATCCATAATGTGAGTGAGCCTTATCTAACAATTTGAAGGCCCTAAGAGCAAAGATGGAGGCTTCCCAAAGAAGAAGGAATTCTCAAGACTGCAACATTAGAAAGGGCTAGATTCTTTCTTACCCAAACAGCACATAGTGAGAATTCCATAACATTAATGAGACAGGGAAATTATTTTCCTTGCTAATAATTTAGAAGAAAACAGAAACCAAGTGACTGCTCTTAATATAGATGACAGAAAGCACTTAATAAAATCCAACAGCCATTCCTGTTATAAAATTTTAAAACTATAACAGCAAATATAACAACAATAAAGAACAAAACCTTTTAATTAACCAGAAAGAACAATAATTTCTCAATATAAATAAATAAAACTTAGAATATATAGCAAATTTCATCCTAACAACAGTGATGTTGTTTGGCTGTGTCCCCACTCAAATCTCATCTTGAATTGTAGCTCATGTAATCCCCACTTGTCATGGGATGGACCCAGTGGGAGGTAATTGAATCATGGCACTGGGTGTTTCCTGTGCTCTTCTCGTGATAGTGAATAAGTCTTACAAGATCTGATGGTTTTATGAAGGGCAGGTCCCCTGCACACACTCTCCTGCCTGCCGCCATGTAAGACGTGGTTTTGCTCCTCCTTTGCCTTCCACTGTGATTGTGAGGCCTCACCAGCCATGTGGAACTGTGAATCCATTAAACCTCTTTTTCTTTACAAATTATCCAGTCTCAGGTATGTTTTCATTAGCAGCGTGAGAACAAACTAACACACACACACTCAAGGCATCCAATTTAAACCAGAAACAAATAGGCTGTGGTCAGCTGTCACTATCATTCCTCCAAATGATTCTGGAGTTCCAGCAAATGCGAAAGAACAAAATAACAGAGGACTATAAATATTGAAAAGGAAGAACACCTAACAAAATCTAGAAATTATATAAGTCAATTCCAAGAGAATGAACTGAAATCAAAGTGTGATAAGATGGCCAAATGTAAGGTAAAAAAACAAAACAACAGCTTTCCTGTACATTGAGACTAACCAACCAGAAAACCGAAAAAAAAAAAAGACCTCATTCACATTACCAACGCTTACAAGGAAACTAGGATAAATACAACTTAATACCGCATGTTTGTAAGCTATTTGACAGAAACCTGTAAAATGTTACTAAATAATGCAAAAGATGAATGAAAAAATGATGAGAAATGCATGCCACATTGCTGGATGGGACAAACCAAAATTATAAAGATGTTAATTATCCTTAACAAATTTCAGTGAATTTCTATCAGAATCTTTGAGTCTATGTGTTTGTGTTTGGGTGTGTGTGTAAATCTACTTATAATTTGATAGTTTTATAGAAAATAAAATGTAAGTATTTATAGTTAACTGAAGAAGAAATAAAAACTTAAATACGCAAATAATCATAGAACAATATTTTCTTTCTTTTTTTTTTTTTTTTGGAGATGGAATCTCACTGTCACCCAGGCTAGAGTGCAGTGGTATGATCATGGCTCACTGCAGCCTCAACCTCCCAGGCTCAAGTGATCCCCCTGCCTGTCTCCTAAGTGGCTGGGACTATAGGCATCTGCCACCATGCCCAGCTAATTTGTGTGCGTTTTGTTTGTTTTAGAGGTGGGGTCGCACTATGTTGCCCAGGCAAGAACAGTTCTTAAAAGTTACCGGAAAACTAGTTCCTCTTCATAAAACACCAAGTCTACCAAACTAGAATTCTACCAACCCTTCCAGAGTTGTACTGAAACTTCCAGAAGCAGCTGTGTGCAATTTAAATACAAAAACAAAAACCTTCTCATTAATTCTCTACATCTTCAATAGTGTTGTTACTGAGCCTAATAATAGCACATGCATATATAACATATACTTGCCACTTCAAAGCAAACTCAATTATTTATATTGAGGCAAAAATTCTAAATGAAATATGTGTTGAGTTTATATTTATCAAATGTTTAGAACTATGCAAATATTCTCAAGCAAAAAAAAAAAAAAAAAAACAGTGTCTGGAATACATTAAGTCCAATACAGGGACTTAAGTGTAAATTAATTAATAAATAAGTAAATATAAATTAAATCTAACAGGAATGTAAGGATTTTTCCCATTGAAATATATTAATCACATTAGTAACTTAATGGAGAAAGATTATATGATTAAAAAGGCAGGTGTTTTAAAAGCATATACCATGTTTATAAGCAATTGATAAGTTTGTAAATTATCTAATCTATTCGGCAATATTAAAACACTCTTATAAATAATTTTTGGGTCAAAGAAAAATTTAGAGCTGCAGCATAGCAAATTTAGAAAGTGACAGCAAAATACTATACATAAAAACTTGCAAAATGCAGTCACAATTGTACTGTTAATAACATGAAGTAATTTTTAAAATAAAGTAAATAAAGTAGTCCTTCAATTCAAGCAGTTAAAAAACGAAGATATCGGTAGCTTTATGGGGATGGCATTGAATCTGTAAATTACCTTGGGCAGTATGGCCATTTTCACGATATTGATTCTTCCTACCCATGAGCATGGAATGTTCTTCCATTTGTTTGTATCCTCTTTTATTTCCTTGAGCAGTGGTTTGTAGTTCTCCTTGAAGAGGTCCTTCACATCCCTTGTAAGTTGGATTCCTAGGTATTTTATTCTCTTTGAAGCAATTGTGAATGGGAGTTCACTCATGATTTGGCTCTCTGTTTGTCTGTTGTTGGTGTATAAGAATGCTTGTGATTTTTGTACATTGATTTTGTATCCTGAGACTTTGCTGAAGTTGCTTATCAGCTTAAGGAGATTTTGGGCTGAGACAGTGGGGTTTTCTAGATATACAATCATGTCGTCTGCAAACAGGGACAATTTGACTTCCTCTTTTCCTAACTGAATACCCTTTATTTCCTTCTCCTGCCTAATTGCCCTGGCCAGAACTTCCAACACTATGTTGAATAGGAGTGGTGAGAGAGGGCATCCCTGTCTTGTACCACTTTTCAAAGGGAATGCTTCCAGTTTTTGCCCATTCAGTATGATATCGGCTGTGGGTTTGTCATAGATAGCTCTTATTATTTTGAAATACGTCCCATCAATACCTAATTTATTGAGAGTTTTTAGCATGAAGGGTTGTTGAATTTTGTCAAAGGCCTTTTCTGCATCTATTGAGATAACCATGTGGTTTTTGTCTTTGGCTCTATTTATATGCTGGATTACATTTATTGATTTGCGTATATTGAACCAGCCTTGCATCCCAGGGATGAAGCCCACTTGATCATGGTGGATAAGCTTTTTGATGTGTTGCTGGATTCGTTTTGCCAGTATTTTATTGAGGATTTTTGCATCAATGTTCATCAAGGATATTGGTCTAAAATTCTCTTTTTTGGTTGTGTCTCTGCCCAGCTTTGGTATCAGAATGATGCTGGCCTCATAAAATGAGTTAGGGAGGATTCCCTCTTTTTCTATTGATTGGAATAGTTTCAGAAGACTTTCTTCACAGAATTGGAAAAAACTACTTTAAAGTTCATATGGAACCAAAAAAGAGCCCGCATCGCCAAGGCAATCCTAAGCCAAAAGAACAAAGCTGGAGGCATCACACTACCTGACTTCAAACTATACTACAAGGCTACAGTAACCAAAACAGCATCGTACTGGTACCAAAACAGAGATATAGATCAATGGAACAGAACAGAGCCCTCAGAAGTAATGCCGCGTATCTACAACTATCTGATCTTTGACAAACCTGAGAAAAACAAGCAATGGGGAAAGGATTCCCTATTTAATAAATGCTGCTGGGAAAACTGGCTAGCCATATGTAGAAAGCTGAAACTGGATCCCTTCCTTACACCTTATACAAAAATCAATTCAAGATGGATTAAAGATTTAAACGTTAGACCTAAAACCATAAAAACCCTAGAACAAAACCTAGACATTACCATTCAGGACATAGGCATGGGCAAGGACTTCATGTGCAAAACACCAAAAGCAATGGCAACAAAAGACAAAATTGACAAATGGAATCTAATTAAACTAAAGAGCTTCTGCACAGCAAAAGAAACTACCATCAGAGTGAACAGGCAACCTACAGAATGGGGGAAAATTTTCGCAACCTACTCATCTGACAAAGGGCTAATATCCAGAATCTACAATGAACTCAAACAAATTTACAAGAAAAAAACAAACAACCCCATCAAAAAGTGGGTGAAGGACATGAACAGACACTTCTCAAAAGAAGACATTTATGCAGCCAAAAAACACATGAAGAAATGCTCATCATCACTGGCCATCAGAGAAATGCAAATCAAAACCACAATGAGATACCATCTCACACCAGTTAGAATGGCAATCATTAAAAAGTCAGGAAACAACAGGTGCTGGAGAGGATGTGGAGAAATAGGAACACTTTTACACTGTTGGTGGGACTGTAAACTAGTTCAACCATTGTGGAAGTCAGTGTGGTGATTCCTCAGGGATCTAGAACTAGAAATACCATTTGACCCAGCCATCCCATTACTGGGTATATACCCAAAGGACTATAAATCATGCTGCTATAAAGACACATGCACACGTATGTTTATTGCGGCATTATTCACAATAGCAAAGACTTGGAACCAACCCAAATGTCCAACAATGATAGACTGGATTAAGAAAATGTGGCACATATACACCATGGAATACTATGCAGCCATAAAAAATGATGAGTTCATGTCCTTTGTAGGGACATGGATGAAACTGGAAATCATCATTCTCAGTAAACTATTGCAAGAACAAAAAACCAAACACCGCATATTCTCACTCTTAGGTGGGAATTGAACAATGAGATCACATGGACACAGGAAGGGGAATATCACACTCTGGGAACTGTGGTAGGGTGGGGGGAGGGGGGAGGGATAGCATAGGGAGATATACCTAATGCTAGATGACGAGTTAGTGGGTGCAGCGCACCAGCATGGCACATGTATACATATGTAACTAACCTGCACAATGTGCACATGTACCCTAAAACTTAAAGTATAATAAAAAAAAAAACAAAAAACAAAAACAAAAACAAAAAAAACAAAGATATCTTTAAAAAAGAAAAAAGTAAATAAAAAGTATAAAACTTAAATCAACCAATAAAAGATACAGAGTTACTGAGATAAGTAAGTTGCTATTTAAGTCTTGAATGATATCAGGGATACCAACTGTAACCCTATTCTGGCACTGGTCTGGTCCAGGGTGAGGTGAAAAGTTCTATAGCACATTGTCTTAAGCATGAACTTAAATACAGTAGCAGCTAACTATCTAGTACTCTCTAGTAACCTGGTTGGATCTTCTTTGCTCATAAAATCGATTCTGTCTCTTTCTTTCTTTTCCTTCCTTCCTTTCTTTTCTTTTCCTTTTCTTTTCTTTTTCTTTCTTTCTTTCTCTCTTGCTTCTCTCCCTCTCTCTGCGTCTCTGTCTGTCTTCTTCTCCTCTCTCTCTCTCTCTCCCTGTCATTTTCATTTAAAGATATCTAGAACACAGGTCAGCAAGCTTTCTCTACAAAGGTCCAGACAGTAAATATATTAGGCTTCCAGGCCCAAGTGATGCACCAGATTTGGCCTGTAGGCTATAGTTTGCTAAATCCTGATCTAGAGTAAAAGTACAAAATGTGGAAATTCAGTAGCTAAGTAGAAAGTCAGCAGCCTGCAGCTGCTTATATTCATAGACATTGTGTGTAAGGCTGAGTAGGTGGTCATCTACTACATGGTATATGCCAAAAAGGGGAAGTTAGATCCTGAAGCCACGTCAGTGGTCTGAGCATGATGGGCACAAGGACGCAAAGTTGAGAGAGCCTGACCTGAAACAGAGCTCGCTGTAGGTGCACATTCCCTGGAAACTGCTCCTCCACCATTTGTTTCTTTGTACTGAGAGAGCATCCTCATCATCAGAACCTGAATGTCTTCCACTGATGAGAAGATAAGACAAACTTGCATCTACCTGCAGTTTCTCAGTATTTCAACATTTAAGAGAATTTTCTTTCAGGTTTCTATTCTACTTATGCCAAATGCCATATTCAACCTGCTCCTAGGTTGAGATTTCACAAACTTCTTTTGTTAGAATGAGAAGATTAATTGCAATAAAAGAAAGAATAGTTATCTCTTGTCCTTGAAATAAGGTGTAGGAGCAAATTCTGTAGGTTTTTGTATTAATAAATTATTTGTTAAGATTTAATCTAGTTTGACCTCTGTGAGAGTGCTTTTGCTGAGCTGTAGTACACACAGTACAATCTAGACCAGTACTACCCAACTGAAATATAGTAATGTGAACATAAATGCAATTATAAATCTTCTAGTAGTCACATTAAAAAGTTTTTTAAAATAGGTGAAATCAATTTAATAATATATTTTACTTTACCCTATGTAACCAAAACTTTATCATTTCAATATATAAGCAATATAAAAATGATTCATGAGATATTTTACACTACCTTTGTTCATGCTAAGTCTTCAAAACCCTGTACATATTTTCCACTTATAGAACAACTCAACCTGGACAAGCTACATGTGGCTAATAGCTAACGTATTGTACAGAACAGATCTAGACTAAAACGTGTTGTGAAAAAGAATTAAAAAGACATTTCTGTGCATTATCATAAGTCTACAGATTATTAAAAGACGGAAATATATTTAAGGTTTAATTTTTCTATCTGGCTCCCTCATTATATGAATAGAAATACTAAAAATCAGCAAAGTTAGATGATTCTCTGGAAATCATTCAGTTAATCAGAGTGGCAGAATCAAGACAACAATCCTGTTAGGATGGGAAAAAATCAAATATCCAATCAAATGGGCTTAAACAATACCTTGGATGATCTTGATACCTAACATAACAAGATTCCCATGTTGGTTGCTTCAGAATCTCAACAGGGCCATCAAAAGTTCCAGTTTTTTCCATCCTGCTCTGCCATCCTCTGTGTGTCAGCTTTGCCCTCAGTTGGCCCCTTCCTGGTTGCAAGATGGCTGTTTCTATCCTGGAAAAAAACCTCCAGCAAGAAGGATGTATGGAAGAAGAAAAGAGCAGTCTCTTTACATGCCTTTTTCTTAAGAGAGAGAAAACTTTTTCCAGAAGCCCTCAACAGTAGAATCCTTCTTTTATCTTAATGACCAGAAATGGAGTTCTGCTTATCCTTAAACCAATCACTGGCAAGACAAATAGGATTACAGGATTCTCTTAGATTAATTATCTCAGAGTAGAATGAAAGCTGGAAAAAACAACCACAAAGGCTACCACACCTCTGATTAAAATCAATAGCTGAAACACCATTTGTAGTGGGAATATAGTAATATATAACCACCAAACTCTATAAACAGCAATCTTTTATTTGCCCCAAATTCTATTTGGATTTAATAAACTAATGACTTCACAAACATACATGAAATGACCTAACCAATATCATCTTCATATTTCTTTATCTAAACCCTGGAATCTTAAAACAGAAGGCTCCCATTATGTTAATACAGAGATTCAATAGTCTTTTATTGAAGACTATTAGAGACTAAATGTTTGTGTCCCCCAAAACTCATATGTTGAAACCTGATCCCCATTGTGAGTATATTTGGAGGTTGGGCCTTTGAAAGATTATTAGATTATGGGGGCAGATACGCCATTAATGACATTAGTCCCTTTATAAAAGAAACCCCACAGAGCTCTTTTGCCATCTATGAACCAGGAAGCAGGACCTCACCAGACACTGAATAGGCTGATGCCTTGATCTTGGACTTTCCAGCCTTCAGAACTGTAGGAAATAAATTTCTGATGTTTATAAAATAACCGGTTTATGATGTTTTTTATAGGAGCCTGAACTGGCTAAAATAAGAGCCTACTCTGTAGCAGGTACTGATTTCATCACTGCCACATGCACCACATTTCATCCTTATAAGCACCCATGAAATAACTTTTCAAATCATTTCTCCATTAGCCTGGGTCTCAGAGAAGTTAGTGGTGTCCTCAAACTCACACAGCTCTGAAGTTATTAATGTATAGATCCCAATTTCAAATCCAAGTTTTTCACTCTAAGTCCAGTACTGTTTCTGCACCATAAATTGACTATTATACTGGAAAATGTTGTCAGCTAGTAGCTTAGGTTAGGGGGCCGCATAGAGTTATTTTCTCTTCCTTTCTAATCTTTGTAAATAAACTATGTAAAAATTTAGCGAGAAGAGGGAGTCCATAACTAAATCCCAAACGGAATAGAGTTACAGAGAAAGCGCCATATACGGCAGAGGCTGGCAAACTGTAACCCAGCAGCTGCCTGGTTTTTAAATAAAGTTTTATCAGAACACAGACATTTGTTTACATATTGTTTATGACTGCTTTCTCTCTAAAGGGCAGAGTTGAGTAGTTGCAACAGAAACCCTATGGGCTGCAAAGCTGAAAATATTTACTATCTAGTTATTTACAGAAAGTGTGAAAGTGTTCCAACTCCTCACATAAAGGAAAGCTCCTAGAATTTGAAATCAAGAGGCCTGAAGTTGAAATCAAGTTCTGACTTGATGTAATGGTTGTGTATACTTGGGGCATTGTATTTAACCTCTCAGAATTCAGTTTCCCTCTGAAAAGTAGAAATCATGTTTAATTCAAGAAGTTTTGAGAATTACATAAGCTTATGTAGATGACAGTAGTTTGTAATTGAAAAGTGGTGGCCAGTACATATGAGCAGGAAGAATAGCTTTTGTCAAGTCTCAGAGAAGAGAGGAAAATCTCATTTCTTTGCTATATTGAGGTTTTCATAACATTAGAGCAAAAAATCCAGGCTGTAGCCAAACCAAAGTGAGAAGAATAGGGATATTTTGCTGCTTGAGGTAGCACTATTTGCTTGGCTGAGCAGGAGCTGATTGTGAAGAATTCAATGACATGAAGATAAGGTGATGGGCATGTCTCTCAAGTGGCTTCCTACAGAAGCCAGAAGAATAAATAGGAGGGCCAATGGGCATTGGTGGTTAGCACAATTGACCAAACCAAATAATTCAGGGACCAGACAATTGTCTTTAAAGAGTTTAAAGTTAGATTAAAAACATACCAGCCTCCTATTATGGCATTATCTGCTTAAAAAAGGTGCATGTTTCCAATTACAAAGGTCACACTGTAAAAAGATGGTAGGATTTACATTATAATATGAATTTTAAAAGTAAAAATGTCATATTCTTATAATTTTTTAAAAACTTCCTGTGGCCTAAATTTGTGTATGATACACTCATGTAATTTCCTCCCTTGCTGTTGATCTTGACCACAATAAAAAAGCAGTCATTTTTCTATTTTTAAACCTTGTCAGCAAATATTTTTTCCCTCTTGTTCTAGGCCACCCTGGATTATAGAGGAAAAATAAAAAACAGTAAAATATGGAGCAAAGTACAGCAAAAAGGGCCATTTATACTGCTATTCTGACTGCTATTACTAGCAATAACTATCAACTCTAAACTGTTCAACAGTGAGTCCACACCAATAAGTGGAAACATTTTTTATAAGTGCTGTGTAATAATATCTGACATGTATATAGTACTTTTCATCTCTAAGAATCCCAAAGCACCATGTGCAGCCTCCTGGGATCACTTCTCCACTAAAAAGTATAACAGCCTCTGGAGTTCAAGGTGGCAACCCTTCCATACAGGGTTGTAACAGTCCACAATTCTTGGTATTCTTGGGGAGAAGGCAAGAGGAAGTATGTGTCCATCTTATAGCCCTCCCGAGCCTGCTTAGTTTATGCTCTCCTTTCCTATGTTCAACATGTGGACCCTAAAGATAAACTCTCCTACCTCTCTTTGTGCTTCAATGGGAGGGCTGGTTCTTAAACAGCAGTGGGGAATTGAGAAATCTTATTTAAGCACTGATTTATTTTGACTGCTTTTTATTTAGAGAAGGGTTTGTGTATTAGTCTGTTCTCACGTTGCTAATAAAGACATACCCGAGCCTGGGTAATTTATCAAAGAAAGAGGTTTAATTGACTCATAGTTCCACATGGCTGCAGAGACCTCACAATCATGGTGGAGAGCAAAGTCACGTCTTATATGGCAGCAGGCAAGAGAGTGTGTACAGGGAAACTCACCTTTATAAAACCATCAGATCTTGTGAGACTTAGTCTTTATCATAAGAACAGCATAGCAAAGACCTGCTCCCATGATTCAATTATCTCCCACTGGGTCCCTCCCATGACACATGGAAATTATGGGAGCTACAATTCAAGGTGAGATTTGGGTGGGGACACACCCAAACCATATCAGTTTGTGTGAGTTAAATTAAAAATAGCAACAGTAGAATTTCCTTTGAAACCACAGCCATTTTTAATACCTGGTACTGCTACTTTCTAGCTGTAGATTTGGGGCAGGTTTCTTAACATTTTTAAGCCCCATATTTAAAAATGGAGATACATTTAATACCTACTTCCGAGTAGGCTTACAAACTTAAATTTAAAGTGACAGGCAGAGTAGTCAGGATCACACAGGCACAAAATAATTGTGCTTTCCTCCACTTCCACAGGGTATGTCTATAGGAAACAGTCTGTGTTCATTGATTAAATTGGATGGTGGGAGGGGTTTGAGAGTGGAGTTCTATTGTTTCTTAACAGAGAAGTTTACTTTAGTAATGGCAATTCTATGGATTAGGAGTCAAGGATTTGATTTAATAATCTTTGGGTGTGTCAGTTATTTGATGTCTCCAATTAACCCTGTCTACTAAAAGGAAAAAATAATATCCCCTACTCTTCTTACTAAAGAATTAGAGGATAAATTAAATAGTATCTGTAATATGGCTCTACTTCCACAGACTATGGTGCCGAGTAATGCAACATTACTCTGGTTATGATTGTTGATCAAGACTGGATTGGAAAGAAAATAATAAATACAAGAAAAAGATTCAGAATGGTCAAAGTCAACAGATAAAAAGGAATACAAATACTATCTAAAGATGAATCCCATCACTCCCCTACCCCCCATTATAAAAGTTCAGAAGAATACAGAAAACAAATAGAGGGTGAGCCATCTGTTTTTTCTGGATTATAGTATATTCATTTGGAAAATAGTTATTAAGAACCTACTGTGTGCAAAGCGCAACAATAGGAATGTTTCATTTTCAGAACAAATTAAAAAGTACTCAGTTCAACAAACGTTCCTCGATGTCTACTATGGACAAAGCACCATGCTCACTCTCAGTACTCATGAACTTGAAAAAATGATTAAAAAAAAAAACCCTTCATCTTCTAAGCCAAATGTCCATATCGATAGAAATAGCTATGTCATAGAAGACAAGGTGTAAAATGTATAAGATAATTGTAAACAGCATGAGCTTTGGAATTGATTAATGGTTTAAACAAAAGAGCTCCACCATTTGCTAGCTTTGTGACTTTAAAATCCTTTTTTCCTCATACTTAATTCATAGAGTTGTTTTAAGCTTGGAACAAGTTTATGTATAAAAGTACTTTCCAAAGGGCCTGGCCTACAGTATTCACTTAATTACATTAGCTTTAAAGATATTAATGATTTTGTCATGATTATTTACTAATAACTGGGAGTCTAATGGATTTAGAGCAGTGATTCTTAAGTGGGAGTGATTTTGCCACCCGGTAACATATGGCAATACCTGAAGACATTTTCAGCTGTCTAACTTGATAGGGCAAATACTACTCTCTAGTAGGTAGAGAGGAGCCAGAGATGCTCTTAAACATCCTGTAATAAACAGAACAACCTCTCACAACAAATAGTTATCCCGTCCAAAATATCAATAGTTCTAATGTTGAGAAACCCTAATTTAGAGAAACTTATCTATCTGGCTGGCTATCTATCTGTCATCTATCCACCCATCCGTCATCTATCAATCAAAATCAGTTTTGAATCAGCTAAACTGATTTAATTGCTATTAGGTTACCTGAGAATCAAAAAGCAAGCTATGTCTCTAAAGCGAAGTCTGGAGCAAATGTGAAGCCTAGAATTTGAGAAGAGAATATGGGATCCAGGAAAACCCTTGGTACTGTTGGTGATCAAGTATTGAAGCCCATTATTATTAAGGCATTAGACACAGAAACCAGGGCATTGCTGTGGGAAAGTACAATTTAGTGATACTTGCAACTCTGTCATTGAAGAGATAATAAAAGAAAATAAAGAAAAGCAGTCCAAACAGAGGCCACTAAGGCCAAAGAAACTCATCTGGAGAGTAACATGTTTAAAAACCAGCCTCAGGATCCTGCTGTTTTACTAAACGAAAAATGAGAAAACTTGAAGTACCATAGAAAGGATGTCTGGTCTGTCTCCTGGGGCAATGGGCCTCCTATTCAAGTAAATAACTCTTTTATGATATAGAGAGTGAGAAAGAGAAAGACATAACAGTACAATCAGTCTCCCACGGGGCAGATAGTAGGTAAAGAGACTGTGAGAGGACTGGGAGCCAAGTGTCTGGTCTTGGGAGGGCAGGCAGCCCCAAAGAAACAGCTGAGAGCCAAAGGGAACATGGTGTGGTGGTGTCTAAGCTGGAAAGGAGTAAATGCACAGGGAGGAGACAGCGTCAGTGGATTGTGTTTTATGAAACTGCAGCAAAGAAAATTGCAGAAGAGACAAGGAACCAGCCAGGGTGAGGAGTGTTGGCAGAAGTTAAAGTGACCCCTTTTGAAGGCCTTTTGTAGACAGAGCCCTGAACCCTAGTAATAATACAGGGATATTGGGTAAATGTAAAGGAAGTTCCTAAGTGCAGTTACAATGCACATAGAAGAGGAAGGGTCATTCCAACTAACTGTCTGAGACAGCAGGACTGAGACACTTCTAAATATCCCTGTCTTGAGACTTCTTACCCACTTTTGTGCATCTGGAACAATTGGTAGTCAGACTCAGCAGGTTTGATTATAGTTAGTTTTCATATTTATATTCCATAAAACTGTTCAAATGTAGGAAATATTGAGCCTCTGCTATGAGCTGATACAGGTCTTAGTATTTAGGGAGATTAGAGTCAGGTATACAGTGGGATGGGATACAGTGCTGGTGGTGGCAACAGGTTAGTAAGTACAACCTGAATGGCACCTGAATTCATAAACTGGAACCTGAAAAGAAGGAAATTCAGGAAAGAGAGACATCATCAATGTAGCATAAAGGTACCCAAATCTGGACAGATACAATGATTATCCTGATAAATCTATCTAAAGAGAAGATAAAGTCAGGTCAGGGTTTGTTGAGTTGCTACAGAGCTAGAACCCAAACAGGGTATGTATGAATGAGCACTCAGGAGCTCGTCCACTTTCTTCATCAGAGAATTCTTTAGCCATCCACTTAGATCGCAGTTAGAAGAGGGCAGAGAGGCTCCGGGCAGGTCTCCTAAAAGCAACCAGGAGCAAGGGAGGAGATAGAGCTGTACACAGCTTCTGCAAATTTGCAATCTGGGGCCACTTAACATAGAGTCAAATAGACCTTTATGTCTGAAAGTTTTATTTTGTTTAATAAATTGTGAGTTAATGTTCATAATAAAGACTCTGAGTCATTATGAAAGATATATATTATATAATAATTTCTATTCAAAAACTAGGGTAATATGTAAACCATTTCAGAAAAATATGTAAAAGAGACATTTTGGCATTTATGACGCTAAACCTTACAGAAGAAATTGGTTCGCTGAGAACAAGTCATACCTGAAATTCTTAAAAAAAGAATAGTAATTAGTAGTACAATTAACATTTGATATTAAAATATTATATAAAGCATGGATAAGTAAAACTTATTGACTCAGGAATAGATAAACAGATTAATAAACACATTTCCTAAAGGAAACCCAAATATATAGGGAAATTTATAATATGATAATATAAAATTTATAATAGAATAATTAATAATATGACATATAATATGATAATAGTGAAACATTAAACCGGTGAGGTAAAGATCGACATTTTAATAAAAGGTGTTAGGATCACTGGATAGCCATTTGGAAAGGGAAACATTGTATTTATACCAGTACAAACTCCAAATGCATCAAAGTTTTAAATGTAAAAATGAAATTATAAATGTATTTATAGAAAACGTGTATGAATTGTTTAATAACCTGACAGTATAAAACTATGACTCATATGGCAAACGAAACAAAAACCAAAACCTTCAAAAAGGTACAACTAACTGAGAAAAAATATTTGCGAGTCTTAGGAATAAGAAAATAAATGAGGAACAACCGAATAGAAAAACGCTTTAAAAACATTAATAGACCAAAGAAAATGAAATGTAAACGGCCCTTAAATACCTGAAACAAAAGCACAATTTCACTCATAATTAAAGACTACATTGACATTCCATTTTCTCAACTATCGAGCGGCAAAAAAATCCCAAAGTTTTTACAGCATGCTTTGTTGGCCAGGCTGTGGGTAGCGACACTGACCCATAACGCTGGTGTGAGTACAAAATGGTACAACATCTAAAAAGAAAAAAATAGCCACCAAATCTGGAAACATCTACCAAGATTACTGAAGCATTTATCCATTGACCCTTGACCCGGAAATCCCACTTTGGAGCCTCTTTCCTCTAGCATTGTTTCAAATAAGAAAAGACTGTGAAAAAGGGGTGGAAAATAAAAATAAATGCTCATATTTACTTGTGTTGAAATAAAGCAACAAGGAAAGCATGAAGAAAATAAAAATGGTTATTGCTAGGAGGCAGGAGAGTGAGATTTCTCACTGTCTACTTTTTATTATTATCTTTCTTTTGTACGTATATTAATTACGCAAACTAAATTTAACAATTCTAGCCTACAGCAGTGTTTTCCCAATGGCCATTCAGATGCCATTCTAACCATGTTCAAAATGTTTTTATCAAAACACGAATCTGATTATGTCAGGTTAAAATTCTTGGTATTTTCTCATTGCCTTCAGGAGAAAAATCCCAATTCCATATTTGGCATATAAGGCTCCTCCTGACTTGTTCGGTGTATCAGGATCTACAGACTTTCCTCTCCTCCTTCATCTAGTGCAAACTTGTCCATGTCAAGATAATCTGCCTTATCTTATTGTTGTTGTTATTGTTCTGTTTTGTTTTGTTTTAGGCTTTTAGCAGCCTAAAGCCATGGCTTTTAGTTTCTGTCTCTAGTGATAAGCAGAAAAGAGGGATGAGGAAGGGGCTTTACCGGCCGAACCAGAAACAGAAACTAAGAACCCATGACTATGTTCTCTCCCTTGGACACCCCTGATAGCGGATCCCTACTCTTTTTTTTTTACTCTTTTTTTTTTTCGAGATGGAGTCTGGGTCTGTCGCCCAGTCTGGAGTGCAGTGGCATGATCTTGGCTCACTGCAACCTCCGCCTCCTGCATTCAAGCGATTCTCCTGCCTGAGTCTCCCGAGTAGCTGGGACTATAGGAACGCACCACCACGCCAGGCTAACTTTTGTATTTGTAGAGACGGGTTTTCACCATGTTGCCCAGGCTGGTCTCAAACTCCTGACCCTCAAGTGATCCGCCCGCCTCGGCCTCCCAAAGTGCTGGGATTACGGGCGTGAGCCACTGCGCCTGGCCTATTCTTTTATTTATTTTTTTTTTTTGAGACAGAGTCTCGCTCTGTCGCACAGGCTGGAGTGCAGTGGCGCAATCTCGGCTCACTGCAAGCTCTGCCTTCCAGGGTCATGCCATTCTCCTGCCTCAGCCTCCCGAGTAGCTGGGACTATAGGCGCCCGCCACCTCGCCCGGCTAATTTTTTTGGTATTTTTAGTAGAGACGGGGTTTCACCGTGTTAGCCAGGATGATCTCGATCTCCTGACCTTGTGATCCGCCCGCCTCGGCCTCCCAAAGTGCTGGGATTACAGGCCCCACTCATTTTTAACTTTCAGCTCTGGGCTGTTCTCTCCCCATCCATCCTTCCTCCTCGGGCTGAATGAGGTGCTCTACTTTAGGTTCTATATTTCTCAGTCACAGTCCAAGTCACACTTTCTGTTTCCTTTACTCTCCTTCTCCTTCCCTGAGTCCCTAGAGGACAAAGTAGTGCTTCTTAGCCTTCAATGTTTGACACACAGTAGGTAGTCAGCGTTTATTGGGGAGGTGAAGGAGTAGATTCGATTCAGCTGCTTCCTCTCAGTTCCACACCCAGCCTTCTATATCCTGCTTTGTATGAGCCAGGAGCTGAGACCATGTAAACTTTGTTACTGCTTGGCCACAGGCCCCTGTAAAATGCATCCAATAAGATGCACCAGACAGAGTCTGTGAGGCTCTGGGATGGAGAAGGGACTTGCTCCTTACTGTCTCTTGTCAGCAGCACCCCAGCCTCATTTCTTCACCCCAGTAAGTGTTCGTCTAGAAGCAGCAGCTGAATCCCATTTGCCATCAATTTTTCCAACATTTGAAAAGCAGCCACATCACACCTAGTCAAAAATCTCAGCACCAGCTGAGGGGTGCTCCACCCCAGAGGCCTAAGTTTGAATAATTGTAACCTCTGCTTCCCCTTGTTCCCAAGTCCACAGGGACTTGGTTGCTACTTCTGTAGTACCTTGGATTTCTTTCTTGCCTTTTTAATTCTTCAAAGCAAAGTTAACGATTCTTTGTATTCAATTCTCTCTGTTGAAATAACCAATGTGACTTCTATCTCTTGCCTAAAGCCAAGACAGGTCAGAGAAGGCCAGAATTCTGAGACACACTGCTGCCTGCCGGGTGCTGCATGCTCAGAATATCCACACATGTTTTCACTGGGAGTCTACACATGACTGTGGGCCACACAAACGAGTCCTGTGATCATCCTTCAGGATTTCTGTTGCCTCTGCTAAGTCCTCCATGAACTGAATAAGCTAATGGGGTCTCTACATGGGCCTGCGTAAAAAGGAGGACCAGCTTCCAGCAGTTTTAAGGGTGGCTTTGGCTCCCTGCTTCCTGCTATTATTTTGCTCCCTGTTCCAACGCAAAGGACCCAGGCCCATTCAAGTGTCCAAGTATCCTTTGCTCTAGCTCATCATATCTGCCTCCTCCCACTGTCCTTTGTTACACAAAATCTTTGCAGTTTTGAAAATTTTCCCTCATATGTAACAAGCATAGCAGAAGTACAATAATAATATTACCTAACAAACACTTGTTAAGCATTGACTGTAAACCACAAAGGTGAGATCCTCCTTTAATCCTCAAAACAATCTCATTTCACAGACGAGGAAGCTTAAACACAGAGATACAATCATTTGCTCTAGGTCATCATTATAGCCCAGATTTGGCTCCAGACAGACTGACCTATCAGAGTAACATTAACTGGGGATTATTTCGGTTGTTTTGCAAAAGATGATGGGACTATGGGATCTCGTTAGAATTACATTTTGTGTGAATGTGTGTGTACAGAGTGTATGTAATATAGGCTTTAGAATTTGCGGGCAAAAATATTTAGAATTTGGTGAAGAAAAAGTCATCTGTGAAGATTTTATGTAACATATTGTAAAACCAGAGGTCAAGAGTGGGGGAAGAGAGGCACTGTCATAGAAAAATATATATATATAACTGCCCATTTCTCTTGGCAGTACCTGGATGATTGCTGGCTCCTTGGCATTAATCACCTGTCAGAAATTACCTTCCCCACACTTGACACTACTACCTTGACAATTTTTGCCTCCTTGCTCATGAGTGATGGGATGATGGTTATGCCCTATCCATCATGCATTTTGATCAGACTGTCATCCCTGGGTGACATACATCTCCTGGCTGGGACTTGGCCCCAAAGATGTCAGCCCCAAAGTGATATCTTGTGATGGTTGGGTAGATGGTTCTGGGAGCAGACTGATGGCAATCAGGGTGTGCTGTATGTCAGCACCAGCTTGCCTGCTGCGATACATGAGCTATGTACTCAGATAAAAATACAGCGCAAAGACGATGCTGGCCCGGGCCTACCTCTTTAGCACAGGGATGAACCTAATTGGATAGACACTGGCACCTTATTTGAGGTCAAAGACAGGTCAGAGAGGGCCAGAATTCTAAGCTAGTAAGGAGGCAGAGTCTCTATGTTGTCTGAACAAATGACTGAGAATGCTTCTTGATGCCAACCTTGGGAATAAAAGAACCGGAAGCCTAAGAGGTTTCTAAAACTCAGAAGACCAAAGAATCCCAAAGTAGTAAGACTAGGGGAGTTAAATCATGAAGAGCGAAGAGTAGACTCTGCTTTCAGAAGAAATACATTTGTAATTATCATTATATGCTGTGGGTAATTAGTTTCATAAATCCAGGTCAGTACAATCTTTTTTAAGTGGGGAAACTCAAAGTCTCTTTTGTTTGTTTGTTTCACGGTGTCCCAGATTTTTTATCAGCATTTGGTACTGTTGCTTCCCCTCCTTTTTGAAATGCTTGTCTCCTCATCATCTACTGTTTACCTATCTATCTACAGCCACCTAAAATTCCTCCCCCGGTCCTAAATCCCTATTGAGTCATTCTTACTCAATCTTATTTTGTACATTTGTAAAACAAATTTATGTTGGTTTTTATCATACAATTCACATATTATCATCATCCTATACTGGGTATAAGTTAAGTTTGTGTTAGTTTCCTCCAACTTGATTAGAAGATCTTTGAGATTAGAGATTATATTTTATTCATTTTGGGTTCCTAATACTTAGCACTAGCATATGCTCTAGTACTATTTTTGATTAATGGTATTTAGGCATTAGCACCTAACACAGAGGGCTAGGTACCTAGAAGCTAGGTAAGAGCGTACCGATAGACTCAGATACGGGCTGATGTCTTGTTTAGAACTGTGTCACTGAGGCTTTGGCACCACACATTCTGCACCCTTTCTACATATACAGATGCCATTCCTATTCTCAAAGTCACAACATCCAGCAAATTGAAAACATTTCTTGGGCCTCACTCAGTAAACTCCTTGCAGTTGAAATGGCATCTGTTTCAAACGCCACTTATAAGAGCAGATAATAATACAGGGGCTTGATCTTAACAGCAGAGAAATGTGTTAACTTTCCGAATGTGCCATATTTTCTGTAATTTTGAGTAAATTTCACTTGCTTTACTACCTCTACTTCAAACTCTCTCATTTGAAGAGTAATTTCTTTGGAATACTGTCCAGGTTAACGAGAGGACTCCTTTCCCATTTTGACTCCTGATGTTGTCCTTAACCTAAATGTGTAATTTCTTCTCACTTTTCTAACTCTTATCACAGTCTCTTATCAGAATTCATTCTGTTAACTCCTCAACGCTTTCACCCACACATTCATTCCACATTTATTAAACCCAGCTACTGCTATTTACTCTCCTGGTTTTACTCTTTGTTAGCTATGTGACTTTGGCTTTTTCTGTAGCTCAGTTTGCTCATCTACAAAATAGGGCTAACAACAGTGTCTGCTTTATAAGGTTATTGTAAAGATTAAATTGTGTGTGTGTGTGTGTGTGTGTGTGTGTGTGTGTGTGTAGCACTTAGATTTATGCCTGGCACAGTCTAAGGATTTATTATTCTTTTTGTCTTCAGAAAGAACTGCATAAAATGCAATGAAAAGAAATGCTAAGCCTCCAGAGCACTATGTTTTTCTCCCTCCAATCTAAAATGAGTGACAACAGATTAATATTCTTCAAATACAACTTTTATCACACTACTCTCCCCACAAAATTTCTTGAGCAGCCAAGAGAAGAGAGCATTATGGCAGAAGGCTGGCTGATATGAAAATCCAGAGATTTCAGAATAAGCTTGGTTTCTATGGAAGACTGGCTCACTTATTGATCTGTCAAACTGTCCATCATCAGATAATTTACAAGTTCCTTCATTTGTGATCACGATTCCTGCTAGGTTACAGGAATAATCTAAGATGCAGAAGGATGTAAGGAAACAAAACATCCACAAAATGAGTAAATTTTGAGCCAGCATTTCCCAAACTGAGTCCTGAAGAATTTTTGGAAATTATATAAGGAAGGAAGAGTCTCATAATCAAAATGTTTGGAAAACCTTAAATTTAGCAGCTTAGCCTTCCCAATTACTACCATCCTATTCCAGATTTTAAATCATTTGACGTGGATTATTGCTGTAACCATCTGGTTGGACTCTGCCTCTCATTTCTTTCTTCCTCTGGTCCAAACTTTCTATTTATTCTAGAAGGATTGTTCTAAAACATAGACATGATCATACCATTCCCTCGTTTGAAATCATTGATAGTTCTCATTGCCTATGGCCTAGAATCCAATTTCTTAGTATGACTTACAAAACCCTTCAGGACCTGGGCCACAAACTGTGTTTCCAATCACCCCTCTAATCTTCCTACGCAAACACACCCTGTATTTTGTTCACACCAGAGGTTTGCTCTTCTTTGACATTCCAGGGACATCCATCACCTCTGTGCATACTATTCCCTCTGGAATGACCTTTCCATGCGCATAGGTACTAACGTATTTAATTCTCACTGCAACACTCTGTGATATGCTTTATTATTATCCCATTTTACAGTTGAGTAAACTGAGGTGAAGAGTAGTTAAATAACTAGAAGATTTGAACCCAGGCTATCTAGCTCTGGTGCTAAAGACCTTAAACCTTGGGCTTTCCTGCCTCTGGGAAGTTAACAGAGAGAGACTGATAACAAACTCCTACTAACCCAAGTCAAGTTAAGCTTCTCCCTGACCAAATACACACTTTTTTCTTTCTCCCAGAAGAATGAATAAATTATCCCATTATTTTTTTCTCCCACCAGGTGTGTGTGTGTGTGTGTGTGTGTGTGTATACATACATAGTGTTATACACAAACACACACATATATATACACACACACATATACAGTCACACATTGCTTAACAACAAGGATGCATTCTGAGAAATGTAGTGTTAGACAATTTTGTCACTGTGCAAACATCAACAAACCTAGGTAGTATAGCCCACAAAACACCTACGCTATAATGGTGTACTATTGCTCCAGGCTACAAACCTGTACAGCATGTCACTGTACTGAATACTGTAGGCAGTTGTAACACAGTGGTAAGTATCTGTGTACCTAAATACGTAAAATGTAATATGTTGCACTAGGATGTTATGACAACTACAACATCATTAGGTAATGGGGATTTTTCAGCTCCGTTATAATCTTATGGGGCCACCATCGTATATATGGTCGTTTGTTGACTGGTGCATGACTATACATGTATAAATACATATACATATATCTATCCTCAATTACAAGTGCTTATTTAGTTGTTTAGAGAACTGTGGGTTCTCAGGAACAGAGACCCTTTATAAATATCCTGACATTCATCCCTACTCCAACAGCCAGGCACCTGATGCTTGTTAGACGCTTAAATCTACATGGAGGTGAATTAAAAGGAATCTGTTTGAAGGTAATGGGAGGCTGTAGTGACAGCTTGGTTATGATTTCTGTCCAACAGCTCCCAGAAACACAACTGATAAATGCAAACCCTTGTCAAAAATGACAGTGTCTGCTGAGCTATACGTTCCAAGCAAGTGTTTCTGAAATGTAATTGTCGCAGCAGAGTTAGAAATGGAACTCGAAGTACTTGCAAGAGAGTCCACCTCAGTCAAGAACTCCTTCCTCTGAAATGGCTTGGAAAAATCAATTTGCCTTCCTGTCTGAGATTTCTTGGTCACTTTTCACGGACATAGGTGTCCTTGGTATGCAGTAGCTCTTCCACAGGTCTTTCAATATCAGAATCAATCCCAAAGCCTGGGTCTGGCTCCCACTCAGGGGTTCGTGTCATGTGAAGAGCTCTCCAGCAGGCCAGAGGGCACAATTCACCCATGCGCCTGCCAGCCATTGAGCTCCTCTTATGCACCGGCTCTGTGCTCAGGCTGGAGATGCAGACAAGGACAAGACATAGCCTCTGTGCTAACAAAGTTCACAGTCTTATAGAAGGCAGACAAGCAAGTCAATATTATGGTGTGTCACGTGTGGAGGCCTGGTACAGGCTGCCTGGAAAACAGAAGAGAGCCTCCAACCCTTTGAGGACTGGGGGGCCTTCAAAATAGCTTTGTAGGGGAGGTGATGCTTGGACTGAGCCTTCAAGGAAGTAGGAATTAGTCAGAAAGACAAAACCTCAATTGCATTGTTAATTCCACTTCCATATATCTCATGAATCCATCCACTATCATCCCTTTTCTTGTCTTCCAGAATAGCCTTCTAAATAAAGGCTCCCCCTATTTTCTGTTGATTCACTTATCATACAGCAGCCAGAGCAACTGTTTAAAAATGTAAATTAAATCACATTACCCCTTTGCTCAAATCCAACCCATGACTTCTATTGCACTTGGAATAAAGCCCCTTGCTATGAGCTACAAGGCCCTGCATGATCTGATGCCTGGCTCTCGCTTCATCCTCACCTGGTACTGTGTCCCCCACAACTACCACACTCCAGCTGCATTAGCCTTTATTCAATTCCGTGAGCCTGAAAAAGCCCTTTTCACATTAGGACTTGCACATGCTGTTTCCTCTGTCTGGAAGTCTTTGCCATGGATTTTCACCTGGTACCCCCTGAATGTCACCACCTTCCTCTCCTCCCTGATAGTCTCTATGTAAACACTCAAGTTTTTTCCGTCCAAGCAGCTGTCACAATTTGTAATTATTTTATTCATGTTTATTTTTTGTTTTGGCAGAGATGGGGGTTGTTATTTTTCTTTGTTAGCCCCACCAGGCCATAAATTGCACAAGCCTTTGGATCATGTTGACTTGCTCATCATTTGGTCTTATCTGGCATGTAGCAGGTACCCAGGAAATATGTAATGAATGAGTTAAAGAAAGGAAGGAAGACTTGGGGACATAGTTCACTTAGGAGCTACAGTAATTGATGGTGATACACCTATGGTGATTGGCGGACATGTGGGTGTCAGGATATGAGCCTGGAGAGACAGAGCAAGGGCCAGGCTATGAAGTGTCTTGCATGCCACTCAGAATGATAAGGACATCATATTCAAATGATGGAGTACTACTGAGGAATTTTAAAGCAGTGGACGTCTTGACATATAATGAGGTTTTTGCGTTTTGCCCACGGCCGTCCGTGTGAGAAATATGACCCTGGGAACTAAGAATGTCCAGCGATTATCCAGTCCCTGCCCTGTGTACTTCTGTAAGATTCTGAAAGGAGCTGCATTTTACCATTGGCCTAAACACAGAAACTGCTTCCTGTTCCTTACAAATTGCTACCTATATTATGGTTTTTATTTTTTCTTCCACTGAGGGACAGCTTTGGACAAACAGAGACCAAACAGGGTAATTACTGATCTTATTGGTTAAATGGTGACAAGAATTTAAGAAAAGTGTGACCGTTGCACACAATTCCTCTGCCTTCTATTCCCACCTGAAACATAAGAAAAAATTTATATGTAATCATTTGTCATTTTCACACTCTGACAAACCCTTTCCATATTTGTATTACCAAAACACTGTAAAGTGTACAAAATGCACATGATATAGCGAAGGTTTTATGTCACTTTCCAGACCAACTCTATTGCAAAAGCACAGAGCAGGCTGTCTCCCAAGATATATTTGTGCAAGGACTGGTGTAACGTGCAATATATTCTGGATTCTCCCTCTGCCCAACCTTCAATTATTTGACCAATGGGTAGCTTTTCATTATTTGAACTGAGAATGTCCTTTTGATAAATTTGTACATATTTCAGCTTTACTTAGGAAAGGCATCTGCTTCGAGTATTTTCTGGGAAAAGCCAATATGTTGCATCTGAAAAAAAATTTCACTGGGCAATATTTATCAAAAAGTAAATCACAAGAGGTTCATATATTATGATCTAAACTGAATCTTTTTCTAGCCTTAAAATGTAACTAGCATAGAGTAATTGAGAAGTGCTATCTGAAAAACCATTTGTTTAAACTAAGACCATAAATTAATAAATATTCTACTACTTGTCTATCTAATTCCTGGCAATGAATTATATTTTTATTGGTTTCACCTTTTATCTTCATTTTTTTTAAAGAATTCTACTAACTTAAGTGACATTGAATTCCAAAGTATTAAACAGAAGATTTGATTTTTAGTTAGATTTTTATTAGCTACAAACAGCTTTTATACTTTAGAAATCCAGAATATCTCTACTTACCCCATCAGAATCTAAATAGTCCCCAGCTCTACCAATGTCTTCCAACCTAGTCCCCAAAGTCAAGGACTTATGATTATCGTTTGAGGGAAATTTCTTTTTAAGAGATTATCTAGATAGTTTTTATGGAATATCACAATACACTTTTGTTTCTGATTATCCTTTCTGGGGGGGTGGGGGGGACAGAGTCTTGTTCTGTCACCCAGGCTGGAGTGCAGTGGCATAATTTCAACTCACTGCAACCTCCATTTCCTGGTTTCAAGCGATTCTCCTGCCTCAGCCTCCCAAGTAGCTGGGATTACAGGCACCCGCCACCACGCCTGGCTAATTTTTGTATTTTTAGTAGAGATAGGGTTTCTCCATATTGGCCAGGCTGGTCTCAAACTCCTGACCTCAGGTGATCCGCCTGCCTCGGCCTCCCAAAGTGCTGGGATTATAGGCATGAGCCACCACGCATTGCCTGTTTCTGATTATCTTATCCAGATCCTCTAGCCAGATGAATGAAAAAGAAAACCCTCCTATATGCAGTGCGAGAAAATCCAGGTTCAAAATATGAGACTACCTCATGGCCTATTTGTATATATTGCATTTGAGTTCAAATGCACGTTAGATCTTTCAGGAGGCTGAATATATGAATCCACAAGAGTATGCAAGCTTTAATGCTTTTAGTGCTATGAATTTCTCTGGGTGATTTGGACATTTCTGCTACAGTAAACATTTAACTGCACTAAAGCGTTTCCACAAGGTAGCTCACCGCGTTTCCATCAACGCTGAGCATGTTCTTTACTCTGGAAGAGGCTGAAAGTCCTCAGCAGGGTAAAAGGGATGGGGGTGGGGCTGGGGGAATCCAGACTTCACTTTCCATTTTCATTTTTCAAGAGCAAACCTGTTATTGTCAAGTAACTCTGAAATTCCACTTTGAGATGAAACTGAAATTGAGCTCTGAAAACCTCCACTGAAGAGCACCAAATTACAGAAGAATTTATGTTTAAATACCAGACTCACTAGTTTTCTGATAATTCCTCTGGGTGAGGAGGAGGAAATATGTACACAGAATCTGGGATACCCATTGAGCCCATCCCCCTATATGCAGGCATAGCCACATTGATTGCCCCAACACTGTGGTATTTCACATCCCATAAACAGAGTATGCATTTTCTATTGGCAACTTGTTATAGGCTCTGCCACCAATACTGAAACTGTCTTCCTTACATGCAATCCTATCTAATAAAATGAAATGTTTTTATTTTAAAAGCAATGCAATGTTTTATCAAATATGAGCATTTATAATAAAATTAGAAAGTATAGCACAGATTTCACATGAAAGACAGTACAACATGGCTGTGGGAGAAAGAGACAATAAGAAGCTTGTGGCTTCTTTGGGAGAAGGAGCCATTCAATTCTGGTAAAGCTTTTTGGGAAACAGGAGTATCAGAAAATCTTCCGTTATAAAACCCTTTCTCAAATGGACCCAAATATGATTGCCATGAAAATACTTATTGTTGATACCTTTTTTTTGGTTTCTATAATCAGAAGATAAAACTTCTTTGAAAACAATGACTGCTTTTAATCCTATTTTAGAATCAACTACAAGACTTAGTCAATTACAGAGACTCTGCAGAGAGGTCCATTCCAGGCTACAGGTATAACAGATAATAAATGGGTACCTGGATTTGTGCTATGGGAAAGGACAGTGCTAGATACTTTCCACTTGCCTCTCCATATTTACTCTCCACCCTATCCCATGCTCTGTGTGTGTCAGGGCATGTGGACAGCACCAATAGGTGCCCTTGCCTGCTGGCTTCCAGTTGACTCTGCCCATAGGAGGTGCTAGTAAGTGACAGAGGCTGGGAGGAAAATGAAGAAACGTTTTCCTCAGTTCCTTCCCTGCAATATCATAGTGGGCTGGCTGGGTTCCTCTACCAATGACCCCACTCCAGACAGTCCTCCTTTCCATACAAGGACCCTCAGTGGATCTTGAAAACCGCTCCTTCCTTTACTTCTTCAGGAATAGGGTGGTAATTGCATCCACTACTATGAGACCCTGGGTTCTGCACAATTTATTTTCCTACACCCTGTTCATATCTTCGAAAGCATTTCCTGTGTTACACTCAGTTCAGTTATGAAGTTTGATGTACCATTTCTTGCCTGCTGATAAAAAATATCAGAAAAACTCATGAAAGAGCATCGCAATCCCCTTCTCAGAAATGTGGCAGGGTCAAGGTCCTTTTGCACAAACTATGTTTGTTTGTTTGGTAGACTTTTTTTTTTAAGAGCAGTTTTAGGTTCGCAGTACAATTGAGTGGAAGGTACAGAGATTTCTCATATACTTTCTACCCCGACACATTCATAATCTTTCCCAATATCCCCCACCAGGGTGATACTGTTTTCTATAAAAAGAAAAATGGAAAACTTCCCTTAAATTTAAGGAGTTTACAAGCAATTTGAGGATGTTTACATTTCCACTGTGGAATACACTTTTTCCTCTTAAAAGGGAGGAAATAAAAAAAATTGAGAACAAACCCAAAGAAATATCCCCAAACAACAAATTCCTGTTTGCTTGTTGGTGGAGGTGTTTAAGTAAGCTGGTTTAAAAGATCTAAAAATAAGAGACGCCTCTAGGCAGGTTGTTCTGCCATGAATTTTGGGAGAACATTTTGAGAACATCTGGAATAAAAGGGATCTGAGACATTATTTCCTTCTGTCTCCCTCTGGTGCTTGAATTCTTGCAGCGACAGCTCTGCCAAAGCGTGGCTCAGTCTTTGCTTGCATATCTCTGGTACCTGGGAGTTTCCTACCTCCCGGGGCAGCTCACTCCAGCATGAACTGATCTCATAATGTGGAAAGCTCTGCTTTCCACAGAGCCCCAGTCCACCTCCCTGTAGCTTCCACCCACTGACCCTAGTTTGGCTTTGGAGGGCAGCAAACAGTGAGCCTAATCTGTCTTCCCTCTGACAGCCTTTCCCAACGTGAAGGCAGCAATCATATTCTCCCTAAGCCCAAATCCCTAGTTCCTAATGGTGGAGACACAATCCTCTGAACACAGACACTATTTTATTTTATCAATGTCCTGAAGTAAAAGTTGTGTTTGAGGTGTGATCTAAGCAGCATAGACTAGCACCGTCCCCTTCTACATTCCAAACACTGTATTTCTATCAACTGGAACTCAGAGTGCACTCCTTGTAGAACAGCCCCATCACATTGTTAAATGCCCAGGGATTGGGAAGGTATGGTTTTTCATATGATGGGTTAAGAGAACTTAGAAGAAGTTTCACAATATGTCAAGATATGCAGTCCACCCTGTCAAGATAGACAAAGTACCCACATGATAAGGACAGTAATAAATAAGTTGTGAAATTTCGGAAATTTTTCATGTATTTCCATAAATGCAATTGGTGATAAGATGACTCACATAGAGCACCAAGGTGGCAATATGTCTATCACCCAGTGCTAGGTTCACCTTCCTGGCCATACGAGATCGTTTGGAAAGTCACCAGCAAAGTCCTGGGAGTCAAAACACCTGAATTCCAATACAACTGACTGAGCCCCTGAGAATCAATTCATCCTTTGGAATTATCCCATATAAACTGGGGATAACAGACCTCACATAGTTATTGTGATTATGAATGAGAGTGTTCCAGAGACAATGTTCCATAAACTCTAAAGCTCAGTACAGACAAGCATGTCACATGTGAGGGGAGAGCACTGGATCAGGGGAGAACTCCTTTATTTATTTGATGATATTTCTGGCCATTACTTTGTCCAGGTCCTGAGAGAGGTATGTTTCTTTGACTTTATGTATACACTAAAAACAGTACAGTAAGTCCTCACTTGATATTGACAGACTGTTAGAAACTGTGACTTTAAGCAAAATGACCTACAACAAGTCCTCAAATAACATCCTTTTGTTATAACATTGATGAGAAAAAAAGTTGGTTTTCTTATACATTGTTTCACTTAAAAGTTGCAGTTTCCAAGAACCTATTGATGGTAGGATGTAGAAGACTTACTGTAATGGGGTTAAAAATTATTCCACATAATTATGGAATTTTTTTCTGCCTCCAAAATAGCCCATTTACATGCAGGAAGGAGATTGGTCACTGATGAAAAACTAAGCCAAACAAAGAAGGAAAGATGGTTAAACATCTGAATTCTCCCATTCTTTGAGAAACCACCAAAGAGTGAAGAAGTAAGAGAACCTATCTTCTTCCATCTTTGGGCTAGAAATATACTTGTGCTTATATGCTGGCTATTCTAACCATTGAGTTTACAACTGCCAAGCAATGTTTTCTTAAAAACAGGCCCTTTTACAGAAAGGGAAAGAACTGGTAGGCATCCTTATAAAGCATGTTGAATGTTGGCACCTGGGAAAGGTGTACTTGAATCCACCTGGACACAAATAGAGAAGACGGGGCTTTCTGGAAGACAGAGGTAGTATCTGCACAAAAAAGCAGTCCACCACAGCCTTCTCTACCACCATCTGGATATGTTTACGAGCAACAGAAGCTTTTTCTTTTTCTTCATTTTTTTCCATGTGATAAATTTTGAATCTGATATTTCTATTTAGATGAGTAAAAAGATCAATGGAATCAGATGAATCCCAATCGATATTTGACAGTTTTCAAGTAACATTGAACCACATATGGAGTGTGCTGAAAGCACATAGAATAGATGATTGAGCACTGTTCATAATTTCAATAGTGGCTTAGAAGATCAAAAGATGCTTTCTGCAGATGTAGTGCCAAGATAATTACTACACTACTTGGGCCAGATTTAAATAAGTTGAACAAACTTATGTCAGTTGTATTTGTAGTTTAATTGCTTTTCACACTATCTCATCAGATTCTTTGTAGACCTTATAAGGTTGTCAGTATAAGGATTATTATCCCTATTTTACAAATGAGTAATCTGAATTCCAGAAGTCTGAGACATTTGCTTAAGCTCACTTACGTATTCATTCAATCATTCCGACAACATTTAAACGTTTTGTTGGAATGATTGAATGAATACATGAAAGAATAAATGAGCAGATAGCAATAGGCATGAGTAGGTCCAAGGTCAAGTTTCCTGACCTTCGGTGCAAAATGTTTTCCAGTATACCAGCATTATTCAAACTTGAGCAATATGTGTTTTGCTCAAGAAAAGAATCTCCATTGTAATTATATCTATTATAATATTATGATGGACAGTATAATTCTGGTATTAGCTTTTCAACTCTTATCGGTAAAAGACTGGGGAATCTAGTTTAAATTTTCTTTTGTTATTAAGGTTTCACATTGTGTGCCTGCTCTGTGTCCTTTGATTTTGTTTCATGCCATGCTGAACTGTGCTCACAGCTTCCTCTTATCATTGGCTTTTCATATCAATTGTAGAGAATTCACAGCTTTTCCTTAGCAATTGTGCTGGGCTCAGATTTTAAACTGATTTTTGGCTGTTCCACAGCTCTGACTGCTGGTGTTTCTACTTCCACAATCTATGATACCAGAACAGAAACCTGGGCTTTTAAAAATACCCACTCTAGTAACCTTATTCATCTGTTCCTTATAAGTAACCTTATTCACTGTTGTTCCAGTGTTACAATTTTAGTTTCCTCCTTTGCATTTTGTGAGCTGTATTTCTGTATATTTGCTACTCTATGGAATGCTGCAGGTAAGGGAAGACAATACTCTGCCCTTTTAGAAGGGGACATTTAGAACAGATCTTAGAATAAAATAGCTACTTTCCTGTATATAAGTCATTGGCACCACTGATACCAGCAGAATCCTCCTCTGCCGCCCTTCCCAACCCCAACCTTTGACAGTAGATGCCCTGGGTTTGCCCTATGTAACTAGCTCACAACCACTGTCCTCCCAGCTACATTAAAACTGCAAAGAATGTGGAAATGTATCATAAGACATAAATCTTTCCCTCAAGAAGTTTATCCTATACTTGGATTTTAGGACTAAACACATATAACATATATGGACAACAATCAAATGTCACACCATGTTTTTGTATTAACCATAATAAAAGAGGGATTTGGAAAATGGAGAAAATTCTGTGGGCTAAAATGATTGCAAAATGATTCTTGAACCCTCAAGGGGCAATGCAAGATCTTGAAAAGTACATCGAATTTATAAAGGGATGAGAACAGTAAGGATATTAGAAGTGGGAGAACAGCACCATTAAAGAGTGCATGGGAAAAACACATGCTCCAGTGAACAGTATCTCCTGGCTAGGTGACAAATTGGGAGTTGTAAATAAACTGTGGAAAGAAAGTCAGAAAGGAAAGATAAGGACTAAAAGGGGTGGAAAATAGGGAGGAGCCATTGTAGGTCCTGGAGCAATGAAACAACATAAGACCTGCACTTAAAAGTTCGAACATTATTCACAATAGCAAAGACTTGGAACCAACCCAAATGTCCAACAATGATAGAATGGATTAAGAAAATGTGGCACATATACACCATGGAATACTATGCAGCCATAAAAAATGATGAGTTCATGTCCTTTGTAGGGACATGGATGAAATTGGAAATCATCATTCTCAGTAAACTAGCGCAAGAACAAAAAACCAAACACCGCATATTCTCACTCATAGGTGGGAATTGAACAATGAGATCACATGGACACAGGAAGGGGAATATCACACTCTGGGGACTGTGGTGGGGTGGGGGGATGGGGGAGGGATAGCATTGGGAGATATACCTAATGCTAGATGACGAGTTAGTGGGTGCAGCGCACCAGCATGGCACATGTATACATATGTAACTAACCTGCACAATGTGCACATGTACCCTAAAACTTAAAGTATAATTAAAAAATAAATAAATAAATAAATAAAAAAGTTCCATCTGGAAGCTATACTTACATAAGCTCTGTAGTCAATAGAGGATAACATCTAAACTTGAATAGATAACACAAAATGCATGACTGTTCACAATCTGCCTCAACCTTCATCATTGCTTTCTTCCCATCCTAATATTTGACATGCAAAGAGCCACTTGGCATCCCAAACATTTCATGAATTTTAATGCCTCTCTGCCTTTGCTTTCCTCTCATTTTCTTTCCTCCTGATTTCTAATTTTTTCTTCAAGGCCCCCTCAAAATTCTGCCATCTGTGATTTATTAGTAGTTATTTATTGAGCGTACCCTGCAACGTATTAAGTGCAAGGGACCAGGCATTTCAAAGATTATCTATCTATCTATTGAGAGGGCAAACAGAGAGAGCGAGAGAGGAAGAGAGAGAGCGACTGAGATAACACATTCCTAGGTTGGCAATTGTCACAGCATCCCTTCCAATGTATTTAATTGGTCAAAGCATGTTGCAAGCTCCACCAGAGAAATATGCTTTGCCTTTTGATGGAAACAGTGATGTAAGTATTATGGATTAGAAGGATTCTTGGTGGCCATCTTTGCAGAAAATCTGTGAAAGCCCCTGATAGGTCAATAATATGGTAGAGAATTAACCATTGGATTTGGCCACATAGAGGTCATAAGTGGTCCTGTATCAGTCAAGCAGTTATGTCAAAGTTTGAATGGAGCATGTGCAAGAAATAATGGGAGGACAGGAATAAAAGGCATCAAGTAGGCTGGGCGCGGTGGCTCACGCCTGTAATCCCAGCACTTTGGGAGGCCGAGGCGGGCGGATCACAAGGTCAGGAGATCGAGACCATCCTGGCTAATACGGTGAAACCCCGTCTCTACTAAAATTACAAAAAATTAGCCGGGTGTGGTGGCTACTCGGGAGGCTGAGGCAGGAGAATGGCGTGAACCCGGGAGGCGGAACTTGCAGTGAGCTGAGATTGCGCCACTGCACTCCAGTCTGGGAGACAGCGAGACTCCGTCTCAAAAAAAAAAAAAAAAAAAAAAAGGCACCAAGTAAACGGCAGTGGGAAAACTATGTAACAGTGGAGAGAGTTTGTGGCAAGAAACCAAGAAAGTGTAATTCTTTTTAGTTTTTAAGATGAGAAAAATGGCATGTTTATTTGCTGATGGGAATTATTCAATAGGTTGGCTGAAATAGAAGAATTTGCGGTAATTGTTGGATTGAGGTCTTTGTATAGGCAGGAGAGGAAAAGATGCCACTCATGAGTGGAGGATTTTTGCCTTAACAAGAAACAAAGACAGTTTAAACAGAGTAACAGGCAAGAATATGAAGAATATGGATTCAAACGCAAGCACACGGGTAGATGTGGAGGGGTAATGTGTGAAAGCTCTATTCTGGTTGTTTCTGCCTCCTCAGTTAAAACAGGAAGCCAGGTTACATCAGAGTGTGCAGGGAAGAAGACTGGAAGCTTTGAGAATGAAGAAAAGGTATGAAGCAGTCATGTAGGAGAGAAAGAATGTATAAGCAAAGTGTAGAAGAATTGGTGGGCAGCACCAAAGGTCTACATAAAGTTAGAAGCTGTGAATTGAAAGTGAAATCAGGCAGTGTGAATGTGTTTCACAAAACTTTCAATTTTATGCATTCAGCCACAAAGTAAAAAGAAGATTGGAGTTAACCAGAGCTAGGGATTTCTAAGGGAGCATGAAAAAAGGAGAGTTGAACAAGGGAAATTGGGGTGACAGTAAGAGACATTATTAAGGATTGGCCATGGAATTTAAGTTGGGTAAGGAGGGAATAACAAGATGAGATGGGTAAAGGACAGGGTAAAAGTAAGGGTGATGGGATCAATGGATTGGAAGTCGTGAGGTAGTTGAAGAACTGCGGGAATGAGAGTTTAGAGAGAATTACTTGGAAAAAGTAAGGGAACTGCTTGAAATAGACATTATGAAGGGGTGCAGTTGTTGGAAATAACAAATCTAGGATTTAACCATGAGAATGAGTGATTGAAGTAAGGTGAAAGACAAGATTATTGAAAGACAAGAGGTTAACGAACTTAGAGGGAACACTGAGGTGAAAATTGACATCACCAAAAATTTCATATAGATTGTGTGTTGGAGGGAGTGGCAGTGATGCAGATGCTAAAAAGTCCTTAAGAAATAAAGGTAAGTAGACTATGGGCTTGTAGATGGAAGTCACAAAGAGAACCATCAGGGAATATAGACCCAGGGCTTAAGCTTTGAAGATGGCCGAGGGACGGGAATTTCTAGAAGTGGCAATGAGGAGCAAGGAAGACACTCAGCCCATCCTCAAGAAGTGCAAGATAGAAAACAAGTGCCTTCTGAGAGGGCTCTGGGGAGCAGTTTCCTCAGGGAAGCAAGATCAGGAAGGAAAGAGTGGGTACCTCTCTCATGCCCGCACAAGCAAAGCTGCTGTCCTAGACCACACAGCAGAGGACTCTGCTCTTGTGTTTCACTGCCTGCACCGCAGCACACGAAGAGATGGGCAGGTGGGATCATGGAGTTGTACTCACTTGAAGACAGCACACCCCTTCTAGAGCACGCTATATGTATCAAGGCCACAGAATTTCCTGCTGAAACATCTCTGAGCCAGATCCCTGGGCCTGTGTGGGCTCTTCCCCAGTCCATCCTCTGAAGGACTGACCAGTCTTCAGTGTTCTGTGAACACAGAGACCCTTCACAATGCAGGATGGAGCCAGAGTGGGACTGGAAGGTGGATTGGCTAAAAGGAAGGAGCCAGGAGCTGGGGCCTACTCACTCCATGACATCACATGAACTCCTAAAACTTTCGAACTTGGCCTTCCAGGTGGAGACTAAGTTCTATTTGTCAATCTATGGAGATGAAATATGATTTATTTCTCAGTCTGTTAGCTCGATTTATAATTTTTAAAGACTTAGACTATGGAACACGGGCCTCTATTTCTACTATTGTCAGGGGTATGCAGGGCTGAGGAAAACCTTGAGAAAGTAGAGCATTTGGGTGATGACACAGAGTTCGAGAACCTTTTCCCATTTCTACAATCAGGGTTGAGGACACACTCATCAAGAATTCAGTTACATGGAGATTGTAATCCAGTTGACAACATGGCATTAGTCTACTGTGTCATAGTTAAATTTATGTTATCTTTCCACTAGACATTGAGCTTCATGTGGGGAGAGACTGTCTGCATCATCTCTATGGTCTTAGCCCTTGGACGCAATGCTCGGTACATAATGGTCACTAAAACAGAAAAAAAATTCATTAAGAAATTAATGGGAACAGAGTCTAGAAACATCTAACAGTCTAGCCAAAGTGTGTTTCTGCTTTCCAGATGATTCTGATGAAATAGCTCAAAAATATATACTCATGTCCATATATACATTTGGTTCTGAATATCATTCTTCAGATTTTCTGGACTCTGGAACTTAAAGTTACCTTAATTGCTGCTTTCAATTTTAATAGCAGGTAAAATTTTAAAAAAGGAAAACCCTTTGAATGATTGAGAATAAGTCCCTGGAATGTTGCCTTCCTTGAAGCCTCTGATGCACATTGCCCTTTCTGTGGGTATCCCCTGCTGTGGCACTTTTGTAGGTAATTGATGTTGGCATTTCAGATTAAGATGAAATTTTGGGTGTCAGTTTTGGACTGCTTCAATGGCCATGATCAGTTAGCTCTCAGTTTACCAATTTGTGTTCCACTGAGTTGAACAGTAAAAATCCTTGGTAGTTTACCTGAAAGGCCGTGAAGATGACTTATGGGCTGCAGCACACAATATTTCTTTTCTGTACTTTATCTAGACAAATAAGTGCTTATAACTCTGGATTCAGGAAAGACTGTTTATTCTTCAGAACTGACATCCCATTAAAAAGAAAATAAAGTGAGCGTCAGGATTAGTCCCCTAAGCTTTCATCAAGTCTCTTGCCATGAATGTCTGCGTGTTTTTCCCCTGTCAGTTCCTGACACCCAAAATGCATTTCTCTACAGAAGATAATATCATGTTACTCTTTCTCTCTCCTCAATATTTGCCAATCTTCACCCACCTTTCTCACAAAAATCAAGCCAGAGCTCTTTAAAATAATTATAAAGGAATAACTAATAAATTAAGGCTATTGTGGAGTAAAGGTGATGGTAGTAACTTTGGCAAAGAACTCCCTCAAGAACAATCCATCCATTGCTATTAGGAAAGAGCGGCATGGGACACATTTAGGCTAAGCACAATGTCACAGGGACTTTAGAAAACCGTGGAGAGACAAGAGTTGATGGCAAAACAAAGGAAGTGGTAGACCACTATTTTACTGTGCTCAATGGATTTTACTGGAGTGGGCAGCTTCTTCTCCAATATCTCTTACCTATCACTCTGTCAAATGAAATCAGAGAACAAGAATATATTTTGGTCAAGTAATTATAATGCAGTATGTCTAAGTCCTATCTTGTAGGAGAAAAGAGACCTTGGAAAACCAAATGGCCTGTTCTTGCAGGTAGGTCACCAGCCAGGACCTGGGGGATAGAATGACCATTACAGCTCCGGTTCTCATCTTCAGTGACCAGAAATTCACCCTCTAGTTTCCTTGAGGTTCTTTAGTGGAAAACAGAACACTCTCTTTTCCATCAGTCAAAGGCAGGGCTTGATGTGATTTTAAGGAGAGAAGCACTCTGGGATTTTGTATTTTGGTGGAGACTTCTTTGGAGTGCATGCCGTCAGCCTCCAAAGCCAATGAGGCAATGATTGGCATCTGGAAAGCAACTGGTATTGTGTTCATAAAGCAACTAGCAATGAGAATGGGAGTTGTTTACATACCTAGCTACACCCAGCCCACACCCCTCCAATTCTCACTAGTCATGGAAGAAGCTGACAAGTGAATTTCTCTCTTTTATACATGTTCCTTTTTTTAATGTCTTAGACTGAGACATAGCATTCTCAGACTAGAATTAACCCTAGTCACCATCTGTGTGAGCACCTCCACTTTTACAGTGAGTTAACTGAGGCACTAAAAGGTGACACTGCTGGTTAGAATCAAATCACACAAACTTGTTCTTTCCACTAAAGAACATATGGTTGATGGAAAAATTTGTTTCTGTTTACAGGCTCAACTTGATGCTTGTTTTTACCTAATAACACTTGGATTAAAATGTATGAATTGGGAGACTTGCCATCCCCAGCACTGTATTTATGGTTCATAGTTCAAAGAATGGCCTTATTGGATCCCGTTGGATGATCATAAAGAGAGATCTTGTCTTATTTTTGACTCTAAGAAGGAGTATTTATTGAGCCTCAGGAAGGTGAATTGGAAGGGCATCCCTTTTTTGGGGAAACAGAATATAAATTTTATTATAGCAAAGGATGTTGCAGAACAGAGGCAGGAATTTCTGGTTGGCCTGATTTCAAATGATTTAAATACGTTTGTTGTATTTGTTCTTGTTCCATTTTACACCTTATTTTTATGCAGTAAACATATATATCTTCTGTTACTAAAAAGAAAAATCCAAATGGATATTTCAAAAGGTGTATATAATGCTTCAGTATTAGTGTCCAATAGAGGAAAATAATTCTCTATTATGACTGAATAAGAAGTCATCCTGATATGCTAAAGAAAGTGCTGCCAAAAGAGCCAAAAACCTGAGTCTGAGACCTGGCTCTGTTACCTTTTAGTAAATTCACAGGCAATACTGAGCATCTGTAGTGTAATGGGTACTTCGCTGAGCCCTGGGAAGATGATGAACATATGTAGGCATAGTCCTCCATACATTTACTGGAGCCTGAACCCATTCATCATTCATTTCTCTGAGCACCAGTTTCCTCATTTGTAACATGGAAATAGCCACACTTTAGTATGTCATTATGAAGATTAAATTATGTCATGTATGTGATTCTCCAAGTGCAGAGAACTCAATTAAGTGTAGGATCTGAGAGTGTCGGAACACAAAGATGAGCCATTAGAGTTTCAGCAGACAAATATTAGCTCACTAATCATAGATATCTCAATGTCTGTTATCAAACCCATGTTCCTGTGTTACTTATTATGAGTTTAAGAGAAAACACATTAACTTGTTCAAATATAAGCTGTTGAATGTAGCTCTGGCTTTGATTTACCTTTCCCACCAAGCTGCTGTACACAAGATCTGAGTGAGAGAACGCCCCTCATGCTCACTTCCTCTTGTCACCTGAGGGGCAAGTTTCTAGGCATTCAAACTCTGTGCAGCTCTATCTAAAAGACCAAGTCAATGGGGTGGAAAAACGAAAGTGTACTTAAATTAATGAACCATTCACTCATGCATTCTCATAATTTTAACCACAGACTCCTTTTTCATGACACTTTCCAGAAGTTTGTCACAGCAATTTCAAATACATTTTCCTCAGCACCTCAGCACTCACTGTGTCTACACAGAGCCATGCTCACAGCAGACCATGAAGAAATGAATGAGAGAATGAAGGCATGTTAAGAAAGTGAGCCTATGAATGGTAGCTATGAAGAAAGGAGGTTCAGATTTCCCTATGTTGACAACACATTTTAATTTCCCCGAATGGCTGAGTCTACCCCAGGAAATTCTCTACCATTTTTCCCCCTGAAGATTCTTTTGAAAAAGTCTTTAAAAAGAAAACTTTAAAAAATCATCTTTCTTAAACTGACTTAGATATATTCTCCACCAAAATCTTCCTTCTCTACATCTCTTCTACCAACTATATTCCCCAGGTAGGTGTTGTTTCCTAGCACCCAAGAAGTTCTGCCAATTCCTCTGCAGGATGAAAGGGCCCTTCTCCAAGGTCATAAAGGCCTCAGTCAGGCATGAAGGCTGAGGCAGCAACAGCAGTGGGGTAGTGTGGTGCAGGACAGAGTAGATGGACCTGGGGTTTTAATTCAGGGGTCATAAACATATGTAGTAGTACTATAAAACCTTCTTTAAATTCTTGCAACTTCATGTTCTACAGTCTGTAAAATAGATTATTGTCTGCCTCCTAAGGCTTTGGATAGGATTACATTTAAAAATACGTGAAGGTAGCAAGCATGGATAATCACTAATTTTTAAAATCTTAATATCACTTGGTGCTATGGACTAAACTGCGTCTCTCCAAAATTCATATATTGAAATTAACCCCTAATGTGACTGTATTTGCAGATAGAGCTATTGGAAGGTAACTAAGGTTAAATGAGGTCATAGGGTGGGGTCCTAATCCAATAGGATTAGTGGCCTTATAAGAAGTGCCTGAAAAAGGCCATATGAGTACACAGCAAGAAGGCAGCTGTCTGCAAACCAGGAAGACAGCCCTCACCAAGACCGAACCATGCTGGCATCCTGACTTTGGACTGTGAGAAATTAATCTTTGCTGTTTAAGCCATCTAGTCTATGGTACTGTGTCATGGCAGCCTGAGTTGACTAAGACGACTGCTCTCTGCAGTCTTACAATTGCCCCTCACTAACTCCCCTTGACCAAAACACACTCCTTGAAATTCCCATCCTTCAGCTCTTTCAACTAGTGGAAGGCAGTGGTTAAAACAACTCTAGACATTTACCAAATGTGTGATCTTGGGCAATATGTTTCTCCTCCCTATGCCTCAAATTTCCTATTCTGTCAAAGCAGTCTAAAAATAGCGCTTATCTCATGGGGTTGTTTTAAATATTAAATTAGTTCATGAACATTAAGCACCAATGGCAGATAATAGTGGGTTGTCATACCTAGACCACAAATTTTATAAGAGAAATGTTGATCTCTTTTGGATATATCCCAAGCACCTAGAACTATGTCCAGCACATAGTCACACTCTCTGTTTCTGCAATGGTTGAATAATTAGTCCTCCCACCATTTCTGACTGGCTTTCCAACCCCTCTATAATTTGACTATGCCCAATCTTTCCAGTCTTCTTTTTCCTCTACAACCAGCTCAGGAATGTAGGTACCAGTCATACAACTGGTTGGATTTTTATTGTTGTTGTTGCAAGTCTTGCCTTTTTTTTTTTTTTTTTTTTGGCTCCAGCCATTTCTTGTACTTCTGGAAGTTTCCTTAGCTCCCCTTCATAAATGCCATCTCTTAACAAAGGTGACTGTGCACCACATACATGCGTGCACACACACACACACACACACACACACACACACACACACAGTGAGAGAGAGAGAAAGAGAGAGAGAGAGTACTAAGACACACAATCCCAAAGGTTCTTTGAGAGATAGGAAGTAAAATTTTCATGGTTCTCCCATCTCAGACTCTTAGAGTCCTCCCCATACTGAAAGTGGAACATCTTATAAGGGTGGTTTGGATTTATTGAGTACCTCCTCAAAATTTCTCCAGGGAGTACTACCTGACTGAGAGGGAATAGCGATTATCTAGACAGAATTATCACACATTAGAATTCACTCTCCTTCAGTTTGGAGGGAACTTTTCCAATACCATTTGAAATGACCAGAGAAGACACCTGCTGGAGTGATATAAGGTGAGGACTGATTCTCGATGTGGTGGAAGCAATGCTTACAGATGAAGAGAATGCTCTTGAAAACTTCCTGCTTTTCTCCTCACACCCTTGTGTAAATGAACTCTTGACTGCCTATCCCCACTCTGGAAAATAAGTAGGGCTTTTCCACCCACAAAGTCATTAGATAGTATGTCAAGATTTGGTAAGGAAGGGGTAAGAGGGCAGAAAATGTGTCTGAGAGCCTCTGATCCCTGAAGTAACTTGGTCTCCCACAGAATTTGGATGGAAAGCCCTTTATGAGTTTTATATATTTCCATGTTCTTCTCTCTCCAGTCAGAAGATGCTTCCTACCCTCCATCCCTGAGGCAGTCCCTTCCCTATAAAAATACATTTGTTTGATCAAATCCTGATTGTACTTTCACAAATGAGTTGGAGGGTAAGTGCGGCTGTTTGTTTTTCTGGCTGTGTTTGCTTTTCCGGAGAGACTAGAGGCTTTTCCCTTGACAGTGTTCCCCAAGGGGAAGGGGAACAATGGCACCATCTCTCAGTTCCTAGAGTCTCTATAGTTCCTCACAATCATAAATGTATACATCCTGAGAGCACAAGTCCTAGCTGCTGCTGATGCACATGGCTTTTTACCATGGTGAGTGGATTGGAGTGCACTCTCATAGCATCAGAGACCTGAAGCTGTGGCTACACAGTCAACCAATTCCCTCTTATCTCTGCCTGTTTTGCCCTTCTATTTCTGCACTAATTATTGCCTTGGCTAGGGATTTGATGAGTATCCTAATTAAAGTATCTGAAATTTTTTCTACCAAAATATTCTTATCAATACTCTCTTAACTTCCAGAGAAGGTGAACGTTGTGCATAATTAGAAACACTGCAGTAATGCCAACCTACATTGATCTCATATATTCTAGTGTACAAGGCACTTTCGCACCTATTACTTCAGATTATATTCATGATAACTAACCCCATGAGGAGAGCTGGGAGATTATAATTAGTCCTTTTACAAATAAAGATTCTCAGACAGGTTGGCTAAGTGATTTTGGCTTACAAGTGACAAAATCAAATTCTCTATTAAATAAATGGAGGGAAAGGGCTATTAGGAAGGGAGAGGGAAAAGGTAAATAAGTGCCACTAAGAAAAAGTATGTGATGTGTCAGACAAAAACCAGGATCTGGTTAACCTCATATGTATCAAGCTTATTTAATTAATGTATGGAATAACCTCTATCTCTGGTCTCTTTCAGCCTCTTGATAGCTTGCCTACTCTTCTGTTCTTGCCATAACCAACATGCTGCAGCCAGAGAAATCCCACCTGATCACATCATATATCATATCATATTGTATCATATCATATCATATCACATCACGTCATTCTCTTGTGTAAAACTCTTCAGTGGTCTTCCATTGCTCTTAGGACAAAGCCCACAGTTTCTCATGTCTAAATGATGGCTTCTGTGACCCAGTCCCTAATGGTCTGTTTCTGCCTCATCTTACCTCCCAGTCATCCTAGCTCTCTCCAATCCAGCCATACCTTCAGTTTGTTAGGTGCACCATGCCTGCCTGCAGAGCCATTGTCCATTGTATTCTTGCTGCTCGAATGTTCTTCCTCCATCTGGTTTTAAGTACTATTCTCCCTTTACATCCAAGTTCAAGCAACTCTTCCTCAGGTAAGTGTTCTTGACCTCTGATCTTCCTGACTAAGCCAAACAATGCTTTTATTTGCCTAGTCCCATGCCTTTCTTGTTGGAGGGCTTAGTAATTTTATATTTATTTGTGTGATTAGTTGATAAATGAGTCTTTCCTTATGTCCCAGGAGAGATAGAGATGCCTTGTTTGGCTCACTATTGTGTTCCCAGTACCTATTGCCACACCTGGTATACAGTTGGCTCTCAATAATTAATATTGTCTGAACAAATCAGCAAATGGAAAAATGAAGGTGATTCTTCAAACTAGTCCTCATTTATATTTAAATTTCAGTGCAAAGCTATGTCCCTCACGTCAAGTGTCCCACAGATGAAATGGACAGTGAGTAGATATGGCCTATTTCTGTGTTTCTAAGAATAAAATTTCAACACACTGACTGTTAAAGATCACATTGGCTTTTGTTAGCAATTTATGAACCAGGCATCACTCATTGTACGCAATAGACAGGAGTTCCATCGAATGTGGCAGAACAGTTGGCTTTTGTGAGGCAGCTTGACCAGGAGCAAGGAAGCAGCACAGTACAGAAAGTGGACTAGTTGACCTCAGGTTGCATCAGGTTACTTTCCTTGTATGGGTGAAAGCAGAGGGGGCTTCTTTGTCATGCCAGCTCAAGACGACTGGGCTCCTTTTGATTGGGTGCTATGAATCTACTGTGTTGTTTTTGTTTTTTGTTTTTGGAAAATTGGCCTGTTTGGGAATTTGGCTATCATCTCCTGATTTCTGGGAAGGTCAGATCTTATAAGTGAACAATTTAGTTTTCAGTTTGGTGTTGTAGAACTTTGACACATGTGACTCCATTTTGGGTTGTTCTGTTGGGGCCTACGACAGGAGCTTAGTCCAATGAACGGCCTTCCTTAAATTTTCCTTAACATATGTTTTGTTGCAAAATGTGAGCAAGATTTTAGTCTTAAAGAACTACTGAGGAGTTCTTATGTAAATGCTTCTTCTTTTCCTTTTGATTGGGAAAGATCTTCCCTGCCTTTTTTTCCTCTGCACTCCTTACACCACATTATCTTTTTAAAAGGCATTTCAATGCTAGTGGTGAGTAACTCCCTAGGACGAAGCTTTTGATGGTCAGAAGCCCTAGTTAAGTGCCTGGTGTGCGAGCTAGAGTCTTTCATCCTAACCCATCCATGGGCACTGTCCCTTACAGGGGACAGGATGCAGAGTTCTGTCTATATAAATAGCCACCTTCCTCTTTCACCTCCTCAGCATTTTGCTAAGAGCCCCACCTTGAGCTTATTTACATTGAGAACAGCTTTTGAAGCAAATATACACCTGCTCCTGCACATCCCCAGGGCGAGCTGTGGGGTTTCTTGATGAAAGGGTTTGTTCATACAGAGCTCAGTGCCTCTGAGTCAGAAAGAAAAATGAATAAAAAGAAGTTTTCTGAAAACCAGCTCTGTGAAAAGGAAAGTACTGAGAGAAGAGAGTTTTAAGGCAAAAGAGGCAAAACAAATAAGAAGTCATCATCAAGAAACCATGTTGAACAGTTTAATTTCCTGAAGCAGAAATGAATGTCTATTTTCCTCTGTAGCAGACTGCTTCAGAGAGAGAAATACAGTTCGGTAGATTAAACTGGCATTTGCACCATGGTCTTTAAGTCACTAATTCTTGCTGGGGGAACAGGGGGCAGGTGGAAGAGAAGACTTGAAATTGGCCAATTTGGGGTCATTGTTGGTTAACACCGATATATTTGTGTCAAGAGTCAGGAAAGGATTTAGCCCTCTACTTGATCTGTGGATGTGCCTGAGGGGCAGTGAAGTTTTGAAGGAAACAAACCAACGGAGGAATTGCGTTTCACTCCATCAGTTTGGACCTAAGAATCTAAGAAGATGCTCGTAGCACTGCCTTCTCTCTTAGCAGATTTTTTTCTCTGAATCATCACAACATGTAAAGCTCTGACACCTAGGATATCCTGAGGGGGAAAGCAAGAGAGAAGGATGTAATTGTGCCAATTCATCTGGCCAGGAGACTGAGGGCACAATGTCCTTTGGGCAGAATAAATTGTTATTTTGGGACCTTGTGTTGATCATTTTGGCAGTAGTATCCTGGAGGGACAAATCCAGAGTTGCAGAAAGAGGTTTGGGTGCCTGGGGCAGGGAGTCAATTAGTTATAGGGCTCTCCTTTTTCGCACCCATATTTATACAGGGCGAATATCCATTAACACTCCAATTTAATAAAGTAACTGACTTATATTGTATAGCCTTATTTTAAAAGCTTATGATAGTCTATATTAACTTGTCATAATAAAAATAAACAAATACATTTTACAACTTGCAATATTTAACACACATCAGAATGCTGAAATTAAAAAAACAAAAGCATACACCTGTATGTCTTATGATATTTAAGGTCTGGGTCTGTTTACCCCACAATTTCTCTTCTCATAGTTAATAAAAAACATGTATATATTATGTTTTAAGAGGAAATATTTTTTGTTCTGTTTCTGTAAGAGCATCTGGGCCTTATTACCAATTACCCTTGCAGCCTTGAATTGGCAGCAGCCATCCACATCAATGTAAAATTAAATACAGCTCTCAGATTAAAGGGCTAAGAAATTAGCAATAACCTTTATTAAATGTATATGAAAATTGAAAGTAAACATTTTTGTCAAGCATATATATATATATATATACACACACACACACATTTTCAACTGTTGAAACAAATAAAAAATGCCCTACCAACAGAATCTACTTTAAAACATTTTTTTTTATTGGAAAGTGCCATTCCATTGTTCTAAGCCTCTCAGACCACACTAGACACTTTCCAATTTTGACTAAGACCTGGCCCTCACATGTGGCCCAGAAGGGAGGGACAGAGAAGATAGCAGCATGCAGAGGCCAGGTTAGGACTCAGCAGCCATCTCTTGGACCATTTAATTAATTCACCAGATAAAGGGAAAATGTGGAAATTGCAGGGTTAGGACCATTAAATTCATCAGATAAAGGGAAAATGTGGAGATTGTTAGGGCTGAGTAACTCCCTTTTTCAGCTAATACTCTTCTTTTTTCTTCTTTAAGATTGTCACCTATCACTTTATGTTTCCCCCTCCCCCTCTTCCTCCTCATCTTTCTTTTTCTTGACCATCTCTAATTAATAGAATACAGGATCTACTATGATGAAGGTAGCTATGGGGGCTCTTGACTGGATAAGCCCTATACAGAGGCAAAGTGCCCAGGGGACTGTGGAGGAAGAAAGATAAATGAATTTCTGCCCCTTTAGAACCTGGAGAAGTGCCACCACTGACAACAAAAGGAGAAAGGAGTTGACAGCAAGACAAAGGGACTATTGCTTTTGTGTGTGCCTTAGTACACACTTTTCATATGTAATCAACTGAAGTAAATAATATTTGTCTCACATTTTCCATTATATAATAGGTTTTTTTTTTCAACGTTCATTTAGAAAATGTGTGTCCTTCCTTGAGTGGCATAACCTGCCTAATGCAATCTCTTTCATCTGTGTTGATATTGACCTTTCACATGAGATACATTCCTCCTTGTGTGACCCATTCCACGTGTCACCAGAGCATCTCAATAGTTAAATTTTTACATGATGGAGAATGCATCACTGAAAAGCAAACATTTTTGAGATGTTTCTGCATCTGTTTTAAAACGCAGCTTGGCTATTATCAGATTCATACGTTTACACAGTGCTCTGTCCCACGCAACTTGTAAATATTTGATAAATGTTACTTTTTAATTCCTGATAACATTATGAAAGTGTTAAGAAATGTTATGGCCGATAACCTCTTTCCGAGCCTAAGACTCACATTTACCATGTAAAGTTATTGATTGACTAGAGCAAAATGATTTTGTTTTCAGGGAAACAAAGTCCCTCAGAGGCCACATTCAAACTTTCCCTTCATTTAATTGTACGTTGTCCAAGGACAGAGATAAGATATTTTTTTCCTGCTGTTTCTCAAGCAGGTCAACCTGGGTCTACCAAGACCAAATATTTATGGACATATGTGAGTATGCAGTTCCCTAATGACAAATGTGTGATAATATGTCAGAATGAAAGATTTTTGAGACAGTAATGTTGACTGTCTGAGTTGGGCATTTACTTAAGCTGTGTTGCTGGGAAGCAAGTACCTGGCCTTCAATCAAATAAAGCATTTTCTAATGAATGAGTTCACATTCTGAAGTGTAACCTCCAAGATCAGGACATCCAGGTACAAAGGCATCGTCCCGTGCAGAAAGAGTCAGCGATTTTTACGCAAGCTTGAGAATCCTTCACTTCGAGCATATGCTACACAGTGGAGCAACCTTCACTAGTTTAGTTTAATGAACAAAGCATCAAAAAATACTCTGAAATTTGATAGGAAAATAGTTTTAAATTTGCATACTATATGATGCTATTTATACAAAATATAAATTTATTTTATGCTAATACAATACAAGATGTTGGTTACCCTAACAGGCAGTGACTACAAGAGGTGTGATGGAGGGATTTGGAAGGTACACATAATGTTTTGTTTCTTAATCCATGTACTGGTTACATGAGTGTGTCTGGTTTGTGAAAGTTTCTTAAACTCTAGTTATTTTATTTATTTATATATACATATATATTTGATAAAAGTGTTCACTTTCAATTTTCATATACATTTAATAAAAGTTATGCACACACACACATATCAAAAGTCTACATATGTCCTTGTTTAGTCTTACTTCTACTTTTTAAAAAGATGCATTCTCTTTCTTTCAAGTTCAAAGGCATCTTTTGAGGAAATACATTTGTATTTTCCTTGAACTTGGTACGTACACACCTACATATATTTCTTCAAGAAATCTCTAGCATGTCCAACTTAGTTTTTGAGTAATTATTCTTACAAGTGAAAACTTGTTCTCATGGCAGCACCAGGCTCTGAGCTCCCTGAGGCAGGGGTCATGTCATGTTTGTGCCCTAGGAAGCTGGCCTATGGTAGGTAATCAATAATTATTGAATAAGATGCAAAAGATCAGGTAGTACAAGAGTCCTGATAGTCCCCAACTCTGACCCCTGAGTCCCTTCAGTTTCTTTCTACTTGACAGTTTGTAACACTGGGCACAAAAGGGAGACAGAGAGAACAAACCACTTCTGCTGTGACCAGGTTACGTGATCTGCAGGGATCCAGCCTCCAATCAGGAGCTATTGCACAAGGGCTAGCAAGTAGCCAAGGACAAAAACCAGGTAACTTCATCAGTTAAGTAAACAGTGGCTAGCACAATGGCTGTGCTAAACAGGACAAGCTCAAAGTGCAGTGTCATGGCCAAATGTCTCCTTCCAACGGAATGGACATAGGTGCCTCTTAGAGACCTGCCTTGCAGGAATGATTACAATATTTATCAAGTAAATGACAGCTTATGTACTTTGTCATGTGCTTTTTTTTTTTTAATCTTACAATAACTGTGGTAGAGGTGATGTTATTCTCTTTTCATAGATAAGGAGACTGAACAAAGCAGTTAAGCAATTTATTCTTGGTTACAAAGTTAAGTGACAGAATTGCAGCTCAAATCTTGGTCTGTATGGCTGACTCCAAATCCCATGAACTGATGGCATCACATATCTTAAAAGAAAAAAAATCTGTGAAATGTCAGGATTATTCTGATTAAATTCAGGACTCAGTAAAAAAAAAAAGGTGGGGGATACTGGCATCTTCTACATTATTATTTTCTGGATGATGATAATGCAACTGAACTGAAGATCTGTAAGGTTAAGTAACTTGCCTAGGGCTGCTCAGCTAATAAGTGGAAGCACCAGGGTTGGGAACTAAACCTATAACCTATGCACTTCTCACTCTACTGAGGATGCTGAATAGCTTTCTTCTCTAGAGTCAGCCCTGGGCAGTGGGCAGTGGCTGCCTGGAGTTCTGTGCTGAAATGGATCAGAAGCCACTGCAGAGCCCCATGGGAAAGAAGCCTGGGATAAATTAGCCATGCTGCTTATTTGCCATCCCTGTGCTATACTGCTCCTAAAACCCACTGCCCTTTGACCCCTGGGGATCAACCAGGACTTAATTATCACAAGCCTTGTTATGCTTCCCAATATGCAAGGCACACACACGAATACCACATTCTACTAAGCCTTCTTCATATTTGCACTCTTTAAAGATACCATATCTACTCTATTACCAAGCAGCAGGTTTGGACGTTGGTAATATTTCTGTTTAGGCTCTAATTCCAAGTAAGGAGACATCTAAATGGCTAAAGCAAACATGGACTAAAATTATTCTTAGTATAATTTCACCTCACTTAAAACCACTTATTAAATGGCTATTTTGTGAAAGTGGGAATATACTAGGACAATAAAAAGGGAACTAGATTGAAATCAGGATTATCAGGCCCAGGTTCCAACTTGACCCTTCACCAGTTCTGCACCTCTGGACTAATCACTCAAAGGCATGTGTTTTGGAGTCAGACCTGAGTTTGATTTCTGGCCCTGACATTTACAAGTGCTGCAATTACCTTATGCAATTTTCTGTATTTCCTAAAGCTTCAGTTTTCTCATATTTAATGTGTGAATAATAATGACTTCCTCACTGGGTTGTTATGAAATTCATGGAGATGTTGCATGCTAACTGCTTAGCATAGTTCATACAACACTGAGGTCCCTAGTAAATGCAGCTGTCATTATTCCTTGTCATTAAATTTCCTTATCTATAAAAGTTGGTTACAATGCAAACCTCCCAAACCTTCATAAAGTTCACTGACAAGTTCAGGCTTTACAACAACATAAAATTTCTTTTATTGTATATCTCACCTCAAGGTGTATCCCATCTGTTAAGGAAACAGAATCTCCCCCCCAAAAAAAGAAAAAGTAAGAGATAATAACACATAATAAACATTTACAAAACAAATGAGGAGTAATACATGGATATGGGGAAAACTTGGAATAAATCAAATAATTAGAACTGAAAAGTTTAGTTAAAATTTGGATTTCAGAGGAAGAAAAAGGCATGCCTTGCCACAGAGCCCATAAAATAGAGTTATAGACTCATGGATTGGAAATTCTGCTCAGGTTCAGAAGAGCTGATATTCAGTTCTAACTCTGATGCTCCCTAACTTTTTAATTTTTCTCAAGATTTTTAGATTTTCTCATTCCGTAAAAATGGGAAAAATAATAACTTTTTTTTTTATGAGGGCTAAGAGGATACAATCAGATCATACATACAAATAAGTTTTTGTTGCATTTAGTTTATGGTACAAGGAATGGCCAAAGCCAGTATAGGGCAAGTGAGCCACATAGGGTACAGCATTTAAGGAGACACGTAACAAAGGGTTCTAGAGTATGCCTCTTTTGACTTGCACCCTTGTCTTCTCACTTGCCTTAACCTCGTCCTGGACCTGGGATGAAAAGACAGCAAACGGGTCTCTCCAATGGAGTAACAATGTGAATATAAATAATGAGACATGAGAGCACGTGACAAATCCAACTAATAATGGGTTGTAAAGCACAAGGCAATGAGTCTGGGGCCAATGGGACAGTGGAGCTACTGCAGGTTTCGGAGGAGGGATGTGGCATGTGTTTTCATAGTTTGATCACAGAATGCAGCAGTTCAATTGGATTCTGGAACATAGGCCAGTTGGATCTATAGAAGAGGTCAGTATTGTTCTATTTTATTATGGATTTGGGAAGAAAATAAAATTACATATATAATTGTATGACAACTACTAAAACTCTAAATTATGAATTAATGAAATTAATAAAGAATTGATAATGCGTGCCCTCTTACTGTGATTTATAGATGGTTGTGGTGGAGATTGCCAGGTGTCTCACGCCAGCCAAAGAAACATTTGCTATCTGCCATTTCTACAAATTGGCTACTAAAAAAGGAAGCAGCATTTGGATAAGCTGGTACTTTCAGCACAGTAACTCTTGAAACACAGAACTTCTTGGGTGTACATTTGGAGGAAAGTTGATCTGGAGCCTATGGAGTGTCATTGGAGCTGGGTGTTCACAAAGCTAATGGAAAACATATTAATTCTGTTCTACTGAGGGTTGGAAAAGAGCTTCTAGGGTCATGGTGGGTCAGAAACCTAGGAATTCATTTTGGACTGTAATGGAAAAGTTTTATCCATTACATCTAAACTTATCATTTAATAATGGCTGCCAGGAACACTGTCAAATGAAGGATTCTGAGCCTTCAGCCAGGCTTCACAGGTAAGGGCCACCATTGATTAGCAATGTCTGTTGCAAGACATTGGCAGAAATGAGAGGTGGGTTGTGTGTCTGATCTGGTTCAATTATTTGATTTTACTATTGTTAAAGTCAAGGCTCTAGGAGGGGAAAACTTACTCAAAGCAACACAGTTCAATAAATAAGTGAAGAATCAAACTCAAGTTCTCCAACCCAATGCAATTTGTTCACAATCCACTTCTTAATAAACCACAGAACATTTTTATTTATGGCATTTATTAAGGAATGTCTTCCCCTTCTTTCAAAAGCCACATTCTAAGTCAAAATTTTGCTTCTAATTATTTCTTTTATTCCAGAATTTTTTCCATTCCTCTGTATCGCTCATTTTTTTTTTTTTTTTTTACAAATGTCTATTATGTGTTATCTCTTACTCGTTACTTATTTTTAAATTTTATATCTGAGTTTATCTTTGCTTCACATTTTGGTCCACAGTGGAAGATTCCAATGACAGAGTAATGCTTTTATTCAAGATACTTTATTCTAGCTGAAACCACATCTTTTCTATGCTAGTCTATCAGAAATGCAGCATAATGGGAGTCTTTGCTGAATATGAAGCAGATTCCTAGAAAACAAGTGGGCATTGATTTATTTTTATTGATGTGCTTTTACTAACTGATAGGAAGTGTTCTTTGAACACCTCTCTTCCTACCATTCCACTCCAATAAGCCACTGAGTTTGATCATTTCTAACACATGGTCCATGATGCTGTCTAGAGGGCTGAGAGCCTCTCCAGCCACAGTGCTAAGTGAGCCAACAGCCACCCAGGTCTCCTCAATTCAGATGTGACATTTTCCTGATGTGCGACTTACATCCTGACCTGATATAACCTTTCAGTTTGGGACTATGAGCTGGGATATGGATACCTTGGACAACTCTTGGTCTTCAAAAAAAGAGAAAACTAACTAGGAGTAAACCTGCAGATGAACTATGCATATATCCAGTGTACAAGAGAAAGTAGGTTTTTGGGAGGAAAGAAAAGTTATAAAATAAAGGCAGAAAAATCAACTATTTTTTCTCTTTGAGTCCAGATGTTTTTGATGTCATTGAGCATCAGGCATTGTCTAGAGTCTCCAAATTTTATGTCATGTTCTCTGTGGAAATTGCAGCAAACAGGCACACGATGTTTTGAAGGTGAGTGGGAAAAGGCGCTGGGACATTGCTGCTGGGAGCAGAGTACCTCCTTTGGGCTAGAAAGAGCCCACCGGGCCTTTTTATTCCCAATTTACCACCTAAATATTGGAGAACTGTGATGTTAAGTTCTAATAAAAATCTAGGGAGAAATTGTACAGCTTCTTTTTGAATGATGTTCTCATGCACCAAAAAGGGCTTCTTAGGGCTTATTTCTGCCTACTTTTTGTTTGTTTGTTTCTAAATCAATACAATATCCAATTCTCTACCAATCGGAATAAAAGAGAAAACATATTTCGCCCATAATACTGCTGTCCTATCACAACCATAACATTCTGGTGTATTTCTTTTTAGTGTATTTTCCTGAGGATGCATTTTTCCATAGCTATAACTTTATTATTATTATTTTACTTAAATCTGCAAAGGTTTTTTCTGTATCTTTAGTTTTATTTCTCTTTTCTAAAACTATTGTCTTTAATAGCTTCATAATATGTATATGCCACAGTTTATCTTTTTAAATTCATTATTGCTAGATAGTAGGTTATTTCCAATTCTTAATAATACTTCTATGAACATCTTTGTGCATGCCCATTTATCATATCTGTGAGAGTCCTTAGCTTAGTTTTCTTTGGTCCCTAGCTTGGATTTCTTATTTCTACTACTCACTCTCATTTATATTCCGAAACAAGCAGTATTCTTTTTCAAATGGTTGAATTATTGAAAATATTTGATATTTTGCCAAAATTCTGTCTGCTGTTTCCTCAGTAATGACCTTGGCCTAAATGAAAGGCAGTTTCGGTTTCGCACATTTACATGTGGGGGCCAAATTTCCTATAAAGACAAAGACAGTGCTTAGATCTTCCTTCAAGGGCTCCGATGACATTATAGGTACAACACTCCTTTGTGCTGGTGGCCCCAGCAGGGACATCACTGAAAGGCCTGCCTGAAATAAAAATGGCACTTTTATGGCTATGGATGTGTTTGTCCAAAAAACATTTAATCACTCTGAAGGTTTTTTTCCCTTGTCTGTAGTAAGCAGCATTTTGTAACTGTAGAGTTCTGCTAATGCACACTTCTGCCGGGAAGCTTCCCAGGGTGGGGCACAAAAGATGCTAAGTGGCAGGGGGGAGACGGGGAGAAAGCCATTAACACTCCAGCAGCGAGGTCAGATCTGATGTTTCCTTTTGTTTGCAGGATCCAAATTAAGAAGCTGCTTCTGTACTTTCCCTGTTGCCTCCCACCTAAACACACTCTTGGGTCATCTCAGTCTGGTCACATCTTTTGACAATTAGCCACCCATTAACAGGGTGATTGAAAAGGAGCCAGAGTGGTTTACACATAAAGTGCTTACTCTTTTCCAGGAAGAACACATATCTCTACAGTTTCATTAATGCTTTGGCCGATTAGTCCACACAAGAAAATAAAATACTTACACTCTAGAAAGCACTAGCAAAGGGAAGAAAGTGAGGTGGAAGGAAGAAAATTAAAGAACAAAAATAACCCTTAGAGATTTTTCTTTCCTTTTCTTCTTTTTGCAAACATGCTTTAAAGGGGGGGTGGGGGGATGGGGGGTGTTATCTTGCTTCTATCTTTTTCTACCTTTAAAGCCAGTATTACCAGCCATTTTACTTGTACTTTACTATTATTATCTGGGTGATGGCTGTGACATGTTGATCATATATGGCAGTGAGAAAATTGATTTCCCTCAACAGAAATGCTTCCAATTTTCCCAGGGCCATAATTTTATGTCCACAACAAAATAAAAGGGTCATTTTCCTTAAGATGAGGGGAATTGAAATCTTTGATAAAAACTATGGTAAATGCTGTACTTTTGATTGTGGAAACGGCAGTTTTCACAAACATCTGGCCTGTCTGATTTGGGGGTGTGGGTTGGGGGCAGAGGAGAGAGGTTTGAAGGCAAAGAATAGTTGTTATTTTTCTTTAAAGAGCTGAATTTGCTTTAAGAAAGCTATGTAAGTCCACAGCTTCACTCTAAGTGTTCATATTCCCATTAAACGGAAGCTACAGGGTGATGCTTTGAGCTTACCTGCCTACAAGCAAGAGTGCTAAAAAAAAGCCACAGTCACATGGATTGAGCCTTCTCAAAGAATGAACACCTGTGCAGGCCTTCAGTTCACAGGGAGCCTGCCACAAAATGCATTGATAACCTCACAGATGTTGCTTTGCAAGCCAAAGACATTTCATACCAAAGAAGGAGGTTAGGAGGATTGAGGCCAGGGACACATTGACTTTGTATAAGTACAAGAAGAATAAAAACAGAGGCTGTTTTCTGAGGCCTAATTGCTGCTCTGTTTAGTTAGCAGGCTTTACCCAATCTGATGGAAACTGATTTCCAAGTAGCTGATGGAGCAACATTTACCAACAAATATTTAGAATTAGAGACCTTTGCTTCACCCTGAATCCACATGCAAGGTTAAACCAAGTTTTCTAGCCAAATAGCCGAGTGTTTTATTAACATTTGATTCACCAATGGAAATATTTTTACATCATGACTGCAGTTGCAACTACAGATGCATGAGAGAAGATAAAACGATCTCTTGCTTTTTAAATAGTAATTTTCCCTGAGCTAAAAGTAATCTGCGATCTTATACATTTTTCAGGTAGTCTAAAATAAACAAATGCAACTTTTGTAATCAGAAAAAGTAATTTTGTTGGGATTATTTATGAATATGAATAATGAATATTCATTTGTTAGAAAGGAAAAGTTACAATCCATTAGGAATATGGAAGTACATTCTCCTGGGAAAAATTTAACTCAAAGAGTACTGAAATTACAAGAAAAAACACAGCAATCTAAGGAAAATAGTCTGGATGCTGCTTGCTTTTTTTTTCTTCTTGAATATTCTCCTTCTAACTCTACCAAAGTAAAATCTGAAATTACTAGTATTTACACACTGCAGCAGCTGTTTTTTGTGTTTTCATGCTTCCACTGATCTTCATGAGTTCGTGTTGATAAAGTACTCAAAAATGAAATGTAAGCAAAGAGGTTATATGTCTTATTTTCACAAGTACAGGTTAAAGCAGGAGTCAGTAAACTGTGGGCAATGGGCCAAATCCAGCTGCCACCTGTTTCAGTATGACCCTGCCAGTGAAAAATGTTTTTAACATTTTTAAACCACAGAAAAAAAATCAAAAGAATAACATTGTTTTGTGACAGGTAAAAATTATATGAAAATCAAATTGCAGTGCAGTCCATAGCAAAAATTGATTGGAATACAGTTGCACACGTTAATTTACGTATTGCCTATGGCTGCTTTGATACAATAATGGCAGAGTTGAGTAGCTGCAACAGACCATATGGGCCACAAAGCCTAAAGTATTTACTGTTTGGTCATTAACTTACGTTTTCCTTTACCTACAGAAGTAGCTTGTTAGATGATTATGCCACATCACTTTGTGTGGATGAGTTATCACATAAACACACCGATACATTTCACTTTCATATAGGCATGAACTTTACCTTCTGACATGAATAAAGTTTATTGGTAGGTGTAACGTCATCAAAAAATATCTTGCTTTTCCTACTCACAATTTGGATGAAGTTGAAATGTAGCTCTTGTACCTGTGGTACAAATAGTGTTTCAGTGTCACTGAAGAATCAGTCTTGAAAAGTGAGGCATTTTCAAGGAGACCATTCAAATAATAGAAATTTTTAAAGCACTTAGAAAAATGTCTGTGCCCAGAAGAAATCTAAATGCTCACATTTTGCCAGCTAAGAGCGTTTATGAAGCAGTGCAGGTAATAGGGGAAGAAAACTCACTTTGTTTCTTGGGAGCTGCGCTCTTTGAATGTCCAGTTCGTTTCAGTGCAGTTTAGATGACAGCAATTATAAATGGCTTTGGCCTAGCAAGGGTGAGTGACAAGCCGTAAGTGAGTGATGCTCATTTGAATCCATTGCCCCGCCTCTTCAATGTGAAAAGGTCCCTGCATTTAGAATAGTAACGATGAATTAGAGTAACTTGTCTGCCTCATTAACATGTGGTCTGATCTAGGTAAATCAATTTGGAGGATGTCGGCATATTTAATCCTTCCCAAGGGTGAATTGTGGCTTTTTCCAATTTGTTGACCTTACAGCTATGCCCAAAAGAGTTTCCTTATTTCATCTCCAGCCTGTGTTGGATACTGAGTGTGCCTAGGCTGAACCTGGAACGTGACTGAGTCCCTTTGCAATTATTCTGGCAAACACAGTGGATTAGTGCATGCTGGAATATCAAGGAAGATGTGGGTGTTTGTTCAGGAAATTCCCCATGCCACACTGAAAATACCCATCCTTAGAATAGCAGTGCTGCTCTTTGCTGTTATAGAATCAGCCTCCTTGTGAATTGCACTTCTTAAGGGTCAGCATCTGAGAAATTGCAGAGCATGGTTATGTCTTCAGGACAGAACGATTTGCAACTAAACTGTAACTTGGGAGGTCAAATGGATTTTTCGGGATTGCTGCAATGTCCTGAATTTGGTTCAGTGAGTATGTGATTTGCATGGGTGACCACATCTCAAAATCATTCAGAGTATCATGCACATCTATTCAGCTTCAGCTTCCACTTGAGGATGAATACATAATGCCTTCAATAACCAGTGGAAGGTGGTGCTCTTGAACCTCCTACTCCCTTGGCTGCTCTGTGTTTTGCGTGGTGAGGGAAAGGGGATAGCACATGGCAGGTATGCCAGGTGAAGCTTACTGGGGAAGCAGCAGCCAGTCATTAAGGATATGTCAATATGAACTTTGTTACAAACTCTTGAAGGATTTTAAGCAGAGAAGCAACACGATCACCATGTCTTTCTAATCATCAACCCAAACCTGACAAGAATTGGGTTTGGTGGGTATGACAGGACTCACTGGAGACAGAACAGTTAGAGATCATCAGTAATCCAGAGGAAAGATCATTTAATCTGGGAATGGTGGGACTGGAGAGAAATGGACAGGTTTTACAGATAGTTAGAAGGTAAACTCAAGAGGACATAGCAACTGTTTGGATGATAAATTGAGAGGCAGAGGTAAGGGTTAAAGACAGTGTCCAGATCTCTGCCTTGGGCACATTTTTTGGATGGTACTGTCATTTACTGAGCTGGGCATCAGGAGAGGAAGAACAGGTGTTTCCTTTGAGATGAGATATGGTGAAGTTAGACAATGCAATCTGGTTATTTCTGTCTTTAATGTTTTAATCCAATCATTTCTAGAATATTTGAATGTAGGATTTTTCAGAGGTAGAGAAATTCTAAGTGTTAAAATAGCCCTGAGTGTGCCCTTGGGAATTAATGGTTGGAGTGGAGAGGAGGCAAAGGCTACTGCAGTGTAAGAGATCAAGAAATGCAATGACTAGGACAAAGCGTTCTTAAGAATTCTCAAATCTCCCAAAATGACAGCAGAGCTTGGTACAGGGATCCAATTAAGTGATCCAGTTTAAAATCCTCAATAAATAAGAGGGGAGTTGCCATAAGGCTATGAGAGTGACAAGAAATCAAGAGTGATATGGCCACATATCATGAGTGGTCTATAAGGACCCACAAGGGGTGAAGTGTGATGTTTGGAAGCAGTACATTTTTATAAGTCAGATACTTGGGATGTAGGAAAAATAAAGGCATCTTCTTGAGGGACTTTCAAGGATATTCAAGGTGTTCTCAGGAAAGAGCATATTACAGCTAAAGCCAGCAGTTAGGAGAAGCATTTGGTGGAGAGTTTGAGAACACAGGGGAGTTTGTGTGCAACTTAAGAGAAAGCCTAGAACACTCAGTGGGAAGTTTTGGAGAGAAGTGGATCAGTGGGAGTTTAGTGCAACAGAGGGAGCACAGAGCAGCCCAGGGGTGAGAGTCTAGGGGGAGCTTGATGAACAGAAAGTGAATTTTAGGCAATAAGGGGTGAGAAATGGTTGATTTAGGGGATTTTTAGATTCATACAGCTGCTGTAACAAATCACCATAAACCTACAGGCTTAAAACAGCACAAATTTATTATCTTACAGTTCTAGAGGTCAGAAGTCCAAAACTGGGACTTAGGAGGCTAACATCAATGTGCTGAGAGGACTGCATCTTTTTCCTGAAAGCTCTAGGGGACAGTCAGCTTCATGCCTTTTCCAGATTCTAGAGGCTGCCCTCATTTTGGGATTTGTAGCCCCCTTCTGACAATGGATCACTCCAAATTCTGCTTCCATCATCACATCTCCTTCTCTGACCTTCTTGCCTCCCACTTTCCTTTATAAAGACACCTGTGCTTACTACATTGGCCCCAGCTGGTTAATCTGGGATAGTCTCCCATCTCAACACCTTTAACTTACATCCATGAAGTCCTTTTGCCATGTAACCTAGCACATTCACAGACTATGGGATGAGGATATGAATATCTTTCAGGGATCATTAGTCTGCCTACTACAGGGGCCACAAAATGTCCTGGTAGAAGAGAGAGTATAGCTGGAAGTGGCAGCAAAATTGACCACATCCTGGAATAACTGTGCTTCCAGGAGAGTTCTGATGCAGATTGGATGAAAGTGTCATGCAGATTTTAGATTCTCACTACCAATCAGTTAACAACAATGGCCTTCAAAAGTTATCAGGAGAGAACTGAGACAATAAGGATTCAAAGCTGCTAGTAGCCACTGGGAGGTCACATCAATCTCCTTAGAAAACAGTAAAAATGGGATTCATTTGTCTCATTTATTCATTCTTTTAACAAATCTTTATTTAGTCTATAGCTACGATGGCCTTGAGGACAAAAATAAGAGCAGTTAAAACACTTTGGCTAGTTGGGGAAAGAGGATAAGGCAGGAAAAAAGGATGGAGTCAGAAGTGATCTGGAGCCTGCTTAGGCTAATGACAGTGTATCTTTGAATCATCCCTTACATCTTGCCAGCCATTAAATCCCGTATTTATTCCTTGAGAAGTTCTTGCAAGTACATTAATTTCTCCTTGTTTTGCCCACTACCACATTAGTCCACATCCATCTATACTTTACGCCTTAAAAAAAAACAGAAAAATGTATTTCAGGAGAAAATGATGGGTTAGATTTAGTATATGCTAACCTTTAAAAAAGGCAGAATAAGGGATACAGGACTGAGCTGGTGAGTTAGAATTGAAAGTCATCCTTATAATGATAGTATTGAAACCCATGACAGGCTAAATACCCATATAGTGAGATTTTGGAGAAATAAGAGCTGATATTCAAGGACTGAGGGCCTAGATGAAGGAAAAGAATCGAAGAAATCGGGGAGAACCAGGAGAGAGAAACATGGGGGAATCAATTATTTATTGGGGAAAGTTTCATCAAAAGATTCAAATGAATGGTCTTCAGCATTAAGAGCCACAAAGAGAGGAGACAGAGACTGAAGGCCAGATGACTGGATTTAGCCAGAAGAAGGTCATTACAAACCTTGACGAAAATTGCTATGGCACATAATTAAGGATCATAGGCAATACAAAACTTTAGTTTTCTTGAAGATGGTGGCATTAGTTTCCCATAGTCCACACTCTTAAAGCTGTTCGTATGATAAAGCAAGTGGTTAGAAGCCATGGACCTTCCAGTCTAGGTGAGCTACAAGGAGAATTTTCAGCCTGTCTTCTCATTAGTCAAAAAGCCTAATAGCTTGAAGAGGAGACAAATTTTAAATATAAGAAAGAAGAAAACAAATGGAAGCATCTAGACCTAGGTTATGGTTTTAACTTGAGAGAGGAAATGTAGAAGGATATTTTGGCCATCGGTTTGTTGTGCAAACGAGCAGCAATGTTGATTCCAATATAATATTTAGCCTCTTAGGAAATCACTCATCATACCGTCCTTAGCACTGTGCTAGGAGGTTCAGGGGGATGAGTGTCATAATGGTGAAACTCAGAAACCTGGTTTTGCTCTGCTCAATTTGACATTTGGATCAAGAAATTTTACTTATAATCTGACATCTCCGGGTCAGAATGAGTTAAGTTCCTGGTCTCATTTGATGTTTCCCCCAATTTTTGCTTGTTAAAGAAGATGAGCATGAAAGAGATATTAAGGAAACTTTCTGAATCAAAAGTCCCATAACTGTCTTTGGCATCAGTGAGCAGGGCTGATGTGAAGCCTGCAGGGCTAGTACAAGGCAGAGGAGAACAGTCATATTAACTGAGAAGCCTGATTTCCGGGCAGATGAGACTTTGAATAAGAAAATCATGGTTCACTGGGTGGAAAGATGCACAGAAGCTCCCAGAAAAGATTTTGATACATTAGTAATGATAACCAGGCAGCTGGAAAGTGTGGTTTACACAGGTTGGCCTGCCCAAGTTGGATGATATCCTTGAATGGACAAACACTTAGGTGTTACCAGGATACAGATAGAGAACAGTACTGAGTGAATGGGGCATGAAAATGGCGTATTCCATCTTATAAAATATAAATCCACTCCAGAACACATTCCTTCCTACTTGAACACCAACCAGTCTGTAACAATGCAATGGGGAGGAGGGGAAAGCTTTAATTTTACAGGAGCAAGAGTTGCTTTCATACAATGGTGAAATCATAATTTTTGAAATGTAAATTGTTACTTTGGAAAAAAATTAATGTCCATACATACCTATTTCTTTCACCCATTCTCTTTCCCATCATCTTCAGCTTTCTCCATGATATCTGCCATAAGAAGCAGTACTGCATTGTGGTTAAGCACTTTTGCATGGTTTCAGAGTCCATCTTTTTTTTTCTTAAAAAAGGTTTTATCACATTGACACAAGTTACTCAAGCTCTGTAAGCCTAAGGTGATTCATCTATCAAATGACACTAATAATAGTGTCTCCTTCAAAAGTGGTTGTGAGGATTAAATTAAATAATGTAGGTAAAGTACTTAGCACAGGGCACAGAATACAATTGTTGTTCAATAAATAATAATAATAATTTTACTGGCTAATTATTTGTTATAATGAGAATCATTTATTAGCTAATATTACAATGCAATAGAAAGAAAATTGAACCAGAGAATGGGTGAATGTATGCTCTATTTTAAAATAAATCACTCCCCAAATCATAAAATCCCTAGAGGAAAACCTAGGCAATACCATTCAGGACATAGGCATGGGCAAAGATTTTATGACGAAATCACCAAAAGCAATTGCAACAAAAGCTAAAATTGACAAATGGGATCTAATTAAACTAAAGAGCTTCTGCACAGCAAAAGAAACTATCATCAGAGCTAACAGGCAACCTACAGAATGGGAGAAAATTTTTGCAGTCTACCCATCTGACAAAGGTCTAATATCCAGAATTTATAACCAACTTAAACAAATTACAAGAAAAAAACAACTCTGTCAAAAAGTGGGCAAAGGATATGAACAGACACTTTTCAAAAGAAGACATTTATGTGGCCAACAAATATATGAAAAATAGCTCAACATCACTGATCATTAGAGAAATGCAAACCAAAACCACAATGAGATACCATCTCATGCCAGTCAGAATGGTGATTATTAAAATGTCAAGAAACAACAGACACTGGTGAGGCTGTGGAGAAACAGGAACGCTTTTACACTGTTGGTGGGACTATAAATTAGTTCAACCATTGTGGAAGACAGTGTGGCTATTCCTCAAGGATCCAGAACCAGAAACACCACTTGATCCAGCAATCCCATTACTGGGTATATACCAAAATATAAGTCATTCTACTATAAAGATACATGCACACGTATGTTCATTGCAGCACTATTCACGATAGCAAAGACATGGAACCAACCCAATGCCCATCAATGATAGACTGGATAAAGAAAATGTAGTCCATATACACCATGGAATACTATGCAGGTACAAAAAGGAATGAGATCATGTCCTTTGTGGGGACACAGATGAATCTGGAAACCATCATCTTCAGCAAATTAACACAGGAACAGAAAACCAAACACTGCATGTTCTCACTCATAAGTGGGAGTTGAGCAATGAGAACACATGGACACAGGGAGGGCAACAACACATATGGCGACCTGTCATGGGGTCGGGGGGTGAGGGAAGAGACAGCATCAGGACAAATAGCTAATGCATGTGGGGCTTAAAACCTAGGTTATGGGTAGATAGGTGCAGCAAACCACCATGGCTCATGTATACCTATGTAACAAATCTACAGGTTCTGCACATGTATTCTGGAACTTAAAAAAAAAAAAAAGCATAGCAAAAATAAATAAATCACTTCTAACCTTTTGACTTCTGTCTTTGAAACAGGAATAACAGTATCTGTACTAACAGATTCTCCTAGACATTCTGTGAATGAATAGAATTATGAATATTTGGACTTTGTAAAAGATATGTAAGTATAAGATAGGGAAAATAAATAAAAAGTTACCACCACAGCTCTATTTCTGCTTTCACGACTTGCATAAAGGCAAGTAAATATGATATTTAGTTAGTTGAGACTTAATCCGGCTGCCATCATTTATCTAGTAGAAACATAATGGTTATTTTTCAGCTAGAGATTTTCAAACCAGTTGAATGTGTCTATCTTAAGTCAGTCTTTGGTTTTAAAAAAAGCCTTGAAGCTGCATTTTATTTAATTGACTATTGATAATATAATAAAGCTCAATGGATATTTTTAAAAACCTACTATGTACTATGCATAATCTAGAAGTAAATGTTAGATACGAACAGTTAGGACCCTTGAATTGTACCTCTTGTAATAATTTGCAGTGACATTGACCTTATAATATATGTGTTTCCATCGAGTCATCTATTAAAAGACTATTATGATACTTATCTACTATGCAAAGGAATTATAAATTGGTTTGAATGTTAAGCTTCACTCAGGAAAAACACTGTCTAAGCAAAAGCCTCACCATTGTGTCATTCCTGCATTTGGTGCCATGGTTAATAGATGCAAAGTACAAACCACTGAATTATGCATTTGCCAGTACAATTCTGCCCCAGAGCAAGGTACTGTTGGAAGCCAGCCTGGTGGAGCGCAGCAGAAAAAGTGCCTGGTTTTGAAAAACTGATGACAAGAAGACATGATAAGAGATGGCCAGCAGGTTTAGAGAGGCACACTCTGAGGCTGTGTCCACCAACACAGCCCCTGTCACTGGTCCGAGGCCAATATTGTAACCACATTGATTGATTGACTCAGAATGTTAAGCAAGAGTCTCACAGGAAATGGACACAGACAAGCCCCTTCATGGAAAGATGATTTGACCAAATGTAAGAAATCCACGTATGGGACAGAGCACAAGAGAGGGTTCAGCTTTGTTTACAAAAGTCTCTGCTACATGAATGGAAGTCCTGACACAATAAACAACATTGACACATCACTTCGCGGCTTATAAAGCCCTCACACATGCACACAGTCCCATCTCCCTCTTATTGGCCCAAAAGTTCATGGATTTTTGTATCTGTCTACATTCTGGCTCAGCAGAGGAAACAACCCCTTTTCTTCCTGGGCAGCAGGTTCATCTGGTTTTAAGTCAATATAAACTATATGAGCTGCCACCTTTCTTGCCAGCCTGAGCTGTCCAGGGTCATGGCCATCTGCTCTTGTTAGCAGACAAGGTCATAGTGTTCAGACACAGGCTATCCTAGGGCTGCATCCTTAGCACCTTCAATTTATCCATATGTCCTTTTTTGCCTGGGCTTTTTCTTATATGCCACAGGCCTATATAATTCAGCTCCCTAAAATCTTCAGAGTACCTGGGTTCCATTGTCCTTTCTATAGCCTCATAGAATCTGAGAGATGCAAGAGACCTCGGAAGTCATTTAGTCAAAATTTCTCTTCATATTAGGAATCCCCTCTGCAGCATTCCTGACTGCTAGTCATTCAGCCTCACTGTGAATGACCCCAGTAGAAAGGAGTTCACTGTTTTGCAAGGCAGCCCATTCTAGCAGATTACATTTTCCTAAATGACTACAATATTTTTCCATCCCACTTGCTCTTCTTACAATGTGACTTTGAGACTTTCTCATTGAGAGTAAAGCTTAGGGCTTCTCCACTTGTATCTTGACAGAGCTTAGGAAGCCTTTAACCAATGGAGTGCAGGAGAGTGATGCTGTGTATCTTCTGAAGCCAGCTCATAAAAAGACCACAGCGTCCAGCTGGCTCACTCTTTAGAATGTTTGTTCTAGGGAAGCCAGCCAGTGTGCTGTAAGGAAGCCCAAATTTACTACACAAAGAGAACATATGGAAGGGTCCACCTAGAGAAAAACTGGGGCTCCTAGCCAAGATCCAGCACCAGCTATAGATGTGCGAGTAAGGGATACTCCAGATGCTTCCAGCCCCCAGCCTGGGAGCTACCCTATCTGATACCAAGTGGAGCAGACATGAGCTATCCATGTGGATCCTTGTCTATTTAGTTCACGGGGCTTCATATCAAAAAGACCAGTGCTCCAGGATCTGAAGCCAAGGGTCCTCCACGTCATCAGGACCTGATTTAGATGATGAGATCCTGGACCTTAAGCTGATGGTTCAGGGGAATGAGACTTGAGGCCTTGAAGCGGGGGCATGAATATATTTAGCACATAGGAGGGATTTGAATTGCTGTGGCCAGAAGGTAAATTATAGCAGATTGTATTGTCTTGAATGCAACAACATCTCCTTTTCCATTTGCTCATCCTACAATGTGAAATAGAGGCTCCTCCCACTGAGAGGTGAGGTCTATGTTCTCTCCCCTTGAATCTGGGCAGCGGCTTGGGAATCAACTGATAAATTAAGGCAAAAGGGATGCTATGTGACTTCCAAGGCTAGACGTTTTTGGGATGCTTGCTGTACTCCAACAAAGCCTGCCATCATGTTGTGAAGAAGTCTGAATCACCAGGTGGAGAGAACACATGGAGAGGCCCCTACGGAGAGGAACTGAGGCCTCAGCCAATGTCTTGCATCAGCCACCAGATCTGTGAATACAGCAGCCTCCAGATGATTCAAGATGCCCCTGCTGATGCCACATGGTGCAGAGATAAGCTATCTACCTGAAGCTTAGTCCAAACTGTAATTTATGAACAAATACATGCTGTTAGTGTTTTAAGCCACTAATTTTCGGGGCAACTTGTTACGTGACATTAAATCACAAGAACAGAAATAAATTCCTGCATGAGAGATCAGAGCCCCCACAGTAGGAACAGAGCCCTATTGTATTAGAATAAAGACCTGTATTGGAGCAGAACCCTTCATTGTGGTAAAACTCTGTATGAGGGATAGAGCCCTGCATCAGGGGTTGGAGGTCGGTATTACAGGAGAACCCTGTAATGAGGACATAGCCTTATATGAAGGTAAAGCCCTGTATCAATAGACAGCAATGCAGAGCTCCAGTCAATTGTGTATTCCTGGTAGGTAGGCCTTGGACAGGGTGTATAAATGTCTCAGGATCTTAGGTGCTGAAAAACTGAGATCATAACCTTATTCATCTAGAGGAAAACACTGGATAATAGGTTAGCTCCTGCTCTAGACTTTATGATTCTGAACAGCCATTTATGCATCCAGATACTCATTGTGACTTGCCATTGTGATCAAAAGTGAGGTGTATTTCCAAACTGAAAGCCTTCACTCAGCAGGAGAAAAATCTTTATCATTTGCCTTTTTATATCTTCTAAATCACTCCCTCATTAATCCTCACCAATCCCTGTTCATATCTAGATCTTTCACTGCGGCTATTTCTGTTGGACCAGAGCAAATGTGATTCTTGCAGTACCTAAAAACAAATAGGGGGTTGTGTGTGTATTTTCCTGTCAAAATAAAGTACTGTCAAAGCACAAGATTTACACTTCTTTACAATTACTTTCTGGGCTGCCAAAAAGCACCCTAACTTTCCAGAATTCTTTTTTTTTTTTTTTTTTTTTTTTTTTTGAGACAGTGTCTTGCCCTGTCACCCAGGCTGGAGTGCAATGGCGTGATCTTGGCTCACTGCAACCTCCACCTCTGGGGCTCAAGCGATTCTCCTGCCTCAGCCTCCTGAGTAGCTGGGATTACAGGTGCAAGCCACCACACCCGGCTAATTTTTTTTTTTTTTTCTTTATAGAGATTGAGTTTTACCATGTTGGCCAGGCTGGTCTTGAGCTCCTGACCTCATGATCCGCCCGCCTCAGCCTCCCAAAGTGCTCGGATTACAGGCATGAGCCATCACGCCCAGCCCAGAATTCTTGCAAATAATATCCTTTGCCAGTAACAACCTTCTTCCAAGCACAAAGCAGTATTCTTAACAAACTAATTTTCCATCTGGAGATTTAAAGTGTGATGTTGTTTCACTTAAAATTTCTGATATGCAGTAGTATGAAGACAAGGGATTGGCTAAGTGGTTTGTCAAAAATGCAACAGAGAATCACCCCCTACATCCTCAAATATAGCCCAGTGATCTAAATTATGGAGCAAAACTATCAAATGTCATAGAAATACTGGACTCTAGAAAGTTCTTTCGCTGTTGTTCCTGAATAAGGGGTTTAGATAAAGATGCGGATTATCATATACTGAACTTACTTTTCGAATAAAAGAAATCCCACTTTCCTGGGCCACGTGGCTTCAGATTTACACATGAAGGTGGCACCCAGATTCCAGATGAAAAGGGGCTCTTGGAGCCTCCTCCTCCTCCCCTCGACCCAAATCTCCTTCATTTTCTCCCATTGTTTTGCACATCCTTAACCTTCTTCCCAAAGACAGATCTTTAAGATGCCTTTTTCCCCCCACTAAATTGATCATTTTGATGTCAGGTCATTTTGGAACCAGTGATTAGTGAATATGATAAATTACCGCTAGCAGGTTTGCTTTAGCAGGTTTGAAGTTTTGACGCATTAGTTATTTCCACCCAGGAAAATTATAACTCTGAACAACATCAACTTGTACATCTCCAGATAGAAAGCTGGTTTGTTAAGGATATTGTCCAGTGTTTGGAAATGTAGGTTCTTCGTACTGACAAGATCTAAAAGTCACCTGCTATCTTTTAAAATATTTTCAAATGTGTTCTCCTTAATCTGTCTTATTGAGCCCAGAGGTATTTCTTAGAGTTGAAATCAGGTTGATTTTACCAATTTTGTGTCTCATAAAAATTTCAAGACATAGGGACAGAAGAGTCTATCCTTTTGTTTGAGGTGTGTGTGTGACACAGGATTATTTCTTAGAGGTGTACTTTGGAATTGGCAGGTCGTCTGTCTCTTTGTCCTCATCTATTTTCCCTCCCTCTGAAAGGGTCTTTTAAACAATGGAGTTCACAAACTGCACCTAAAGCAAATGCCTAGATGTTTATATTCCTAGGTTGTGGTTTATACAAATTTTTTTAGTGTTTGTGATTATGGGTGTTGCTCTCTGAGATGTGAGGGGTTTGGGGTAGGCTTGTTTACATGAATTCCTCTCTGGGAATGCACACGGATTCACATTCGAAGCAGCAGGAGGATTTCCAGGGGAGAGAATTTCAGGACAGTGTACAGAATCAGAGCTGGGGGGTCGTGACCTTGCCTATTGATCCAGTCTCTCTAATTTCCACAGCTTGCTGAGGCTTGTTCTTCCAGCCTGCTGGTGTACATTAGAGCAGAAATCCATAACATGGCCATGTTCATCCAAGCACAGGAAGAAACTAAATTAAATGTTAAAAAACAATCTGAGGCTAGAGTTGGAGACAATTCATCATGATCCTAGATGCCAGGCAGGTGGGATGACCAAGGATTCCTCAGCCAATAGCCCCCCAAACAGAATATGGAAGGGCTTTGGTGCCTCATTTGTCAGGTACACAGCAGATAGTCTGAAAACACACCAAGGTCAGCTCTTTTGGCTGCAACATATTTTTCTCAAAAATGAGATATTACACACCCGAAAAGTGTAACTGAAGTAAATTAGCAGCAAGTATTGGGAGAAATAAATGGGATTCCTTATGAAAAGCTTATTTGGGGTAGTGTTTGGCAAATTCTCCAAGGCAGCAATGTTCCTGCTCTGGTCTCGGCATTTTTGTGCCACTGTATTATTCTGGGGCTGGTTGCTTAGATTTATATTGGAGGAGGGAGAACATTTTGCCAGAGTCATGACCTTTCTACTGGGTGACAGAGATTCAGGACAATAGCACCCCAAAATGAAATCCATGTGTTAAAACAAAAGGCACCAGACACTCTGACGTTCTAAAACATCTCTGGATATTCACCCAAAGTAGGCAGAGAAGGCAGCACTTCCTAAGGCGTGTTGGATGGTGCCAAAAGTGCCCTTTTCTGCTTCTTCAGTTGATCTCATTTATATTGAACATGGGGCTCATGCCATTTATTTGCCATTTACTTATTGATTAATCTAAAATGTTTAACCTGAAGAAGGCATCACAAATGGCAGGTTGTTCTGCTGGGAGTTGCCTCAAATGCTGGGATGCATTCCTCAAAATGCCTTTTGCATTATCCAGGTAAAATCTCATTCAAATGAGCAGGGCTGCAGCACAGGAGTGCCTCTTTTAGAGAAACTAGTGCCTGTATGGGTGGGGCCTGCACCAATGATGACTTCAAGGTTGATAGGATTGTATTAAACAATAGCAAATGCAAGGTAGCCCTAGAACAGATTCAGACAGCTCTGCACAGGTAGTACTCCACCAACCTGGAAAGGAAGAACAAAAAATGGTTCTGCAATTGGACTTCAGACTAAAGTTCTATTTGTATGCTAACATCTCACTCGGCTATAACAAGAGTCCTTTTTTGAGGGGAAGGCCACAGGGAGGAAGAGAAATAAAGAGATGCATGAACCTGTTAGTCAATTCAGATTAAACTATAATGTGAGAGCTGAAAGAAGCAGAGAGGAAACTGAGGCTCCAGGAAAACGAAGAACTCACCCTCAGACGCACTAGTCCAGACAGAACACGTCATTTTCTGTAGCTCAGTGGTACAGAGCATGTGCTGTGTATTCGAAAGTCTGTGTTTTGTGACCTGTCTCTATCACTTACTACCTGCATGGACCTCGGAAAAGTTAACTTAGCTGACTGTATTACAGTTTTTTCATCAGTAAACTGGGGATAATAATAGGATTCTAATAATGTTGTGAGAATTAAATGAGATAATGTATCCACAAATCTTCTATCAGAGCCTGGTACATGGTAAACACTCAACAGATAACGTTGTTATTCTGTGCTGCCTTTCCCTGTGAGAGCATCCAGCCCAGCATACCTTTTATTTATGTGTCCGTTTTAAGTAAACACAACCATACAGCAACGTATTCAGATCATAAGTGTATAGTGTGATAAATTTTCCCAAAGTGAAAAAAACCACATGGTCTCTGTCAGGCCTCTGAACCCAAGCCAAGCCATCGCATCCCCTGTGACTTGCATGTATACATCCAGATGGCCTGAAGTAACTGAAGATCCACAAAAGAAGTGAAAAGGCCCTGCCCTGCCTTAACTGATGACATTCCACCATTGTGATTTGTTCCTGCCCCACCTTAACTGAGGGATTAACCCTGTGAATTTCCTTCTCCTGGCTCAGAAGCTCCCCCACTGAGCACCTTGTGACCCCCGCCCCTGCCCACCAGAGAACAACCCCCTTTGACTGTAATTTTCCATTACCTTCCTAAATCCTATAAAACGGCCCCACCCTTATCTCCCTTTGCTGACTCTCTTTTCGGACTCAGCCCACCTGCACCCAGGTGAAATAAACAGCCATGTTGCTCACACAAAGCCTGTTTGGTGGTCTCTTCCCACGGATGCGCATGAAATTTGGTGCCGTGACTCGGATCGGGGGACCTCCCTTGGGAGATAAATCCCCTGTCCTCCTGCTCTTTGCTCCATGAGAAAGATCCACCTACGACCTCAGGTCCTCAGACCGACCAGCCCAAGAAACATCTCACCAATTTCAAATCCGGTAAGAGGCCTCTTTTTACTCTCTTCTCCAGCTTCCCTCACTATCCCTCAACCTGTTTCTCCTCTCAATCTTGGCGCCACACTTCAATCTCTCCCTTCTCTTAATTTCAATTCCTTTCATTTTCTGGTAGAGACAAAGGAGACACGTTTTATCCGTGGACCCAAAACTCCGGCGCCGGTCACGGACTGGGAAGGCAGCCTTCCCTTGGTGTTTAATCATTGCAGGGAAGCCTCTCTGATTATTCACCCATGTTTCAAAGGTGTCAGACCACGCAGGGACACCTGCCTTGGTCCTTCACCCTTAGCCGCAAGTCCCGCTTCTCTCCTTGTCTCTACCCCTTCTCTGCTTTTCTGGGGGAGGGGCAAGTACCCCTCAACCCCCTCTCCTTCACCCTTAGTGGCAAGTCCCGCTTTTCTAGGGAGCAAGAACGCCCAATCCCTTATTTCCACACCCCAACCTCTTATCTCTGTGCCCCAATTCCTTATTTCCATGCCCCAACCCTTTCTCTGCTTTTCTGGAGGGCAAGAAACCCCTACCCCTTCTCCGTGTCTCTACTCTTTTCTCTGGGCTTGCCTCCTTCACTATAGGCAAGCTTCCACCTTCCATTCCTCCTTCTTCTCCCATAGCCTGTGTTCTCAAAAACTTAAAACCTCTTCAATTCTCACCTGACCTAAAATCTAAGCGTCTTATTTTCTTCTGCAATGCCGCTCGACCCCAATACAAACTCAACAGTAGTTCCAAATAGCCGGAAAATGGCACTTTCAATTTTTCCATCCTACAAGATCTAAATAATTCTTGTCATAAAATGGGCAAATGGTCTGAGGTGCCTGACGTTCAGGCTTTCTTTTACACATCAGTCCCTTCCTAGTCTCTGTGCCCAGTGCAACTCGTCCCAAATCTTCCTTCTTTCCCTCCCGTCTGTCCCCTCAGTCCCAACCCCAAGCGTCGCTGAGTCTTTTTAATCTTCCTTTTCTACAGACCCATCTGACCTCTCCCTTCCTCGCCAGGCCAAGCTAGGTCCCAATTCTTCCTCAGCCTCCGCTCCTCCACCCTGTAATCTTTTTATCGCCTCCCCTCCTCACACCTGGTCTGGCTTACAGTTTCGTTCTGTGACTAGCCCTCCCTCACTTGCCCAGCAATTTACTCTTAAAAAGGTGGCTGGAGCCAAAGGCATAGTCAAGGTTAAGGCTCCTTTTTCTTTATCCCAAATCAGAAGCTTTTAGGCTCTTTTTTTTATCAAATATAAAAACCCAGCCCAGTTCATGGCTTATTCGGCAGCAACCCTGAGACGCTTTACAGCCCTAGACCCTAAAAGGTCAAAAGGCCGTCTTATTCTCAATATACATTTTATTACCCAATCTGCTCCCGACATTAAATAAAACTCCAAAAATTAGAATCTGGCCCTCAAACCCCGCAACAGGACTTAATTAACCTCACCTTCAAGGTGTACAATAATAAAAAAAAAGTTGCAATTCCTTGCCTCCACTGTAAGACAAACCCCAGCCACATCTCCAGCACACAAGAACTTCCAAACGCCTGAACTGCAGCAGCCAGGCATTCCTCCAGAACCTCCTCCCCCAGGAGCTTCCTACAAGTGCCAGAAATCTGACCACCAGGCCAAGGAATGCCTGCAGCCCAGGATTCCTCCTAAGCCATGTCCCATCTGTGCGGGACCACACTGGAAATCGGACTGTTCAACTCACCTGGCAGCCACTCCCAGAGCCCCTGGAACTCTGGCCCAAGGCTCTCTGACTGATTCCTTCTTCGCTTTGCGGCTGAAGACTGATGCTGCCTGATCGCCTCGGAAGCCCTGTAGACCATCACGGACGCCGAGCTTTAGGTAATTCTCACAGTGGTGGGTAAGTCCGTCCCCTTCTTAATCAATACGGAGGCTACCCACTCCACATTACCTTCTTTTCAAAGGCCTGTTTCCCTTGCCTCCATAACTGTTGTGGGTATTGACAGCCAGGCTTCTAAACCTCTTAAAACTCCCCAACTCTGGTGCCAACTTAGACAATACTCTTTTATACACTCTTTTTTAGTTATCCCCACCTGCCCAGTTCCCTTATTAGGCTGAGATATTTTAACCAAATTATCTGCTTCCCTGACTATTCCTGGACTATAGCCGCATCTCATTGCTGCCCTTCTTCCCAATCCAAAAGCCTCCTTTGCTTCCTCCTCCTGTATTCCCCCACCTTAACCCACAAGTATAAGATACCTCTACTCCCTCCTTGGCGACCAATCACGCACCACTTACCATCTCATTAAAACCTAATCACCCTTACCTGGCTCAACGCCAATATCCCATCCAACAGCAAGCTTTAAAAGGATTAAAACCTGTTATCACTCACCTGCTACAGCATGGGCTTCTAAAACCTATAAACTCTCCTTACCATTCCCCCATTTTACCTGTCCTAAAACCAGACAAGGCTTACAAGTTAGTTCAGGATCTGCGTCTTATCAACCAAATTGTTTTGCCTATCCACCCCATGGTGCCAAACCCATATACTCTCCTATCCTCAATAACTCCCTCTACTACCCATTATTCTGTTCTGGATCTCAAACATGCTTTCTTTACTATTCCTTTGCACCCTTCATCCCAGCCTCTCTTTGTCTTCACTTAGACTGACCCTGACACCCATTAGGCTCAGCAAATTACCTGGGCTGTACTGCCGCAAGGCTTCACAGACAGCCCCCATTACTTCAGTCGAGCCCAAGTTTCATCCTCATCTGTTACCTATCTCGGCATAATTCTCATAAAAACACACGTGCTCTCCCTGCTGATCGTGTCCGATTAATCTCCCAAACCTCAATCCCTTACAAAAGAACAACTCCTTTCCTTCCTAGGCATGGTTAGTGTGGTCAGAATTCTTACACAAGAGCCAGGAGCACACTGTGTAGCCTTTCTGTCCAAACAACTTGACCTTACTGTTTTAGCCAAGCCCTCATGTCTGCGTGCAGCGGCTGCTGCTGCTTTAATACTGTTAGGGGCCCTAAAAATCACAAACTATGCTCAACTCACTCTCTACATTTCTCATAACTTCCAAAATCTATTTTCTTCCTCATACCTGATGCATATACTTTCAGCTCCCCGGCTCCTTCAGCTGTACTCACTCTTTAAGTCCCACAATTACCATTGTTCCTGGCCCAGACTTCAATCTGGCCTCCCACATTATTCCTGATACCACACCTGACCCCCATGACTTTATCTCTCTGATCCATCTGATATTCACCCCATTTCCCCATATTTCCTTCTTTCCTGTTCCTCACCCTGATCACGCTTGATTTATTGATGGCAGTTCCACCAGGCCTAATCGCCACACACCAGCAAAGGCAGGCTATGCTATAGTACAAGCCACTAGCCTGCCTCTCAGAAACTCTCATTTCCTTTCCATCGTGGAAATCTATCCTCAAGGAAATAACTTCTCTGTGTTCCATCTGCTATTCTACTACTCCTCAGGGATTATTCAGGCCCCCTCCCTTCCCTACACATCAAGCTCGAGGATTTGCCCCCACCCAGGACTGCCAAATTAGCTTTACTCAACATGTCCTGAGTCAGATAACTAAAATACTTCTTAGTCTAGGTAGACTCTTTCACTGGATAGGTAGAGGCCTTTCCTATAGGGTCTGAGAAGGCCACCACAGTCATTTCTTCCATTCTGTCAGACATAATTCCTCAGTTTAGCCTTCCCACCTCTATACAGTCTGATAACAGACCAGCCTTTATTAGTCAAATCAGCCAAGCAGTTTTTCAGGCTCTTAGTATTCAGTGAAACCTTTATATCCTTTATGGTCCTCCATCTTCAAGAAAAGTAGAACGGACTAAAGGTCTTTTAAAAACACACCTCACCAAGCTCAGCCACCAACTTAAAAAGGACTGGACAATACTTTTACCACTTTCGCTTCTCAGAATTCAGGCCTGTCCTCAGAATGCTACAAGGTACAGCCCATTTAAGCTCCTGTATAGACGCTCCTTTTTATTAGGCCCCAGTCTCATTCAACACCAGACCAACTTAGACTGTGCCCCAAAAAAACTTGTCATCCCTACTATCTTTTGTCTAGTCATACTCCTATTCACCATTCTCAACTACTCATACATGCCCTGCTCTTGTTTACCCTGCTGGTTTACACTGTTTCTCCAAGCCATCACAGCTGATATCTTCTGGTGCTATCCCCAAACTGCCACTCTAAACTCTTGAAGTAAATAAATAATCTTTGCTGGCAGGACTATGCTGAATTTCCTTAGGCACCTCTAATCAGATGTCCTAGGTCCTCCCAATTCTTAAGACCTTTTATACCTGTTTTTCTCCTTCTCTTATTCCATTTAGTTTTTCAATTCAAACAAAACCGTATCCAGGCCATCAGCAATCATTCTATATGACAAATGTTTCTTCTAACAACCCCACAATATCACCCCTTACCACAAGATCTTTCTTCAGCTTAATCTCTCCCACTCTAGGTTCCCACGCCGCCCCTAATCCCGCTCGAAGCAGCCCTGAGAAACATCGCCCATTCTCTCTCCATACCACCCCCAAAAATTTTCGCCGCCTCAAGACTTCAACACTATTTTGTTTTATTTTTCTTATTAATATAAGAAGGCAGGAATGTCAGGCCTCTGAGCCCAAGCCAAGCCATCGCATCCCCTGTGACTTGCATGTATACATCCAGATGGCCTGAAGTAACTGAAGATCCACAAAAGAAGTGAAAAAGCCCTGCCCCGCCTTAACTGATGACATTGCACCATTGTGATTTGTTCCTGCCCCACCTTAACTGAGGGATTAACCCTGTGAATTTCCTTCTCCTGGCTCAGAAGCTCCCCCACTGAGCACCTTTGTGTCCCCCACCCCTGCCCACCAGAGAACAACCCCCTTTGACTGTAATTTTCCATTACCTTCCCAAATCCTATAAAATGGCCCCACCCCTATCTCCCTTCGCTGACTCTCTTTTTGCACTCAGCCTGCCTGCATCCAGGTGAAATAAACAGCCATGTTGCTCACACAAAGCCTGTTTGGTGGTCTTTTCACATGGACGCGCACGAAAGTCTCCACCCAGATAAAGAAACAGAACTGTACCAGAACCCCAGAAACCCTTCTTACATCCCTCCCAGTCATAATTCCCCCAACAAATGGAGCTACTAATCAAATTTCTTCCATGGTATATCAATTTTGCCTGTTTTTCAATTTTATATGAATGGAATCATGCCATATTTATTCTTTTGGATCTGTTTCTTTTGCAGTACTATGTGAGATCCATTACTTGTAACAGCAATTTATTAATTTTCATTGCTGGGACACTGCATTTTCTTATTATAGACACAAAATACTGGTGTCTTCTAAACAGGCATAAGGAATGTATGAAGCAAGTTGTTAATTAAAATATGATACCAAAGTTGGGTAACGTTTACTTTAAAAATTTATTTAAATTAGAGAGCATTCACTGAGCAAGCCTCAAATTTTTGTTATCCAGATGAGAAAACTGAGTTCCAGAGGAAGTAAATTGTTAAGCCCAGGATCATGGAGTCAGTAAGTAAAAATTTAAGACCAAATGGAAAGAAGATAAAAGGATAGAGGAGTTCGGATGTTGGTTTTAGCTGGAGCAAAAGCAAAGCTATTGCTACAATGGCATGGCCATCTTAATTTTTGCCTAAGTGTTCCAGAGCCTGTTGCTATTCACAATTACAGAGCACAATGGAGCCCTTCTTTTACTTAACCAACATTCTATATTCTGAAGACTATAAATATCAGTTGCCACTTAAATGTTATTTGACTTTTCAAAAGAAAAAGGGGTCTAGTCAAACGAGTTATTTTTTCCCCATATAAATGTTACCTGATGACAGCACCAGCGTTTGTCACCCCCTCAATGACATAAGATGTTTAGCATTTCATCAAGCATCTGAATTGCATCTCTGTGGCCAACTTTAACTCAGTTGGTTCATTAAGAAGTTGTCATGTAATTTTAGTCATTAAGTTTGATCAGATCATGTTCATGGCATCACAGTTGCTCTTTAGTTTTGTTGAGTTTACTTGATACTATATAATCTAGTCTTAGAAAATACAACAGGGAAGAACTTTTTTAAAAAGTTTCTCAGTCCTGGCCAAAAGATGAAGCACACTTGAACAGCTGTCAATGAAATGAAGTCCTGCACCTCTGCTAGTTAAGCAGAAATCAAAACCCTCATATAGAAATAATCTTCCTTGCAGAGGATCAAGAGAAATGCACGGAGACCACCAGGGTTGGGAATAGCTGTGCTCTGAACCTGGATTTGTCAATGACACATCCTCTAATGAAAAAGACTAAGTACAATTTACATGGGCTCCTCTGCTTTCTTCACTCTACACAATCTGATTAAAATTCTCTATAACCGCAAAACCCAAATTGGAAAAATATATTATCTGAAAATATGTATATTACTGATGTAATACATTAGTTTTTGTTTTGCAAGTAAGGAAATCATTTATGTATTTGTACTTCAATGCTTTTAAATGTTTTTACTTCACATGTTTTCATTTTCATGCTTTCTGTACTTAGTCTGCAACTCTCATTATATAAAAATTTTCTTTTTCATACAAATTGCTTTTTGTATGGCTTTCTCCTATATTTTTCTGTGAATTTGATGTTGCAATGTAATTTCAGATTTTGAAACCCTTTTGTTCTTAAAAAATGTATAATTTAGTTCCCACCTATTTCCAAAAATAATATGAAGTATATTTTGGAACTTCTGGTATAAAATACTTTCCCCCTCTCTGATTGGGTAGTGGACCATATTTGCTCATTTCTACTCAAACAAGAAATTAATTAATGCAACCAGATAAATACAAAGAATACAAAACACACACACAGATATTTTGAATACATATGTGTATATATGTGTGTGTGTCTGTGTGTGTGTGTGTTTATGGATGGATGAATAGATGGATGGATGGATGGTTAAACAGACAGATAACTACAAAATTGCTACTCGAAGCAAAATAAAGAAAAAACAAATTGTGGACAATTAGCTTGCATTAATCAGCTTATGTGTGTCCAATTTAGTGTAGTTGTTAAAACTATGGAATAGCCCAAGTGCCATTGCCACCATCTCTGAATTTGGGAGAACAGGTCTCTGTGAAGAATGAAGTGACTATAGTGAGTTCACAGCAATTATAAGGATTAAAACTAGGGAGAGCCCTTTTGGCTATGATCAAAGAAGGAGCATCACATATGCTCACTAAGAAAAGAATTGTTGGTACTAAAGTCACAACACCCTCTTCCCCCTTCAGAAAATCACACGTGCCATTTTCTGATTATAATTCGAATCAAGATTCGAATTCTGATTATAATTCGATCAAGAAGACTCACTTTTTGGAGTTAAGGAAAGGAAAGGTCCCCTAATACCCACTAGGACATATCTATAAGGCATGATTATGATTCTATTGATAATTTCCTAATCAAATAGGTTTTTTTGGCCAGTCATCATAAGGGCTGATTGCCATTAATGGCAAAGCAATCAATGGGATTGATGTTATTGCAGGCACCTTAACAACTGAATTGGATCAACCATGCATGCGTGTTCATAGATAGCTCATTGACTGGCTGTTATTGTGGCTAATAAAACCAAGTCAGCTGGAAAAGAGCTCTTTCAGTCTGGTCTTGTAGAAAAACTTAAAGTCTTTACTGTGGAACCGTCTAAGATGATTGGCCCTTTGAATCAGCAACTGGCCTAGAGGGATTATGGCCACAACAAGAGGCTGAAGCACAGAGATTCAAGTAAGAGAGTGAATACACACTCAAAAGCATTCATTGATTGGCTAACTAGGGCTAAATTAGTTAAATTCATGGGCATTTTCACACTCTTTTGGTGGCATGGTAGTCAAGAGAGAGAATGGTCTTTCACTCTCTTACAGCAATGAAGCACATCAATGAAGCATATCAATCCAAGTTAGTGGAAGAAATTTTGCTAAATGCCCAGGTCCAAGCTTTGCCCTACCGCAGAAGCACCTGGTAGGGACAGAGATAGGTATTGAACTACATAAGTCAAAACAGATAGGATACACTATAGCTGCCATCCCCAGAATGCTGTCAGACTACTAAGGATGAGGAGGCATTTGGATATGTGCCAGGCCACTCACACTTAGTCCTAGATATTGGAAATGAACGTCTCTATATAAGGAAACATGTGTATGTGTATCATAGTTATACAAGGAAGCAGGCTACTGTTTTCACGCCAGTGCACTTTTGTGTCTACCAATCCCCCTGATAGAAGTCCTAAGTATTTGAGCTAAGGCAGAGATTTAAGTAGAGGGTTGTGCACAGATACATTAAGGGGGCAAGATCTACCAGACTGGGTGACTGACTGGGTGGAGGTACAATGGAGAGAAACGTGTCTATACTATTAATTATAAAATGTCTTGAGTGTGCTTCTATTGAATCAAATAAGTGTTTAAAAATACAACTAAGTTGCCTTCACCTTTTCTGAAATTTGACATTTAAAAACTGACTTTAGTGAAATCATGGGTGAGAAGAGATAATATTGTTTTGTATGCCTTTCATTCATTTATTTTTCATTTATTCTTTCATCAGATAATTACTGAACACCTATAATGCACCAAGCGTAATGTTGGACACCAGGGATTTATTCTGAGTGGATGATACTAGTTTGGTCTCTACCCTCACAGTGACGTGGATCAGAGTCATTTGATGTGACAGAAATACAGACATAAATAGTACATGTACCTGTGCCATTTTCATGATTACCTACAAGAAATCATATCTAAAATTTTATTTTATTTCCAATGCCCCGAGTTCAACACCTCATATGAAGAAGCTATGATATGCCAGAATCTGTGCCAGAGATGAAGCAAAGATAAATAAACAAGATACTTTTGAACAATAATGCATGCTGAGAAGGTAGCAAGACAGGATGAAGCAATGGCAGTGGCAGGGCAGGCAGCAAGGGACACTGGTGTGAATGGTCATCGGAGTGGAGGTGACACAAAACAGAGACCTGAGCAACAGGAAGAGAGAGGTGCTCGGTAAGCATCTGGGGGCAGAACGTTCCAGGCAGAGGGCACAGTAAGTGCCGAGGCCCTGAGCTGGAAAAGAGCATGGAGCCTGTGAGATACCAACAGTCAGTATGAGCAAGCAAGAGCAGGTGACAGCGGAAGTCAAAGAAGAAGCCAGAGGTCAGAGCACTTCGAGTTTCTCAGGACATGGTTAGGAAGGCAGATTTCTATTTAACACACTTTATTTTTAGAGCAGTTTTAAGTTTACAGAAAAATTGAACAGAAAGTACAGAGCTCTCATATACCCCCTCTCTCCCCACACACAGTCTCCCCGTGATGAACATCTTGCATTAATGTCATGCATTCATTGCAACTGATGAACCAATATACATACATTACGATTAAACGAAAGTTGTTTGTTTACATGAGGGTTCACTCTGTGTGTTGCACATTCTGTGGATGTTGACAGCGGTATGATGACACATATCTACAATTATGGTATCACACAGAGTCACTGCCCAAAAAGTCCTCTGTGTCCCGCCTATTCATCCCTCCTTCCCTTCTCCCTAATGCCTGGAAACCACTTATCTTTTTACTGTCTCCACAGGTTTGCCTACCTTTTTGGCACCAGGGGCCAGTTTTGTGGAAAACAATTTTTCCATGAATGGGGGTGTGGGGGGATGAAACTGTTCCACCTCAGACCATCAAGCATTAGATTCTCATAAGGAACATGCAACCCAGATCCCTCAAATGCACAGTTCACAATAGGGTTCATGCTCCAAGAGAATCTAATGCTGCCACTGATCTGACAGGAGGTGGAGCTCAGGCGGTAATGCTGGCTCACCCACCACTCACCTTCTGCTGTGTGGCCCAGTTCCTAACAGGCCACAGACTGGTACCGGTCCCTGGCTCAGGGCTTGAGGACCCCTGTCATAGAGTTGGAATCATATGGGATCGTGTAGAATGTAGCCTTTTCTTACTGGCTCATATGAGATGGGGAGGCACTGGAAGATTTTAAATGTGACATGGACTTACAGTTTTAAAAGATCCCTCTGGCTGCTGTATGGAGAAAGCACTAAAGGGGAGCAAAAGCGAGAAGCAGGTCATTGTTGAAGGCCACTGTAGTTACCCAGAGATGCAAGATGGTGCAGTCTAGGACAAGTGTAGTGGCAGTGAAAATAAAGAAATTGGACAGACTTGAGATATATTTGTAGTTGGACAGAATTTGCTGATAAATTCAATGTATAAGTAAAGGAAAAAGGTGAATTTAGGTATTCAACTTGAGGAGGTGAGTGTATGGTAGTGCCATTCATGGAAATGAGAAGATTCAAGGCAGAACAACAAACCAGGCTTGGGAGGGAAAGTTAAGAATTCTATTCGACCATATTTTAAAGGTTGAAATGTTTGCCGGCTATCCAAGTGGAGAAATCAGCTAGGCTGTTGAACATACAAGTCTAGAGCATAGTAGAAATGTCTGGGCTAGAAATACAAATGTGGATGTCATTGGCATATAGGTGATAGTTAGAGCAATAAGTAAATGCAGCACCTATGGAGAAAAGTGGAGAAGATGGAGAAGAGGACTGAGGGCCAAGCTTCAGAGAAGGAAGCTTCTGTAAATGCTTTTAGGAGGAGGTAGGATGCAACAAATTAAAGAGTACACAAGTAATTACTTGCAGCCTTGTTTTGTCTTGCAAATATATTAATAGTTTTGAAACCCATGCATCATTTGCAATAGAATATTTTAATTGTGTGATTTGACCTTCTGGAAGGTGTCAGAAGCTCACAAATACACCTCTACCTGAATCCCCATATGAAACTATGTCAGAGCTCAAGCTGGAGTCCAGTGTCCTTTTATTAAATTATAGTTTTGCTCTGTAGCTACTAAGTGATGTAAAAAGAGGGGCTGGCCCATATTTCAGCTGTGCATCTGTTTCTGTTGTTCTTCAACAGGCACTAAGTGTGTCACAGCCCCTTGACCAGAGACGAAAAGGCTAGAACAATCAAAGCACTAATGAAAAAGAGGCTATGATATTTGAATACACAAATAACTGCTTTCCTGCCTACCCTGGACTTTGAGTTTCCCTCCTGCTATGGAGTTCAGCAGTAAGCATTTTAATTTAGGCTCTGGCTCTCATTTCATCCAGATCTGTTTCTGGCTTCCACTGCAGTTTGTCACACAAATGATCAACTGCTTTCCCCTTTATTGTGGCTAGAATTAGACCAATACACTTACCGTGCTTCCTCACGTGGGTGGTTTCTGCCCTTCTGCTGTCATTCCTACAAGGATGCCTATTAATACGCAACAGAGGAGTCAATTTGACAGTTAGATACTTAAGTCTGAAACTCAATGTCGAGTTATCCCCTCATTCCTGGGTGTGTATCCTCTCAAAACCTCCACCACGATCTTAACCCCTGTGGGTTCTGACTCTCTACAACACAGGATGTCTCAGATTGGACCATCTCAATGAGCTCCCCATGGTTCAAGTAAACTAATTTTCCTCTTGGGAACCTCAGCTGACTCCAATCTCAAGGTTCTTCTTTACTCGCTACTGAAATTGGTTACACTAGGGAATTCCCTCACCCTGCACTTTAGAGATCACAGAGAAGTTGGAATGTGTCTACTCAACAGAGCTTTTCAAATGACTCTTATTTGAGTTTTCTCTCTCTCCTATACTTTCTTACCATTTTGTACCTCTTCAAGTTCTCCCCTAAAGGGAACTTATATTATAGTTATTCTTTCCTTTATCTTCATCCTTGGAGAAAAAAATATCTTACCATCTTTGTATTTTAATGAATAATGACTCACAATAATATATCTACATAGTACATTATACATTGTCTCCACTTTTAAAGTTTAATAAAGGGAAATATCAATTAAAGAGAAACTAAAGAAATGAAAACAATTAAAAAATCTTTTGAATGATAATTACCAATGCAAAAGACAGATTTTTATTTGTAATATAAATGAAATAATTTATAATACACAAAAATACTTTTAAGTATTGTATTGAAAATGAATATACAAAATTAAGAAAATGTTATGGAATCCCTGGGCTTGTCTTTATGACTCCTGGGGGCCCTTACCCCACAGTGTGAGGAGAACTGTCTGGCCCTGAGGGACCTCATCTGTGGACTCCCAAGGGCCCTTAACCCAATGTGAGAGGAACCATGAATATGGACTTTAGAGTCCTTCATCCCCAGCTCCAGGAAAACTACCCGGAAGTGAAGTCAGCAGAGGACCTGGGTCTGTAGACTCTTAAGGTTATATCAGGAATAGCAAGAACAAGACTATTAGGAAGAAATTAGACTTAGGTTAGTGCTTCCCAAACTTCTGCCAAGTGCTGTGTTAGGTTCTGAAACTGCTGAAGTGAATCATATATATCATAGACTTTGGCCTCATGGAGAATTTGGTATAGAACACTGTTCCTTCAAATGTGTTCACAACTTAAAAGTCTGGCCTATAAAAATATTTATCTTTGTTTAACGCAGCCTTTTCCAAATGCATTCAGTCAAGTAACACCTCTTTCTCCCCTTTATTTTGTAGCATCACCTTCACAGTCTTTGTTGTATTGATATGGTTTGGCTCTGTCCCCACCCAAATTTCATCTTGAATTGTAGCTCCCATAATTCCCCCTATTGTGGGAAGGACCCAGTGGAAGATAACTGAATCACGGGGGCAGTTCCCCCATACGGTTCTCATAGTAGTGAATAAGTCTCATGAGAGCTGATGTTTTTATAAGGGGTTTCCCCTTTCATTTGGCTATCATTCTTCTTGCCTGCTGCCATGTAAGATGTGCCTTTGGTTTTCCTTCACCTTCTGCCATGATTGTGAGGCCTCCCCGGCCATGTGGAACTGTGAGTTGATCAAACCTCTTTCCTTTATAAATTACTCAGTCTTGGGGATGTCTTATTAACAGCGTGAGAACAGACTATTACAGTGAGTAAGTTCTCCCAAGATCTGATGGTTTTATAAGGGATTTCTCCCTCTGCCTGGCTCTCATGCTTCCCTCTCCTGCTGCCATGTGAAGAAGGACTTGTTTGCTTCCCCTTCTGCCGTGATCATAAGTTTCCTGAGGCCTCCCCAGCCATGCTGAACTGTGAGTCAATTAAACCTCTTTCTTTTATAAATTACCCAGTCTTGGGGATGTCTTATTAGCATCATGAGAATGGACTAATACATGTATCAACAGACCTTTATTATTATTATTATTTAAATCTACTGATTTTTATTACTGAAACAAATTTTATTTCAAAAGAAAACGTCTTATTACAAGTTAAGTGTACTTGTTTCTAATATTCACTATAATGAACATATGTTTAAAATGTTCATTATTCTATTAAAGTCAGCTTAAGTAGCTCACTTTGGGAAACCGTGGCTTAATGACAATGGGCTTGGGCTTTGGAATGAGACAGGACTGAGTTCAGTATTTGTCTCCACAATTTATTAGTTGAGTGTCCTTGAAAATTTACTTAACCACTGTAATCTCTAGGTTTCTCATCTGTAAAATGGAAATCCTAAAATCTATCTCAGAAGACTGGTTGAAGGGTCAAAGGAGATGATGTATGTAAGGCAGTTGCCACACTGCCCACTACATGAAAAAGCCTAATCCTGTGGTCACCACATCATTTTTTTAATGATTCAGTTATATTATTTGAATAGGGATAGTAAATGAAGCTCCATCTGGCCAGTGCTGGGATCCACAATTGAACAGGGAGAAAGTGCCCAGAGATGCAGAATCCCTGGGGGCCCTCTCCCAGGAAGGGTCTCAAAGGAAAATCATTCACTGTATCTGCGTTCTTAATTTTTCCCCAGAACTTGAGTCTGAAGGATTTTAATATGAACTACTAAAAAAGGGGGTGGGACGGGGTCTCTCTTGGCTAAATACATTTGGCAAAGACTGGGTTAAACAAAGAGATATTTCTATCAGACTTTTTGAAACCTTTACAACTAATGTACAATGAGAATCTTTAAAAGGGATAATTAATACATAGTACTTCACTTTCCGATGCATTTTTTTAAAGAAACCCCTATAAGATTAGGTTGTGAGGAACACATTTGAAGAAACAGTGTTCTAGACCAAATTCTCCATGAGGTCCATGTCTATATACGATTCACGTGAGCAGTTTCAGTACCTAGCACTGTGCTTGGGACATTCAACATTTTTGTGTAGTGAATTAAAGCAGAAACAGATGAATAAATATATGAATGAATAAAAACTTTACCAATACTTTACGACTGGGAAAGCCTTGATAAAATTCATGCAAATGGAAAAGGACCCCTACTACTTTCCTAAACCAAACTGAGAAGATTCCCCAGTTTTGCGACAAAACTGATTTCCAGATCAGAGGACACCCATCAGAGATTTTCACAGAGGTGTCAGAGTCAAACCCAGCAAAAAAGCGAGCATTAAAAACACAACATTGAAGGAAAATGTGAGACGTAAATCCCCAGCCATGAAGCAAGAGAAGGACGATGATATACTAATAGTAGACTTAGATGGGCCTCAGCATCAGATAGAGGGACTTAAACAGGTGAGGGTGGGAACAGGGGCAGCCTGAAGCAAGGCTCACCTCAAAGGCTTCATGGAGGTTTTCTAAGTGAGAAGGGCTGAGAAGGAAGTCAGTTTGCAGCACGCTTATAGTGAATTTAAATTTTATCATGTTTCTTGGCCTAGAATCTTGCTCTCCTATTGCATTGCTGTTTGAAAACTTCTTGTCAAGAGATAGTTTGGGGTTTCATCTCTAGCATTTCCTAACTCAAAAACAGAAAAGGAAGAGGTAAAGAAAAAAAGAAGAAAAGATCAATGATACACAAAGCAAAAATGTAGATTACTCCCAGTCTGTAAATTTTACCTACCAGTTGCCCTACAGGTATAATAAAAGTGTCCAGAATTCAAAGGAAAGTCACCAAGAGCATGAGGATCTGCCCTCTGAGAGGACAAACTCTTTGTTTTCTTTGTTTTCAGCTGACAGAAGCATATGGCATCTAAATGATTGTCAGAAGCTCTGAGTGTAAGTCTTAGTTCTGTAAAGTTCAAGCTGTGAGGTCTTAGACCATTCAGCCCCACTAGGCTTCTGATTCCTTGCTAGTGAAAGAGAATATGGACTGCCTGCCCTGCTGTCTTCACGTGTTCACTGTACCCATTACACAATCTCTTTGTACATACTTCTCTTAGAGAACATGCCACACCGGATCATTAGTATTTGTGCCCTTGTCAGTCTGTCTGATTAGATTCTGAGAATGTGGAGATTAGGGTTGGAGCTTTGGTTAGCTCTGAAATCCCAGTGCCTAGCACAGTATATGCTCAGTAATTGTTTATAAAGTAAGAGCCAGGGTATCAGTCAAGTTATTCAAAAGCTGGGTATCTGTCTTAGTCCATTTAACTGCTATACCAAAATGCCATAAACTAGGCAACTGATAAGTGACAGAAATTTATTTTTCTCAGTTCTGGAGACTGGGAAGTCCAAGATCAAGGCACCTGCAGATTCAGTGTCTGGTGAGGCCCCATTTCCTGTTTCATAGAGGGCACCTTCTTACTGTGTCTTCACATGGTGGAAAGGGAGAGCTATAATAACTTCCTGGAATCTCTTTTTATAAAGGCTCTAATCCCAATCATGAATGTCCTGCCCTCATGCCTAATCACCTCCCAAACTCCCCACCTCCAAATACCATCACCTTCAGCATGAGGTTTTAACATATAGATTCTGGGAGAACACAAGCATTTAGACTGTAGCAGCATCTGTGCACCTTTAATAATATCCCTTAGCCTCCTGCCATCCCTATGCTAAAAGCTGGAGTTAGCAGAGAGAACTTTGAGTGCACACTGTGGTGGGCCAAATGGTGGTCCCCAAAAAGATATGTCCAAGTCCTGACTCCAGTACCTGTGAATGTATTCTTATTCAAAAAAACAGTCTTTGGGCCAGGCGTGGTGGCTCACACCTGTAATCCCAGCACTTTGGGAGGCCGAGGCGGGTGGACCATGAAGTCAGGAGATCGAGACCATCCTGGCTAACACGGTGAAACCCCGTCTCTACTAAAAATACAAAAAAATTAGCCAGGCGTGGTGGCGGGCACCTGTAGTCCCAGCTACTCGGGAGGCTGAGGCAGGAGAATGGCGTGAACCCAGGAGGCGGAGCTTGCAGTGAGCCAAGATGGCACCACTGCACTCCAGCTGGGTGACAGAGCGAGACTCTGTCTCAAAAAAAAAAAAAAAAAAAAAAGAGAAAAGGAGTCTTTGGCTGGACATGGTGGCTCATGCCTGTAATCCCACCATTTTGGGAGGCCAAGGCAGGCAGATCACCTGAGGTCAGGAGTTCGAGACCAGCCTGCCCAAAATGGTGAAACCCCGTCTCCACTAAAAATACAAAAAATTAGCCAGGCATGGTGGCAGGCACTTATAATCCCAGCTACTTGGGAGGCTGAGGCAGCAGAATCGCTTGAACCTGGGAGGGCAGAGGTTGTAGTGAGCCAAGATTGCACCATTGCACTGTATCCACCCTGGGCCACAAGAGCGAGACTCTGTCAAAAAAAAAAAAAAAAGAAAGAAAGAAAGAAAGAGAGAGAGAAGGAAAGAAGAAAGAAGAAAGAAAGAAAGAAAGAAAGAAAGAAAGAAAGAAAGAAAGAAAGAAAGAAAGAAAGAAAGAAAGAAAGAGAAAGAAAGAAAAAAAAGAAGGCCGGGCGCGGTGGCTCACGTCTGTAATCCCAGCACTTTGGAAGGCCGAGGCAGGTGGATCACGAGGTTCAAGACAAGCCTGGCCAAGATGGTGAAACCCCATGTCTACTAAAATTACAAAAATTAGCTGGGTGTAGTGTCAGGCACCTGTAATCCCAGCTACTTGGGAGGCTGAGGCAAGGAATTGCTTGAACCCGGGAGGCGGAGGTTGCAGTGAGCCGAGATAGTGCCACTGCACTCAGACTGGGCGACAAAGTGAGACTCCATCAACAACAACAAAAAACAAACAAACAAACAAAAAACACCAAAAAAGAAAAGAAAAAGAGTCTTTGTAAATATAATTAAGAATATCAAGATGAGATCATCCCGGACTAACCGGGTGGGCTCTAAATCCAATAACCAATGTCCTTGTAAAAGGTGGAAGAGAAGGCCACGTGAAGACAGTGGCAGAGATTGGAGTTATGCAGTCACAAACCAAGGAAGACATGGAGCTGCCAAAAGTCAAAAGAGGCAAGGCAGGTTCTCCCCTAGAGCCTCCGGAGGGAGCACAGTCCTCCTAACACCTTGATTTTGGACTTCTATCCTCCAGAACTGACATAAAACATAAGCATTCATTCAAATATTTGTTGAATGAATGAATGAAATTTAATCTCCAAAGGTGAATAACACACAACATGAATGACCATGCACCAGGTATAAAGAACAAACTTCTATTGCTTTAAGCTACTAAGTCTGTGGCAATTTGTTTTGAGCACCACAGAAAACTAATACAGCCCCAAACCTTCAAGGTCGGTCCCTGCCTGATCTGAGTCACTGCAGCAGCTCCAGGCAGCGCAGGACTTCAGAGGCCATGGGGCCTTGTCACCAGGCAACCAGGGGCCTTTGGAAGCCCAGTTTCCATGTTGTGAACACAGGTGACCAAAGTTTCATTTGTTGCTTTCGACCACCAGCCTTGGAGAGAGTTAGAAAGCAATGGGGGAATTCAGAGTAATGTGATTTGTCATCCAGGGAAGTGACCAGATGAGAAGTCACCAATTATTGGCTTGCTCAGCAGAGGGAAATGAAAAATAATTGTTGGAAATAACATGAAAGCCTCCAGAAACAGAAGGGCTCTCATTTGTGAGACACCAGCCTCTGAGGGAATTTCTGGTGTGAAATTGCTTCCCTTAATATTATTAGAAAGATTTGTGTTCATTATAATTTAAATATGGCAAACGAAAATTAAGTTATATGGATTTTGTGTGACCACCTTTTGGTTTATATTCAACATTATCCAAACAGCTCATGAGTGGTTAGTTGATTCCCTCTAAGCTACAGTTTCCCCATATGTAAGATAGAGACGACAGTAGTACTTGTTTCACAGGTTTTCGGTAGAAATAAACAAGACAATTTTTATAGGTGGTTAGCACAGCAATAAGAGCATAGTATTCAGTAAGAATAGTCATTATTATTACTACTGTTGTTGTTGTTTTCTATGCCAGAATACAGTGAAGCAAAAGAGCAAAGTGGTTGAGGCTCAAGCTATGAGGTCAAACAGTCATGGGTTTGAATGCTGGCTCTAGCACAGACAAATAATGTAATATTTATAGAAAAAAATCACTAGGCCTCAATTTTCTCTTCTGTAAAATGGAGATAACAATAGAGTTATTTGTCCAAGCCATTAAGAAATAAAGTGCTAGGTGTAAAGCATCTAACATAACAGCTGGTTGCATGGTCTTTCATGTTACGTGTTTTTCACCCTTAGGGATTACAATTTCATCCATTCACTCATTCAACAAATATTTTAATGAGTGCTCATGCTTTATGTCTGACAAGAACTAGAGGTTTAGTGGTAAACAAGACTGTCACACTGCCTACTCTCCGGGAGCTTACCTGCAAGTGGGGGAGACAGGCATTAGCTAACCATGAAATAGGTGGAGATGATTGCATATCACAAACCCTTTAGAGACAGTGCTGTGTTTTTTCAAGAGGAAGTTAATAGCATGCCTGCCTGCCAGAGGTATATTGTATAAACTAAATGAACCTGAATGTTGGCAGGACCATTTGCCATCTCGTCTGCCCCCACAAAAGGGAAGACATTAACTGTAAACTCGAGTGGCAGGAATGGAGGAAGAGAGATGATAGGGTGGCACCAGGGAGCCATTAGACATCTTCTGTCTTCCATGAGATGCTCAGATCTTTAATGAGGTTCTAGACGTAGGAACTATCTGAGGGCAAACGGATTTTCTTTTGATGGAAACCAGAGAAGAAGCAGCTTACATCTTTACATCTAGGTTATGAGATACTGGGGGACAGAATGCGGAATCTTGACTGCACACCCCAGCCTGGGAACAGAAAGGCAAAGGGCACAAGAAGAGGAAGGGAGCAATTAGGGGTTAGCCCAAGTTTAGCTAGGTCTTCCTGAACCAAGATGGATTCTAACCCCATAAATGAGTTTCATGCAATTAATTCTTTAAATATCACAGTGATCAAAGTAGGAAAATAGCTGACATGGCAACAAGTGAAGGAAAAGCCCCTAAGGAGGTGACAGGTGAGTCACGATGTGAAGGCTGAGACAGAGCCAGCCCCACAGAAGCCTCCCAGGTGGCAGAAGTAGCAGCAATAGCTCAGGGACCAGAAAGAATGTGTTGTATTAGAGGAACTTCGCAGAGACCAGAGTGAGGATGGGGTGAGCCAAAGACAGTGTGATATGGAAGGAAACTGGAGGGATAGGCAGGGATTTCTGATGAATAGACTCTAAGGGCAGGACTTCTTTGAGATCTATAGAGGCCTGTGCTCTTAGGACATTTCACAACGATGACATGTCAGAATAGGGTTGTAAGTCACGATAAACTGCAATTATTTACCTTTCACAAATTAACTCTTTTGTCACCCTAAGATTACAATGATATGTAAAGGTGCTATTTACAAAATAATAGATTTATTTTTAAAAGTTGATTAATGCATACTGCACTATAGGTTGCGTGGTCTGGTAACGGGACACATGTTTCAAGATAGATTGTAAATGTCTTTGCTCGATCTCAATATTACGATATCTCTAAAATCTTATTTTAAGATAAAGTTAGAAATCTACATTTAAAGGCCTTGACCACACGGCCTTCTCAAGGAGTCCCTCCACCCCTGTTCCTGACCCTCTGATGGCCTAAAGATTTGCAGAAACAGATATAATTGCCTAAAGAGACTCTGTGTGGCAGCCCCTAGCAAAGTCCCCATGGGGGACAGGATGCAGAATCCACAGGGCATATCCCAAAGGAGATGCTCACTAAGTGTTTGATGAGTGGGCGAGTAAGTATTCACAAATGACTGCACGCTGACACACCACTTTCCTGTTCAAAGTCCCAACCCATGAGACATAATTGACTTCCCAGGAACAAAAAAGACAAAAAACAAGTGAAACTCAGAGACAATAAGTTTAGATGCCCTAGACATGTTTTTGAATTAAGTCAGTTTCTCCAACGCTTTGATGCCGCAGTTTGATTTGGAGAATGCAGTAGATTTTAAGCATCAGCAAAATAGCCACATGATTCCATTTGGTGTCTGCTCTGCCTCCAGCCCTGCTAACTTAGGACAGCAACCCCAGGCTTCTCACCTTACAGGCAGAAGGTAGCTTTGAAAGGACATGATATTACTCAGTGGTGTGTTCTCATATTCACTGTCTGGAGAAGAAATGAAAAGGCTCCAATGTATAATCTTGGATAATTTATAAGAATATCTCATCTCTGCTTTGAAATTCATTTATAGAAGTTGTATCTTTATTAACTTGCTATGTGACCTTGAGCAAGTCAGTTAACCTCTCTAGGACTCTTGATAAAGTCTAAATTATGTAGAATTTACCTCATAATACTATTATGAAGCTTCCATGAAAAAAGCATTTAGGAAAAGATCCAAATTTGGGGGCGGGGGGAATGAAGCCAATACAAATAGAAGGGCCCTATTTTAAAAAGAGGAACTTAAAATTATTAGGTAGAAGGTCTTAGAAGCTGTCCAGACAAGTGAGAGTCCATCCACTTTAAGCTTCATGGCAATTCTATCTCTGGGAAAGTGATAATCAGATAATACTTATTGTAAGAATAATTAGCACAGACCCTTTTGGTCTTACTAGATAGGTGTGGGCTAGAAGGGACAATTTCTGACCATGCTGCAGCTGCTCAGAGAAAGGAAAGTTTGCATTTCCTGTGAGAGGCTGGGTGTCTTTTGCTGCCCAAAGATGGCATTTTACTTGAGCTGACGTCAGACCTCAAATTCTCTCCTATGTGGACAAGCCCAGCACAAATGCCTCAGGGTGTGACTTAATTCAATTCAATTTGAATCAATTCAGTGCATGCCAGAGGGCATACACCCCAAGAAGACGTTGATTCAAAAAGAACTTGAGACAGGGTTTCCGTGTTCAAAAAGTTGAAGTCTAGCTGAGGAGATGACCTTGACACACATTCGATAAGTAGAGAATGTGATGTTGTAGCATCATGGCAAACTTGAATCTTATCTAATTCTTACTCTCCTCTTAGGACAAGCTTCAATCACTGTTGTAAAGTGTGTCCTGACCACCCAGCCTGCAGACTCTCACTCCGCTCATCCCACACTTAGAGATGAGAGCACTCATTTGGCATTTATGGTATCTTGTCCTGCAGCAACTTTTGCATCGTCTTGCTATATAATTGAGTGTGTGTTTGGGGTGGTGGTGGTGGCATTGATGATGACACTGATGATGATGATGACATCTCCCAAATAAGATCATAAGCTCTTTGAGGGCAAGAACCAGGTTATTAACTTCCATATAATCCTGCAAGCCCTGTTCTGTCCTGTTAAATGAAAGAGTTATGTATCAAATGTTAAAATATGACATTCAGACTTAGCTCATAATGTATGCCATGGGCTGTTAGAAGAGGGACTGGTTGGAGGTAATAAAAGAGGGTTTCTGCAAGGAGGTTGAGCTAAATCTCCATGAATTTTATTTCACAGTGTTAGTGCATTTCTCCCTAGCTATACAGCTCATCACTCCCACTTTTGAGCACCAAGCACCAGTTTGGACTTCTACAAATAATTTGAAAGAGAGGCAGTAGGGTAATTTGCCACCCCGAAGAGGGAAATTGTTCAAATCAGGATTTGATTGCAGGAGAGAAACAGAGGTAGATATTGGAAGAGAATATAAATATGTTGCAACCTAATTTGAAACTTCTTGGGAGAAGTGAGGACGGGCCAGGGATCAGGAATGATGAGAGCTCAGGGAATCAGCCTGGGGAAGGCCAATGTGGACTCTATGAGCGGAGACTTAAGGGCACACAGTTGTGGGGAGTCATCACCACACTGAGCAGAGAGGAAAGGGCAAAACATGTGGCAACCAAGTTTAGGACTGACAGTGGAAGAGCAGTGCTGCACTAAAAGCAACCACAGCCGCACATACACTTGATGAACACTGCAAATGGGAAGGCTTGCCAAGCAATTATTCCTGCTCACTGCCAACAGGATCCTATCTCTCCAAGCAAAGCAGTGTCCTGCTTCTCTGTGGGCCCTGCTGCTGCAGCCTTTGTACTTCCTGAAGTCAGTACCAGGAATGCCTCCCTGCCCTCAGGCCTTCTCGCCTTTTGAGGTCAAGCTTACATCACTTGAGAGACTTCCCTGATGTGCCAAGCAGGTGTCTTAAAAACCTAAGTCCTGCACAATTGGAGTTCCAGCAGGGAAGCACAACTCCCATAACCTCTACTTAGGAGTGTCCCTTTTCTATCATGGAATGGCACCTCTTTGACCAATGGAGCAATGGAAGGAAGAAAGGGCCAAGAAGCCAGTCAATGATACCAGCTGAATAATCAACTCTGGTAAACATGGCATGATGAAGAACTCAACAAGATGAACCTTCTTCCCAGCCCAGGCCAAGGGTGTCTGCACCCCTCATAGTTACACTTAATACTACACTCCTTGGCATTGCTATCTAAATATCTCAAGATTTGGGCACAAAGTAGGTGCTCATCAAATTCTTACTGAATACATTAAAACCCTTTTGTTTTAATTTAAAAGTCAGGGAAGTCTTTGTGCCCAGAGTTTCAGTTTCCCAGAGTTCCATTGATCACAAAAGGTGACCTTGTCATCCAATGCACTCTGTCTCTTATATCCCATTAGCTTTTTCCCAACAATAAGACCCTAGAGGTTGCATACAGGATGGAAGTTTCCCCTACTGTGGGAAGGATCCAATTTCTCAGCAGGCTGATTTCTTTCTGGGTACAGAAAATCTTGCAGCTGAGACAGAGCCTCTTCTCATAACCAGGGCAGGCAAAACTAAATATCACTTCATACAATCCATCCCCACAAGGACAAAGCTGTTCTTTACTGAAACCCCACTTGGCACTAGGTAGCCCTGGACATTCCCCTTGCAGCATCTTCCTGTTCTGATAGTCTCTTCCAAAGGGACCACTGGGGACTGCAAGAGACCACTGTCGACAACCGATAAATGCAGTCTTCAAAGCCACTCATCCATTCTTAATGGACAGCCCGTTAATTTGAGGTCTAGGTCATGAATTTGAATGCTATGCACTGAACACCTCTTCAGCAAGAAAACCTGGTTTTGCCTCAGGGTAAATGGTGATTCATTAATTGTAATTAAATTAGGCTGGTGGCTTAAACTGGATGTGACAAAATGAAAATCCCCATATAAAACCTGAGATGCGTATCACAGGCCTTCTGTCAACAACATCTAGTTTTTGTCTAAGTGGATTTAAAGGGAACAAGATGCCTCTTCTTTAAGAAAGAAAATAAACTACCTCAGTTAAATAGGGAAATAAATAACTCCTGAATGTTGCTCTATTTCTTTTTCATTCAGGTCCTGCTACAGAGACCTGGAAGGACTAATAATAAGGGTTTTAAGTGTCCCTTGCATATCTCGGAGAAAATGAGCAGCATCCTAGGAAGCCCCTTTAGGGTTGGCTCTGAAGCCCATCTACCCACATCCCACTGGCCTTGGGCTGTAATCTGAGTTCTCTTGGCAGAACAAACACAATTGCCTTTTAGTGCAGTGGGTGAATGGGCTGAATCCTTGGATGGAAACCTGGAGTCCTGAGATCTCACTGCGGCTCACTCAGCAGTTAGCTGTTAACTTTGGGACTCTTTGTCCCTGAAGTCCCTTAACTGAAATAAGGGGGTTAGACAAGGTTCCTCTTTTACAGCAAAAGAAAGCTAAACGGAAACACAAAATGAAACAGGTAAACATGAGGTTTCTCTGGTTGAACGGAGTGGAGGAGTCTTACCTGCTGTGACCCCCAGTCCCACCTCTGAGCCCAGAAGAATCTCAGGAAAACCTAGAAGACAGTGAAGGAGAGTTTGAAACCCATTCAACTGGGTATTATCTCAAGTCTTTTCCAGCTCCAAAGCTTGTGAAAAGCATAATTTGTTCCATCATGCTATGAACTAGAATATGATTTTAAATAAAAAATGAAATCATAGTGTATTAGGGAGCATTTAATCAGAGAAGCAGAATCATTATCAGTGGTATAGAATAAAGGATCATTAATAGGAACAGACTTTTCACAATTGTGGGATATGGTGAAGAAGTGCCTGCAAGGCTGTTGAACCTGATGTTGGGCTGAAGCCACTCTACATCAGATGTGTAAACTGTTGGAAAAGAAAACCAAACTTGAAGTTAGAGAGACCATAGCAGATTGGAATCTATGACTGTCTCTCAATTACTCTTAGCATGATGATGCAGGAGACCTGCAAAAGCTGACACCTTCTGCCATGGGACTGCACTTACACCTGGCCCAGGAAGATGAAGAGGATCTGATGGGAGATGGTGCTGCCTCACCCTCACAGGCAAGCCAGCAGCTCAGCAACAATGTGGATCCCCTCTCAAAGTGCCCACAGCCACCTTCAGAGCAGGAAAAGGCTGGTGTTTAACTCCCATTTCCCAAGTCTTATACAAATATCTTTTGTGGCCAAACCCAGTCAAGAGTCGTATGGGAAAGGGAATTCTGGGAAACACAGTTCCAGCTTAGCAAAGTTGACAAAATACAAAGCCATCGCAACCCACCCAGGTCACATGGCTTCCATATGCACTTCTTTTAACCATACTTAACTTCCGAATAAAGACAAAAGCAAAATCTCATTTACAACAAACATAATGCATCAATCCTCCATCCAATCAAAATACACTATCCCTCTCCACAAAAGAGAACACAACATCATTTTACACATATTGGGCTGATGTGATTTTTGTTTTTAAGTCATACTCCATTTTGGATAGCTCACAATTTGCATACTGAGCTTTAGGTCTAACAACTATTAACACATCTTACATTATGGAATGGGAAAGAGGAAGACAGAATTGGCTGATATATATGTAAGATATTTAGGTCAAAATATGGAAGAAATGCTGATAACTATTACAGTCTTTATTTCTGCAACTTGTCACATAATTATATGTGGTATTTATAACTACCTTCTTCTATTACCCATTCCATACTCCTTTACCCTTTGCAAGTATATTGCCTAGAGGCGTTCCTTGGCTGGTGGGGCAACCTAAATCTTTATTTCTGAAGTGTCTGGGCCATTAGCAGTCCTGCATGTGGTGGCCATTATTTCCCACTGACTTTCATCCAGAGGAATCTAGGAGGGAGTGTACATTTTTGACAGTGTAGCAAGATCCTTCCTTGAAGGGACTCGAACTCCACTTCATTCCAAGGGCTCTGGTTCTTCCTCTGGCTCAGGTCTGGGGCTTGGTAGGTCCATAACTCTCTATTGTGGTGATTCAATGAGGCTTCTGGTCACTAAACACAGAATGCTTCCATTCACACAAAGTAAGGATACTGTTCATCTAGTTCAGTATGACAGACACCATCATCAATTAGCCAAAGTCAAAGATATCTTGTTTTCTGTGTTTACAAATAGTTACAAATAGATAAACATCCCTGCATATATATCTTTGCATATTGATGCAAATGTAGGATACATTTTTAAACAGAAGAGTATGAAACATTTTCTTTTAGGACCTCTTGGTTGCTGATTATTTGTTCATGCATTAATTCATCAATGGTTCTTCTGGGTCTATGGGTAGTAATTAAAATAATCATCATTTATTGCTGTTTTTAGCACTTACTATTTGCTAAGTGCTGTCCCTATAACATCTCTTTTAATTCCTACAACTAGATAAATGCTATTATTCCCATTTTACAGATAAGGAAATGCTCACAATTGCAGGAGCATATACAGGCATGAGAACCGTGGTGTAACGAATGTAAAAGCCTTAAGCCAGATCCCACAGCTAATGGTCGGTAGAGCCAAATTAAAACTTTCTCCTCCCAAAATCATTTTCCCTATATTATGGCCTAGAAAAAGATAAATAACAAACACATCTATTTAAATAACTTTTAAAATTAGTTTAATGAATGAATATAAAATCTGGATCTATCGCTGGTCAGAGACAAGATGAGGGAATCTTGAAAACACATGGAGCAGACAGTTCAGTCAAATGATTGTCCAAAGTTGTTGAAAGTTTTCAGGAACTGGGAGGTCTCTGGGAATAGAGGCAACCATAATACGGTAAAATAGGAAGAGTGTGTCTGTTTACTATTTGTATAATTTTAGCAAATCAATATACCTCCATTGCCTCATCTGTAAGATGAGGAAATAATAAAATCTATTTCATAGGTATGATGAAAGAAGTCAACAGCATATATAAGCACCTGATAGACTGTGAGGTGTTGTTGAATTAAATATTATAATTATTACCTTGGGGCTGCAGCAAGTCAAATAGTCACACATCAAATCAGCAGTAATTAGGGTGACAATTCCTAGCTTAGGAATGCCCTAGACAAACTAGGACATGCACTTAGTAATACTGTTGGGAGAGAGTCCCATTCAGTTTAGTACTTACACTTAGGAATACTGTTGACAGAGTGTCCCACTCAGTTAAATACTATTGGACTCTCAAATATTGCCTGGATTTGCACAATAAATTATAGGAGAACCAAAGCATCAGGAGTAGAGCAAGCCAGCCATTCACCAGGTGCAGAGGTTACTGGGTAGCACAGATTCTACTCCCTGTTATTTCTGTTTCCCTGGGGAGAACTAAAGCTAGGTGAGCCCAACCAAGGATATGGATTTCAGAAAGCATGCAAGGCTGAGAAGGAGTTTCCTGACAGTCTGGCTGATTTCCCAACATTCATTGATAAGCCAGACCTGGCAAATTATGTGCTTTACAAAGTAGCAAAAGCTTCTGCAGTACTAATTATGTGGCAGGCACAGTTCAGGGTGTCTTATATTGCCAATACGTTTAATCCTATTTTAAAATGCAGATGATAACCTACAAAGCAGGTTACCATCTGCATTTTACAGATAAGAAATTGAGGCACAGAGAGTAAGGTACTTTCTCCAAGATCACACAGCTATTATGTGCAAGACCAAGTTTTGAACATGTGTTAATGGGCTTCAGGGTCCACACTCACACATTCTGTTCTGCTGCCTCTCATCCTCCTGAGTCTAGAGGAGCAGAACAACAAGGTCCATTCAGGCAGCACATTAGGAGTGGAAACCCGTCCTCTTTCCCCAAAGAGAGCATGGAGATGAGCTTAACCTTTTGGACGTGCGTGATTTTTAAAGAACAGGGATTCTTTTCTGCTAATGGACATGGTCCTCTGCAGCATGTGCTCACTGCCCCATCCATCAGCCATAACGAGGTGCTGAAGCATCTTGACTTATAAGGTTTTGGAGCTGGAGACTGGGTATGATGATGTGTGAAGATCCTTCCTTTTTCCACATTGATGAAAATTTGCCCAGGTAAGCTGTATTTCTAATCACACGGGTTTGAAGAAAACGTTTCTGACCTATTGCTATTGAAGGGTTTGTAGGCAGAGTACAGAGAAGAAGACTGGTGGATGGTTGGTCTTTTTTTTTTGTGAATTTCTTCCTCATACCAACACATTCTTCAACTCTCTGGCACAAACTGAGTATCCTACAATTCAATTCAATTCTGACACTAATTACCTGAAGTGAGTGCAGCTCCCACAAATCAAAGGCTCAGTCCTGCAAGACTAAGACAACTCTCACGTCAGATGCCACCGGCAAGTCTTGTTCAACTGTACTTCTGATGGACCAGCTATAAAGTTGGGGGGATTCCCATCAACCTTGTCCTCAGGTTCAATAATTTACTAGAATGGCTCACAGAACTCAGGAAAGCGTTTTATTTACTATGAGCAGTTTCTAGTTGATCAAAATCCATCTCCAGCCTCTCTCCCCTCCTAGGAAGTCAGGGGATGGGACTGAAAGTTCCAACCCTCTAATCACATGGTTGGTTCCTCTGGCAACCAGCCCCCTTATTGAGGCTATCTAGGGCCCACCAAGAATCACTTCATTAGCATAAAGTCAGTTATGGTTGAAAGCTCATTGCTGCAAATAATAAAAGATTCTTCTATCCCTCCTGCCACTCAAGAAATTCCAACGGTTTTAGAAGATCTCTTTAAGGAACTGGAGACGAAGACCAAATATATATTTCTTATTATGTCAAAATAGTTCATTGCTCAGTGTTTACAAGGTCCTTTGAACAGGAATTTCTTGGATGAGATGGATTGGGAGAGATGAGAAAGGTAGCATGGTCCAGTTAAATTTAGATCCTGAGAGTCAGGACATTTAGGGCAACTGGGAACATTTGGGACATTAGGGAATCTGGGTCCTACTGCTGTTCTGAGTCAGCCATGTGACATCGGATACCCTGTGTCATTCACGCTCTGTGAACTTTCTAGCCCACGGGAATTTTCTGAGGAACAAGGAGAGAATAGATCCAAAAAGACTTGAAACAGTTTTTTGTTGTTGTTGTTGTCTTTTTTTTTTTTTTTTAATATCCTAGAAATGTAAATTTCCTGGGTCAGACCTTGAAAAAGAAAAGCGTGAAAGATAAACTTATAGGAATTGTGTTAAAATGGATCAGAAGGAACTGGAAATTCCACAGCTGGCCTGGGCTTTGTAAAATATATATAGTGAAATTTAAATCTGGAATGAGATTGTTACAGGGGTTTGTTTCTTTTTGCTTTTTTTGGAGACATGGTCTCACTCTGTCACCCAGGCTGTAGTGCAGTGGCACGATCTCAGCTCACTGCAAGCTCCACTTCCCAGACTCAAGCCATTCTGCAGCCTCAGCCTTCTGTGTAGCTGAGACTACAGGCACGTGTCACCAGCCCCCGGCTAATTTTTCTATATTTTATAGAGACGGGGTTTTGCCATGTTGCCCAGGATGGTCTGGAACTCCTGAGTTCAAAGCAATCCACTGGCCTCAGCCTGCCAAAGTGCTGGGATTACAGGTGTGAGCCACCATGCCCAGCCATGGATTTGTTTGTTTAAATGTTTATTACTCACGCTTGGTGTGAAGGAACTGAAACGTCAGTGGTCTCAGAAGAGTTCTACTCACAGGCCATCTTGCTCTGCCTCCCAAGACAGTCTCATCCCTCAGGTTTGCAGCCGCACCTCTCACACAGGTGACCATTAACTCTGCCCTCTCACGTCCTCAGACCCCAAGGAAGCCCAGCCCTACAGGAGGCATTATTGACTTCTGTTAAAACAGTCAGACCGGCCTTCCTACTATGAATTCACCCCAGCTCCTCACCTGCCTTTACCTTAGAATGAAGCATGAGCAAAAGTACTACCTGATGACCTGTGAGAATGAAGGACAGGGCAAAATGCAGCAGTATCTCGGGTACCGTCATCCTGGATGTGAGCGGCAGCATCAGCGGGCCGCTCTACGGGGTGTGTGTGAAAGGGCTGTGAGTGTGCTGACAGCCAGCTGATCACCCTAGATCCATGTTCCCTCCTCATAGTGTCAGTTTGTTGCTGAGAAGTGGCTGCCCAGCCAGGGACTGCATGTCACAGTCACCTGTCATCTAGGTGTGGCCATGCAAACTAATTTTCATGAATGAAACATAGCCAGAAGTGATCTGTGTCCCCTCTGGGTCTGAGTGAATAAAAAGCAGATGTGCCTTCTCCTTACTTTGTTCCCTGTCTTTCAGTAACTGGAGAGGACTCTGTGGCTCCAAAAGAGGCAAGAGCCACAAAGTAGAAGGGGCCTGGGTCCCTAAATGACCATGTGGAGGAAAGCCACCTGCCAGTCAGAAACATCTGCATTGGACTTCCACATGCATGAGAAAAATGTATATATATTGTGATAAGCCACTGTGGCTTGGAGGTTTGTTTGTTACAGCGCTGAGCCAATATAGTCACTAACACAGGAATTGAACACTTGTAGGCCCCAATGGAGTGCTTATTTTTTACCTTGAAACAAAAGAATTCTGGAAATTTAAAATGCAGCATAAGACTGTCTAGCCACACAGAAATGACAGGTGCTTACATGAGAAATTTCTATTTCCTCTAGGCCAATATAGTGCTCCTTCTCTCAGGCCTCTGTGAAAATCTTTAATCCCTTCCATGCTACACAGTTCAAAGGGCAGAGAAGAACCAGGAATCCTCACACAGGAAATCTCCAAGAACAACTGGAGCCTTCCTGATCACCAGGGTCCAGCTGGGGTTGATAATGCATGCTCCTGAGAAATCTGAAGGGACTGCCCCTCACTGAGAGAAAGCTGGGTGTGAGTCATCCCATTCTCACCAGATTAGTGGGTTTGCTTCCCCATCATTTGGATTATCTAATAGAAAGTAGAATAGCCACCATTAGATTTGTCACTTGATTTGGATAAAAATTGAGCCTGGATGGATGAGCATCTGGAGATGGCGGGGAGAGAATATTATTCCTCTGCGCTAATTTTGATTTAGAAAAATGTCCCTACTTGGGAAGATGCATAAGCATCATCCTACTGGTTTCACCTCCAGCCCCTGCACAGAGTCCAGAAGTGATCATCCTCCTTCCAGATCCTTTGTGGCACAGGCCTCTGCAGCACATGCCAGAATTCTGGGCAGTGGCCCACGAGACCTACAGGGGCCAGCACGGGCTGCGTGTGCCCAGGTGTGTGTGGTGCCCTCTCATCACAGCTGCTGTGACACCCGGGGAAGAGCAGCTGCCTGCCTTTTCCTTGCTAATTTCTCTTCCCTGCTGAGCTACATGGGGGAGAATAATTGCCTTCACTCTGAGCTCTGACATTCCCACATTCAAGCACCTGCTCTACCACTGTTCTCCCAAGAGGAAGACAATTTCTGCCACACTTGGTGTTTCCTTCATAGCAAGCCAGCTGATTAGAGAAGCACACTTTAAGAGATGACTAGGGGCCTGTGAATGAGGCCTGGACCAAAGCAGCATTTTGGAAGTCTGGTCGGCATTTTCCCTTGATGAAATACAAACTGCAGTGACAATTCCCCATAGTGACTGGGCAAAGGGTAGACTCCTCTGGAGCTGCTCAGCCCATCTCACTCTCCTACAAGGTCCCAGCCCTGTGAGCAGAAACAAATCAGGAAAACCTAAATCTAAGGAAATGGAAAACCATGTCATGGTCATTCAGTGATACCATATTGAATTTATCAGAAGCTTCCTCTAAGATATTCAGATTTATTCTCTGACTACTAGAGGGCTGGGATCAATTGATTTTTTTAGGATGCACATTCTTATTCTAGATTACAAGTTGTGATACTGTAGCAGTTATTAATTTTGGCAAGGTCAGAGGGCCAATGTCACAACATCTCATGGTGGATGGGCAGGACAATCTAGGACTCAAAGACTCCCCCTCTGTAAGTAAGTAGGACATACATAGGAAACCATAGCTAAGAAGAAAGACAGTTCTCATCATATCCTTTTATCATCCCCCAAAGAGTCAAACATTAGTGTTAGTTAGCCAACCATTAGGTTTTAATCTTAATTCAGATTACGTGTCCCAATTTTTTTAACTATTATAAACTTTTATATTTCTTAATCGTGCAAATAATAGACTTTGATATAGAAACATTAGATCAGGAGTTGGCAAACTGTTACCTGCAGGCCAAATCTAGCCCTTTGTCTAATTTTTAAAACAAAATTTTATTGGAATATGTCCATTTGTTTATGTGTTTTCTCTGGCTGCTTTCACACTGAGTCGAGTGTTGAGTTGTTGAAACCATACAGCCCAGAAAGCCTAAAACATATACTATATGGTACTCTCCAGAAAAAGTTTGCTGATGTTTGCATTAGAGTAAACTGACATGGAAAAGAAAAAATCAATATCTCATAATCTCATTGCTCAGAAATCATAAATGCTAATATTACCCATTCCTCGTTTTTATTCCTATGGAAGTAACTCTTTAGAAACAGGACCTTCATCCCAAATTTAGTTCATATGTTGAGACTTATGATGTTACACGCATGCCAACAGAGTATAAAAAGTTTCTTATTACATCGTCAAGGTTTTTCTGGGAAGAGCCGGAAAGGCCTCCCAAACTGGTCTTCGGATGTCTGGAAAGAGCCAGGAAAGGAGACTGACCTGGGGCTGTTAGGAGGGTTAGCATGTGGGGCAGAGTGAGAGCTTCTGCCTGAGGGCAGAGGCTTATATGGTTTGAATCTTACACTATTGCCAAAGGAGGGAGCACCCCGGTTTTCTCATCAGCTTCCCAGATATATGGTTTGGCTGTGTCCCCACCCACATCTCATCTTGAATTGTAGTTTCCATAATCCCAGGTCTGATGGGTGGGAGATAATTTAATCACAGGAGTGGTTACCCTCTAGCCGTTCTCATGATAGTAAGTTCTCCTGAGATCAGATGGTTTTATAAGAGGGACCCCCCTTCACTTGGTTCTCATTCTTCTTGCTGTCGCCATGTGAAGAAGGATGTGTTCGCCTCCTCTTCCGCCATGATTGTAGGTTTCCTGAGGCCTCCCCAGACATGCTAAACTGTGGGTTAATTAAAACTCTTTCCTTTGTAAATTACCCAGTCTCAGGTATGTCTTTATTAGCAGCATGAGAATGGACTAATATACCAGGGCTGGAGCAGAAGGGGCAGAGAGAGGGGTGAGGCTTAAACAGGGCTATCTGTCAATCATCAAGAAATGGAGGCACACTCCTTATTACAATAACACAGTTTCTATATCACTCCTCTTTTTAACCTACCCAGTATCTTCCCTCCCTGCCTTCTGACAGAAAGCAAATCTATGGTTTTACCCTACGATTCAGTTTTTCTGGGATGAATTCATGCCTCTATCCAACACCCCCAATTCCCTCTTCTCCCCTGCATCCCCCCACCCCACTCCCACAGCTTGTGTTCTGCTTCTTCCCAGGAAGAGGGAGTCAAGAATTTCTTGGACCATAACGAAGAGGAGTGAGGAAAGGGGAGACTAAACCTTTTGAAGAGTTCTCTGTTTTCCTCTTTGTGGCTCCCACGCTGGGCCATTTTCTGGCTTCTCCCTTAAGAGGCCTGGTCCCTAATAAGAGCCAGGCACCTTCCCCTTTTGAGGGAGAGGGGACATCTCTGTGGCATCCTGGAGTGAGTAGTTGAGACTAGCTCTGTCTTAGGCTCTGAGGAAATGTTACCTCTTTCCCTTCCATTTACTTTTTCTCATTACAAGAATCAAAGTATCTACAAATGCAAAATTAGGATATGAATCCAAAGAAAAAATCAGGGTCTCTCACCTTGGACAAAGGAGCCCTATAGATCCTACAGTGGGGCTGAGCTCACGGGGTGCCTACCCTGGGGTCTGGACTTTGAGGCTCAGGAAACAAGGCCTCCTTTGCCTGATGGCATTCACATTGCTGGATCTCCCCTGGGAGCCTCAACAAGAAGTAGCTGAGGGTGGAGGCAGACGTTGTTGGCTCCCAGTGAGCCTTCGAATACTCCCTGTCTGTGACACACTTAACTGAAGGGCAGGAATGAATACCAGATGCACTCTGAGGAGGAGGAAGAGAGTGAAGATTGGTACAGAGGGAAAGTAAGGGGAGAAGGGTATTCTCTACTATGTGCTAGGTGCTTTATAGACCATATATTTTATGAAAAGATTTTTATTGTGGAAATACCCAAGCACACACAAAAACAGAAAGACTAGTACAAGGAACACAGGTCCTCATGAATCATTTGAAACAATGACCATTCAATATTGCCTTATAAACTGTACAATAACCCTGAGAGGTAGATGTCATTCTTACCCCGGCTAGACAGGTTTGAGGACTTTGGGTTACTTGCCTGAGGCCACAGATCTACTCTGTTCACTCTGGCAGTTCACTCTGGCTCTAAATCCCACACTCTTTCAATAGCATGCTGCCTCCAGGGAGGGCTTTGTGAAGGATGGAGACTTAAACTGGGCCAGAAGTGTCAGAGAAGCAGCAAGAGGACATTTTGGGAAGAGGAGAGAGAGAGTGAGCTCACATCCAGTGACAAAGATGAAGAAAGGGCATTAAAAAAACAAAAATCCCATTAGTCATCTTCTGCCAGCAGTATTTTAAAATTTTCAGTGTGTTTAAATCAGTTTCTATTTGGAAAATCTACAAATTTAGTCATGTATGGAAATGTGCATTTAGAGGAAAGGATGCCTGTCATTTCCAGAAGGTGAGAGTAACCTCTCCTGCCATATCCCAGGGAATGTTAGCTATACAGATGCAGGGCAAGTGCCCATTTAGTGACAGAATTTGGGCCTAAGATGAAAGAGACACACAGGGAAGTCACAGACACTGGCTGTGAGTCTCAGGAAGAATGTTTTGGGCCTCATCCCCTATCCTAGCCACCATGAAGGCATCCAACCTTCATGTAGGAGCTGTGAATGGTGTTCTTCAGCCCACACCTCCCTGTTGCATGGCTGCTTACTAAGTAGAGCTAGCCCTTCCTTTTAGACAGAAAGAGACATTAATATGTGCCTTGTTATAAGGTCCCAGAGTGGATGGCCTTTCTCTGTTTCCTGAGTATAGATGTAAGTGATGTCTCATCACCAGCATAATTTTATTTATTTATTTATTTTTTTGCCACCAGATTGAATACTGCTCAGCCATTTCAGAGGGGCCCTGCACTGGCCACTTCCTGCTTTGTTTATTATTGAGTGCTTCCAAATAAGGAACACAAGTCTACGGAAAGGGAAATGATTCTCTGAATCTGCAAGAGGATGCTAAAGGACATCTTCAGCAATTTTAATAATAGCTTTGGAATAGATGCCTCTGTGGTCTTGAAATGATGACAAGTGAAACCCAAAAAAGCTTTATTGTCTCAGGGAACGTAGAGTCAAAACTGGGGAAGACAAACCTTAGACACATAGAATAAGAACTCGAGATGCCTACTTTTGTGTTGGCTTTGTTATTTTGTTAAAAAAAATTAAACATTAAATAAATACATGTGTACTTTTTATCCCATTATATATCTCTTACATATATTTTGTAATTTATATCTAATTTTGTAATCTATAACTAATTTTGAAAAAACCTTATATTTATAATACTTAGCCTAATACGTCTGTACTTTTAATACATATATGATAAAATGTGCAACCAAACATTATTTTGCTTTTTAAGTTCTGGGACAAAATTGTGTGACATGTAGCTCCTTGGCTCATATTTTTAAAAACATTTCTCAGATCCAGTTGCTTAAGGACACCAAAAAAATCCTGTTAGTCATCTGTTGTCAGTATTTTAAGATTTTCAGCGTGTTTAAGTCAGTTTCTGTATGGAAAATCTACAAACAAATCTAGTCATATCTGGAAATGTGCGTTTAGAGGAATGGATGCCTGTCATTTCCAGAAGGTGATAGTAACCTCTACTGCCATATCCCAGGGAGTGTTTGCTGTACAGATGCGGGGCAAGTGCCCATTTAGAAACAGGACTTTGGACCTAGGATGGATGAGACACACATGGAAGGGAAGAAATACAGTAGCAGGAGATAAAAGGAGGATAATTTCAGTTCCAAAATTTTCTTCCCTTATGTTTTTGATAAAATAGAAACTTGTGAGCTTCCAGGCATAGTTTATTGCCCATCTTTTCACTCTAATTGGAGAGGAGGTATATGGATAAAGGATGACGCTTTTTATGGCAGGGTTTTGATGTTGCTGGGATATTTAGGGATTATGTTTGTCCTTCAAGAGGGCCTTTTCATATGTTCCTCTAAGGACAGAAAAGGAAGGATGACAGGCTGAGCAAAGTCATATGAGCCAAAATGACACACAGGAGACAACTTAGCATCAGGCTTATAGGTTTTCTGGTGGGACCAAGAGATTTGAACAATCTATACCAGACACAGAGCCACATGGGACTAGCATAAATGAGTTTCCCCGCCATTGCTCCCAAACTGGCAAAAAGCTGCAGTTCGAGAGAGATTGAGCCTTTTCCTCCCTGGCAGTCAACAGACATATCTGGCAACACTCAAACTCCCAAGCACATCCAGAATGCAGGAGTGTGATGGCTCAGTGTCTTGAGTACAGCATCCTTGAATAAATGGTATCCCAGCTGCTCCCATTTACAGGAACTATTTAATCTCACTCCAAATAGCACTGGTGTCATCTCCCTGCTGTTTCAGTGCTGCTATGACCTTGCCATCAAGTCTTAGAATCGTGGAGATTGTGCTAAACATAAAAGGCTGAACTGAAGTAGATTGTGAAGTTAGAATGCAATAATTCTTGGACAATATACTGCTACTATCAAATGACTAATATAATGCTGTTTTACTGGGTAAATGTGTATTTTCATTTCTGGGAATAAATACTCTACATTTTTATGCCTTCTATATTGAATTTTTCAATATGGGCCAATGTGGGAAACTGTAGATTTCATAATAAATGTTTAAAAATATTATTCCACCACAGTAGAAAAATGAGCAAAAGACAAGAACAAGCAGTTCACATGTACACACACAAAATACAAATCACTGATGTGTACCTACAATGATGTCTAACCTTAATAGAAATCAAAGAAACGTGTATCAAGACAATGATGAAATGCAAATTTTTCCTTATCATATTGGCAAACGTAAGAAAGAATGATAATACTAAGAGTCGGTAGGTGTAGGAGGAAGTGCATATTTTTCTTTCTCTGGTGTTAGTACAAATTGTTTGCTCCTGGAGGTGATTTGAAAATATTTATCAAAATATAAATGTACATACTGTCTAACCTAGTGAGTTTATCTTTAAAAATTAATTCCCAAGATAAAATCAGATACATATGTAAAGACACTTGTATACAAGGGCTCAACATAACACTGTCTGTAGTACAAAACAATGCAAACAACTTAACTGTTTATCAATAAGAATTGCTTAAATAATTTATGGTATAAGCCAAACAATAGTTGGCTATGTAACCATAAATATAAAGCTATATTATGGAATGGATATTCAATGTATTGTTAAGTAAAAAAGAAAAAAGCTGTTTGTGAAATAGAAGGCATTGGAGAACAGACTTGTAAATTTTTGTGAGTGAAAGAATATCCACCAAAATGAGCATAGTCATAAGTGGCTTGTATGGGCAGACGGAGGTTCTGTGAATTTTTTCTTTCCCTTCTTTGTAGCTTTCTTTCTTGTGCGGGTTTGGTTCCTTGTTTGTTTACTTCTGATTCATTTATTCACCAAATTTACTGAGTACCTACCGCATACTAGATACTGTTCTAGACCCTTGACATACAATGGTAGACTGACAGCACTGGATAACAATCCCTATCTTCATGACACTTGCATTATGTTGCGGGGGAAGACAGAGAATCAAAAAAGTAAAACATAAACCAAATGGTATGTTAGATAATATCAGATGCCCAGGAGAATAAGGCTTCACTTATACAAACCAAGGAAAAGGACTGGTCAGGGAGCTCATCCATCTTCTCCCATACTCACTCCGGGCCTAGCACACTATATGGTCCAGAGAAAGGCTCAATCTCTTTTGGTGAATGAATTTAAGAAGGAGAATCCATTCAGAGCACTCTCTGGCCAGGGCACTATGCTGAAAGCATTCTACAAGACCTTCATTCCTGGGTTCTCCTCTCTTAGGTACAGACAGGTGATCTACCTTCATTCAAATCACACATTCTTTTCTTCAGACCCAGTAACATTCAGCTGATCTCTTTCTACCTTTCTTTATTCAATCACATTCTGGTTTGGCCTTCTTGAGATGAACAAAGTTCCTTGGACTAAACTCAATTCTTTATCGTTCAGTTTTTTTCCAATTATTTTGTAGGGTTGCTTATCTCCATGCATAGCTGACCCCATTTATTATATGTTGATGCCTCACAATGTCACATTGCCTTCATACTTTGGGGAAGTATTCTTAAGTTTCTCCACATAACTGCCACAAATCAAAACACATCTGGCAATAATAAATATGTTATTGCTGAGTGCCCTCCTTTATTTCCTTCTTTAGTTTGTATTTATTTGAATTTGTTCTTCTTAATGCCCCATGACTTCTTGTACCAGGAAAAATTAGTCAGATTATACAAGGAGAATGAGGAAAATTAGAAAGGCAGCAGGCAAAATAAATAATGAGTTTCCCCTCATATATATTATTTCAACTATTAATAAAAATGTTTTCTTGTGCACAGAGACGAATGTCAAGGGCAATTGGGATCTTGAAGCATGACAATGAAATTTAGGATACAGAGGACAAAGAAATACATATTCAGCAATTATCTTCCACCTGTCTTCACAAATGAATTGCTAACAGTGGCAGAGGAGGAATTAACACATACATAGATTAATATCAGAAATGGACATAATAAGCTTACACTGTTATTAATTATCACAGCCTAATGCCTTTTTAAGTAGATAAGCACAAATACAGTTTTGAAGTTGCATAATAAAGGCCATTTATGGATATCCTTATAGGAAGTTTGTTGCTTGAACATTTGAACTTACTGCTAAAACAAAAAGAGCAAATACTTTATCAGATCTCACAGTCACACTATTAAATAGTCTATCAGTTGTTATTGCAACAATCACAGGCCCTTCCAATAAAGTTAAGGAAGTCTGGCATTTTGCCTCAAATTCTCTATAGTCTCATTTTCCAATATGACACTGTTATTTGAGTTTTGAGTTTTATTTATCTCGAGAAACTGCTTCCTCGCCAGGAAAATGGATGTATTAACATTTGTCACCAAATCAGCTCTCAGAAATCAGCCAGAGAGGATTCTTACAAAATTCTTTGAGTTTCCTTGTATTATAAAAACACTGTTTAAGTAGCACATGTGGTCAGCTTCTTGATAGATTTTTGACAGCAAAACAAGCATCAATTACGAAGATACTAAGCCCTTTCCTTCAGTCTCAGTAAAGGACAAAAGTATTCATTTATTCCATGCCCTTGTTGCACAAATTATCTTATTTAATCCTTACTAGTCTGTAAGGAAAGTTATAATTATTATAATTTTACAAATACAATTAAGACTCAGAGACATCAAGTAACTTGTTCAAGGTCACACAGCCAGTACATGGCAGAATCAAAATTCAAACCCATATTTTATTGACTCTACCTTACACTTTTTTCCTCAAAAGGACAAAGTTTTCTTTTCCTAGAATCCGCCCAAAATGCATGTTCCTTTTGGCCATCTTCCCACACACCTGTCCCCAAAACATAAGTAAGGTATTTCTATCAGTATAATCTTTGAGGCTTCCAATTACTTTTTTAGGTTATTAGTATAATTCTTAGCCTATCTCCGCTCATCTACTGATTCATTTTGCAGGTATTTTTCTACTGTTTGTGCTTGAATATCCTGTTTTCTCTATTAGGGCTAAGAGTTATAAAGATATGCACCATAACTAACCTCCAGCACACATTGATCCTCAAAGAACCATGTCAGTAATGCATGGGATGAATGGCACAGTGTCCCCTAAACTTGAGAGGTTAGCTCTGACTTGGACACAACATTAAATACGTCTCATTCTGTTTTTTGAGTTTCCAAAAAGCAAAAGTTCACTCAAACCACTTCCAAACAAAGAGGGAGATTTATGCATTTTCAGAGAGGTTTCATGGGCCTCAGTAAAGCTGTACAACTGTGCTTCCGGAAGGCACAGAGCTGGGGCTGCTCACACAACCAGCTTCTCTCTCTTTCTCTCATAACATCTCCTCCCTGGTTGCTACACTTTCTTCTTTTTCTGATGATAAGCTGCCTCATCTTGCACATAGCCAGTAATTGTTGCCCCAGACAGATTCCTATAAAAGCTTTTACCTCTAGCAACCTCCCACCCCCACAACTGGCAACTTTTCATTCTATTTATGAAAGAAAATCTGATTTAGCCAGCTCATCTTTTCAAGACGGGACATACAGTCCTAGGTCGCTGACTAGTTTATGGATGGGCATCTCTAGGTTAGAGGTACCCCTAGTCCAATGCATTGCAGGGGGAGGGATGCAGATCTCCTCATTCACCACCTACTCTTTCTAAAAGGAGATATGCTGATGAGCAGATATCAAGAACTCTGTTGAATGCTCATATATTCAATTTCAGGTCTCTGTCTTCATGAGGTTTGCCTTCCCATCTCTTTTCCAAAGCACAAAGAGAGATTAGGTCCTCGACCTCAGCCTGACTTCTAATTAAATTTCAGCCATTCGCAGTGAGGATGTTGATAGAGGAAATGGGGTCACTTCATATAATAAATGGTAGTCATAGAACCTAAATGTAAAGGTACAAATTAAAGAGATTGTTTGAGAGGCAATGACTGTTACATGACATTAGTTTCAGCCTTGTTCTGGCAAAAGGAATTTCAGGCCATAATCTATACAGAGCCACTCAACTGACCATTTGGAGAACAGTTTGGAGTTTTTAGTTTGGCTCAGCCTGAGACTTGATAAATGGATTGATCTCTCATAGGTTGAATTCTGCAAGGAAAATGCTTGAAAAAAGTCTAGCTACCAAGCTAGGATTTGGTGTTATTTTAGTAACTAAATTTGATGAACAACGTGGTCATCTGTTAATATCTGGAGATTTATATAAAGACACTGAATTGGCCGCTAGCACATTAACCATTAATACTTTATCAATACAGCGGTGGAATAGAGAGGACTTAAAACATGTTACTGTAACCCAAAATGCACGTCTCACATCCGTTTCAATATTCGCTTTGCAATTCCGTTACTGATTGTCTCTGACAGCAGGGGTAGTCCAACTTTATGGGCAGTCTTTTCGTTTTATGGAGCTTTTCATGTGAAATATTAGAGAGTTGGTATTAGCGATTTCATAGACACAAGTTCTATCATTCATAAATCTTTTATCTTAAAATTGAAAGCATTTACTTTAAACGTGTTCTACAAATCTTTCATGGGAATAGAAGGTCATTTATGCACTATATGTGAGGTGACTGGACGAAGTATACTTTATGAAGTCTTTGGACCATTAACTCTAGATTTTTATTTTTCTTCATTTAGAAAAATGATACCTTTGAATGTTTTAATAGTATGATGGGAAAATCAGCTTCAGTGAATTTTCTCTTTGTGGTCACTGAGGTAGGTCATGAAGGTGATTGAAGTCTCCCAGCAGACTTTTAAATACTTGAAACTGAAAATATTTAAGGGTGTACCAAATGACTAGTGCTTTAATTTTTATTTATATTCTATTTTTGCTGTGGTTGTGATTATAGCCTCACCAAAGCGGGTGATCAGTAATGAATGTGTCCTGTTGGCAGATCCCTCCAGGGCTCTGATTCAATCTTTTGAGTTATGGGATGAGGACAAAATGAACTATTTTTCAAGCTTGTAAATATGTGACAAATGACAGTGCAAGAACTATTGATTCCAATCACAGTGATACAATGTTTCATAGTCAAGACTGACTCTGGCTTTACAAATTACTTGCAAGTTGAACAGTAAACCCATGCACAACATGCTTCAAACTGGATCAATCTTCAAGAATATTTGTGTCACTATTCACAAATTCCCAAATTGAAATGGACTTTTCTTCTATTTTTACATTAAAAGGGTGCTGCTGAGTTTTCCCTCAATCTTAAAAAAGGATGAGAAAAGCAGAACCTTTATAAAATTTCCAGTGACACTAGGCATATTTATCTGTGTTTATCCTTATTAGTTAAATGGGCATAAGCCAAATATAATTGAGAAAGGCCTCTTAAGAATATGAATGGTAAAACAGCTAAACATTCATAGGTACTGCCTAGCTCAGTGCTCAAATCCTATTCAAACATATCTGGAGACAAAAAGAAATTCAACTGATTGGAATATGAGACACTCCAGTAGCCAGCCATTGTGTTCCTGTTTGGGGCAATTGGATTTGACTCTTTTTGAAAATGTCCCTAACACAACAGGCATTTATATGTAAAGATGGACTCTCTTAAAAACCTCTTCCTTTGGATCCTGAGCTCTTCTGTGTTGAAGAAAACTTTTCCTACGTCCCCACTATACAAACCCAGTACATTACACTTTTGCGGGGGGGTGATGTTGGGGGGCAGAAGTCATTTTTGCAGCAATTGCTCAAAGGCAGCATCTGTACATCCCCCCACAACTCCCACCCCCACTCCCACTGTGGAGCACCATTTTAAACTTGCCCTCAGGTTGTCATGGCATATTTTATGCAGGACTGACCTTAGCGGAGACTCTGCATGCTGATGTATTATTGACCTTCTTCCCCACTGCTTACTCAAACAGGCCATCTGGGTACCAGGACGGTACAGGAAATATGTCCAACTTTCCAGACCAAGATAAAAATAAATAAAACGGAGTGGGGTGAGGGAAGGAAGGCTCTTTAGCTCGCACTGTGGATGCGTTTATTCAGACATAATTGGCGTGGATCTGGCCAAGGCACAGTTTCCTTCTTTGTCTAACCCACTGGCCCCCTAGCCCCTCCCCTCATTGTTCATCTCCATCAAAGTGTGATGAGCCACTAAGCAAGAAAGGAGGGCAGAGACGCGGCAAAACCACCACCAGCCCCTCATTACGCTCACACTTCTGGAGACGCTGGAATTAGCTAGGGTGTGTGTGGCCGCTGAGTTCAGCAGATGACCCGATCTCAGCCCAGTCCACACTAGGGGGACCTGCTTCTTCCTTCCACTCTCTCCTCAGCCTGCAGTAGGTGCTAGGTATCTGAGACCCGAGAGCCAGGTTATTGTGGCTGGGGTTTTGACTGGTGGAACAGCCCTCAGCTCTCACCCAGTTGAGTCACAAAGGACCCATCCTTGCCAGGCCAGGCCGGGACATCTACAGCCTCCCCAGGGAATTTTTCCCAGGCTGGAATCCATTTTTAGCAGCTTCACTTGGTTGATCAATGGCTTCCACTCAATGGGCATATTGACAGGAAACTAGTTCAGAATGTCAGATAAAGTTCATAGCCCACCGCTCTCTAGGCCCCAAAGAGAACCATGAGTTCCCTGCAGTACAGGAACACCACCAAATGCGGGGGGGATTCTGTTTAACCTCAGTTCCTGGTCTTCAAAAGGCTTTGTTTACTCTCTTTTTCTGGAGGAAAGTTCTGTTTGTGTACAGTTTAGTTAAGGAGAATAAAAGACATTGGACACAATATTCAGCACGGTTGTTTTTCCTAGCATAGAAATGCAGTAGCCATTAGCCAAGAGCAAGACACCACCTCCTTTGAAGCCTTCTCTGCCCCCTGTCCCCACCTACTCCCTCTCCTCTCCTTTGTTCTTCCATGACACTTCGTAGACACCATTAAAATAGCCTCCTTAATAGAATTTGTTGTTCATCTATGTCTACCCTTTTGAAAGTACAAAGGACTAAGACTGTACTTTAATCATCTATGCCAAGTCAGCCCTATGCCTGGTATACAGGACAAACTCAATAAATATTTGCTGAATACATGACTAGTCACTATTTCGAATTCAGCAGTGTACCAAGCAGTTAAGTTAATCATCACAGTCATCTGAAGAGCTATATACTACCCTTACCTCCATTGTACAGATTAGAAAATTGAGGCCCAAGAGGCTAAATAGTAGCTAGAAGAATGTGAGCCAGGATTTTCATTTGGTCAGTATCATTACATGGCCTGGGTTCTAGCTGCAATGCCACACAATAATGAATGAATGCTCATACCTCTCTTTCTATACAAACAGGAAATGCATGTTTCCATTTTTGGAATAAGTAAGGATGGTTCTATTTCATCACTGGGTTTATTGAGTTTGTGACAGTTCCTCAGCATCTTTGGGGAGATAGAATACAAATTGTAAAATCCAGCCAGGCTCTGTTCTATTTGTTCAGGCTTTTTTACGGCAGCCAAATTGAGAGGCACAAGCACAGATTTAGGATATGCATTGCCTGTGTCTTCAGCAAAGCGGACTGGTCTGTGGCATACAGGCCCAGTGGGTCAGTGGATATTGTTGTTTTAACACGCAGATTCTTCAGCATACAAACTTCCTCCAGGTATCTCCTCTTGGTAGCAGTGTGACTTTGAATCAGCAAAATGAAACCTCTCTGACCCTCAGTTTCCTCATCTATAAAATGGGATAAGTAAATGGTGTTTTCCTTACCAGAATGCTGTAAGGAATAAATGAGATGAGACATATCGAACACTTACCACAGTAACTGGTGCACTTTTAGGAGTTTAATTAATGATGGGTATCTTTATGACATTCAAACATCTGAATATTTGAATATCTTTGAATACCTATTCAAAATAAATAAAAATTACCAAGGATAACGTAGGCAAGATAATGAACAAAACATAAAAGAGATAAACATATCTGTCTCATGCACAGTGAACTACACACTTAAAATGATTAAAATAGCAAATGTTATGTACAATAAATAAAAAATAAAAAACTCAGCATGCATCAATCCAATGAAGACCTCACAATAAAACCTCAACGTACATCAACGCAAAAACAAACCAAAACAAAAAACCCAGAACAAAACTGCTAATGCTGTGGAAAATTCTAAACATGCAAACTGATATGTTTTTGTTGTTGTTAACATTTAATGCTGCTAAACGTTTCAATTAAAATCATTTTGTGCCAAGTAATGAGAGCATTTAACCAAATTTTTATTATATTGCTTGGACTCTTTCATATTCTCTTTGCATTGCCAAGAACTAAATAGGCGCTCAAAGAGGTTTTTATTAGTATACATTTTAGCACATTTAATGTTTTCAAAGCACATATTTTATGACATTTTCATCTCGACTCATGGAAGTTAATGTGTCTCATGGTCTGGGACAAGCGGTGAGTTTGGTGTGGTGCCTTGCTGAGGGTCTGTGGTTGCCTGTCTAGAAAAGCCTGACTGCCTGTTTAGAAAAGCCAGACTTACCAGGCTTAGGAGAACAAGGGCAGAGCTTCCCACTGAAGACCTAGACACGGCAATGCACTGGCTGCCTCCAACCTGTGGCTATCAGGTCCCCATTTCACATACCCAGCCTGCTTCTCCCTTAACACACTGAGTTGTCTCACAAATAGTAGCGTTTGCCATCCTGACACCTCTGTTATCTGAAGTCAGGACATGTGACCTAACTTTGGTTTGGTTTGACTCTATCTGAGGAATGGTAAGAAGGACCAAGAAAGCTTCCAATACTTCCAAGGTTAAGACCAAGGGACGAGATGGAGAACTGTGGGAAGAGGGGTGAAGTGCTAGCCTTACAGCATGTTAGAAGCCCTCCCTGTGTCCAAGAAGACATCTCTAGCCTTATATTGCAAAATGACGAGCACTCAGCAACATCAAGAGCCTTCTTTGCAGAGATTTAAGGCAAGCACAGGACCTAAAATTTCAGGTGGGCCAAATAATCACCGATCTAGAATGCTGCTGCAAGGAGTTAGGTGATGGGGGCACAGTTTCCTGGGCTGTCTAACACAGGGTGAAAGCTATGTGTTGGAGACTATTTATCTGAAAGCCATACATAAGATGGAATTGGGTGGGAGTGGTAGAGGCCAACCTGAGGTAGTAAATGTGGCCATATTTAAAAGATCCCCAGCCAGACTCCTTCATCCCTGACTTTACAATTTACTTCCAAGCTACCACTCGGGGGTCTGCATTTATCTACTCCCCTCCCTTCATCCAAGCTGAACATAGCAATGGCCTCTGTCTTTCAGACTTGAGATTTCAATATCATCTTCTACTGTTTCTTATCCCACAGTAGCCGCATCTATCTGATTGCCATTTACGTAGACATTCTTGCTAATTCATTTAATTTTAACAGTGTGCTTAACATCATATGATGAACCCCTATCATCTGTGTGCTGTCATCTCCAACCACACTGCCAAACCCCTCATCTAGACCCAGATTACGTCTCATCTGGTTGACTTCTGCCTCTTCCCTTTTCCTCTTTGGGCCTCTATTCATCAAATTTCACTACCCGTCTAGCAAATGTACAGAGCACAGAGAATTGGAATATTAGTACCAGGCAGGGCCTTGAAATTCATCTAGTCCAACACTTTTTATTTATTAAAGAGGAAACTGAGGCTCTGAGAGGTAAAGGCACATAGGAAGGGGGATGAACTTTAAAAGCAGACCTTCTGACCTCCACAGGGGGACTCTCCTACTTCTCTATTGTCCTGTGTGAATATAACCTACCACAATTCTGCCAGCCAACAAAGCACAAAACCAGGACCCACAGAGCTGGAAACAAATAGTCTAAACTTGCTGCTTAGTAAAAATAAGAAAGTCAAATTTTGTATAATGTGTATCCATACCTAGGTAGATACTCCTTGGCTTCCTTCCATTAGAGCCCAGGGCCACCATCTAAAGAACCACTTGACACATTAAAGTGAGGGTTGACAAACTACCGTCCATAAGCCAAACCAGCCAGCTGCCTATTTTTGTAAGTAAAGTCTTCTTGGAACACAGTCATGCCGACTTGCTGATATATTGTCTATGGTTGCTCTTGAGCTACAATGGTGGTGTTGAGCAGTTGTGACAGAGACTGTGTAACCTGCAAAATCTAAAATATTTTCTATCTGGCCTTTTACAGAAGATGTTTGTGGAACTTGTGTTAGACCATTGCAGCTTTATGCAGAGCCAAAATGGATTCTACCTCCCGTGTAAGGGAATTCTGTGAAACTTGTCCAAGGTGGTGGCTGGTTGGCTTAGAGTTTGTGGCCACAGCCGGTTGTCGTCCTTATCTTCACATCTTTTCTTCCTAATTTGTAAGTTCCTCTGATGCCAGTTCATTCCAAGTCTTTTGCAACTCTGCAGGCAGAAGCTCACAGATATGATTCCACCTGCCAGTACTCCACCACCGTCTTCTAACGGCCTCTCTGCCTCCAGTCTAAGGCCTCCAAGTTGCCTCCCATGCAGCTTCCTGCATGCCTCTTTATGTACTAACTCTCCAGGACATGTACCCAGCCAGGTCACCCTGCCCCATGCTGAATGTTCCAGTGAATATTCTTACCCCACTGCCTCAGGTAAGGCCGCTTCACCCACCTGCTCATCAGAATCTCGGGATGCTTTTTAAAAGCACGTATGTCTAGGTCTCACTTCAAAAGCACTTAATCTGAAAAGCATATATTCTTTTGCATGTCACTTCCTTAGAGAAGTCTTCCCTGCCTGTTCCATCTGAAGGAGAGTGTCACCAATGCCCTCTATTTTATTCAGTGTTATTTCTTTGTTTTGTTTCCTTAATACCATGTATCAGGATCTGACAGATTAGAATATTTGTTTACTTCTTTATTGTCTATCTTTTCACCAAATAATATGAGCTTCATGAGAGTATGGACAGTATCCTGAGCACCAAGAACAGTATGACCCATAGTGAGGCCTCTAACCATCTGTCCCACCTGTTTGGGTACTCTTCCCTGATGTGGCCCCAGCATTCCCTCTGGCTTACCTGTCCAGCTTTAACCTCTCCTGTTTCCATGCTCAGGTTCCCCCTCTACCACCCTCTTAGAGTGGCCCAACTGCACAGTGCCACCTGCAGGCTGCTAGGCTGCCAGGCTGCCATGCCGTGGTCCTATCACCTCCTCTATCTTTAATATCCTCTCCTCCACATCAGCCTGGGAAGCCCATAAATGCTCCTTCATAAGCCACTTCAAAGTCACCTCCTTCCCTGAGCCGTGTAAGCAGATGTGATTACCTCCACCTCGGAGCCAGCAAAGTGCCCCTTATAGAGAATCCCATTGCTGTGGCTGTTTAGTACATGAAGACCTGTTGTCACTAAACTGGAGGCTCCCTGCAGGCTTTCACTTCTGTATTCCCAGAGCCTAATGGTATACTTGGCAATATTGAATCCTAAATAAATGTTTTTTGAATAAAATAAGAGATGGGTGAAAAAAGAAGGTAACGAAGTAAGGGAGTAAGGGGAGAGGGAGGTTGAAGAGAGGAAAGAAGGGACAGAGAGAGGTAGAGAAAGAAGAGAAGGAAAGATGAAGAAACCAACTTCTCCCATGGAGTCTTCTGCCTCAGTGCTCATGGTTTGGCGCTGCCTTGCTAAACCGGCTGGCTCTATGTTGTAAAGCTAAGACAGCAGCCCCAGGGACATGATCTGCTCAGTGGTTTCTTTTTAACACTCTACAGTTTGTCTCTGCAAAATCTTCTTGCAGATGTGGCCAAGAGGAAGAAGGGAAGGGTCTCCTTCAGCAGACAGTGTGATATTTGAAAAACCATTTCCTTGCATGCCTCCAAATCACAGGCCTGGTAACATGGCAGAGTTCTTTGCCGTTTTGCTTATGGCAAAGAACACTGCCAGTGGGGGCCAGGAAGCCTCAAAATTAACTGGCTTCCAGTGCTTTTACAGATCCTTTGCTCTTCTCCAAGGTGTAACAAGATTGTCATTTGTGGCATTGATGTGGTTTGTATGTTTTTCCTCTCCAAATCTCATGTGGAGTTGTGATTCCCAATGTTGTAGGTGGCACCTGGCAGGAGATGATTAGATCATGAGAGCAGATCCCTCTTGAATGCTTTAGCACCATCCTCTTGGTGATGAGCGAGTCCTTCCTTCCTAAGTTAATTCACGTCACATCTGGTTGTTTAGGGCTTCCCCCTCCTCTCTCTCTTGCTTCTGCTTTCACCATGTGAGATGCTGGCTCCTCTTTGCCTTCTGCCATGATTGTATGTTTCCTGAGGCCTCACCAGAAGCAGATTCTGGCACCATGCTTCCTGCACAGTCTGGAGAACCATGAGCCAGTTAATTGTCTTTTCTTTATAAATTAACTCATCTCAGATATTTCTCCATAACAATGCAAGAACAGACTAACATATGCATTGAGTGTTTTAATTAAATATTTTATGACACCCTTAGGACGGACCAAGGTGAGAAACTAATACAGGAAATTTTTTTTCAGATGGAGAAGTATTGGAAATTGTTCTTCTCTATATTGAAACATTGTCTTCTCCAGTAAATAGGAATTTTCACTTATGTCAAGGATGCATACAAGAGAGAACAGAGAGCCTGCTAGTGAGGAACTTGCATGCACTCTGAAGGGCATTTTGCATATGGCTATTTCTGATAATATACCTTTGAAAATACAGCTCTATTATGGATGCATTTCATTAGTGAAAAAGGGGACATTTCTCTGTATTAATGAAATAGAGTTAAGTTCCAATCATATGAACCTGCCATAAATATACAGTTCTAACTGATAGAGTTTTTACACTTTCATTGATGATAAAAAATGGCTTCCTGATTAAAAGAGAAATTCAAGCTGCTTCTTAGAAGAATAGTTGGGAGGAAAAGGAACATAAAATAAAGATGTATTGCAGAGGATAGCAGACCTATGCAAGTTTCACATTTTTCTTAAATGCACATGACAGGGCTCCAGTAGAAAGCCCCCTGGGAAATAATTTACAGTGGGTGAAACCAAGGCTCAGACAAGTTAATTGAACTTGCCCTGAGTCACTCTACAGATTTGTAGTGGGAATAAGATTTGAACCCAGAGCTACTGAGTTACGATGCTTTTGCCCACCTTAGAAACATCCACAATATACAGGGACATCGGGAACACGATTGCACTGGAAAACCTGGCTGCTACAGTTGAACTCTACTGCTAATTCTGCTGGGCCATATCTCACAGCACCCTGGTCATGTATTGAGTTGTACTGTTGACTGGTCATTGTCATTCTCCTCCCAGATGTGCAATAAGGCTGCAGTCATTTATTTATGCAGTTTTTTTTTTTTTTTTTGCTTTAATGCTATGTTTTTTTTCTTTTTAGTTTAAAAAGAAATTTTAAAAGGAAACCTTGTTATATAGTTAAATTTTTCTAATTTGGGCCCCATTAAATCCAGGACTTGTGGTAATTGTACCCAAACAGAAGTTTTGTATTGTTTTTAACTACAAACCACTGCTCAAGGAAATAAAAGAGGATACAAACAAATGGAAGAACATTCCATGTTCATGGGTAGGAAGAATCAATATCGTGAAAATGGCCATACTGTCCAAGGTAATTTACAGATTCAATGCCATCCCCATCAAAGCTACCAATGCCTTTCTTCACAGAATTGGAAAAAACTACTTTAAAGTTCATATGGAACCAAAAAAGAGCCCACATCGCCAAGTCAATCCTAAGCCAAAAGAACAAAGCTGGAGGCATCACCCTACCTGACTTCAAACTATACTACAAGGCTACAGTAACCAAAACAGCATGGTACTGGTACCGAAACAGAGATATAGATCAATGGAACAGAACAGAGCCCTCAGAAGTAATGCCGCATATCTACAACTATCTGATCCTTGACAAACCTGAGAAAAACAAGCAATGGGGAAAGGATTCCCTATTTAATAAATGGTGCTGGGAAAACTGGCTAGCCATATGTAGAAAGCCGAAACTGGATCCCTTCCTTACACCTTATACAAAAATCAATTCAAGATGGATTAAAGACTTAAACGTTAGACCTAAAACCATAAAAACCCTAGAAGAAAACCTAGGCAATACCATTCAGGACATAGGCATGGGCAAGGACTTCATGTCTAAAACACCAAAAGCAATGGCAACAAAAGACAAAATTGACAAATGGGATCTAATTAAACTAAAGAGCTTCTACACAGCAAAAGAAACTACCATCAGAGTGAACAGGCAACCTACAAAATGGGAGAAAATTTTCGCAACCTACTCATCTGACAAAGGGCTAATATCCAGAATCTACAATGAACTCAAACAAATTTACAAGAAAAAAACAAACAACCCCATCAAAAAGTGGGCAAAGGACATGAACAGACACTTCTCAAAAGAAGACATTTATGCAGCCAAAAAACACATGAAAAAATGCCATCAGAGAAATGCAAATCAAAACCACAATGAGACACCATCTCACACCAGCTAGAATGGCAATCATTAAAAAGTCACGAAACAACAGGTGCTGGAGAGGATGTGGAGAAATAGGAACACTTTTACACTGTTGGTGGGACTGTAAACTAGTTCAACCATTGTGGAAGTCAGTGTGGCGATTCCTCAGGGATCTAGAACTAGAAATACCATTTGACCCAGCCATCCCATTACTGGGTATATACCCAAAGGACTATAAATCATGCTGCTATAAAGACCCATGCACACGTATGTTTATTGCGGCACTATTCACAATAGCAAAGACTTGGAACCAACCCAAATGTCCATCAATGATAGACTGGATTAAGAAAATGTGGCACATATACACCATGGAATACTATGCAGCCATAAAAAATGATGAGTTCATGTCCTTTGTAGGGACATGGATGAAATTGGAAATCATCATTCTCAGTAAACTAGCGCAAGAACAAAAAACCAAACACCCCATATTCTCACTCATAGGTGGGAATTGAACAATGAGATCACATGGACACAGGAAGGGGAACATCACACTCTGGGGACTGTTGTGGGGTAGGGGGATGGGGGAGGGATAGCACTGGGAGATATACCGAATGCTAGATGACGAGTTAGTGGGTGCAGCGCACCAGCATGGCACATGTATACATATGTAACTAACCTGCACAATGTGCACATGTACCCTAAAACTTAAAGTATAATAATAAAAGGAAAAAAAAAGAAAAGATGAACTAAGCAAATTAATAGCATAAATAAATGACATATTTAAGTTATTTAAATATAACCATGTATTTTTTTAAATGTTGGCAGGGGATGGTTTGCAATGAATATGCTGCATAATAATAATAACTGCCATATACCAAGTGTCTGTTCCAAAGAAAGAATAAGAGATAACGTAATGTATCATCAACTTTGGTCTCTACAAAAAGCCTGTAAGGTAGTCCAATTTTATAGATAAGAAAACTAAGGAAGAGATTAATTGACTTATCCAAGGTCCTTCATCAAGGATTCAGACCCAGGTATGTCTGGCTCCAAAGCCCATTTTCTCCTCTGGATGCTGCATTGCAAAAATTTCTGATCTTCCGCAGGTCCCGGACCCTTACAAGAATCTAATAAAAGGTGAGAAACAGAACACACTCATAATGTTGCATGATTTCCAGAGGTTTTCCAACTAAAGAACCCTTGCACTACTGCCAATTTATAAACTTCTCCCTTTCTGTTCACAAAAAATCATCATCCAGCACAAATCATTTTGTTAATCTTATGTTTTCTAGATAGCTGTGTATTGGAAAGCAACACCCATGTTTATTTACAAATAGATTAAGTCTGACTTTTAATTAATTCCTTCTTAGTTGATGTTAATAAAGTTGTATTCTACAAAGATAGAGTTTAGTATATCCTTAACAATAATTGACAATTTACCCAACTATTTTATTTTAGGCCATATCCTGATTGTGCCTTGAATTGATCCAATGCAAAGCTGGTTCATTGTGACAGTAGAGTGGCTCCTGTATGTTCCAGATCAGAGGTTGCAAACTGGAGACTGAATGCAGCGCTGGGTAGAGCCATACTGGAGCCTGAGACAAAAGAAAGTAATGCTAATACTGATTCCATCTTCATTTTAAGATTTTGATTTTTTTTCAAAATGAAGTTTTTGCTTTAATTTTGATTTTACCATATTGCATTAAGATATTATTTATTTTGATTGCTAAATGTTTGGGTGCTCCCTTAAATTTACACCTGAGATGGGCAGCTCATTTACCTCACCCTAATCCCCATCTTGGGTGAAGGAAGGGCTAAATGTGGCCACAGGAGTGGTCTTAAAAGTAGGACATTTCCCATGAAAATCAGTATTTCTGGCATCCCTTGTAAAAATCACAATACCTGGCAATATTGGACTTGTATTTCCACAGGGCAAACCTCAACTATGGTTTCCTGTCAATGGCAGCTGCCTCCAATGGCGGGGGTTGGGGGGTGAGTGCCCTCCTATTCTCTGAAGCCCCCTGGCTCCCTCTCAGTTCAGTTACCTGGTCCCTGTAGGCATTTGAATTGAGCATTCTGGGGCTAGACCAGGTGGAGAATGTATAAATGTTCATCTCTAACCTTCATAAAACTTGTTCAGCCATAGCCTGTAACATTCTTTCAGGATTACCAATGTGCCACCCTTGACATTAAATCAGAAGATAAGCTCACTGCCAGAAAGACCCTAGGGAAAACACCATTGACCGGCATTGAACCATCATCAACTGCAGTACTGAGGTTGCATGTAACATGTTGTTCATGCCAAGCAAAAGTGTTATTTTTTCATTTTAAGGACTTAAGCTACTTTTATTATCCCTAAGATTTTTTGAGTGCTTACAACATGCCTAACTCTGCGCTGAAAGCTTTACATATATGGTATTATTTAATTATTATAAGAATAGCATGAGATGCAGTAATATCCCCATTTTATAGGTCCAGAAACTGAATTACTAGAAGGTTAAGAAAATTGCCCAAGGACATATAGGCAATAGGCAGAGGAATCTGAACTCAAACCCAAGATGGATGACACCAAAACCCTATGCTTCTTCCCACTATGAATGCTGCCTCTCTGTGCCCTGCTGTTATCTTTAATAATAGACAACCTGCCTCCTAACTTCGCTAATTGCTCTTTGCTGTCAGTGATGTTAACGTTTCACAAGCACATGGAATTTGATCCAAGTGCATACAACAGCTGCCTATTGTATTAAATTCACTTTAAGAGCCTATGTTCCTTGTTTTTGTGCCTTTTTTTTATACCAGATTAATTTTTCAGAGGTTAATCACATGGCACTTATTTTAATTATGCCTTTCTAGTCACAACAAATGACAGCATTTGACTTCTTGTAGCCTTCCTTTGTATTGTGTGACCAATGAGATTATTAATAAATGCTTTTTTATTATGTAGTCATGCTGTAGGTGCCCACAGGGTATGGGCTGGCCTCATGTATTTTATTCTGGGTGCAGTGTCAGCAGGGCCTTGCGGATTTGCTAATGAGCTAAATCCGGTTAGTGCCACATGCCCTGGACTGCCAGAGATCTTTTAAATACATCATTGCTCTCAGAGACTCAGCTGGGTTCAGTATGAGAGAGATTAACTTCTCATTCCAATTAACAGAGAGTCATACTGCTGGAGAGAGGGTTGCTTATGTAGCCCCAAACCTAGGACCCTCTGACTGATGAACTACTGACCAGTCAACAACAAACCCGGACTTGTGAAAGGATGGCCTCAAGAAAGGATTTTTTTATTATCATTATTTGTTTTGTGTCTGCCTTAGAGGCCACCATCTCCTTAATAGGGTGGGCAGTGGGGAGGGGGAGAGGCTGTTTTGTTTCCCATGTGGACAGCAACTGAGCAGGAAAAATATATTGACTTCTATCTAGAATAATGGAGGGTTAAAAAGCAAGGGAGTGGAGCATTTAAAATCAACTTGAAATCAGGTATTTATAATCCTTCACCAGATTCCTCCCACAAAATAGTGGGTGTCAGTGCTATTTTAAGTTCTATCTTTTATTTTTTCAGATAAGAGTAACGCCAGCTAACAATGATTGAGCACTTACAGGGTCCAGCACTCTTAGAATTGCTTTATGTATATTAATTAATTTAATGCTCACAACGACCCTTGGACAGGGATACAATTATCCTTCTACACTGCACTGCTCCAAACAAAATTCGTGAGATAATGTCTTTGTTCATCTTGTGTTTTTGTCTCTCCTCACATCTTGTTCTCGCGTTGAATTAACATTTAAGCTACGTGAATCGCTCTTCCATGTTTCTGTTCAGAGGGTAAATAAATAACTATTTTAAAATGAAATGCTTTTTAGGATGAAAGTCAACCCCTCATCAGGCACCTACAAAGATAACACAGATGTGCAGAAAAATAGGAAATTTCCACAGACACAGTGAAGAAAGGAAAAGATGTGCTTTTTATAGAATATAATTTCTGATAAGAAAAAGACGTGCAAAATATTCAGCTTGGAAATCAAGAAAAGAGCAGAAATGCACATCTTCCTTTCATTTAAGATTAAGAATGATTCAGAAAAATATAATCTAAAACATGCTCGATAATAAAGTAAAAATATCCTGTTTAGATGTAAATTATCTCACCATAGCTCTATTAGTAAGACAAGCACACTGGCCCATCTAAAGAGAGCTCCAGAGGTATTCCTGAATAGAAATCAATGTGTGTACCCTAACCACAAGCCCATCTAAAAATCAATGAGGGTTTTTTTTTTTTTAGAAAAAAAAAAACAAAAACAAACTTGTTTTACAAGAGAATGTATCATTTGCAAGCCATAAAAACCCAAGGAGTTTTATTTGCGAGGCTTGATAAATCTTTTTTCAAAAGTAATATCCCACATTTAAAGATCAGAGTATCACAATTGTTGTTTGTTTTAACAGAAGGCAAAGCTAAGACAGGATTCTAAATGTGTAAGTATATTCTGAAGCTACAATTGAACACACACACACGCACACAATGGCTTTAAACTGGCTTCCCTATCTAGAGGCAGCCAAAGGCAAGACTTGCTGGGGGAAGGGTTTGAATGTACATGTAAAGTGCCTATAAATGTGCTTTTTCCAGACTGTAATTACTTCCTTTTCCTTAATATCTGCAGGTAAGTAAGTGACACTGACACTGGGGTGCACAGCAGAGCAAACAAAGGATCCACTCGAAAAAATTCCAGGAGGGAACTCGATGGGTGTGTGATGCATATATGTGGAGGGAAGTTGGGTGGTTTGTGTGGTATTTAGGGTTGGGGGATACAGGCACAGACCAACCAACAAAAATCCCGAGGATCCCAGAGTCTCACTTTTCAGCCTCACGAAACAACAGCTAAATTTTATGAAGGAAATATATTGGTTCCTTGTGTTTCTTAAATGGGACTTTCTCATCATTTGGATCCTAAGAAGCCCCCTTTTCATTTTTCTTTATTAAAAGCATCCTTACAAGCATTCACTCCGTGAGGAGTAAAACTGTCTACTTTCTATGGTGGGACCTCTTCTGTCCCCACCTGTTGCCCCACCTTTTCCCTGGCCTCCCCTCACACTGCTCTAAACAGCACAGGTGATTGAAAACCACTTTCAGCCCCTACCAAGCTTAGGCGACCTGTGGGCTCTGGGTGACCAGGGCTGGCTCTTGCTTATCCATGTATTCCCTGACTTAATGCTTCATGGATTGAACACAGATACTGCATGGTCGGTAATGCTTTGCTAAATGAGGAAGGTTCTGGTTAACTCCTAAAAACATGTTTATTGAACCTAGTAGAGAAGAAAGCAGGAATATTTATGATATCTGTTAGGCTGTGTAATTTATTTTTAAAATCAGGACAAATTTTTTCCATCCACCTGTCCAAAACCTCATTGTCCAACTAAATAACAAAAATCCAAGATATAAATAATTTGCCTGCAATAAGTGATTAGCAAAAAAAAAAAAATAGTGCTGATAGATATATATCTGATGTCTTTAAAACGGAGAGTACAGCGCAGTTGATGAAAACAGTTGAGCTGTTCGGTTTTCAGGCTGAGTCTCTTGAACAATGAAATTCAGCCTGAAAACCTTGATGGGGATGATGACAACTCAAGATCTGTTTTTTGTTTGTTTGTTTGTTTGTTTGTTTGAGATGCAGTTTCAGTCTTGTTGCCCAGGCTGGAGGGCAATGGCACAATCTTGGCTCACCGCAACCTCCGCCTCCTGGGTTCAAGTGATTCTCCTGCCTCAGCCTCCTGAGTAGCTGGGATTACAGGCATGAGCCACCATGCCCAGCTAACTTTTTTGTATTTTTAGTAGAGACAGGGTTTCTCCATGTTGATCAGGCTGGTCTTGAACTCCCGACCTCAGGTGATCCACCCACCTTGGCCTCCCAAAGTGCTGGGATTGCAGGTGTGAGCCACCATGCCCAGCCAAGATCTGGTCTTATAATAGCCTTGCATGTCCAGAGAGTTCAGGTGGAGGCCATCATGGGAAGGATTGAGCTCTGGAACTTCTATTTGTGATCCCCAAACTCATATAGTACTGAGTTGTACCAGAAATTGAATATACTGTAATACAATGACATCTTTTAAGTGTTCAGTATGTGCCAGGCATTGCGCTACTAATTGAAGAAGACCAGTTGTCTTTCATGGCGCTTGCAGTCTAGTGGGAAACCGACATGTAAATAACTACCTTAGGCCTCAACACGTAGCCCCTAGACCAGCAGCACTAACACCACCAGAGAGCCTGTTGGAAGGGCAAGGTTAGCTCCTATCCCACTCCTGCTGAGTCAGAAACTCTGGAACAAGGGCCCAATAATTTACAGTTTAACAAGCCCTCCAGGTAATTCTGATGCTTTGAGAACCAGTGGCCTAAAGACCAATTATATGCAGTGATATTCAACCCTAGTTGCATAACAGAATCACCTGATGCATTACTCTCCCAGCCCCCTGTCAATTAAAATAGAATCCCTATTCACTACCATCCTCCTCTTTAATCACTGTCTTGTTGACCTGGTTGTCATCTCACTATTAACTCTGACCATGTCAGACATGTGATTAGCAACATTTACAATGTCCAGTGATCATGAAATTTGTCCTATTTGATTTTTCTTAGGTGCTTTTTGTTAGCTCACAGGCTAATTGAAGATCTAAGTTTATAGCTTTATAGAAATTCTTTTCGATGCCCAAGAAGTTCCCAATGTTCCAAGAGATCTTTCCCTAGCAACTGCTATCTTTCCCCTTTTGAGTTTTCTCTCTCTTTCTTGAAGATTTTTCTTCTGTTCACATGAACTCCCTCTGAGAGGAGAAACAATAGTCAGTAGGCGCAACTTATGAGGAAAGATTCCAGTATAAAAAAGCTGAAAGGAAAATATTGATAAGGCTACAAAAGCAGACTATAATTTCAGTTTCTTTGCTTTTGGCTGGAATGATGACATCAAGTCAGTGTGGTAAGTGCGGTTATCTTGTACTGATAAAACCTGATTGGCATTTATGTATGTATTTGATGAATGAAGAAATCTAAAAATGGATTAATAATAAAGCTTGGTAGAGAAAAATCTCAAAACATTACATTTATGGAGAGTAAGTAATAAATAGGGTCCTTGGTGGTTAAAAAGGTTAAGAGCCACCATGTACAATTATCAGTCATGTGTACCAGAGAGATAAGGGCAGTTCTGAGAGCAGCAGGCGTGCACGAGGGAAGGAAGAAAGTAAGCACTGGTTAAATACTAAGCCAGGGAGAAGAAAAGGACCCTTCTAGTCTGCTCCTCTTACCCTAACAGATGGAGGCTGGAGCTTATGTGCACCTGTCCAAAGCAAAGTTGATGAGCTGGGGTCCTGTTTGTGCAGCCTGTTGTCTAGGGTTTTCATGGGAGGTTTCAGGGAGGTCTTACTGGGACCAAGATTCTATTGGAGTTCAAGGTCAGAACTAGGAAGATAGTGTGAAATCAGGTCACAAGTTTATATATGGCTAGAGAGAGAGTGAGAGCACCCAGAAATGACGCCAAACAAGACAGATAATAAAATAAGTTTAAGTTGACTCTCAGAATAGGCAGAGCTCACAACTCTCTTAGAGAAAAAGGTAGAGGAACACTTTGGATCCTCAAACCAAGTTTTTCAGCTTCATTTTCATTTACCAGTTAACCCTGAATGGCCAAATCAGACATTTTAACTCAGAAAAGCCCTCCTCAATCTGCGAAACATAACTTACACAGCCATAAGCCCCTTTTAAAACAGCCATGGACAGACAGACATTCTAAGATGTGAGCTTTGCCTCTGAATGGACACTATTACTCACCAGGGATTTTGCTGAAATGATCATATTCATTTTGCTTGGGTTTGCAATGGCAATAATGATATTAAAAATACCACCCATAAAACAGCTATCATTATCTGATTATTTTTTTGACATGTAGTTATGTTTCGTGGTGGTTTGAAGAAATAGCAGTGAATTTAATGCCTCATTACTTAGACCCTCTAAGGTTAGAGCGTCCAACCCAAATTGAATCACAAAAATACATTTACAGCTAATTCACATATTAGAACTTCTATCAATCATCATTTGTGCACTTAGAGATTTGCATACATCTCATCTACTCTCCAAATCCCTCTCCTTAGCAGTCATCCAATTTTTTACAAATCCATCATAGTTGCAGGGCCAAAGTATAGGGCTGGAAACCGAAGGGGAAAAGGGAATGCCCTGACTTGACTGGAGATACTGTCTCAACCACAAAATAAGGGTCAGAATAATATGAAGCTCTTCAAATCTAATGGCCCAAGATACACAATTTAACTTTTCTGCACCTCAACTTTCACATCTGTAATGTAGGAGTAATAATACTTCCCTGTGTATCTCACAGGCATGTTAAAGATTAAGTAAGAATTGTCATGATGCTGCCCCACGGTGGATAGTGCATCTTCAGCATAGACTCAAGCAGAAAGTCCTTTAGCCTAAAAGATTTTAAAATGCTCTTTTCAATCGTAATGCTATGTGAAAGACTGCTGGCTATGTTTGAGAGAACTCAGCAGACAACATGCATGGACAGAGACTTTCAGGCTAGAGAAGCAGAATGCCTGCATTTTGCAGGGTGTACTAAAAAGAAACATGATCTCCTATAGAAATCAATCCAGATTTCTCACCTAAAGTCTGAGAAAATATGAACCCAAAGCCTAAGAACTTAGAAATAAGGCACCATGGAAGAGATTGCATATAACCATGTGGGAAAACTACATATAGTTTTTTTATTATAGGTAACCCTATAGGACTAGCCTTTATTCAATGCTCACTATGTGACATTCATTTGATCCTTTCATCCAGTTCAAGAGGTAAATAAGTGTATTAGTCCATTTTCACACTGCTATACAAAACTACCTGCGACCGGATAATTTACAAAGAAAAGACGTTTAATTGACTCACAGTTTCACATGGCCAGGGAGGTCTCAGGAAACTTACGATCATGGCAGAAGGCAACAGGGAGGCAAGGCACATCTTACATGGAAGCAAGAAAGAAAGAGAGATGGGGTCGGGGGGAACTGCCAAACACGTTTAAACCATCATATCTCATGAGAACTCATTTACTGTCATGAGAACAGCATGGGGGAAACCACACCCAGATCCAATCACCTCCCACCAGGCCCCTCCCTTGACACGTGGGGATTACAATTCAAGATGAGATTTGGGTGGGGACACAAAGCCGAACCATATCAGTAAGTTATAGATATGGGTATACCATTTTAAAAATTAGGAAAGTAAGGCTCAGAGAGGTGATGTGATTTACCTAAGGTTGATATAAAACAGATCAGGCTTCAACTTCTAGAAATATGTTAGACTGAAAATTTTGAAAAGCCTTTCCTCTGCAAATGTATAAACGCAGATGACGTATGAACCACAACACATTTACTTATGCATCGTGGTGCTCACTACAAAGCAAGAGAAATTTCTAAAAGACAGTTCAAACTAGAGCATTAAGAACAGAGACATAGGGATTACCCTCACGGGAAATGCCATTGACCAAATCCTAGAAGTTGGGAATAAATGATAGTATATGAAATGAAAGACTTAGACTTGTGCAAAGTAGGAGCTAAACCTTAAAATTCCATATAAAGCTAATACACTTGAAGGTGCTGCAGATTCATGATGATGGCTAAACAAAAATCTGTGTGGGCAAAGTGAGCCAACAAGGAATCTCATCTTCACAAGAAAATAAGATTTCAAAGATAAAACTTCAATAGGAATTCCAGAATAAAATAAACAGCTTCACTTCAACAAATTTAAAATGTGTACAATTTGAAAACACAAAAAAACACTTCTAGAAAAATATACTTAACGAAATGTACTGAAAAAGAAATTTAAAAAATTAATATTGACATTCCCATTAAACAAACTCTAGGCCCAAAACATATTACAAATAAGCTTTAAAAACTTTTAATAAACAGATTCTTGCAGCTATATGCAAATTCCTCCAGAAATTAGAAAATAGAGTGAAAACTAACCCCTCATCTTCTTTTGTAAAAATGATATAGTCTTAATGTCAAAACTTGTCAAGGACATTACAAGAGAGAATGGTTACAGGCCAATTTCATTTATAAAACATAGATGCAAGAATCAGAAACAAAATATTGGGAAATGGAATTTAGCAATATATTAAAAATATAATAGATCATTACCAAGTTGAGTTTGTTTCAGTAATTCAAGATTGGTTTAACTTTAGAAAAATCGATTAGTGTAATTCACTATATTAATAGATAAGTAAGAATAAATGATTTGAGTAGATGCATAAACATTTTATAAGATTCATGATAAAATTATTTTTAGTAAATTAGAAATACAAAGGAACTCTGTTAACCTCACTAACAGAAAACTACAAATATTATCCTAAGAATTCTCTTGAATATCAGAAATAAGACATATGTCCAGAGACCCTGCTTCCATTCACCATTGTCTTCAAGATCCTAGCAAACATGGTAAAACAAGAGAAATAAATAGGAAATAAAAACAAGAGAGAAAAAACTCTCATTATGCACAGATAATATAATTGCCAATATAGAAGCTCCAAAAATTCCACAAAAATTGTTATTATGAAGAAGAGAGTTTAACTAGTTGGGTAGACATAAATTACTACATGAAACAATTATATGTTCATATACTAGCAACAATATATATATATAATTTATAATAGCAACAAAAAGGGTACCTAAGAATAAATATAATGAAAGATTTCCCAACTGTTAGAATATATAATAGTATTTTATTTTAAAATGTTAGCTTATTCTATGTTTTTATAATCTGCTCATAGTGGTTACCATAGAAGATATATATATATCCACATAAGATATTAAATATCCATATAAGATATTAAAATTACTATTTTGTACAATCAGTATTCATTTAGATTTACCCACAGGTTTATCCTTTTTAGTGTTCTTCAGTTTTTCCCATATATTCATGTTTTCCTCTGGGACCATTTTTCTTCTACCAAAAGAATTCCCTTTAATAGTTTCTTTTTCTTTTTAATTAGAGTTATTGATATATAATTTTATGCAATAAACTTTTACAAAGTTTAAGCGTGTTTTTTCAAAATGATAAATGCTCTCAATTTTTTGTTTTGCAAAAACATCTTTATTCACATTTATGTTTGAAGGATATTTTCATCGGCTATATAATTTTAGGTTGGCAGTTACCTTCAGAACTATAAACTTTTTTCTTGCTTCCATGATTTATTTTGAAAAGTCAAGTATCAGTTTTATTGTTGCTCCTTTGAAAGTAATGTCATTTTCTTTTTCTCTGTCAGCTTTAATTATTTTTTTCTTTTCATTGCTTTTTAGCAATTTAACTATTAAGTCTATTTTGGTATGCTTTTCTTGTTAAACAGCTTGGAGTCTGTAGAGCTTCTTAAATCTGAGAATTGATGTTTTTCAGTTTTTTGAAAATTTATAGCTAGTATGTCTACCAATATTGCTTCTGCACCGTTTTTTTCTCTCATTCTAAGGCTCCAATTATACATTTGTTAGACATAGATACTGTGGCATTTTTTAATACTCTTGTTAGTTTCTCTGTACTAAAATTTTTTTCCTCTTTGTCCTTAAGTATGGATATTTTATATTGATTTACCTTCTGATTTTACAAATCTGTCTTCTTCTGTGTCTAATCTCCTGTTAAACCCACCTATTCAGTCCATAATTTCAATTATATTACTACAATTATATATATTATATTTTAATTCTAGAATTGTCATTTTTAATAGGTTCAAACTCTTTGAAGAATTCCTCTATCTTGTCATTTCTTTTCTTGAGTTATGAATCACAGTTACTTTAATGTCGGTGTCTGAATTATCTGATATCTCTATTGCCTATTGATCTACTTCTGTTTTCTCTTCGTTTTTTGGTCATTTGATCCTGTATTCTTCTATGCCTGTTAATTTTTTTATTGAATACCAGACATATACAAAATTATAGTGATAACAAAGCTCTGGTTGCTGTTATCTTTTCCCAGAGAAGCTTTTTACTTTTAAAGTGCTGGTAAATAGGAACAGATTGCCTTATTCCATGAGTGGGACTGACAGAGCTTGTTTGAAGTTTGGTCGTGCTCTTTTCTGTGTGCCAGTCTATTACTAAAATATACTAAAATATAGCTTTTTAAGGATTCTTAACTGAAAGTCTAGAATTAATAACAGCACTCTTCCTACTTATCCCACCCTCACCTCCAATTTGTGTTTCCCCAGCACCACAATACTGAAAAAACTGTATCTCAGCTTCCTAACCACCGAACTATCACTTTTTGCTCTGCTTTTCTCTCGCTCCCAAATCCCTTAAAAATCAGCAAATTCCTCAAAAGGCACAATACTGTAGAATATCTCACTTTGTGGGCTTTCCTACTCTGAAATTTTTTCTTCTTCAGTCCTGGCACCTTTGAAAGCTGTCTGATGTGTTCTCTTTGAATGGATGTTCTCGATATTTTGTCTAACTTTTCTAGTTGTTATTGATAAGAAGATTGGTTCCTGGAAAGAGAATCTATCATTAGTGGAAGTCATTAAGAAATACGTATATTTTAATAAAGCTGGAATCATCACAAATCCGTACTGATACTTCTAATTCAAATTCAGGAATACAGTACTTTTACTTAACCTCACTGATCTTACATATGTATCTCCTTTATCCCATGTCAAAAGCCACAGTTCTCAGTGACACTCAGATAATTACTCATTTGTTTTAGCAAATATATATACCATATAAAACAGATAATTAAAAAAGCTGAAACTATCAATAGAAATGATTATGGAAACCAGTTTAAGGTCTTTTAAAAGACTTTTCTTATAACTTAGTTATGTTTTAATATTTATGTAAACAGTTTAGCAGATTCTAAAGTAAAATTCCTCAAGAAAAATCCCCCTATTCCTGTCAATTCTAGCTTATTCTGTTCTTTCCCCGTGTTTAATGGCTTGCCCTTCCATTGTTTTTTAAATAAATTTAATAAAGTGCATGTGTATTTTTGTAAGCCCTTCTTCCTTAAATAGTCGCATAGTATACACACATTTTTACCTCGATTTCTTTTACATATAACTATATCCTAAAGATTGTTCCATAGTAGTATATACAGCCAGTTCCAACTTAGATGGTTCAACTGATGCTAGTTTAACTTTACGATGTTGCAAAAGCAATACACATTCATTACACTTACATCTAGATAAGCTACCATAAGTTGATTTACATTAGGTTTATCTGGATATAACTATTATAAGATAATGAGCATCTGTAATGATAGTCTACATTCATTTTTACAGTTAAATATTACTCATTTGTTAAATTTCTCAATTGTTTCTTCCCAATTTTATTTATTATTTATTCAAATATTTGTTATTTTATTATTTATTATTACATTTAAATATTTATTATTTTTTATTTCCTTACTTTTACTTACCTTGGTTTTTTGCTCATCTTCATTTAGATTCTTATGGTATGACTTTGGGTCATTGAGTTTAGAAGGTGCCCAAAGTCTTAGGGAGATTGGAATGCTCAAGCGTATTTATTACCTAAGAACTTCACTTGCCCTCTCACTATGCCCCCTGGGAAGTTCCAGACTATACTCCCTTTACCAAGCCTGTGAGAACTACATTTATGAAAGAAGCCCCAGCATCTTCCAAAGTGTTTCGTTGTGCTATTCTCTGTAGCTCAGAGGGTAGTAGGAAGTGCTGCCATCAAACTAGAATCTCTGGATACTATGGAGATGATGGTGAGCATGGTTAGTAGAAAGAGCAACAGAGCCAAAACGGCAATCAGAATAGTTCGACCCACAGAGATTAGTGTTGTGTAGCTGATCATGATATCTCTAGAACTGAAAGAGATAGGAGACAACTAAAGCCTTACTTGATTGGTGTAAATGAAAAAGCTCTAGGTTTGGTAACAGGAAGTCAGACTTGAATTACCACAATAGAGAGTTGTACATTCCCAGTACTGGGACAGTTTGCAGACCCAAAACCCTTGAATGAAGGTGGAGGCTGGATCCCTTTGAAGAAAGGCCCTATTACACCAATTTATCCTGTGCATTGTGCCCTTCAGTCTTCTGCAAGGGGGCTGCGGCCATTTAACAGGGTGACTGTGCATTGAGGAAAGGGATTACTGGACAATGGCTCTGGAGTGACACTAATTCCTGGAGACCCAAAATGCCAGTCTATGGGATACTTATTAAAGTAGGGGCTTATGGAGGTCAGATGATCTATGGAGTCTGGGCTCAGGTCCATATCACTGTGGATGTATAGTGATCCACCTGCTTGCCACAACCAATAATGTGTGTGTGTGTGTGTGTGTGTGTGTGTGTGTTTGTGTAGTAGCTAGTTTGTGTTGTGAGCTGGTGGAGGCATCCACAGTAAAAACACAATTTAAAAAAAATAAGAAGAGCATAAATAAAGCATAGAAAACATTGTTATGATATGACAATAGATAACATTAAACTTAGTCAAACATTCACAATTCCAATAATCTGAATGTAATCTGAATGATGGATTTGGTATTAGAAAAATCCATGTGAGTAATGTGCTGCATTTTTCACCTCCCACCAGACCTCATGGCAATGGGAGGCATGTTAATTGATAAGAACTCTCTTTCAGGGAGCGAAGGGAAAGCACCAGAAATCAAAATTTCAAAGCTTCGCCTATATTTCATTGTCGCAAGGATACTAAAATATGCCAAGGATAGAAAATTAGATTCCAACTCCTCAATGAAATATAATGTGGATGATGAAAATTGCTCCCTCCTCTTCAATAATTGCAGAAGTACCATGCCTAACAGTATGATTCCCAGCGATGCTTTCCAAATATGATGGTACTTTTCATTTTAACCCAGTTTGAAAATTTACTTTGTTTCCTCAATGTGTTTCTCTCTATAATGATTAGAGTACCCATATATCCTGGTTTGCTCAGGAAAGTCTCACTTTATGACTATGTCCTGACATCTCATCCAAACTGAACACCTAATACTTTATAAAAAGTACCACTGTTTGGGGCATAAATTAAGTGATCACCCAATCTATAACTTGAGGTAGTCTATTTATGTGACATTTCATAATCTCTTTTGAAAAAAGGAAAATAAAAAATTTGAGAGTCTTTGCTATGAGATGGATAGAAGAGCAAATGTCTTTTTGGTCAAATAAGATAAGGTGAAAAACTCTTACTCTCATGATTTTGAGCCCATAAAATGTAACACAGGGTGAGATTCTCACCCCAGTTGTCCATACGAGTGATTTCTTATTGCAAACGATGGACTTCAACCTCATGGTAAATTAGAAAAAAGAAATGCTAAAGTCTGTTTTTGATCTCACTTTTAAACCAGTTTGGCAATAAATTAATCCCATGCTTGGCCTTTTGGTAAGTTATCTCCAAGTCAGAAGAGTTAGGGCTTGTAAGTACTGCAGAGGTGCTGGAGGTCCATGTTCAAAGGTCTCCTTTCACTAATCTGTTGTAGGTCTTGAAGTGACATTACACAGCACCCATCCCTGCCTGTGCCACAAACTCTCATATATCAACATCTGGAGGAGAAGCAGTGAGGTCAGATGCTTCTGATGAAAAGGCAGTCACTAGGTTCAGACTGGAATACTTGTCAGCACAAAAGAGCCATTGCATGAGATGGGGACTTTCAAACTGAGAGTAGCTGGAGAGTTGTCTTATCAAACTTGGCTTTATTTTTCTTTCATAACAATGTGTCCTTCTTCTTTTTCATTTTCCTACTTAGTCTGTGAAATCTCTAACCAAGCTTCATGGCTCAGAGAATGCTACCCATCCAGTAAGGCTTCCCCATTTTCTCATTTATGTCCCTGTGCTATTTTATGCCTCTCTCTTAGCTCCTACCTTCTCTTACTTAAAGATACTTAGCTCCACCTATACCTGCATGCCACAACCAACAAGCAGAAGCATGTTGAGAACAGGAGTGTATGTGTCCTGCTCATCCTTGAATCACCTCAGCTCCTACAGTGCTATCTAATGTAGCAGTAAATATTTAATTTGATTGAATAATGCTCACTCTCTAATGTTCTTCCTTTTAGTAATTGTTCTTTCATGTGTAAGTGGAACTAGCCAGCCTACTGTAGAATCATTTGGAAAGATACTCTCAGGTACCTATATTTGCATACTCAAGCTATAAGCATGACTTAACGTACAGAGCAGCTCTTTCTAGATGTTCTCTGCGGTGTCTTATGGGTCTTGCAAACAAGACCCATAAGACATCAGAAGTAGTAGAGTCACTGGAAGGGAACATCTAGTACATTAAAAGCAGTTGCTGTTATGTCAGCTGGGTACATAATACAAGTAAAATGATCAGGGTCTGCTGCATTCACTGCCTGGGACATATCAATTTTTTTGCTTTTCTCTACTATTGGTGTATTATATGTCAATAAATAAAGTCCACGATTAATTGTGTAAATGGATGAATTTTTACATATGTATACACTCATGTAACCATAACCCAGATCAACATGGAGAATATTTCCAACATTGCAGAAGTCCCCTTTGTGTTCTTTCGCCGTTAAGAGCCAACCTCCCACAAATAAAACCACTATTCTAATGCGTATCACCAAAGACTAGTTTTATCTTTCCCTAGACATGAATCAACAGTATGCACTCTTTTGTTTCTGGCTTCTTTCATTTAACATTATGTCTGCAAGATTCATTCATGTTGCTGTGTGTAGCTGACATTAATTCTTTCTCACTGCTGTGTAATACTTCATTAACGAATATACCAAAATGTTCTATCTTCTAATATTTTTATAAGCATACTAAAATTTATTTGAGCAATCCCTTATTGATGACCATTTAGCTGTTTCTAATCTTTCTATAATAAAAATACTGTAGTTAATGTCTTTATACAAACATCATTTCCCCCATATAAAAATATATTTGTAAGATAACTTCCTAAAAGCAGAGATACTGCTTCACAGGATGTGTGCATTTATAATTTCAGTAAATAATACCAAATTTTCTTCCATTGGCTTTTTACCAATTTGCATTCTTATTAACAGCGTACAAGAGAAGATGATAGAAGTTTTTAATCTTGAGTTTACAGTCCCTAAAATTTTATGCAATCATGTTTTCATGTGTCTCATTGATTTTTTAGCTTTAATGAAGTATAATTGACAAATTAAAATTATATATGTTAAAGGTGACAATGAGATACTTTGATATACATATACATTGTGAAATGAAGAGCACAACCAAGCTATTTACATATATATATTTATATATATATATATATCACCTGACATAGTTATCTTTTGTGTGTGTGTATGGTGAGCATACTTAAGATCCACTCTTTTAACAAATCTCTTCCACTATTGATGACTACTTTCATTACTTCCATTTGGGTGCTGTTATAAGTAAAGCTGCAATCAACATTCTTGTACATGTATTTTGCTGAAAATATTCACCTGTGATATATTCAGGGGTAGAAATTTCTGGGTCATGGGTTATGGGTGTTTCCCATGAATATTTTTTATATACGTTAGTGAAGACTACCAGTTTTTCAAAGTAATTTTTTACCACTTTACACCTTCTCCAGCAGTGTATGAGGACTGCCCCCCAGCAGTGGTGTATGAGGGTTCCATTTTTCACCATTAACTTGCTAGAGTGGTAACCCTTGTTACTGTCAATTCTTTTTATTTTGGCCATTCTAATGGGTGATACAGCTATTTCACTGTGGTTTTAGTTTGTAGTTCTCTTGTTAATAATGGAGTAATTAATAATAACTTCTTAATAATAGTAATTTACTAATTAATTTTTCTAATTATTGATCCATTTTTGTTTGTGAATTAGCCATATGGATACCTGTGTTTGTGAAGTGCCTGTTTAAGAAACAGAAGATTAAACTTGAGGGGTGGGAGGCTAGAGAAAACACAGGGAGGAAAAAAAGGGAATTCAGGAAGGGATGAGAGAGGCAGCTAGGACTGCTGACCACCTCCCTCGCTGTACAGATCCAATAGAAGCAAGTATTTGACTATTGAATTTATCTTGACTTTTGTAAGGACAAACTTGCATGATCACTTGTACATAAAGCTCCTGTCAAAGAAAAAAAAACTGGTAACTCTCATTGCTGTTTCAAAAACAAAAATTTAAGAAATGTTCCTGGATATACACAGGTGGAGAAGAAATCTTCAAGAAAACATTGTGGATAAGCTTTCAGCAAAAGTAGAGGAAGAGAGGTTGGGACAAATGATTGTGCATGATTTGATATGAGCAGGTGAAAATGATTCACCAGTGAGCCATGCCATAGAAGAGAACAGGTTGGTGCGAATATGGGACCTTATTGTGTAATTCTTCATTAAATGTTTCCCCTCTAGCCCAACAAGGGTTTGTCTGTGCTAATTAGAAACTCAGAGTGTGATTCCTTGCCAGTCATAAGTGCTATTTAATAATTTCAGGCTGTAAGGAGCGTGAACATTGGAAGTAAAGCAATAAACAGTATAGACTAGCAAACTGCTTTTCTAATTATTGAGGGTAGAAAAATAAATCTGTTCTGGGAGAACAATAGGTTTGATTTCTAAGCCTGAGCTATGTAAAATAGAGCCTGTCCAAAATCTTGCTCTGCATGTCTGTGTGTGGATGTGGGGGCGGGGGGCAGGGGCAGGGGGCAATATTTCCCTTGCACAGACCTTCTGCTTCTTTGGCCCTGACTTGCTCACAAGCTGCCTGTGCTGCCTCTTTCAATGGGATCTCTTCCCCAGAATTCCATTGCTTTTCTGAAGTTAGTGATAATTTCCTAGAGTCCTGCTGTCTGTCTCCTAAAATGGCCCCTTCCCGAGGCCTCTGTCACCTCTCTGGGGTTGCAGTTACTTGCTTTCCCTGTTTCATGAGGATGAACTTTTGTGTTTGAGGGAATGCTCAAGTTGTACACCTTCTCTGCTTTTATAGGATTGCTCTTCTCCCACAGAAATGTAGAATGTTAGAGCCAGTAGGATTTGATTGTTCATCTGGTCCAAGCCCCTCATTTTGCAAATGGAGAAACCAAGGCCAGCTGAACCGCCTGGAAGTAAATGGCAGAGGTAGGACTGGAATGTAGATCTCCAGGCTCCCTGAGTCTCTACACTTGCCCCCCATTCCATGGCTGCATTTATCTTGCTATTCTATTTCTCCCAAGAATAACAACTTATTCGTAGACAAGAGAAGATGATAGAAGTTTTTAATCCTGAGTTTACAGTCCCTAAAATTTTATGCAATCACTTTTTCATGTGTTTCATTGATTTTTCAGCTTTAGTGAAGTATAATTGATACTAACAACTTATTTGTAAGTCTAACAACTTACTTGTAGAAAGTAAATGTGGATTGGAGTAATCATGTTATGGTCTGTTATGGCTGTTAAGTAGGTATGAGTGAATCTGATCCACACCAGCAAATGAGGAAGTATCTCTAAAAATTTGCTTCCTTTCTGGAATGAGAGTTTTAGTCTTCTATGTGGCTGCAGAAAAAACACTTTAAAACGTTTGTGACTTTAGGCACAAAATTCAATGCATATTTTGCTGAGTTACTTCTTGAGTTTGCTTTGAATTCCTAAGCAGAACAGTACTATCTTTGAATTCTGAATTGGACAATTAATAAAAACGGCAGTTCTGAAGATGAAGTCTAAAGTACACCAGGAAATAAATGGCTTCTCTTCAAATTTGGGGATCATTTCAATTGGTCAAAGAATTCAGTCCTTCTTTGAGATTTTATGTGTACAGCAAAGCCCGCAAAGATAATTGCCGCCATTTTTTGTTTAATCACTGTTTACTTGCCCTGGTATTGAAACTATTGCAGGGGAATAAAATATGACTTCAGAAGTAGAGTTACTTTTAATAGCTAAACTCGTTCTTAGGCTTTCCGGCAAAATAATATGAGTCTCCATAAGTAGAACCCAAGGACTGACACCATAGTGAAGGTGACAGCTAAAGTGAGGAAGAAAAAAGAGAAAGAAAAAGTCACTATAATGAAATGAAGTTCAGTTCATCTCATCAAACTTTAGTGCTACATGAGATGTTTTAAATGTACAGCTGCAAACACTTCTGCCCCTCAATATTTTTCCTAATATGACAAATAAGTGTAAAGGAGGCAATATAGTATAAAATGACTCTCAACTGGGAAAACAGCTGTTGGCTTGCATATGAGTAATTAGGCTGATAACTGCCTTAAACAAAGACAGGGTAGACACTAAGTTCTCGAAAGCTCGGGAAGGCTGGGCCCACAAGGGGAACCATTATCTCCTCCTTTGGACGGATTGTATTTCCCACAGACAGCTCCACATCTGGATGTTCCGCAATAGTTCAGCACAGCTGTTAAATTAAGGCTGTTGGTAGCTATTTCTTGAAACCCTTTAAAGAGCTGTTCCCTAGTGAACAGGGCAAATGTCACCAATAGCAGATCAGGCAATAGGTTACTATTCCTTCCTCAATTAAATACAGATGGTCCTCCCACTCCAGCCTCATAATGCACCCTGGGTGGTGGGAGAAACCCCAGGTCTCTCAAGCAAAGGGACAAGTAAACATCACTCCTCGCTGCTCCTGAACTAAATTTTGAATGCACTTGTTGGATTTCTTTACCTCTATAAAAAAATGTGTTGGCCAGTTACTATAGTATTGTTTCTGTTTTCAAGATTATCGATTGTAACTTTGAAAATAAAACAAGTTGTCTCTCGAACAAATGGACAAATGAGATAAGCCCAGCTGACTTTTTCCTTTAACAATAAAAAAATGAGTAAAAATTGCTAAGAAGCAAGGATGACCACTATTGTGTGTTTTTTTTTTCTAAATATTGTTTCGATAGGCCTAACTGGATGTCCTGGCCTCCCCATGTGTGGAGCTGCATACCTGTCACTGTATTAACACTCTCATTACCTTTATCTAAGTGGCCAGTCTATCTGAGAAAGGCTCCTCCTCTACTCCATTCATTTAAATGGACACATGGGTATCTTTGTACAGGACAGGCTTCTGATGACTGCGACAGTTTTCTCCATTTAAGAATAGAGTCACTGGCATTTTAAATGTAAAACACAATCTCCGTTATGGTATAGCCTGGAGCATAGGAATGAGCATAGGTGTGGGAAATGGAATTTAAATTCCTGATTAGTTACTACTTCATGAACCTTAAATATGACTCAAGTACGCTGAGCCTCAGTTCCCTGATTTATGAAATACAGGTGAAAAACATCTTTGAGGACTCATTATATATGTGACAATGCATTCTAAAGCCCAGAGTTCTACAGAAAGGAAGTATTATAATTTTATTACAATTAGCATAATTGATGTTCCTGGGGGATTATAGTCTTCCAATTCCCACTTGCATAAATGGAAACCATGAGGTCTCAAAGCCAGTGATATCAGGGGAATTGACAAACAATACTCAAAAGCAAGCCCTGAGACCCTAATCTATAGTTTTCAGAAGCCAGGCCGGATTGGAAATGGGGGAAGATGGAGGTAAGAAAACCAGATGGATGGCTGTGGAGGGTAGGGTGATCCAGGAGATAGGTGATGGTGATCTAAGCTAGGATAATGGCAATGGGGATAGAGAAAAGTAAGTAAAGTAAGAGACAGAGTGGAAGGTCAAATTAACAGAACTTCTAATCAACTGGTTGTGAGTGTAGAGAGGAAGGAAAAGGTGGGATATAGTAAGCCCTTCACTGAGATGCTGTTGTGGACTGAGTGTGTGCCCCCAAATTCATAAGTTGAAATCCTAACCCCCAATATGATGGTATCAGAAGTGGGGCCTTTGGGAGATAATTAGGTCATGAGGGTGAAGCCCTCATGATTGGCATTAATGCCTTGTCAAAGAGACCCCAGAGAGCTCTCCTTCTCTCTTTTCCTGCCATTTGAGAATAAGGTAAGAACATAGCCTTCTGGAAACCAGGAAGAGGGCCCTCACCAGACACTGAATCTGTCTCTGCCTTGATCTTGAACTTCTCAGCCTGCAACTGCGAGGAAAAAAAAATTTGTGATCTGTAAGCTACCTAGTTTATGGTATTTTATTACAGCAGCCCAAACAGACTAAGACAGTAGGTGATAGTAAAGGGGAGGTATAAAGAGTGGTTAAGCTGAATGACACACTTATCAGTGAGCAGGGATTTTTATCAGGAGAGTGTTGGCCCTGCCTCCTGATTTGAGGCACTTGGGGTGTGAAAAAAGCTACTGCCCATTGAGAGGCTGAATGGGGAGTGAACTCTTCTAGGAGAAGCTAAGATTTTTTATGGGAAAGGAAGTAAAAGAAATGTTCAGTGAAGAAGTCATAGGAGCTTGTTAATGAGAGAACAAGGTTCCCGAGGTCAGACTGTAAAGATTGGGACAGAGGAAGATTGGGTGAAGAAACATGGAAGGTACTGAGGAAAACCAGTGGCTGGAAGACCTGTGTTCATGGTAGCCAACTGGCATTCAGGGATGGGAATAGGGTGGATGCAGCCAGCCCAAGGTTGCCAAGAGAATGCACCCACTACTCCTTTGGTGGACAGCAGGGAACCCAGGCATCCCAGGAGGCATATATGGCTTGTAAATATTGCACCCTAAGAAGGTCTCAGGCTCAGATGGAGACAGTGACTTCAGGCTTTCTTCCAGGATTCTGACTGATTGAGTGAATCCCAGTGAGAAAGCCTCAGCCTCACTCAAGGGAACTGAAATCTTCACAGTGGTGAGTAGCCCGGCCTGGGAGTAAAGAAGCTAGAGAGACAAGATCTCAGTGGTCACAGGGGTCCAGGAGCAGAGGGAGAGCACAGTCCAGTTAGTTGCTAAAAGCTGGCAAGAAACTTGAGTCTAAGCTACTGGAGAATAAAGCCAAAAAGGGAAACATGATCAATTAAAAGTTTACACATAATGATCACAAAAAAGTTACTTAGGAAAAACACAACTGTTCCCAGCTATGACCAGATAGGAATATTTCTCATGTGTGTTCTCAGAATGAGAGGTGTATGTGATGTGCAGGTGCAGTCATGTATCTCATGGGGCTCTTTGTTAGATCATCTTATAATGTTGGTAGGTTACTTGTTCCTTCAGGTGATATAAAGAAACACATTCTAGAAATCAGAAGCCAAGAGGGCTGTATCTCAAAGCAGTGAGTTCCCTATCAGAGGCAGTGCATGTCAGCCTGCAGGAGTTTGATATATAGAATAAGTTCCTCTATGTGTGTACATATAGTCAGTCAGATATATATATATATAGTATATATATATTATATATAATATATATATACATAGTCATATACATATATTTACAGACCATTTCTTGCCTAAAATAATAGGAGAAAGAAACTTTAGCTAAAATTGTAGAAACCATTTTAAGTCATCTTTGGAACAAGTAATAATATTCTTATTATAAATAAGTGAATGAATAGATTAAATGTAAGTCAAGTGACAATGGGACTGTAAACTAGTTCAACCATTGTGGAAGTCAGTGTGGCAATTCCTCAGGGATCTAGAACTAGAAATACCATTTGACCCAGCCATCCCATTACTGGGTATATACCCAAAGGACTATAAATCATGCTGCTATAAAGACACATGCACACGTATGTTTATTGCGGCATTATTCACAATAGCAAAGACTTGGAACCAACCCAAATGTCCAACAATGATAGACTGGATTAAGAAAATGTGGCACATATACACCATGGAATACTATGCAGCCATAAAAAATGATGAGTTCATGTCCTTTGTAGGGACATGGATGAAATTGGAAATCATCATTCTCAGTAAACTAGCGCAAGGACAAAAAACCAAACACCGCATATTCTCACTCATAGGTGGGAATTGAACAATGAGAACACATGGACACAGGAAGGGGAATATCACACTCTGGGGACTGTTGTGGGGTGGGGGGAGGGGGGAGGGATAGCATTGGGAGATATACCTAATGCTAGATGACGAGTTAGTGGGTGCAGCACACCAGCATGGTACATGTATACATATGTAACTAACCTGCACATTGTGCACATGTACCCTAAAACTTAAAGTATAATAATAATAAATAAATAAATAAAAATAAAAAATAAAAAAAAGAAGGAATGAAAATGATACCATAGCTTAAGGTAAAGGAAAATGGAATTTATCGTACTTCACCAATTCAAAGTTGTGTGTTATTTTCAAACTTTAAAATCTCTGACTGCCTCTTAAAATCAGTGAAGTCTTGCGAGCGCTGTGAGCCTGGCAGTGGTTTGGTTGAGATTGCTTATACCAATGATCCTAAAAGTTTGTGCTTCTCCCCCACCAGCAGCATCTGCATCATATAGGAATCTGTTAAAAGTACAAATTCACGGGTCTAATCCCAGACATAGCAAAGCAGAAGATCAGATTCAGCAGTTTGTGTTTTAACAAGCTCACCAAGTGATTCTGATACACACTCAAGTTTTAGAACTACTGGATTGCATGCTTGAAAGAACATAAAAGCACTAAAATTATACCTGCAGAATGGGAGTATTAGTCAGGATTCTTCAGAGAAACAGAACCATGGTGTGCGTGTGTTTGTGTGTGTGTGTGTGCAGAGAGAGAAAGATTTGTTTTAAAGTATTGGCTTACATGATTATGGAGGCTGAGAAGTCCCACAACCTGCGTCTGCAAGCTGGAGAGCCGGGAAAGCTTTCTGTGTAGTTCCAAGGAGAGCCAATGGTGTAGATTCCAGTCTGAGTTTGAAGGCCTGAGAACCAGGAGTGCTGAGGGAAGAGAAGACTGATGTTCCAGCTCAAGCAGTCAGGCCAAGAATGAATTCAACCTGCCTCCACCTTTTGCTGTATTCAGCCCCTCAAGTGTCAGAGGATACCCATCCACACAGGGAGCACAATTGGCCTTACTTAGTCCACCAACTCATTTCGGGCTTGGAAGAAAATCTAAGGGTCAATAACAATGCATTCTTTTAACCTCGAGAAACCAAATGATTGTGGGAAAGGAGTAAGAAAGAGGGTAAACCAGACATGTTTAGCAACATTTCCAAAGCTAGGCTACCTCTACGTGACTGCAAAGCCAGCCTAGGAGGCCAAAACAAAGGATTTTTCATTTATTTATGGATTTCTGCAAGAACTTCTGCACCTTCCACACACTTGATGTCAGGGGATAATATTGTGTGGAAAAGCATAGTCAGAGCTGACTGTGAGAAAGGAAGAAACTCACAAGAGTGAGGCTCCAAATTTGAGGACATTTTAGAAATATATCCACTTAAGGAAATTTTTTAATGTATATATGTGAATGATAAACTATAAAAATTGTTTCATGGAGTCAAAGCTTTTCCAAGATGTTTAAAATAAAAAATCTATGTGATAGGAAAACACTGTGTCAATTTAATTTGGCATCCCTTTTCTTTTTCGTAGCATATATAAACTAATGATACATCTCGCAATCAATGCATTTTAGTTTGATGAAATATGGTAATTCACTAGCCCCTGCTTGTTAGGTACTTGTCTTTGCCAAGACACACTTGGTATTTTAGGAAGGGTTCAAATTTTAGAAAACTGTAGCATCCTGATTTGCTTAGCTCCAGAGGGGAAGTGAGCAGGGTCAAAGATTGAGTAATGAAAATTCTTAGGGAAGCAGAACAGATTTTCCAGGTCTCTAAATGCGATCACTTTGCACTATACTGGAAGTAGGTACAGCATATTGGCTAAGAGTACCTGTTTTGGATTCTAATTAACCTTCATTCAAATCTTGACTCTAATGTTAGTTAGCTATGAAGCTTTGGACAAATCATTGAGCCTCTCTGAGACCCAGTTTCATCTCCCTAAATGGGGATGATGTTCTTAGGGTTACTGCGAGGACTGAGGTAGATAATACATATGAAGTGCTTATAAAATGCCTGGAGCATAATAAATACTCAGGGATTGGGAGCTAATATAATAATTGCCTGCAGTCTGCAATACAACCTCCCTTGCAGTTTTTAGGGCAGCCATCCAAGGAGGCTCTACCCAAAAGAACAACAAAGGGAGGCCCTTGGTGCCTGGCTTAACTGTTTGAACCAACACAGGAAGGGTAGCCTCTGCTTGTATTCTGATGAATGAAACGCTCCTCTCTGAGAAAAATTTTAAAACCTCCAGAAAGTAAGTCAATTAAAGAGTCTTACTAATCACATGCTACATTATCAAAATGAAAATACTTTTTCATTAGGGAAAAGCATTTCAGAGGTTATAATTCTTATTGATGGTGGGGATCTTTGAAGAAAATGACTAGTGGTAAGAGACAAACATATTTCAAAGTGACTCATCCATCCTTGATTGAATCAACAAGGAAATTCTTTTTCTTTCCTGAACCAGTGTCCAGATCATCACAAAAAACTTGCATCAACTCCTCAGAGAGCCTCTTTCTTGATAAATGATGTAGGCACAGAAAGATAAAGAGACTGTCTGAAAGTGTGATGTCACACAGGTTTAGGATTTATTATTTTTCTCTGTAGAATATTGAACATTGTCATGAGGTTAGGAAATCAGAGTCCCAGGCTCAGATCTAAAAGACATGTACATCCCTTTATCCAAACGATATCTGCCTCTTGAATCTTCTGCTTTTTTAATTAATGTAGCAGAATCTCTGAACTATAGTTTGAAGTCCATGAAGTCTAAAAGAAATAAGATACACACACAGATAGATAGATAGATAGATAGATGATAGATAGATAGATAGATAGACCAATGATGGATAGATAGATGAATGAATATACTCACTGGCCCTCTTTTTGAGTGTTACCAGGTTTGTGAATTATCTGGGATTAATTTTTATTTCAATCCAATGTCCCCTGATCCCATCACTTCCTGTCTTGTTTCTTCGTTCTCTTTTGATTAATAATGAATAATAGTCATTATGGAAAAATAATTTCATTATAAATTTAAGCCATGTTTCTCTCCAAGTTAAAATGGCTTTTATCCAAAAGGCAGGCAACAGCAAATGCTGGCGAGGATGTGGAGACAAGCAAACCCTTATACACTCTTATTGGGAATGTAAATTACTACAACCACTACAGAGAACAGTTTAACCGTTCCTCAAAAAAATAAAAATAGAGCTACCATATGACCCAGCAATCCCACTACTGGGTATATAAACAAAATAAAGGAAATCAGGATATTAAAGAGATATCTCTACTCCCATGTTATTGCAGCATGATTCACAATAGCCAAGATTTGGAAGCAACCTAAGTGTCTGTCAACAGATGAATAAATAAAATGTTGTACATGTACACAATGGAGTACTTTTAAGCCATAAAAAGAATGAGATCTAGTCATTTGCAAAAATATGGATGGAACTGGAGGTCATTAGGTTAAGTGAAATAAGACAAGGGCAGAATGACAAACTTCACATGGTCCTCACTTATATGTGGGAGCTCAAAATTAAAGCAGTTGAACTCATGGAGATAGAGTAGAAGGATGGTTACCAGAGGATGGGAAAGGTAGTGGGGGGGTGGGAGGGGAAGTGAAGAGGGTTAATGGATATAAAAACTAGTTAGAAAGACTGAATAATATAGTATTTGCTAGCACAACAGGGTTACTGCCGTAAAAATAATTTCACTGTACATTTTAAAATAACTAAAATAGTATAACTGGATTGTTTGTAACACAAAGGATAAATGCTTGAGGTGACGGATATACCATTTACTCTGATGTGATTATTATGCATTGTATACCTACATCAAAATAACTCATGTACCTCACGAGTATATAGACTACCCACAGAAATTAAAAATAAAATAAAAAAAAGTTTCAACTATGACAAAATCTACTCCCCAGAATGTTAATATATTCCAAAGTCAAATACAGATGTAATGGAGAGAGATAACTTTTTGGGCTTAATGACACTACTGAAGATGAAGCTATCATTATTATTACTATTATTATGCTGTACAGTGACATTAAAGAGTAAGGTTAGTTTACCACCCCAAGGTGAGCTTCAATGTGCCTATACCTTTAATGTGGTCAACATGAGTCCAAGATCTCACCTCAGCTTTTCAGGTTCAAAAATTTGTTCTAGTCTGTTCCACCAAGAATGACCGTATCTTAGTGTCTGACTCGTGTTAACCAAACTCACAAGTATGTAATTTATAAACCAAAATTGCTTCTAAAGTAGGACAGCTTCTCAGTGGCCAAAACCCTGTGCCAGTTCTCCATAGTTTCCCATTTTCTGTATTAGGGTATCTTACTTGCAGAATAATTAACTTGAAGTTTGTTTCTTTATTTTGGAATCAGAGCAAGGATCATCAAATGGCATCAAGGCATTCTATACGTTCTTATCCCTACAGTGCCTTGTTCAATGTCAATGAATCCTCAGTTAATTAAAGCTGTTTTAGTTTATTCACAGTATAGTCTACCTAACAACACACCTGTCTATTGACCAGAACACACATTTACATTTATTTTATAAGTTTCTGGGCAATAGAATGGGATACACACTGGTTTCTGGTCCCATCTACAAATTGTCTTCCAATAAAGGTCACCTCTGCTGACCCCTGACATTCTTATCTATGTGCTCTATTTTCACCAATTTCAATGTCAAAATATTACCTTTTCCTGAACTTGCCTCAAATTTCAATTCAGATCTACCATGATGCTCAATTTTATTTATGTGCCACCTTGACTGGACTAAGGGATGCTCAGTGGGCAAAACATAATTTCTGGGTGTGCCTGTGAGGGTGTTTCCAGAAGAGATTTACATTTGAATCAATAGACTGAGTAAAGAAGATCTGCTTTCACCAATGTGTATAGGCATCATCCAATCCACCAAAGGCCCAAATAGTTCAAAAAGGCAGAGGAAGGGGAAATTTGATCTCTCTTCTTGAGCTGGGACATCCATCTTCTCCCGCCCTTGGACATCAGAGCCCTTGTTTCTGCAGCCTTCAGACTACTAGACTTACACCATGGCCCCAACCCTCACATTTCAAACCCCTTACTTCCCCCACCCTAGTTCTCAGGACTTCAGCCTTGGAGTGGGAGTTACACCATCAGCCTCCCTGATTCTCAGCCCTTCAGTCTGGGACTAAAGTACACCACCGGCTTTTCCAGTTCTACAGCTTGCAGATGACGTGTTGCAGGACTTCTTGGCCTCCATAATTTCATGAGATAATTCCCATAATTCCCACAATAAATCTCTCTCTCCCTCTCTCTCTATTTACATATATATATATATATGTATATAGCCTATTGGTTCTGCTTTTCTAAAGAACCCTGACTGTACATATACTATATGATATCTAGACTATAGATTATGCAGAATCTTAGAATCAGGTCTCCTCTTGTTGGAAGGGACCTAATTTAAAGACCATTTAGTCCAACTTCTCACCTTATGCTTGAGTCCTCTGTGTCATGTCAGCCTCTGAGGAGAGTTGGAGATTATTTATTTATGCACACTTAAAAGTAAACATCATTATGATTTGATATTTCTCATATACATGAAATTCAACAAAGACATAACTTCCCTGTAAAATTAATTGCTGTTTTAAAATGGTAATCTCACCATGAAGTTTCCGAATATTCAGTCAGATGACAGAGGAACAACAGTCTTTTGAGCTACCTGTTATAGTTTTTTGGGTTTGGTAGCTGTTCTAAAATTAAAAGTGTCCTACTGCCAATATTTTCTTCATGAAATTAACTGCTTTTGATGGGAAAGTCAGTGCGGATGTTTGAATCAGCACTGACCCCCATCAATCAGGCAGTCTGGTCAGCTCATTAGGTCTTGAGGGAAGTTTGATTTGAGGATAAACAACACAGATTAACTAGCAGAAGAGTCTTGTGCCCAGGGAGACACTAAAGTGCTCATTTGAACAGCACCTCCTAGAGCTCCCAGTCTGTAGGCTCACCTAAGTAAAAGACAGTGGAAATGGAGCAGAACAGCTCAAGGAAGAAGTACTTAGATGTTGGACATATGGATTATTTAGAATCACTTTGATTTGTTAGATTGACGTTCTGTTAGAACAGAGAGAAGCCAATGCAGATGAAAAGGGAGATGAAAGTGTCAAAATCAGAAACGCACTGCTCAGTGGGAAAAAAATAATCAGACAGAAGGTTTTAGGATAGGGAAACATGACTCATTCACTTACTATCTTTTTTCTCTTAGGTCCCAACTAAAGAAAGCACTTTGAAGAGTCAAAAATAGGATTCAGCCATACTTAACATACATCCAACTCTTTGGCATACTAATATCGGACAAGGGAAATTGAAGTTGCACAAAGCAGACACATGGACTACTATTTGACAGTGTGTTTCCATTTCATACATACATATTTGGCCACTGTTACTAACTAACATGAGATAAGTACTGGAGATACAAAAATAAATATAGCCGGATTCCTTTCCTTAAGGAGATGATGATCTCGTCAAGGAGGAACAGGATTAAACCATGATGGAATATATGAGAGAACAGGATCAAGACAAAGGTGATCTGCAAACTCAGAAGCTACCTGACTTAGTTTGGATGGGATCTGGGAAGAGAGTTTGTGGAAGATGCATTGCTTTCTCCACCATCTCTGTAAAAAAACTTTTCTTTTTTTTCTTTTTTTTTTTTTTTTGAGATGGAGACTTGTCCTGTCACCCAGGCTGGAGTGCAATGGTGCGATCTCAGCTCACTGCAACCTCTGCCTCCTGGGTTCAAGTGATTCCCCTACCTCAGCCTCCCGAGTAGCTGGGACTACAGGCACGCACCACCACACCAGGCTAATTTTTTATATCTTTAGTAGAGACGGGGTTTCACCATGTTGGCCAGGCTGGTCTCCAACTCCTGACCTCATGATCCGCCCGCCTCGGCCTCCCAAAGTGCTGGGATTACAGGCATGAGCCACCATGCCCAGCAAAAAACATTTTTTTAGACCAATTTTAGATTTGTAGAAAAAAAATGTAGCAATAATACAGAGAGTTCTCATATATCCTGTACCCACTTCTCATATTATTAATATCTTATACTAATATGTGGTATATTTGTTACAATTAATAAAATAATATTGATACATGATCAGTAACCAAAGTCCACCATTTATTGAGGTTTTCTTAGTTTGTACTGAATGTTCTCTCTCTATTCCAGGATCCTGTCTAAGACAGCATTACATGGAGTTGTCACGTCTCCTTAGTCTCCTCTTGGATCTAACAGTTTCTCAGGCTTTTCTTACTGTTGATGACCTCGAAAGTTTTCAGGTGTACTGATGAAGTATTTCATAAAATGTCTCTTATTGGGATTTGTCTGGTGTTTTCTTTATGATTTGATTGGGCTTGGTTAAGGGGTTTTGGGCAGAAAGGTAAAAATGCCATTTTCATCACATACAATCAAGGATACATACAATTGACATGACTCATTACTGTGTTAATCTTGACCTTGAACACCTGGTTGAGGTACTATCTGTGAGGTTTCTCACTGTAAAGTTGACCCCCCAGTACCCCCCCGCTTTTCATGCTGTACTCTTTGGAAGGAATTCACTATGCACAGCTCACACATAAGGAGTGGGGAATAAAAAGTTATGCTCCCTTTCCTTGAGGGAGGAATACCTACACAAATTATTTAGAATTCTTCTGCATAGTAGGATTGTTTCTTCTCTCCCACTTCTTTATTTATTCCATCACTTATTTATATTAGTATGAACTCATGGGTATTTATTTTATACTTTGAGTTTTAATCCAATACTACTTTATTTTATTGCTCAAATTGTTCCAGCTTTGGCCATTGGGAGCTCTTTCAGTTGGCTCCTATATCTCTGTGACAGGCCCTCATCATTGTGGGCCTTTTCCTTTTTTCTGTTCTTTTCCTGTTTTGTGTTGCTTTGAGCACTTCTTTACCGACTGGCACTCCAAGATGCCCCAAGCTCATTTTGCTTATTTCCTGTCCTTCCTCCATCTTTTGAAAGATAGGCATAGTCAGTTTTGCTACAAGGCTTGTTTTAAAGACATGAATTTGTTCCAGCATGATTGATATATTAGGGAATAATCCGAGCATGACACCAATTTAGCATTTGCTTATAAACAAGAAACACTGTGGTGAATGCAGAAAACTGCTGCTTGCTGGAATGAGCTGCATAAGGATAATAACACCAGCACATGCACACACCACAAATATCTGACAGCTACCCCAGTTCCCTGGGGGTGTGAGGAGCCACACCCACCCACACCAGGTGCTGCAGTTTTCCATGTGATTTGACCTAACCTTTCTCCTGCCACTTCACAATCACCCCAGGCTGCAGCCCTTCTGCTGCTCATGTCCACCCGCAAGCTTAAAGTCTTTTTCAAGGTGAAGTGACATATTTGTTGCAGCATTTGTGTTTTTCTGAACCATTTAACATACGTCAAGCAATGCTACTGGTTTTGTTAGGATCCTATCTTATTTTTACATGCATCAGAGATTTTTTGAATGCTGTGCTTCTAACCCCATTGTGGGGGTTATTGTACCTATTTGCACAGAACAGTGATTTTTAGGGACACACGTGTCATGGAAGAGCAGAATTGACTGTAGGCATCACTGATTGAAAAGAGGAAAAAGAGTGTTTGGGGCAGAAATGGCATGGAGGTATGAAACAACCATATGCATGGTGTGCTTTATCTCATTTTGTATTGTTGGAGTATAAAGGATGATGATGAGTTGAGGCCAGAGTGATACCCAGAAGCAAAAGCAAGAGCAAGCATTTGCTAGAAGAAATTTGGGCATTAATCCTCTAGCTATTAGGACATCAGCGAAAAGTTACAAGGATTGCAGTAACAGGTACAAATCTGCATCTTATGTAGATCTCTCTCTTCTGGCCATTAGGAAGAGGATGAATTGGAGAAGGACAGGGATGTAGCCTGGAAGACCAGGACGCTTATGATTAAGGCCGAGTATAGCCATAGTAACTGGAATGAATTAAAATAGAAAGGTTAATGACATATTCAGGAGATACATTTGACAAGCTGGTTAATTTTTTTTAACACGATCTAGACACAGTGTCACTTAGGTGTGAAGTTAGATCTCAAATGCATATTTTTAAACAAAATTTCAAAAATCAGTTTTGAGACTCTAGGATTCCTCAAGAGATGAATGATTTTTTTTAAAAGTTACAGTGTGAAAAGAGAAAGAGAGACATGGGAGAGAGAGAGAGAGGAGAATTTTATGAGGGGCCTATCTTCAGAGAAAACAGAGCTGCAAGACCTATCTCCCCTACCCCCATCTGAGTGATTGTGTGTGTGTGTGGTGTGTATGTGTATGTGTGTGTGTGTGCGCACGTGTGTGTGTGTGTGCACACATGCCCTTTCCTCTCTTACCTAATGAAGAAAATTTCATGGAATACGTAAAGAAATTTGAAAAGTCTTCTTAAGAGGACTTCATTGAGAAAGCTGAGGGCCTGTCATCTGGGGTGTGACATCCACCCCCAAATTCAGAGAATTTGAAAAAGGTTGGCAGGGCCGGAGCAGAGCAAAGAGTGCTATTGCATCAAGGTGGGGCTGCTCTGCCTGAGTTCCGCAGGGCAAGGCATGTGGGGTGCAGATTTAGGGTGATCTAGAGCTCTCTCAAAGAGTCACCTAGGGAAGATAAGTTGGCCTTAACAAAAATAACAAAAGGCTAGAAAATAGCACCAGACTTACAGTGGCTTAGGAAGGCGCCACCAGCCTGGAATAGAGCTGTATCTACCAGGGTCAGGAGACTGGGAGAAAGGGGTCAATAGGGGGCCTCCAAAGAGCCTGCCATTGCTATTTCCAAAGAGAGAATAAGCTTCAACCATCTCCCTGGCCCAGAAAGTGAGATGCCACCTATCTGGTGGCTGCCCCCATGCCACTCCACCCCTATACTTCTCCCTCTAACTCCTCCATGCTTACACACGGGGAGCAAAATAGCACTGACTATTGCTGAGAAAGAAGTGAGCAGGGAGGAGGACCTTCCCTTTCCTTGTCCACTTTGGGCATTCAGGCCAAGGCTCACCCATGAAGAGGGGACAGTAACTTGCATTTGGAGATTTTATTATTATATGTTCTTGGACATTCTGCTTTCTGATTTGAGACTGTGTGATTTAAATAGACTCTGAGTCTGCTGCTTTAGAGTGAGCCATAAAGTCAGGAACTCATTCCAGTTTCTTTTGTGGGCAGAGACAAGTTACTCACATTAAATAAAATGTATGTAAAGCATAGCAGAAAGAAAGACGTGAAGTTATATTTTGGTTACCTCCAGAGTTGTGCATGTTGAAAATACTTGTTTCACACACATGAGATTCTTGGTCTAGATGACGTACAAATGTTTGCCAAAGAGACTAAAGACCACTCGACATCAAAACATTATAAAAGCATCTCCCCCATGGTGCTTAACTTTTGTTTTATGTAAGAAGTCCATGGTTCAGCAGATGGCCTCATTGTAAAATAGCATGTCTCCATATTTTGATGATCAGCACGGTCATGGAACAGAACACATTTCATTTTGTTAGCTTAGATGCCACCTCTCTCACTAACCTTCCTAAGAGCCCACTGCTAACCCTTCCCTGAAATCCCCTCTATGCCTTCCCCTTTCCAAGGCAGGATACAAGTTCCTCCTCAGAAACTCATGTTTCCAAAGCACCCGGAACCTTCCCTTATCAAAATTCATATCATGTTGTATTATAATTGCCTGTTTTCTCGTCTGCCTTTCTTAACAACCTGGGAGTTCCTTGAGGGCAAAGAGCATATCTTGTTCACTCATATATCATAGCATGGTGCATGACATAGAGTAAGTACTTAATCAATATTTATTTAAATCAAATATTGCTTAATTAACTAATTCATGGTCAAATGAGGTATAATTAGGTGTAGCCACCGGCTTACCCCTGCAAAGATCCCCCAGATTGACTATAATGCAACCCAGGGGGGAAAAGTGAGAGAATACAGACCAAGCGGCACAAATCTACTGCTTTCCCTGGAAGCCAGAAGGTGGCTCATTAGAATCCTCCTTGCAGTTGACGTATCGATGGACAACAGATCAGCATACTTCATATCCTGTTGAAAGTCACACAAAATCCTTTTCCCCTTTAGCTGCTCCTATATAACTGAAGTGAAGTTGGATAAAGCGACTTCTCCCTATGCCTTTGAGAGGCTTTAATTGATGTGGATCACTGAGTGATTGATGTGGATGCAGCAATCAGTATCAATTGGAAGGCCGTGGAGTAAGGGGATCAGCCATCCTGCAGTCTGGTTTGCCAGCCCCATCTAGCTAGAGCTTGGACAATTGATCTTTCCTGCTTTAAATGATCAAACTGCAACCTATTCAAGATGCATATGGTTTCAAAGGCTCCCAAATGCTGAGGTCGGACACTGCTAAAAGGGGAATAATGAGCCTAGCACCATTAAAGTTGGAGTCAATTAGCAGAGTCAGGAGACTGACATTGTGTGTTTCTAAGTATAATTTGAATCCTTTGTATCTATAATAAAACCTTAGTGATTTTCCTGTAGGATGATCATTCTCTGAGGAATCACATTTGTGGCTAGGTGGAGTGGTGTGTGGGGTCACATGAGCAGAACCATGAACTTTTTGCCCCCAGAGGTTTAATGCCATCCCTAAACTTGACTAGTCAAGGGTCTAAACTAAGGATTGCTTTCTCTGGGCCAGTTTTCCTGGGGTGTATTTGAAGAATATAATTTCCACGAGATGTTATATATTATTTGAGAAAAAAGTTCACATGGTCAAATAAATGTGTAAAACCCCATGTTAGGTAAAGAGGTCTCTTGATTTCACCATACTTCATATTCCACTGGAAGTCATACAAAAGCCCTTTAGCTGCTCCTATATGTCTAGCACTTATATTATGTGCTATGTTTTATATATACTTATTAGGAATTTCTAAGGGAGGAATAGTATTACCAATCATTTTACCAATGAACATTTTATCACAAAACATCTAATGGATTGTATTCTGAGAGCTACACTTTGGGGGAATGCTGCCTTAGGGAAATGCATGACAGATGGCTTCACATTGGGCCCCCAAAGTCCTACTGTGAAAGAATTTGCTAAGTACTTTCCCCACACACATGTTTTTTAGTTTAAAAAAAATTTAATATATTTTTAAATAAAATGTTCATAGTAGCATAGTTTTAGATTTACAAAAGTGTTGCAAAGGTAATACAGAATTCTCTTACATCACACAGTTTACCATGTTTTTAACATCTCATATTACTGTTATATATTTATCACAACTAAGAAATCAACATCAGTACATTACTATCCATACATCCAACCCGTTATTTGGACTTTTAATAGTTTTTCCCTAATTGCCCCTTTTCTGTATTCCATGCGAGATACCATTTTACATTCAGTCATTGTGTCTCTTCAGCCTCCTCTGGTCTGTGACAGTTTCTCAGAATTTCCTTGTTTTTGATGACCTTGATAATTTTGAGGAAGCTGTTTTCAACAGCAAGAGGGATCAAGGAAGCAAAATGAAATGGCAAATCTTGTAGAATAAAAGGGGATGCAAGAAATTTGAAAGGGCAGAAAAAATGCAAGAAAATAAAAAGATAGGAGACAAAGTTTATTGACTCCTCAGTTTTACAAGATCAACACTGCCCATAAATGAATTTTGTAGAGTGTAGGTATGGAAAAGGTGGATGCAAATCACATTTTTAAAATTTACATCATTCACTTATATCAAATCATTTTCTCCTAAAATGCTGTTTGGTATAGTTCAAAGGGGAAAAAAGCAAATATCAAACCAAAAGATAAAGCCTAATAAAATTTGGGACTAAGACAGACAAAAGTGGCTTGAGATGACCAGAAAGAAAGAGTTTGAAGGTTACAAGTGTCAAAAGATTTTTCCATCAGGATGATAGCCCTTTGACTCGAGTTGGTAGCTTTTGAAGCACTACCTTTTGTTCTGTATCTCTTTGTTCTCAGAATGGGATAGTTTTTAAAGTGGGAAAAAGGAAAATTCTTAGAAGGACTGGCTCTTTGTTTCCTGGGCTTGGGTTAGGGAGGAGAAGCAATGGCTCCTAGCCACTGTTTTTCCTTTCCCCAAACCAAGAAAGTACATTTTCCCTTCTCTTATACTGACCAGACTGAACAGACTCTGGGAAACCTGAAAGTAAATAAGAATAGAGAGATCTAGTCATCTGCTGGGTTTAGCACAATCAAAGCTACTCTGAGTGTTCTGTTTTTAAAAGCTTTTTTCTTTCTCCTGCCCATTTCTTTTCTTGCCTTTAATAATGAGATACCAGTCTTTGCTCACTTTCTTTCTACCAGGCACCCCCTTGAAAAATGTTTTCCTTATCTAATTATGTGTTTGTTTAGAAGTTCCGAGACTAACTATTGAAACAATTCAAGCCACTGTGGGATTCTCCCCTACCTGGAGATCTTCAAGGCTTTTGTTAATTTACAACCCGGCTGTACCTGAGATAGTGCCAGCCCATTCACCAGACGGGGCAACAGCTCAGGATAGTCACTGGAACAAGTCATGTAGACTGGCACCTCCTCATCGCTCCTGCATGCCCATCATACACAACTCCCCTTTTTAAATCAATACCCTCAACCCAAAAAGCTGAAACGGTTTCTTTATGGCACAAGCCTTGGTCATTTCCCGATGACTAGCTCTGAAATAAAACCACTTTCCTTCCACTGCACCTCATTCTCGTTATTGGTTTTGCAAGCAGTGAGCAGCCAAGCCTGCATTTGGCTACACTACCATAGCCATGGTGAGCAGCATGACCAGGGAGATCACTGTGTCATGGTCAGTGGCCAGAGAGTTTCTTAGGGCATGTGATGGACTAAATATGGTGTAGATGAGATGGCAGATATTATTAGTTGCTGTGATGGTTAGGAGACAAGCTAAGCTGCTATAACAAAGCTTAAAAATACAGTGACCCACCAAAAATGAGGAATGATCTATTTCTCTCTCTGTAATAGTCCAAGGGTGGGAAGGCCCTTCAAAGCTAGTGGTCATTTCTGCCATTCTCAACACTGGATCCAAGGCAGCTCCCCAAGTTCTTGCTATTCCCCAGCTAACTGGAAGAGGACAAAAAGCTTGGTAAATATACAACTGATCATTTTATGGGAAAGACCTGAAAGAGATACACATCATATCTGCCCAAATGCCATCAGCCAGAACGTAGCCACATGGCCACATATAACAGCAAGGAAGTCTGGGAAATGTAGACTTTAGTTAGCCATCTGCTCAGCTAATATTCTATTACTATAGTAGAAAGCAAGAACAGATATGGTGGAACCACTTGCAATCTACCAAGTTGTTTGCCCATTCTCCATGCCTCCTTTGTTCTACTTAAAAGAAGCCCAATATTGTTTAAGGGAGCAATGTGCCTAGCTAATTGCTCATTTTTCAGCCTCCATTGCTGTGAAGTTAGGACATGCAGTGTGACACAGACACGGACAGTGAGAATAAAAGCAGAAATTGGCTGGAGGTTTTAGATAAACCCTTTGCTATACTACTAAAGGAGGATAGATACAGCTGGTATTGTGTCCTTCCTAATTCTGCTTCCCTGGAATGCAGATGTGATGGTTAGAGCTACAGCTGTTTAACTGTGCCCATGAGGAAAAGTCAAGAGAATAACACAAATATCTGTCCTGACATCAGTGAACTGCTAGACTCATACTAACAACTACTACTTCTAGACTTGTGGAAGTGAGAAAAAACACCCTCAGCCTTCTTTTAAGCTTTTGGTAGTTAGGTTTTCTATTATTAATAATACTTGTAACAATTACATTCTTAGCTGATTGATTCAGAAGATAAGTGGCCAGAAAAAGAGAAACCTTGAGGGCAGATAAGCAGACAACTCAGCCTGAGAGAGGATCACATAAAAAGGTCTGCCTGGGCAGGGCGCAGTGGCTCACGCCTGTAATTCCAGCACTTTGGGAGGCTGAGGCAGGCGGATCACGAGGTCAAGAGATCTAGACCATCCTGGCTAACACAGTGAAATCCCATCTCTACTAAAAATACAAAAAATTAGCCGGGCATGGTGGCGGGCGCCTGTAGTGCCAGCTTCCCTGGGAGGCTGAGGACTGAGACAGGAGAATGGCGTGAACCCGGGAGGCGGAGCTTGCAGTGAGCCAAGATCACGCCACTGCACCCCAGCCTGGGCAACAGAGCGAGACTCCGTCTCAAAAGAAAAATAATAAAAAAAAATAAAGAAGATCTGCCTGACACAGAGTGACATTATGCACTTTATGCACTGAGAGCTTGAATTCAAAGAACAAAAGAGAACAGAGAAGAAAAATAATCAAACAGCCACAGTGGAAAAGATCTCAGGGTATTACAGCTATGGCAGTAAAGATCTAGAAATATCATGATGGGGTGTTAAGAAAATGCAGACAGAATCTGTAAATCTCTTTGTGTATGTGTGTGTATACATATATACACATACTATGCTTTCTCTATACGTAAAGTATACATATATACTATATTAAAGTATATATAGTATGGTCCCAGCTTTATATATACTACATATAAAGTATATATAGTATAGTCCCAACTTTTATATACTAAAGTATATATGTATACTTTATATATACACTATATACAGTATACTATATATAAAGTATATATGTATACTTTATATAGAGAGAAAGCATAGTACATATACATAAAGTATACATACATTGTATAGTATATGTAGTATATATGTATACTTTATTTACTGTATAAAAAGTATATATGTATACTTTATATAGACAGAAAATATAGTATACATACTATTATATATAGTATATATACATAATGTAACATACATAATACATACTCTATACTTTCTATATATATAAGGTATACATGTACAAAATATATACATATATGCTTATACATATATAATATATGAAGTATACATATTTAAATTATATATGTGTGTGTGTGTATATATACATATACTGAGTAAAGAAGTAAATAGAAGTTAACAGTAAATTTATATACCAAGGAACAGAAATAGAGCTACACATGTGATTAGAAAACTATAAATATAAATTTCTAGTGAGAAAGAATTGATTAACAATGAATACAACGCAAAATTCATGAACCACAGAATGCAAATTACATTACAAAGCTGTTATTAACAGAATTGTTCACCAAAATAATCTAGGAAACCCTGATTAATGTTTATTCTTGGTAGTTCTGAGTTTCTTCCAAATAACATCTTTGTTCCTAAAGTCACATTTTAAAACTTCATTCAGATAAGATCTTGTGTAGGTCTATAGAGTAGTAGAGTGGTTAGAAGTCCAGATTTATGCATTAGTATATCTGGGTTTGAATCCTGGGCTGATTATTTCCTCTTTGTATGATAGTGAGCAAACTAACCTTCAGTTAGTTTCAGTTTTATCTAAAGAAATATGATGACAGTTTTTTCAATTTATCTATCTGACAAAGGGCTAATATCCAGAATCTAAAAGGAACTTAAACAAATTTACAAGAAAAAAACAAACAACCCCATCAAAAAGTGGGCAAAGGATATGAACAGACACTTCTCAAAAGAAGACATTTATGCAGCCAACAAACATGAAAAAAACTCATTATCACTAGTCATTAAAGAAATGCAAATCAAAACCACAATGAGATACCATCTCATGCCAGTTAGAATGACAATCATTAAAAAGTCAGGAAACAACAGATGCTGGAGAGGATGTGGAGAAATAGGAATGCTTTTACACTGTTGGTGGGAGTTTAAATTAGTTCAACCATAGTGGAAGACAGTGTGGCGATTCCTCAAGAATCTGGAACCAGAAATACCATTTGACCCAGCAATCCCATTACTGGGTATATACCCAAAGGATTATAAATCATTCTACTATAGAGACACATGCACACGTATGTTTATTGCAGCACTGTTCACAACAGCAAAGGCTTGGAACCAACCCAAATGCCCATCAATGATAGACTGGATAAAGAAAATGTGGCACATATACACCATGGAATACTACGCAGCCACAAAAAATGATGAGTTCATGTTCTTTGCAGAGACATGGATGAAGCTAGAAACCATCATTCTCAGCAAACTAACACAGGAACAGAAAACCGAACACTGCATGTTCTCACTCATAAGTGGGAGTTGAACAATGAGAACACAGGGTGGGGAACATCACACCTCAGGGCCTCTCAGGAGGTGGGGGACTAGGGTAGGGATAGCATTAGGAGAAATACCTAATGTAGATGACAGGTTGATGGGTGCAGCAAACCACCATGGCACGTGTATACCTATGTAACACCCTGCACGTTCTGCACATGTATCCCAGAACTTAAACTATAATAAAATAATAATAAAAAAAAGAATTTACCTCGAAGGATTGTTATGAGGATCAAGTGACACAATCCATGTAAAGTAACTGAGACACAGTGAGTGCTCAATATGTACTACCATTGTTATTGTTATAGAAGTACTAGATCCAAATCAACTATTTAGTCTCTACACTGGGTGGGTACCAGGAGTGGAAAGCAATACTCGTTAAGTTCTGGAAGCACACACAACACAGCAAATCCCTCTCAAGCCTCCTCTGTCTGGCAATATTTGGGAGCAGAGGTTCAGGTGAGCACCTAGGCATGGATGCCACAGCTATACAGATGTGCTCACCTCATTCTCAAATCTTCTGGCTTGGAGGTTTGATTTCTGCTTTCTTGTGATTGATAGTCTCACACCCCTCAAGCCTTTTCCTTCTACAGATCCCATGCCTTTAGGGACTTTATCATGTAAACACCTAGAGGTGATGGTTAAAATACTAACATGAAAAGAGGAGAAGGTTGAAAGGTAGTTTTTCTTAACAACAGAAAAAAAATCTCACTTTTCTCTGTTGTCAGAAAATGATAATTGTCTTGTTGATAAAAGAGGTGCTAAAAGTTTCTTGTGGATTTTCCCCCTATTTCTAGGTAGGAAACCACAATGGTATACCTGGTAGGGCAGATCATATTAGGTAAGCTAGATCAGAGATCCAATTAGTATGATTGGTTCAAATGTATCTATTTATCCATACCAAGTGAGAGTTAAATAACTAGGTGATGCCATTAGTTCCCTTCATGCCTACATACACACAAAACCAATTAAAACATACACAGGTCATGTAACTTTTGCTTTCATGCATCCTTGTGCATACTTCAGCAAGATTGGTATACATGATGCTATTTCCTGAAATGGTACACATTATGTAAAATTCCACAAAATTCCTTGGGGAATTGAATTACATAATAACACATATTCTATTAAAGGAAAAACATTCAACAAAAGTTATAATTTTTGCAAGCATATTGTTCTGTCCTGCAATTATAATTCTTTGAAAAGGAACTGAAGAAATATTGTCACTGAATACCCAGAACATTTCAATAAACTACGTCACTGAAAGATTTTTCACTGGCCCCCAAATGAGTAATTTATTTTTCTTGCCCAGCAAATGAACATCATTATAATAAAATTCTCTACAAATTTGCTTTGACCCTCTATTACCCTATGCTCAATATTTTCTTGCTTGCCAAGGAAATGATGTGCTCAGGGAACCCATAGTTCTATGTCAACAAGACGTGTAATACAGAAGACAATGCAAATTATCCGCAGCATGGAAATTGTGTAATCTGCTTTTTTAAATTAAACTCCCAGATCTTCATAGTACTGGAAGGTTACTTAGAAAACTTGTATGTCAACAAAACTACTTTAAAGAATAATCATTGGCAATAGTTTGTAGAACACTGCAGCTCCTCATCTAACTCAACAGGCAAGTCAGTCATAGGGAAACCACTTCAGCAAAGCCAGCTGGGGAGCAGAGAGGTCTGGGGATGTGTCAGTTCCACTCTGCAGAGCATGATGGTCAAGCCCCAGCTCAGAAGTCACAGATAACTGGTTGTCGGTCTGACTCTGTGACTTGGTCTAGGTATTTGGCAACTCAGATATCTCAAGTAGAAAATGCAATGCCTGTCTCAGAAGATTATAGTAAGGAGTAAATGTGTTGATCTATATATTCAGCACTGCTACACGGCCAGTTGCTAAATCATTGGTCAGAAACCATTCCTGGAGGGATAGGAGCATTCCCCATATCCCAAGAATGCAGATAGAAGAAAGCCTTCCTTCCAGGGGTAAAAAGGACAGAGAGACCATGCCTGGAGAAAGACACATCAGAGGGAATTTATGCCCTGGACTGAAGTCCTAGAACTCAGGCAATTATGGCTCATGGAAACAACTCCAGGTTTATAAACAGAAGCTTGAAATGTAAGCTCCACAAGGGCAGGGCCTTTGTTTGTCTTGTTCACCACTCTATCCCCTAAAATAGAGCCTGGACTAAATACGTATTTATTTATTGAACGAAAGGATTAATCATGCCATCACCCTGTCTCATATTAGCTGTGTGATCTTGGACAAGTAATTTAACATCTCTGAACTTCTATTTTATTGCATATAAAATTGGAATAAAAATCATATATACTTCACAGGACTACTGAAGCATAAAGGTAAGTAGCATTTCATAGAAATGATATTTCTGATCAGGAATATTCTGATGACAATGTATATCTCTAACACAGAAATAATTATTTTAGCTATATCATAAAAATGACAAAATGCCTTAGTGGCTCTCATTCCTATGGAGACTCCCTCCAGCAGCTCAGCAGTCCCTTTGAAGTCACAGTAGAGTGGAAGTCATGGTCTTCACAGCCAGCTCCCTCCAGAGAGTAGGGGCTACTATTATGGACTGAATTGTATTCCCACAAATTTGCACGTTGAACCCCTCACCTCCCATATGACTGCATATGAAGATAGAGTCTATAAGGAGGTAATTACAGTTAAATAAGGTCATAAATCCAATCTTATAGGATTGGGGGCCTTCTAACAAGAGGAAAACAAAGAGATCTTTCTTTCTGTGTACACAAAGAGGTCATGTGAAGACCCAACGAGAAGGTGACCATTGACAAGTCAGAAAGAGAGCCCACACCATAAACTGGTCATACAGGCACTCTGATTTCAGAATTCCAGCCTCCAGAACTGTGAGAAAATAAATTTCTGTTGTTTAAACCACCCAGTCTATAGTATTTTCTTATAACAGCCTCAACAGACTGATCCAGACTTCGGTATCAAAAAAGTGGGTCATTCATGTAAAAAACACCTATGGATGATGCAGCAGTTTGGGGACTGGGTAATGGTAGAAGTAGTAGGAGTTTTGAGGTGCTTACTAGAAAAAGTCTAGATTGCCATGCACAGAGTTGGTAGAAATATGGGTGTTAAAGGCCATTCTGCTGAGTTCTCAGTTGGCAATAAGGAACAAGTTATTGAAAACTGGAGGACAAGGGATCCTTCTTATAAGCTGGACAAGAAATTCCCTGAATTGTGTTCTGCTGTTTTGTGGAAGATGAAATTTATGAGGCATGAAATTGTACATTTAGCTGAGGAGACTTCTAAACAAAATGTTTAAGGTGCAGCCAGGGTACCCCTGACTGGTTATAGTAAATTGCTAAAGGAGGTGAATGAAGAAGAAATTATTAAGCAAAAAGGAACCAGAACTTAAAGATTTGGAAAATTCTCAGCCTGTCCATATTGCAAAAAATTAGAAAGTGTCCAGCAAATGAACGCTTTCCCATGTAGAAATTGTGTTTGGAAGATAATAAGGGTGTGGCTGTTATGGCAGAAATGCTGCCACTTTAAACTGAAGGGGACAGTAATGCAACAAAATGAAGCAAATGAAGTAAAGCTATTGTAGTTCTAAGATTCTACAGGACAGAATAAACTTATCAGACTATAACATATCTTATCTTTCAATAAGACGGAAGAATGACCCTAAGCGTGATTCTGAAATCATCAGGGCTGCCACAAGCCCAGGCGACAGGGTTGGTTCTACTTTAGTCTTCCCTTCATTTCAGTGGGCCAGAATGACTCCACTGAGGGCCTCAAGGTTGGGGGCACAGCTCTACAAGGGTGGCACTGCCACCCCAGTGGGCCTAGAGGGCAAAACATTGAATCAAAGAGGATTATTCTCAAGACTAATGATCTAATGGAATTTGCCTTGCAAGGTTTTGGACTTGCTTGGGACCCATCACTCCTTCCTTCTTTCCTATTTCTTCCTTTTGGAATGGCAACGTCTCTTCTATGCCTATCCTGCCAGTGTAATTTGGAAGCCCATAATTTGTCTGCTTTCACAGTTTCACAGCTGGAGAGGAATTTGCCCCAGGATGAATCATACTTTGAGTCTCCCCCATATCTGATTTAGCTCCCTTCTTTCTCTGAAATACAGGTCCCACCATGATCTGCTTCTCTCCCAGGGTGACCACCCTGAAGGGAAACCCACACATTTACAGGATGTCCTGGTGTTTGGTAAATACATCCTAATACATTGTCATTAGATATTCTGTACAGACCCAAGCAGGATAATAAGCCACTTACTTTGGCCATTTTTCTTTATCTTATTTTCCTCTGCCTTTCTTAATTTTCTTGATCTTAATCTCCTTTGCTGTCTCCTACTCCAGATCCTCTCTGCCCAGTCTTCCTGGCCTGGTAGGTTAGAAATAGCACCAGATTAGTGCTTAGAATTTCTGCATTCTGGCCGTGGCTTTGCTACATCCAATCTACATGTGTCTGAGCAAGTTCATTTCACTGGTTGAAATCTCAGTTTCTCACCTGCAAAGTGAAGACACTGATACCAACACACTGGCTTAAAGGCTCAACTGAGATCGTATAAGTAAGAACATATTGTGAAGCACTCTATACATTTAATCCGCTCATGGTTCATTCACTTGTTTATGCATTCCTCCTCAGTGTGCTTAAGCACCAGTTACAAGGGATTATTTTTATTAATATTCTAACTAGTCTCTGCCTACTTTGGCCAATGAAAAATGTGAACTCCTGATGTGACTTGCAAATCATAGAAGAATAAAAACTCAGTGCCAGAAGCACCAGAATTGAGAACTGAGTGAATCTCAATAAGGGAAGCTGTGATTTGGGGCCCATAGTCTTCTATGTCAATGTGGTTTCAAACTCTCTTTTGCTTCATCTCATTATGCTATTTTCATGTTGGCACTACAGAAGTCCAAACTTCACTCCAGAGCCACCACAAGTCAATCAATCTCAGCCGTGTTACCAAGGCTTCAGGGGCCTAGGCCCTTGTGAACTACGTGTTTCAGTAATTAATCTTCTCCATCCTGAAGCCCTTATATGTGGGCAGCCGTCACTAAAGCCAAGGGCCATGTTGCAGATTAGTTGCTTAAGTGCAGCCTGGAAGCTGCCTTCCGAGTGAAGTGGTGCTAATTAAACCCTGCACCCCCACCAGGACCACTGCTTGTAAGACAAACTAGTTGTTAATTATGACCTGGGCACTATTTTGGAATTTGCTGATGGACTCCTGAGGGTTTGATTAGTCCTTAACATAAAAACATCAGTTTATTCTGGGGAAGCCCATAAGTGAAGAATTCTATCTTGATTTTAGGTCCTTTTATTTGAATTAGGTCATAAGAAAATTATGTGAAGTTAAATGAAGAATTCCAAACAATTAAGCAGTGTGATATTTTTCAATAGCAATTATTATTTGTATTATTTATTATGCCTGAAAACTCAGATACAGGAAATTAAAAGAGTACAGCAAAATTCTTTTACATTATAAATAGAAAGAAAGGCATAGTGTCACTGACAGTTTCAGACATTAATTTTATTCTTTTCGAATTAGAATAGAATGTAAATGAGATAATTTCACTTAAATTTGATTTTTCCTCTCTCAACACATTTAATATAATAATTTAACTAACTGTGTGGCTGGTAACAGCTATAGTAAATGTACAGATTATGTAAAACCATTTCATTATGACCTGAATAGTGGTGATGACTTTAGCTGGAGTCATTATTTAAGTTCTTGTGAAAGTTCCATTAACGTTTCTTTCCTATACCAAATTTACTGCTGTCACACTTAAAAATCATAAGAAATGAGGAAACAAGCATCACGCGATAGGAAAAAATCATATGCTCTGCAAGCAACATTTTAACAAAGTCTATTTCCACATATTTACACTGATCAGTTTTTAGTCTATTTATTTTCGGCAGATTTACTGACCAAATTCTGAAGAGACTGGGCACAGTGGTTCATACCTGTAATCTCAGCCCTTGGGGAGACTGAGGTGGGAAGATTGCTTAGCCCAGGAGTTCAAGGCCAGCCTGGACAACATAGCGAGACTTCATCTCTGCAAAAAATAAAACAAAATTAGCTGGGCATAGTAGTGCACCTGTAGTCTCAGCTACTTGGGAAGCTGAGAGGGTAGGGTCACTTAAGCCTGAAAGTTAAAGGCTGCAGTGAGCCGAGATCGCACCACTGCCCTCCGGCCTGGGCAACCGAATGAGACCCTGTCTCAAAAAAATACATATTTAAAAAACAAACAAATACACCCACAAAAGTCTGCAGAACCATTGTTATTGAAATGGTTCTAAATTTTGGCCTTCTCTGTGTATTTGTGTGTGTATATGTATACACATGAAAACAGAGAGTTTTGTTTTCTAACACTACCACTCAATGATTCAATAACATGTTATTGTTTTAAGATCTTAGAAATAGAGAGAAACAAGAAAGAACAAGGAAAAACAAATCATTGCAATCCAATCAAAGTCCAGCTTCATAAAATTTAAGCTGGTAAGACTGAAAGGAAAGGATAACCATAGTAGAAACCCTAGTCTTTGATCTAGATAAAGAGAGAAAAACTTGGGAGACAACAAAAGGAAAAAAGTCCTATTAATGCTAATTTCTGGCAACTTATACTAAAGAATGATGATTTATATACAGTGAGCACTTACTAATTGGCAGGCACTTTATGTTACTTTATCTTCCCAAACAGTCTATAATGTAGGGGACTACAATTCTCACCATTTTAGGGTTGAGAGTATTGAGCCTTCAAAGAAAAGCTAAAGCAAGTGGTCCATTTCTAAAAAGTAGTAAAGTCAGGATACAAATTCACTATGGTATTACAGAGATCAATTTATTAGCTACCACGCTAATTATCTCTCTTCCAGTTTCAGAGATTCTATAATGATTGCAAATTACTGTAAAATTTCATGCAAAAATTAGAAAGCAGAAACTCTGTAAGTTAATACTGCTTTTAGTCATAGTAATACATGAAAACTTTCAGGTAACTTTTGAGATTTGCATTTAAGATGCCAAAAAAGCAAGAAGGCTTAAATACCTCTCCTATATCTGATTTCATATCACCAAAGTTGACTTGGAATGACCTCAAAATGTTTTACTCATGGCAAAGAGATGAAGATGCTGGGCTGAAATCTCCAAGCAATGGTTTCATTGGTCATCATATTATTTTTATACCTGAAAATGCAATTCTTCATTCATACAAAATGCATAGTTTTATGCATTTTGCCAAATAGAACATTTATTATTTTATTACTCTAAGATGTATTTTTTCTCAGTTTCACATATCTGATATAGTGGCTTACCTTATAATCACTGCTTACCTTTAGTCAAGGTTTTCTCCAAAAGTTTTTATAAACCTTCAGTGCAGTTTACAATCCAGGGAATACTATGTTCATTGGCTCCTCCTCCTCCCAGAGCCCCATTCTCACTGTGAACACTCATGCCCAGGTCAGCCAGCATGGCTGCATTACCTCGTGTCAGGCAACCAGGAAGCACAGTCTGCCCATGAAATACATTAATCACCAATCTGACGGTAGGAGAAAACCTCTCAATAAATATTAGAAATAAACATCTTGGGCCAGGCATGGTGGATCCTGCCTGTAATCCCAGTGCTTTGGGAGGCCAAGGCAGGATTTCCTGCTGCCAGGAATTTGAGATCAGCCCAGGCAACATAATGAGATCTTGCCTCTACAAAAAATGAAAGTTAGCTGTGGGTGGTGGCATGTGCCTGTAGTCCCAGCTACTCTGGAGGCTGAGGTGGGAGGATCGCTTGAGCCCAAGAGTTCGAGGCTGCAGTGAGCGGTGATAGCACCACTACACTCTAGCCTGGGTGCCAGAACAAGATCCTGTTCTAGAAAAAATAAATACATATAAATCTTTACAAGGAGCTCCCAAGTTAAGACACAAAAGCTGCTACAGCAAACCGTGTATCCCTGTGTGTCACATTACAGAACTGATAAACACTTGGAATTGGTTTCTTCATTGTAAGTTTTGATTATTGGAACTATACCTACATAGGTATTTGTGAGTAAGATTGTATATAACAGATAGCAATCTGAAAATTATGTACAAGTAAAGTATAACATTGTACAATATTGCTACTATTTCTAAGATTCCAAAATATTTGTGTCAATTGTAGTTCATTCTATGTAGCAAAAACATTTCCTGCATCATCACAGGTACTGCCAAGTACAGTAGATTTAAAACTAAAATGGCTCACTAGTTTCTAAATAATCCCCTAGGAAACAGTTTAGTCTAAACCATTATCTTGATAGTTCATAATTAGGTTCAATAATAAAGCTTGTTTTGCTGACCTAGGTCAGATCAGCATGTCCACAGCATCTGGGCACAGTGACCTTGCTTTGAGAGGGTATTGTTAGAAAATCCATTATTATCATCACATACACTTCAGAGAAGTGGCTGTTTTGTGAATTGATGGTGTGATGTTGCCACTTTAGATAAAAGAGTCCATGAATTATTGACTTAATGAGTTAATGTTGCTTGATTTCACAACAAAGTCTTTACAGTCTTGATGAAATTTACTGAACACATAATCACAGCATATGAAGGAAAGCACAGGTGATAGGCTCTGCTGTGCATTTATGAGCCACATCAAATCTGGAAAAGATATGAACCTCAGAGGTGTCACCGTCTCTCTCTTGAAAGCATGACACCTTGGTCAGTGTGTCTTAAGGCCAATTCATGAACAGTCACTTGAGATGGCTTTCTTACCATTATTTTTGTCTTAAACACAGAGCAGTTAATTGCTTTTTCCCCTCCCCCTAGAGTTCATTTTGGTCCCCAGGCGAAGCCTTGAGGTCAGTCCTGTGTAATCATCCTGGCTGTGTGGTATGGGTGCAGCCCACAGAGAAAACCTATCACAGGGGAAATATGCCAGTAGCCTTGAGCTTGCCACGGGAAAAAGGAAGCAAAATCTTCTAATCTGATGATGTTTTTCTTCAGAGTACACCAAACATGGGAGAGATGATAAAAACCCAGGCACAAGGCAGTTAACAGGTTCTCCAGAGAAGCTGATGAGCAGGTGAGACCCAATTATTCAGTGAGCCAGTCCTAATTCGGGTTTTGCTACCATTCATGGGGGGCTTATTATCTGCCAAGACATTTCTGTATAAATCTGCCCAACAAACTTACAAAGTAGACGTTATTTTTCCCACGTTACAGATAAGGAAATTGAGGCCCAAAGACAAAATAACTTGCTGCAGAGCTAGCAGGGAAGGGGTCAGGATTCCAAGTGGGTCTGGCTGACTCCCAGGCATGTGTGAATAGCCACTGCACAGAACGGTGGCCTCCTGACTGCCAGGTCTAGCATCTGTTTGCTGTTTAAAAAGTCTATAAATCTGTCTGGCTTTGGGATCTCACTTGAAGATACCTCCTTTCATCCTCCAAGTCGAGTTAAATGTCCACAATATTCAAGATGGCTCACATTTCAGTCCCAGCATGACGTTGCAACCTTATCTTCCTCAATTCCCACTCACATGTCCTTTACTGTCAGTTTCCCAGCATGCCATTTGTTTATTTATCAAGACCATGGCTCAGATCATTTCTTCCTGTCTCTCCCGAAATCTGGTACATTTTTTCAAAACACAATTTTTTTGTGTGTTTTTGTTTTCATGAAGTCTTTTCGGATCCTCCACCTCCATTAAAAATTATTTCCTATTTCCATCTTCAAATCTCATAGCATTTTGCTTGTGCCTGCCTCTCTTAAGGTATTTCATCATAGTCTGAATGTGATCATTTCTTGTGGGCTTATCTAACTACTTCTTGTGATAACTGGAAGCCCTTCGAGGGTAGAAACCATGTCCTAGTCATCACTGCATCTCCAGGGTTTAGCATCATATTTAGAATGAGGGATGCTCAATAAATGCTTGTGAGATGAATAATTAGATAAATGAATAATTGTGAAGAAACAGCCGGGCAAATTAGTTGGGTCATGATTCAGAGGTACTCCATGCAATGTCTTGGTGAAAGGACTGCTATGAAAGAATAGAGAGGCCAGGCACGGTGGCTCAAGCCTGTAATCTCAGAACTTTGGGAAGCCAAGGCAGGTGGATCACCTGAGGTCAGGAGTTTGAGACCAGCCAGATAGGGTGAAACCCCATCTCTACTAAAAATACAAAAACTTAGCCAAGTGTGGTGGTGGGCACCTGTAATCCCAGCTGCTCAGGAGGCTGAGGCAGGAGAATTGCTTGAATCCAGGAGGCGGAGGTTGCAGTGAGTCGAGATGGTGCCATTGCACTCCAGCCTGGGCAACAGGGGGAGATGCTGTCTCAAAAAAAAAAAAGAAAGAAAAAGAAAGAAAAGAAAAAGAAAGAAGGAAAGAAAGAAAGAAAGAAAGAAAGAAAGAAAGAAAGAAAGAAAGAAAGAAAGAAGGAAGGAAGGAAGGAAGGAAGGAAGGAAGGAAGGAAGGAAGGAAGGAAAGAAGGAAGGAAGGAAGGAAAGAAAGAAAGAGAAAAAGGAAGAAAGAAGAAAGAAAGAAAGAAAGAAAGAAAGAAAGAAAGAAAGAAGACAAAGTTGACTTTGCTCATTCATCCCTGCATCCCAGTCCACAATTTTGTTTGTATATTAGAATTCAGGTATGGAATGGGAAAAAATAAACTGTGATACGTAACAGCACCTTAGCCCCTTCTCACTGGCCCTACTTTCTTTGCCTGAAAGGAGATTTAGGCCAAACTGGGAAAAATTTCAGCCCCAGCTTGGCCAAGTTGCCTGATGGTATCATAGCTCAATTTCCTCATCTGTATGATGGGGGTATAATAGTACCTATTATTATTTACCTCATTTCTGGATACACTGTATGTCCCCACTTGTGATTCTTCCTTTGCACTTTCACATACAATGGGCTACTCTGTTAGAAAGCTCTTTCTTATATTAAGCTAAAATTGGTCCCACTAGTCCAAGGTCTACCTGTTAGAAATTATGGAACAAATCTAACCCCATTTCTATATAACACTTTTGGGGGTGGCACAAATACCCATCGGGGATGCACACATGCACTTTATTTGCTACATAAGCATAGCACAGGTGCTCAGAGTCACAGTCAACCATTCTGAGAACTTAAGGGAGAAGCAGCCCAATTCATGGCTCCATCCCTGACTATCTGTCTCTGCTACAGGAGTCAGTGTGACATAGTGGAAAGAAAACAGATGTTTAAGTCAGAAGTTCCTGGAGGCAACTTCTGACCCTACCCAGTGTGAGGTGAGTCATTTAACCTCTTTGAACCTCAAACTCAAATAATCTCATCCGTAAAATGATCAGGGGCTCCAACTGAAAAAAAGATGTAACAGTAACTATTTGAATTTCCACCTTAAAATATTTTACCAGAGTTTCAAACATTTAAACAAAAGCATCCAATAAAATAACATCAAAGACTTTTCAAATATTCCAACAAATGGCTATTGCTGATACATTAAATGTGAATAACTTCACTTCTTTTTTATCATTTAATTTCCAAATTTAAAAAAATAACAATAAGGGTGACAGTACTTTTAGATCATGTCATATGGAGTCAGAAAAAAAGCTGAAACTGTTCTGTGATTCATAAAAGGTTCCTAAAACCACCAGACAAGGCTTCGAGGAATAGGAAAAGGGAGCTGGAAGCCCAGGGAGGAGGTGTTCTTATGTCCCTCAGGGTCCCCCAATCCTCAAGCCTATGGACACGAAACTGTGGGAGAGAGGAGAGAAGGAGGCCCAAGGCCTGTAGAGAATTTGCACTCCTTGACTAGGGGGAAGCCCCAGTACTTCCCTTGCACTGGATTTCCCCAGCCACCTCACTTTCAAGTCATAGTTGCTGGGATCCTCTATCTTCAGGACCTTGGACAAGTTCTCCCAGTGATGCACCAGAGAAATGTCTTTGCTCAACTGTTCATCATCCATGGAGTTAGAAAACCTTTGTGTTGAGTGGAACCCCAGAGGGAGACCATTGAATGTGTTATAAGAAACAGACTCTTTGCCACTCAAGAGGCACCATGTTTTGTCATACATCAGCACCTTTCCTCTGGCTGTACCCCAGCCCTCATTCCTAAAAAAATGTTATTTCCCCACATCTTGACCTATGTCTAAGTGAGAGGCTGTCTTCTGTGTAACGTTTTCTCACACTGGTCTTTCTGATTTCCTATACCTCTTAATGAGCATATTCTTATAGAAAGAGTATACGAGAAACTGTTTTTGTCTATCTCATGTGCTTGGCACAGTGTATCTGTTTATTCTTTTTCTACCTTTGTCACTACAATCTACGTCCTATCCCAGACACTGATACTGTCCTCCTTTCTCCTTCTCTACACCACAAAACCACTCTTAAGGTTTGTCTGGACTTGCTCTTCCACTTCCTTTCTCACCCCCTACCCTACATCCCTTTCTATCCTAAGTCGTGTAAGTTGTGTGTTTCTTACCCCCAATGAAACTGAACCCTTAAAGGCATACCATGACTTCTAAATCTCCTACCTGCCAAGAAACTCAGTGCTAAATCTAGTGCTCAACTGCAGCACTTAACTCACTTCTAGTGCCACCTTCTAGTTCATTATTGAGCTGTCTTCTTAAAATGTTTATTTCAGTTCTCCTACTTAATGTGTGTTATAATCTTTTAAGTATCTTCAAATACATTTTGGGAAAGGGCAAGAAATAACTACTTGTTACCAAAGTCACTGAGTCCCGTGGTTCCTTCTCAGCTCGCACCCACCTCTGCCCTTCTCTAACTTTTGATGCTGCTGCTGGCTGTCACATGGAAACACCCTCCTTGTTCCATCTCTGTCATGCTCTGTCTCTACTTTCTTTGCTCTCTCCTTGTCCTGCCTGAGGCAGACACAGTTCCTGCCATTTGCCCTAGTTCTCTCTTCCCCTTGTTTCTACTTTCTTTCATCCCCACCCCATTCTCTCTCCAATGGATGTCCCACTCAGTGCCATGGTTCAACTAGGACTGAGATGTCAATGACATGGGTGCCAGTTCAGGCTCAAGCCCCAGGACTACATTTCCAGTGGCCTCTTCAACAGTTCTTGGAAATGCTATGGGTACCCCAGACTTGATAGATCTAAAATTTTCTTTCATCTTCTTCCCATCCTCTTCATTTTTATTAATGACATCACCAGATCCTTGGTCTCCTAGATTTCAAATTTCAGAGCCATCTTATACTCCTTGCTTTCCATTATTCCATAATCCATTAATAGCCAAATGCTGCCAGATCAGCATCCTCCATGTCCCACATTTGTCTCCTCTTTTCTATCCCCTCTGCCTCTGTCCTAGCTCCAACTCTCATTCGTGCTTCCTTCCCTATATCCCTGCTGCAGTCCCCTATTTGGCTTCCCTGCTTCTAGTCCTTCCCAATGCCAATATGGTTTTACACTGTGCCAGAATAATCTTCCATAAATACCTCTCTGACCATATGACCCCCTGTTCCTATACCTCTGATGCCTGCCCAGTGCCTAGAGAACAAAGGCCAGATGACTTGGCATTCCAGTCAAGACCCTACAGGATTTGGGCACCAAGATCCTTTTCCTTACTGTCATCTATTTCCCCTGCCTTTTAGTTCCAGAAAACTCCTTGTCCTTTCTCTCTTCCTTGCCTTGATTCATACTCTTCCCGTCTCTTCATCAATACCTAACCAGTTTTCAAATGCTTCCCTGCCTAAATCTTTCCTAATCTCTCTAGCGAGACCCATCTTTCTCATCTGTATTTTGCTAAACCTTTATTAACATTTGGTATCAGTCTTACAGGGAACTCATTTTTTTTAAAAAAATTCCTATATGCTGGGCTATGTGTTTCACATTTTGTACTTTTCAATGTTTACAATTCCATGAAATGGGTTTATTAAAACCATTTTGTAGATGGAATAACAGGTTCATAAAGCCAAGCTACATGGGCAGTGAAGCACAGTGGCTCTTCAGACCATACTCCCTACACTCTTTACACACCAGATAACCTCTTTTAAATAAGTATTCCACTTCGTCCTCCCTTAAGAGCTACAGAAATCTAAGAGAACTGATATGACTACTTAATAGTGATAAAGTAGCTCTGTCTTTGGACTGTCCTAGTCCCAGTTCTTTGTGTGGCTTTTCTCCTTTTAGACCCTCTTCTGATATTTGGTTACTATTGCCTTTTAAAGGTTTCATTATTATGCATAATGTATTCATCGAAGGGCAGCATTTCCTGTAATTTATGTCTCTTCATTTTACTACTCAGCAATTCCTCAGTATTTAACCTCATAAATTTCCAGTTATTGTCCTATATTTACACATTGCATCTGCTGGAGAAGTCTGTGCAATTTATTACTACGTGGAAGCTAAAGGGACACAAAGAGGGCGAATCTTCTGCTTATGCCCCTACTATCTAAGTCAGATTGCTCATGATTAGGAGCAAATAGTCTCACCTACCTCCACCCTTTTGCATTTATCTTATTAAATAACATAAGGGCCAAATTTCCTTGACTTTCCAAAATCATCTCCTATCCATCCCTGGGACCCTGAACTGCTGGCCTCAAAGCCCATTTGAGCTGTCAGGCATTTCCTATGCTGTACCTCTCAGTTTCCTGGGCTGCCAGATCCTCCTCCTCTGAAAGGTCAAACAGTACTAAAACCTCACCTCATCTGGCTCTCAGTCCCCTTTGTTTCTCTTATATTGTTCTGCCATTGCCCTAAAGCCAAAAGATCTTTGGGGCAGCGGCCCTGTTTGGTGTTTGGCACAATTTCATTTACTGAACATCTCGATGTACATTTATGATGCCATATAACTAATAATAAAAACAGGACAGCCTAGGGCATCGTTTTTTATTGTCAGCTCCGTGGCAGCTGTGGGGGATGGGGAGGCAGAGGATAGAGAGTGCAGGAATGGTGCAGGACTCCCCAGGAGAGGCCAGTCCTTGCTGAGCCCATTCTGCAAGCCACATTCCTTCCCAAATGATCCAAACCTTGTCCAGACCCTCTCAAAGAGCCATTCCAAGCTTTCTGAACACTCTGCAACTGTGCAGAAGGCCAGATCAGAGGCTTTTGTGCACTACCAGGGAGGTACCTAAGCTGTGCACCCCACTATTTTTCAGATGGCAAGTTTGCCCACCTTTAGGCATGTGCAGAATGGATGACAGCAGAGCTCACGCAGATCATCACTGCTTGTTGCTAAATTGACGTGGCTGTCCTCGGATGCCATCAGCTGTGCAGTAATCCATATTAATAGCTGGGCTTCAAAGTAGCCATTTGTATGCTTTGCCTTTCTCTGTGGCTGTCTACTCTTTGTGAATATGGCCTGGATGGTATATGCCCCCGATCCTCTGACTTGGACTTCAGCATGTTGAAAAGGCTATTACTAGGTTTTAGAGGCAAAAACTTGCTCTTTGAAAGTGTTATTAGAAGGCAGCATAGAATAATGGAAAGAGCCTTGACTCTGACATTAAATGGCCTGCCTTGTGTTTCAGGTCTGCCCTTTACTAGCTGTGTGATTTTGTGTAAATTACTCAACCTCTCTGAGCCTCAGTTTTCTCTTCTGTAAGTAGAGAGAAGAGAATAATTCTACCTCACAAGGTTGTTTAAAAAATTCTGTGTAGTCTCTTTGTATATTAAAGTAAATGTATACATTATTTGCTGAAAAGTGCTACGTAAGAGGTCATTGCTATCATTATTTTTAAAAGAAAAGTACAGAAATAACTCTTGCGCTACGTAACTCTTACATTATTACTATGGAGGTGTAGCAAAGTGAATGATAAATGTTGAAGCCTACACTGAAGGGAGGAGAAATAAACTGCAATTTCTAACCCAGATGATTCCTCCTATTTCAGATGCCTTGGCTGATCCGGAACACTTGGCACAGCTCTGCCACAAGTGCAATTATTGGCAGCATCCGCTACAGAAAAAGTAAGTGAACCTTTCTAAGCTTAAAGTAAAAATCAATGCTGATTTTTACATCTATTCTGAGTGTGTGGCTTGTAAACAGTTAAAGGACTTGTGCTGTGGCGATTCATGGATTAAAAACTGCAGCGCACACGGGTGGGATGTACTGGAAAAACGAATTCTGTCCACCTGACTGCATTGACCATGGAAACACATGGTTAGCTGGAAGCAGCTCTTGAAATTTGCCAGAGCCCAAAGGACTGAATCTAGGTTACAAAATTTGTGTCAGTGAAAAACAGATTCATTTTGGGTGGGTTGTTTAGTCACGGTGCCAAAGCGAAGACAAACTCAACACACAAAGGAAAGAGAATTGACCACCTGGGATGAGGGCTAGCGTGTATCCTCTTCTGAAATTTCCTTAATGATCTCAGCTGTTTCTGCCCCACATGCTGTTTGTGAAGGGACCAATTCTCATTATCTTCTAAAATGATCTCTTCTCGCTATATGCAAACCCTCGTCGGCACACTGTGCATGCTATTTGGGGAGTTATTACAGATGAGTTAACAATGATCTCTGAGCCGCACATGCTAAAGCTGCACTGACTGGGCCCTATGGAAGAAAGGGGTCAAGCCCCTTATAAGTTCTGAGGACCCAACAGACATTTCAGAAACAGAAGGTTAATAAAAAATGAAGGGATAATCTGATTTGGAGAATATTTTCTTTCATTCAGAAAAGAATATGCCCTGTAGTACTTTCTTGGACTTCCCAATATGCTAATTTTAAAAAGAAAGTTGAACAAGCATCTTAGCTGTCTACCTCAACTATAACTAAGAAATCCATCTAGTCTATAAAAAGGACAAGGCCATAAGGAGGTGTTTCCTCAACTGCAGGCAAAGGAAGGAAAAGTCAGTTGCTGGCTTGGATTTGCTTTTGCTTCTTTGTTGGTTTGGACTCCCAGTTTTTGCGCATTGGAAGACGTGTCTACCCACTGGCCCCCTAACCCAGTACTTCAGGTTTCTTCAGTCAATAGCAGGAAGGAAGGAAGGGGATCAGGGCAGACACTCACAGCCATTTATCTTCTTCTTCAAGTGCTGCATTCTTTGTAAATGAAAGAGGCCAATCAATAGGGCAATAAGGAAGGAGGACAAGTAGCTGGGAGGGACCCACTGCATGGTGAGGTCTATTCACAGCCAGGGCCCCTTGCCTTGTGCACTCTATCCCGGAGGCATGACTCATTAGCATTCCAGAGAGGTTTGTTATTGAAAATTAGCCCTCTATTACACAGAACAAGATGATCACAGTGAATATTTTCACTGCTGGCCTCTGTAGAATAAATGTACACATCTGTTTAACATTTGGAGTTATTGAAATCAGACCTGTTGTGCATTTGCCATCTATTAAGAGGCAGTGCTATAAAGGGGAAAGTCCCAGACCAGCAGTGAGACAGACTGGGGTTCAAATCCAGACTTTACCTCTTATCAGCTCTGTCCACTTGTACAGCTACTGTGCTTCTCTGGACTTTAGTTTCCTCATCTGTGCAATTGGAATGATAACAATACCTACCTTACAGAATATAATGACCTAAGATAATCTGTATTAAAGTAATTCATATAATGCATATAGCAAGTGCTCAAAAATGTCAATTCTGTTAGTATTGCATGAAAACTGAAATACTAAAGGTTTGAGGAGAGGAAATAGGCAACTCTTTGAGAACCCATAAAGCCCTCTGAAGCTGTTCTCCCATACTGGTATATTTATAATTTCTTTGAGGTGGGGACTTTTCCTTAACTGTGAGTCTTCCCTAGTCCTAAGGAGATGATATATATGACATGCCAATATGGGGAGATACTAAACATCACCACTTCAAATCTCATGTGTTGATCATATAACTCTTGATTGGGATGGAACCCTAGAACACCCACAGCTTCATCCACTCATTTTGTAGAAGCCCTGAAAAAGGTTAAGTGACTTGCTCAGGGTAACATGTTGAGTTAATGGGTTGAGCCATATTTTTCTTTCATTCCATCTAGGTAATTTCCCAGAACTCTTTATAAAAGAGTATATCAATGTTAAGAAGGAATGAAATGGTCTTTCCAGCAATAACAGTAATATTCAAATACCCTAGGGGAAAAATATATAAAGTCTAAAGCTCTTCGTTTGAGGGATCTACCAAGATCTTATTAGAACTCTCCCTTAAAACTCAAGCTTGAGTTCTTCACTCAGGTCTGTGCATTTTACCCTTTGGCCAGATTGTAGCTCTGGAATTCCCTGGGTTTTCTCATGGTGATCCTTATTGTTTTTATATCCAGTGAAAATACTGGGGACATTTATTCACACATTATTGACTGAATAATAAAAAATTATTCAGCAGGCCAGGCGCAGTGGCTCATGCCTGTAATCCCAGCACTTTGGAAGCCAAGACGGGTGGCTCACCTGAGGTCAGGAGATTGAGACCAGCCTGGCCAACATGATGAAATCCTGTCTCTACTAAAAATACAAAAAATTAGCCAGGTGCAGTGGCACGCGCCTGTAATCCCAGCTACTCAGGAGGTTGAGGCAGGAGAATATCTTAAACCCAGGGGGCGGAGGTTGCAGTGAGCCGAGATTGCACCACTGCACTCCAGCCTGGGCAACAAGAGCAAAACTCCATCTCAAAAAAAAAATTTATTCAGTAATACTTTTAAAGCACATTAAGGAAGACTTTATTCAGGACCATCGATATAGGTATAGGAACAACTGCAATAGAATTTTGCAGTGTGAGAGAGATATAAGCCACAACTCTGAATATAGCATGGGCAAGTGGGAATTTACGGCTAAGAAGCAGGGCAGAAGTCAGTGGACAGAAAATCACCAAGAGAAAATATCAGGGGCCGGGGGAATTCTGGCTAAACTGAACTATCACAATTCTTGCTGAAGACAGTCCAAGGTAATCACACATTACCCGAGGGATACTGGAGGTTAAGAAACCTGATCAGATATGGAGAGTGGGAGGTATTTGCTAAGTTGACTTAGCAGGGTTCTTACTAAAACTGGATTTTACAAGGAAATGCACAGATGGGCCCAGGAGAAGGTTCAGGAGCCTGACTAAAGTTTGATCAAGCAAAGAATCTTTGTCACTGGCTGCAGATATAAAATATGGGGTTGATGAAAGCTAGATTTTCAAACACAATACACCTGATTTTTCTATCTTCCTTGGATTAAAAAATGTAAGTAATAGATTTTTCCCCTTACCTCACTGGCTCTAATTATTACAGACTTTAACTTTGCACATTAAGATCCTCTCCATAATTGCATTTGCATATAGCTTGCAGTCATAGCCCCATGTGCACAAAGAGAAATATTGTTTTCCTTCCAACCTCTCTGCCAGCTGTGACACACATCCTTCCTAAGCTCCTTTCCTCCCCCATCAGCACCACGTCCCAGAGACCAGTAAGGAGGTCTTGACTACTGAAGAGATGTTGAATTGACTCCACATACTGAATCTTGGCTGCAGGATCCTTTTGCAGATGAAGATGTCAAAAGGCAATCTGCAGTGAGAATGACAGTGTGATTAGCCAGAATGAGGCCGAAGTCAGAAGTAGCACGGACCACTGGGAAATTAAGACACCAATTTTCACCGTCAAGATCAGCTGTGATAGGGCGGTATATCCTAGCAACAGCAGAAGTCTTAACCTTGCCATCACAGCAAAAACTAATTTTGTGGTGTTATCTGTTCCAATATCTTTTAATCCAAAAAGTCTTTAAACAGAAAGTAAATACTCACACATTTCTTTTCCTGGATCTGCCTTTTGCCTCTAATTGGGAAATCCTTAATTCGGTGAATTAAAAGGTTATTGAGTCTTAACACAAATTTCATTTGCTTTCCTTCTTAATGCAACCATGGGAAACCTCATTGGAGAGACAGAGAGGGATTGTAATAGTTAACATTAACTGCATTCATGAAGAAAATGATGCTTAAAATCACCCTGGTGTATCTTAAACCAAACATAGAATATTTTATTATCTAGCTGAACAGTGTTAGAGCATGCCCTTGCTACTATGTTGATTCAGATTTACCATAGGGCAGTGGCATCTCTTAAAACATAACTTCATGTAAAATGCTCACCCAATTAGAATGGAGCCTTTTCTGTCCCTTGATACCAGTTCTTTAAAGAGGCTTAGCTATGATATATTTATATTTACAAAAATATGCATCATAGAACTTTAGCTGCCAGATCTGTTCTTGAGACAAGATAAATCAGCAATTTCAGCCACGATACTGAAATATCAAAGTCAGAATGTATAGTTTCCTTTTTTTGAAAAATAAGCAAAAATAAAATTGCTCTTTAATAAGCCTAATCCTCCAAGTAAAGGTAAAACTGTGCCAGAGGCCAGATTATTCTGCATGTTCCTTCCTATAGTTCTGATTCGGAAGTCCTTACCCTAGTTCTCTAAGCTGTCCGAGACCCCCAGAAACCCTCCCTGAAGTATTCTGCTTTGCTTCCCTCTTCATGGTAGAATCCAATGCTAAGTTGGGAACTAAGCCTTGTGCATAGGACCCAATGATGGAAAGGAAAAGTCCGCAAAGGAGCTAGAGCAGCCACAGCTGAAGAGTTAAGAGAAGAACCCAAGCCAAATGGAATCAAGAAAGCCAGGGGAGAAGACAGATTTAAGAAGGAGATGGTGAGAAACGATGTTGAATATAGCATAGACACTACAAAGCATAAGAACTAAAGGGAGATCAAAGGATTCTGAGGTCACCAATGACCTTGAGGAGATCTCTTCCTTCGGCTCTATAGAGGCAAAGTACAGGTATTAAGGAATGAGTAGGTTAATGGTGAACAAAAGGGAAAAGACTACGGTAGTTCATCCAAGTGTTCAAAACTCCACCCCCAGGTAGAACGGGGACCCCTTTGTGGTGTGATTGCAGGATGTTGGAAAGCTGAGCAAATGCCTGCCCCATGGGGCCTCGCACAATCCCTAATTCAGGAGCAGCATAAGTCTTTACGTTGATAGATGGGAAACCTTCCCTACCCCAGAAATTCCTTCTTGGGATAGAATGTTAGAGTTGGGTCCACAACCCAACTCTCATGTCAGTTTCCTAGTGGGGAGAAAAAGGCAGGCAAGGAAACTCCAGAGTAGGCAGCAAAATAAAGGATCTATTTGCATGATTCTCTCAAATTTAGGCAAAGGATAGACTCAATTAAGGCATGATTGAATATAGGAGGAGGCTTCTCTTCTTGTGTGGCTACCTGGGGGAGACATTTTATTGGCAATGGGGTGACTTGGATTCTACACACTAGTGGCTCTTATTCTCTCTGGTCTTTGCAGCACACATTTGGCTTGGTGAGACTAAGGGCAGGCCTCAGAGATCTCAGAGGTCTCTAGAAAGTCTTAGGATTTTACATGAGAATGCCAGGACAAGTTTGCTCATGTCTTCTGTTTGGCAATGCATTGCTGTTCTTTCATGGATGCGAAGCTGCCTCTTAAAAATCTGAAGTTTGCCCAGTGGCCTCTTGCTTTCAGACACCCATTTTTTCAGTGTGTCACTTCACCAGCCACATGTAGGTCTTGTTTCTGAAGAGCAACTTATGCATATCTCAGGCTGTCTATGCTGCTGCTGGGCTTCTCTTGCTAAAAATAAGCCACACCTCTCCACTCTGCTGCCTGCCAATATGGACCGGCAGCTTCCTTGGTCCCCCCTTCCCCATAGCTCCCTGTCAGTGCTCAGAGCTGAGTATCACGGTGCGTTTTCTACATTTTTCTCCTGCCCCACAGGCTCTGGCTTGTCAATAACTCATCTTACTTTCACCTCCTCTCCTCTCCTCCTCTCCTGTAGATGCAGTATGGTGAATATTACATGAATGGATTTTGAGACAGACTTCCTGGACTGAATCCTAGCTCCAACACTTACTAGCTGTGTGACTGCAAACAAGTTACATAACCTCTCTGGACCTTTTCCAAAATGTCAAATGAATGGTATAATACAATATGTAGCTGTGATGGTTGAGTTCATGTGTTGACTTCATTAGGCTAAGAGATGCTCAGAGAACTGGTAAAATATTATTTCTGGGTATGTCTGTGAGGTGTTTCTGGAAGACATTAGCATTTGAATCAGTAGACCAAGTAAAGAAGATCTGCCCTTAGCAGTGTGAGCAGGCATCGTCCAATCCACTGAGGACTCAGACAAATAAAAAACTTAGAGTAAGGGTGAATTCACACCCTTTCCTTGAGCCGGGACATTCATCTTCTCCTACCTTTGGATATCTCTTTGAACTTAAGGACTTATACCAATGCCCCGCTCCTGCACCCCAGCCTTTAGCCTGGGAATGGGAGTTACACCATTGGCCTTCCTGGTTTTCAGGCTTTTGGACTCAAACTGAATTATACCACTGGCTTTCCTGGCCCTCCAGCTTGCAGATGGCATATTGTAGGAATTCTCTGCCTCTATAATCATATGTGCCAATTCCCAAAATAAATCTCCTCATATACGTATACAGGATACCTATATCCTATTGGTTCTGTTCCTCTGGAGAACCCAACTAATACAGTAACCTTTTGAATCTGGCTTCTTCCACCTTAGCAAAATGAATTTATCAAGTTGGTGCAAAAGTAAAAGTAATAGCCAAAACTGCAATTACCTTTGCAGCAACCTAACCTAATAGAATTCATCGATGTTGTGTGATAGCTCACTCCTTTTTATTATCAAAAAACATTCTGTTGTATGGATATACTATGATTTGTTTAGCCATTCACTTATTGAAGGATATCTTTGTTACTTTCAGTTTTTGGCAATTATGGATAAATCTTCTAAAAACATTCATGTGCAAGTTTTTGTATGGACATAAGTTTCTTTAGCTGGGTAAATACCTAGGAGTACACTGTTAGGTCATATGATGAATCTGTGTTTAACTTTATAAGAAACTGCCACATGTCTTCCAAAGTGGCTATACTATTTTGCATTCCCACCAGCAATTAACGAGAGTCCTTATTGTTCCAAATTCTCATCAGTACTTGGGATGGTCAGATTTCTTTTTTTTATCTTTTTCTTCTGTTTTTTTTTTTTTTGGCTTTAGCCTTTCTGTTAGGTATATAGTAGTATCTCATTGTTGTTTTAATTTCTATTTCCCTGATGACAAACAAAGTTGAGCATCTTTTCTCTTTTTTTTTTTTCTTTTTTTTTTGAGATGGAGTCTCGCTTTGTCACCCAGGCTGGAGTGCAGTGGCGCGATCTTGGCTTACTGCAAGCTCTGCCTCCTGAGTTCACTCCATTCTCCTGCCTCAGCTTCCCTAGCAGCTGGGACTACAGGTGCCTGCCACCATGCCCGCCACCACACCTGGCTCCTTTTTTTGTATTTTTAGTAGAGACAGGTTTCACCGTGTTAGCCTGGATGGTCTCAATCTCCTGACTTTGTGATCCGCCCACCTCGGCCTCCCAAAGTGTGGGGATTACAGGCGTGAGCCACTGCGTCCAGCCGAGCATCTTTTCTTATACTTATTTGCCATCTATACATCTTCTGTGGTGAGGTATTTGTTCAGATCTTTTGCCCTGTTTTTTGGGGGGGTGTTGTTTGTTATTTTATTGCTGAGTTTTAAGAGTTCTTTTTATTTTCTGAATAGAAGTCCTTTATGAGATATGTGGCTTGCAAATTTATTTCAAATCTGTGGCTTGTCTTTTTATTCTCTAGTGGTGTCTTTCAAAGAGCAGAAGTTTTTGACTTTTATGAAGTCCTATTTATCAATTTGTTATTTTACAGGTGGTGCTGTTGTTGTCATTTTTAAGAAATCTTTGCTTAACCCAAGTTCACAAAGACTTTCTCCTGTTTTCCTTTAGGAGACTTTTAGTTTTAGGTTTTACACGTTGGGCAATGGTTCATTTTAAGTTGATATTTTTACATGTGGCAAGATACAGATTGAAGTGCTTTTTTTTTTTTTTGCATATAGATATCCAATGTTCCAGCGTCACTGTTGAAAAGTTTCCTTTCTCTACTTTCACTTTTGCACCAACCTAATAAATGAAAAAGGGCTTTGTGCCTTTGTCACACATCATTTTCTCATATGTACATGGGTCTATTTCTAGATTCTCTATTCTGGGAAGAAATATACTGATTACTGAAACTTATTGTGGAATGCATAAAAAATTAAGACGGATTGGTGGATAAAAAAGAGATAAATGGGCCAGGCATGATGGCTCACACCTGTAATCCCAGCACTTTGGGAGGCCAAGGCAGGCGGGTCTCGAGATCAGGAGTTCAAGACCAGCCTGATGAACATGGTGAAACCCTGTCTCTGCTGTGGTGCGCACCTGTAATCCCAGCTACTCAGGAGGCTGAGGTAGGAGAATCGCTTGAACCCGGGAGGCAGACCTTGCAGTGAGCCAAGATCATGCCATTGCACTCCAGCCTGGGCAACAGAGCATGACTCCATCTCAAAAAAAAAAAAACAAAAAAAAAAAACGGATAAATATGGTGGATGTGGTCAACAAACTATAGTAAAATATTAATGGCAAAATCTAGGTGGTGAGTATATGGGTGCTTACTGTAAACTTTTATCTTTGAGTGTTTGACATTTTTCATAATCAAAGGGTTAAAAGAAAACTCCCCTAAGGATTTTGAAGCACTAGCATGCCATCAGTCTTTAAGAACAGGTTCCTAAATAACTATTTCAGTCAAGCTTTTGGTATCTGAAATCTAGGTAAGAAACATCCTCTACCAAAAAAAAATCTTCCTAAGACTTCCTAAGCACAGTCAGATAGACTAAGCACAGTTCTATCTGACTGTGCTACCCATAATGGCCAATTACTACTGTTTTTTAAAAATTTATCAGTTTTTGTAATGAGTTTCTTCATCAATCTATTATTGTTGGATTATCTGTTTTGTATTATTATTATTATTTATTATTATTGCAATATGCTAAAATACATTGTATGCCATGGCTCTTTGCTGTTTGACAAGAGTGCTTTCACACACAGTATATCATTTGATCCTAAACAACCCTACAGGTAAAAATTGTGATAGAATATTATCCACATTTTTCTAATGTGGATAATTTTTCTAACGAGTTTCTCATGGAACTCAATTCAGAGGGAATCCTTTTTTCCCAAACCCAAATGCCTCGCAAGTGGTAGTTAGCACTCCACACAGTGCAACATCATGTCGCATTAAAATAAGCAAGCAGATTTCATTCCCACTTGAAACTTTAAATGTTTGTGGCCTTTACCAATCCTCTCAATGATTTCATAGTTAAGTTTGGTTGTATTTTAATTCATGCCTTGGAAAGTTTCCAACAAGGATGGTAAACGTCAGCCCCCATCAAAAGAATTGCTGATTTGATGCAAAGTGATGTGTGAGCACCAGCAGGATGCTGTTAATTGATTCGTCAATTCTCCTATGTGTGAACAGGTGTGATGAAGTGTAAAGAAGTATGCGACGTGGATGTGGCAGAGCTGTCACACAGAGAGGACTATGACTATCAGAGAAGATGACTCTCCGACTACCTTCTATCTTCCTGTACAAACACCTGTCCCAAACCATTCTCCCTTGGAAACTTCAAGAAGTGGTAAAGTGGTGTGCTCCATCTTGATGCACACCTGAGTAGGATGGGCATATATGGCCCACACTGAAATGTGGAGGTGGATTTTCCTAGAGCGGGTGGATCACCTCTGACCTATAGTTAAGGACAAAGCTTATTTCTAGGAATAGGATTTTTTTTTAACTGAAAAAGCACATCTTCACCAAAATCCATATTTAATCTAAGAAAACTGCACCTAGAGAGCCCTTCCATCAGTTATATATTATTCTCATCAAATTGCAGCCACAAAGAAAAGCCTAGGTAGGAAGAGCCTAGCCAGGCAGCTGAGGCCAGAAGGTGACAAAAACATCCCTGCCAAGAAAAGAGAAAATATTTGCATAAATGTTTGCACAACTTGGTGTTGCCCATCACTCCTTGCACTCTTCCTGGTGTCTGTGGTTACCTGTAATCTATTTCCTCTTCTCTCCGTTAACAAGTCAAAATATCATCAGCGTGGCTCTGTGTACCAGTTGACTTTTACAGTTGAATAGTCTCTGTGTCTGAGAGTGAAAATGTCAGATTCTCTGCCCTTATTCTCTCCCACATACCATAGCCCTTTCTGCCTAGGGTTCTTGATTGTTGGGGTTCTTCTGCATTCTTCCAGGACATTGAAGTTCTATGGTTGTGGACGTTTTCAGGAGTTGTCTTGGAAGGAAAAGTTGGAATCTAATGTGCATGGTATTTATCAGGGGTTGATACCTATGGAAGGGAGGGGAAAAAAACAAGATAAGACAGAGAAAGAAACAGGACTGTGGTGAGGGTAAGAGGTCAGACAAAGACTTACCAACCCAGTGGGAAGTTGTGAAGTAAATATAGCCCATCAATGTTGTCATATATTGACCAACTTCTCCTGGGTTGCCAGATTTTCCTTGTTTTAGCACTGAAGATCTCATATTCTGTACGTCCTGTCATCCTGGGCAAAGCAGGACAACTGGTTGCCCTAGCACCTGTCTCATATTGGGCTTTGTGTCTCACTGAGGTTCATATTTTGACGCCGAGGCTGACTTGAAGGAACTGCGGGTAGAAGCTGTCTGCTTACCCCATTACAGAAACTGAACAGCCAGCCCTTGCCAGAAGGGAGGTCTGAGTGCTGCATCCCTGGTTCCACCACAGGGAGGTAGGATGCTGCAGGACCCGAAGGACCTAGCTCTCTTCCTTTTTTTTCCTCTTGTCTCTGGTCCTCCTGCCGCTTTGTTTGACAATAAGCATGGCCTTTGGAGATAGGCATGAATTTAAATCCTAGGTGGGCCAATCACTAGTTATGCAACCTTGGGCAAGGCCAACTTCTGAAGCCCCAGTTTCCCATCTTGTGGGTTAATAGTAGAAATTCAGTGAGGTCATATACGTGTAGAATCAGCACAAAGTAGGTCTTGGATAAGGATGAGCCCATGTTATTTTTAAGGGGAAAATCTCCCACCCTGGAAAATGGCAGAGAAAAGTACCTCAAGCAGCCCCCACTCTGAGCAGCTTCCTGCCTCCCCGCCTGCCCTTTCATCCCCTTATTAAAGGTCCCTCTCACTTTCCCCACCCACTGAAGAGTTTCCACGACTGTGTAATCCCATGAAAACAGCAGCCATCCCCACATTACAACCAGGAATTCTGAAATATATGAAATACACAGTGGCAGCCAGAACAGAGTGGCTTTTACTTAGGACTGCTGGCTCTGGTAAAAATCTGAGTCAAAGAAGGAATAGAAGGCATCAACAGCCTGTGTTCTTTGAGGTCCCTATAATTCTGAACTGTGGGCAAAGAAAGGGTAATGCTGACTGAGCTTGAAAAGGTGCAGTGGAAGGCAAACAAATAAATGATTTAAGGTTTTGGAAGAAAGACTTTTGAAGAAAGCTTGACCTTAACCTTTGGAGCTTAGAGCAAAGCTCCACTGAGTGAAGGTGGGTTGCAGTAGTAAATTGGTCTGGACAAAACACATAGAGAGTCATTATGAGAAGAGAAAACCCTCCTCACCTTGTTGGGGCAGTGACTGCTGATAAGACACGTCCTGAAAGGGCAGCCTGCTGAGAAGAATCGAGCTAAATTCAAGGACAATAGCAATCCTCATTAGGGCCAAAAGCCAGGGGCTGTGATATGCAGGTCAGCTTACCAGGCTATTTCAGGAGCTGCTTGCCTGTGGCTAGTTGGCTCTGTTGGATGGAGCAGTGAGTTAATGAGGCCAAGGGCAGGAGGCTGACTTTCTGCAAAAGCCAGCTAGCTTTATACGTTTGCCAGCTAGCTTTATACATTTCCATGGCCATGGATTCCACCACTAAGCTAGACCATGCAGCTCACACCTAGGTGCTTAATTGCTGTCAGGGTCTCAAGTTTACACTCTGAAGATTTCACAGAATTCTTAGCCAATACGCAGATATGCTATTTTGTTGGAGGCTCAACCAATGGTCTAGCCTAGCAGTAAGATGTTAATTCAATTACACGTTTATTCATTCTGTCAGTCAACAAATACTTGAGTGCATACACTGCTGTTCTGTAAAGATATTGTGCCAGGTGCTTTGTATGGCAGTAAATACGAAGAAAGAAAGACATAAAACTAAAGAAACAGAAAATTCAACACAGGAGAGAGGCAAAGAGAATACCCAGGTTGATAAGCATGGAAGTTCCGAGATGACAACTGACAATTATGTGGCAATACTAAGGGAAAAAAAAAGGATTCCTGATTAGAAAGATAGGACAAGGCCGGGCACAGTGGCTCACCCCTGTAATCCCAGAACTTGGGGAGGCCAAGGTGGTTGGATCACCTAAGGTCAAGAGTTCAAGACCACCCTGGCCAACATGACAAAACCCTGTCTCTACTAAAAATACAAAAATTAGCTGGGCATGGTGGCGTGCATCTGTAATCCCAGCTACTCAGGAGGCTGAGGTAGGAGAATCACTAGAACCCAGGAGGCGGAGGTTACAGTGAGCTGAGATCATGCCAGTGCACTCCAGCCTAGGTGACAGAGCAAGATTCCATCTCAAAAAAAAAAAAAAAAAAGAAAGATAGGACAAAAATCTATAGAAGATATCTCCAAGAGAAAAAGAAAAAGAAATGTTGATATGACCAAAGAGTTTGAAAGTATAAAAAGATTTTTATTTCTATTGATAAGTTTAGGGTGAAAAAGTGAAATATACATGGAAAATCAAGAAAATGAACAAATAACACAACAATTCCAGAGAAAATAATAAATTGTACAGGAAAAAAATGAGATCACACTACGGGTAACAGAATTGAAAGAAGTTCCATGTGAAGAGACGAAACTGAGGATGTGGCATGGGAGAGCAAGAGACTGCATTTTCATCATAAACCTAACAGTGCTATTTGATTTTTTAAAAGCTGTATATTTATTGCTTAGAAATTTATTTTTTTCTTGAGACAGGGTCTCACTCTGTCACCCAGGCTTGAGTGCAGTGGCATAATCACGGCTCACTGCACCTTCAATCTCCTAGGCTCAGGTGATCCTCCCACCTCAGCCACTACCTTTTTAACTGCTATAGATCTAAAAGCAATGGTCAGCAAGCATTTAAAAATGTTTGAACATATACATAGATATACCTAAAAGACTATTCATTGAAGCACATAGTCTGTAACAACAAAAATGTGAAACATTTAAATGTTCATCAATAGGACTGGCTAAACAAATATGAGTAAATTCGTAAAATAAATGAACTATTTCACAGCCTTTGAAAATAGAGGGTAGGCTGATTTGTATCGACATGGAGCAATCTCTCCATATATTGTTAAGAAGATCAAGTTGCAGAATAATATGTACCAAAGCGAGCATGTGTGTGTGTATGTGTGCATGCATTTATATCTTTGTATGTGTTTATATGTACATAGGAACATGCATGAAAGGATACAATATAACTATTAACTGTGGCTATCTCTAGGGAGTGATTAGAGTAGGGTCTGGAGGACTTCCACTTTTTCTTTCTAAATATTTATTGTCTGTATTTTTTACAGTGAGCAAGTACTACTTCTATTATTAAAGTCCACAAAGATAGTATTTTTTTTTTAACTAAAACACAAGGGAGAGGTAGACCCAATTGCACCTGAAGAGGCAGAGGGCAGGCAGGCCCATCAGGAGGCATACTGGTCCTGGCCAGAGTGCTGAAATATGGCACCAGCGGGGAGGACAGAAAAGTGGAGAGATTCAGAGGTAGCAAAGTGTGGCATATGCTTTGTATTAATTTGCTAGTAATGATGAGGAATTTGTTTTGATAGTTTATATTTTGTTGTAGAATGGAATGAAGAGATGGCCAGGATGTAGAACTTCCAAAGCTGTGAATACCCATGTAAAGCACTAGGTATTTCTTCTCAGAGAATTAGCCCAGCAGCTGACAGCAGCTGGGTATCAAGTGGGCTCTAGTTCCCAAACCCCTTTGTGGTCAGCAACTGCCCTGATTTAGCCCTAATGGCCTATGGTCTTCACTACAGCCAGGACTCCTGGGCCCCCTTTTTCTGCTTAGTCAGTGCCTTCAAGGCTTTTCCATACCCACGGTGAGAAGAAGCAAAGAAAGGCAATGCAAACTGGGATGCGGAGGGTGTGTGTGGAGAGTATGTTTGGAGGGTGGGAGGTATTTAAATCCGACATTGGCTGTGCCTGCTTTTGTATTCTGAAAGTGACTAGGGATGGATGGGGCTGTAGAGAAAGATGTGAGGGTAAGCTGACATAATCCATGCAATGTGGATGCAACTGTGCAGCTCCCGCCCACTGTGGAAACAAGTAGAGGAGGAAGAAGGAGTGAGACCCAGAGAATAAGCCCCACCGTCTAGCAGAGTGCTAACAAATCATTGGTTATGCAAAGGGAGGTCCAGAGCTGGTTTTGGAAGGAGAAGCAAAGGAAAGAAAAGTGTGAACAAGTACAGGTTCATGAACGACTGAAGTCTGAATTGGTGGAAAGAACAGAGGGACAATAATCAGTATAAGAATATCTGATATTCAATTCTAAACTGCTTGTCCATCAGTGATGTAAACCTTCTGGTTCTCCTCCAAACAGTAAAGACATAAACCAAAGGCCTTCCTTATGATTGTGGATTGTGGAGTGGGCATAGATAAAAGCAATGGATGACTTCCATATCTAAGAGACAAAGATATGAAATAATGATGGCCCATTCAGGACAGCAAAACAATTCATAAATCTGGGGGTAAGATAATTTCATCTGAATCTTGAAAGAGGAAACAGCTCATTCTAACATCTGGGTTAGATGGTGACTGATAGAGTTTGGATGTGTATCTCTATCCAAATTTCATATTGAAATATAACCCCTGATGTTGGAGGTGGGGCCTGGTGGGAGGTGATTAGATCATGGGGGCGGATCTCTCATGAATCGTTTAGCACCATCCGCCTGGAACTGTTCTCATGATGGTGAATGAGTTCTCTGGAGATCTGGTTGTTTAAAAGCATGTGACATCTCCCCTCTTGCTCTCTTGCTCCTGCTCTGGCCATGTGATGTGCTTCTTCCCCCTTCACCTTCCACCATGATTGTAAGTTTCCTGGGGCCTCCCCTGAAGCTGAGCAGGTGCCAGCACGATGCTTCCTGTACAGTCTGCAAAATTATGAACCTATTAAACATTCTTTATAAATTACCCAGTCTCAGATATTTCTTTATAGAAGTGTAAAAATGGCCTAATACAGTGACAAAATCCTTAAAGTGCCTTGAATATGCAGCCTATAAGGATCAGCCTCCCATGTATGGGGCGGTGGAGAAGAGTGGGAATGTACCTCAGGGGCCCAGAGAATTCCCAGCACACAAGGACACCTCGATTTCGAGGAGGGGCAGAGAAATGCAATTATCTCATATGCCCCAAAAGCAGGAGATGGAAACATTTGTTGAATAGTGAAAGTGACAACCAAAGTAGGTTCACTGACTGAGGAAATTTCTTGAATTGTTTAGAAACCAGTGCAGAAATTATGGGGCTTGTGTGGGTTACGGGGCCGCTACTACAAAGTCCTCTTTAACCAGTGCTCTACACTTTCCAGTGTATTATTCACTCCTCAAAAATGCCCTATGAAGGAGGATTTCTCAGCCCTCATGATGCTGTACCCTGTTGCCAGGGAGCCAGGCCAGTTTGCCTGTATGAGTATATTTGAGAAGTGATTATAAAAAATGTGTTTTTTTACTTCCTTTACATTTATATAATACTTTGGAGTTTACAAAGCTCGTTTATAAAAATGGTCTCATTTTGTACTTGAAATGATAACCTTTTAGGCAGGGAAAATGTCTTTGAGAGGTCAAGCGTCCAAAGCGACAGAGTGAGTTAGCAGCATTCGCGAGCTGTCATTGTGAGACAGACCCTGAACCAGGCCCTAGTGGTGCAGCTACAAAGAACATCAGATCCTTTGCCACCTGCGCCTCCTTGCCTTGTGGCCATAGGAGGGTCTTTCATTTGGGGATAGAAAAAGCTGGCACAAGCTGCATAGCTTACAACAGTGCTGGTGAGTTCCTGGAGCAGCTGCTGCCTGAGCATTCTCAGATGCTCATGCTAGGAGCTACTCAGGGGGATCTTGTTGGTTGAAAGTCTGAGTCGACGCACGGAAAGCAAAGATGGTCTTGTCCTTGCTTGTTTTGACTCAGCCATCCCAGTGGGGAGCTTTGAGAACAACAGATTCCAAAATACAAGACTAGTGGTTGCTCTGGGAAAATGCACCGCCCCACCCGCCACCCCAATGCATCTGTTAATTAGCTTGATTTTGCCATTTCATGGTTTCTAAGTATTTCAGAACATCATGTTGTACAAGATAAACATACAATGTTTATTTGTAAATTTAAAATAGCCAATTAATTTTGAAAAATCACCCCACTCCCATCCTCAATGAAACCTCTGATCTGAAAATATGAGTGCCAGGTTTGTTGAGTCAGTGTGACTCATCAAAACCTAGAAGCAAACAAGAGGATCCTTTTTGCTCTTTTCTTTCTTCAAATCTAGAGTGATTCCAAAATAGAGAATTCCTGGTTTCCCCTTTTTTGGGTTTTACTCAGGGGCATTTCCAGACCAAAGTGCTCCAGGAGAACAAATCTTACCCTCAAAAGCAAGTTTGCAAGGGGAGAAGAATCTATCTTCTGGCTTTGGCAAATCTCTCTACTCCCCCATCCCCTGGGAAAGTCAGAGAGACACCACCTGTTTTACAGATGAGACTCCAACTGAGGCCCAGGAGCTTAATGTGGAGCTGCGCTAATGTGGATGATCACCTGCAGAGCTGGGGTTCACTTCAGCTCCTCAGTACCCCCCACCCCTTGCTCAACGTGTGCTGTGGCTGCAGATGGTCTTGCTGGCCATGCTGGATCTGCCACTAGTATCCACGTGACCTTGGGCAAAATTCTCATTTTTTCTGTGATTCAGTTCAGAGGTGGACTGAAATGGGGATGATAATAGTTAACTCCCTCACAGGGTAATACATGATAATCTCTCAAAAATGGTAACTACTACTATTGTCATTATAATTTTATTGCACAGAGAGAGTTCCAGCCCCACCCCAGGTTTCCAAAATAAAATTATTTCAATTTCTGAAAAGTATTTTATCCCAAAAGAAAGCTTAGAGAAACACAAGTTTACTTTCAGATATCCTCCTTACCTGGTAGGAGACAGAGAATGTCGGGACACATCAGCTGTTGGAAGCAGAGGCTCAGTGACATGGAAAGAGCTTGGGCTTCTGTGCCCAAGCCTTGAATCTGAGCTCTGCTGCTCACCACCTATTTGAGCTTAGGCAAGTTGTTGAACCTCTCCAAGCTCCATTTCTTCCTATAGGCCAGGAACGCTATGTAACCCCAAGAGCAGTTGTGAGGATTAAAGATCACACATGCAAAAAGCCTTGTATGGTGCCTGCCTTATGGTAGGCTCTCAATAACTGTAGCTAGTAATTTCATTCTTAATATTTCATTTAATCAATGGCTAATTCCTGTGACCCATGACAGAAGTGCACATGCACACATCCACACAGACACTTGCATATTCCCCTTTCAGGCCTGGAACGGCCATGCATGTGAGTGGGGCCTTCTTCTCCTGGAAGAAATTGGTCCAGCTATTGATATCAAGAGCAATGAGGGATAGATGAGCAAACTAACATGGAAGGGTAAAATAGAAGAATAGCCACAATGTGAATGATTGCATTGCACATTACACTTTACAAAAAGCTCTAAGACTGCCAAGATGCTGTCACCCAAATTGTCTCAGGTCAAGTTTGAAGAGGCGATCTAAACTGACATCCCAAACAAGACCTGTGTTTCTGAGCAAACAACCCTTATTGTAGACCATAAGCAATTTTTTGAATCTTCTCTCCTTGCTCCTTCGTTAATTTGCGTACCTAGATAGTTGGGCAAAGATTACTGTTTGTACCAGTGGACTTCCATTTCAAGCATTAGCCTTGTGCAGTAAATCCTAAACAAAACCCCAATCTCAAAGCTTCCTAAGTGAATAGACAGAAGCCACTTCACCATGATCTACTGGTGTTTTACTTTTTTTTAACCTTGTTATAGAGCTGGTCTCAGATGCCAAATATATGAGACATTTTTTAAAAAAATATACGGTAAAAATTGATTCTTAATCATTATACTATCTCTTGGACTATTGCCTTTCTCTTGAAGTGAATTCAGATTAAGACTAATTTGTATTGATTTTTAAAATCTAAATTGCATGTTCCTCTAACTACATTCAAAAGACAGAACTAAGTTTTATATTATTGTTTAAGCCCTTTGGAAAACTTAAGCAAATAATATTTATAGGTGACCCCAGTCTGCACTGAGAAAGATCATATTACTTTTAGTGCTTTACATTTGATGTGGTGCCCTAGGAATTAGATGGTCCACTTTACATATGTATTACTTGAAACCCTACCTTTCCTCATCCCCCGCACTACACCAGAAGAACAGGAGTGGAGAGAGGGAAAAAAATTTGTGCTTGGGTAAGATTAAAGATGAGAAATTGTTCACAGGCAAGTTCTGGTTTTTACCTTGGTGCCTAGAACAGCATTCAGCACAGAATAGACACAATAAATATTGATTAATAATATTGGTAATCTACACTAATGGAGGGGATTGTGACATAGTTAACCAATGTTTATGAATATTTTGACATGAACACATTAGCTGTTTCTATCTGCACATTTTCAAGGAAGCTTCCCTAGCATTTTCAGAATTCTCTGATACAGCCCAGGTGCCTCAAGGAAAAGTGGACCATCATCCCCAGCTCCAGAGACAGATTCTGATTCAAGGACTGGCGGTAGCTCTCCCATCCTCAATAGATAGCTTCTAGCTCACCCTACTGGTCTCCCTTCCAGGGAGAAAAAGAGAAGAGAATGGGGGAGCAAACACGAAGAAGGACAAGGGTGAAAGCAGCACACATCCCTTCTGCTCACTTTCCATTAGAGAGAATTGTTCACAGTGCCCCACCCAGGAAGGAAGCCTGGGAAATGGAATGTCTCTGGGAAGCCAGATGCCAAATTATGATTCAAATGCTATGGAAGAAGGGAAGAATGGAATTGGTGGATAACCAGCAATCTCTGCCACATTATTCTATGTATTGTCATCCAGCTGTCCACTGTTAACACTTGTGCACCACAAATCTCAAATTCCTTACTAAAAACAGCCCATTTGGTTTCCACACTAGTATCAGGGCATATCTTCCCACATTGCTTTGGAAGCTTGTTTTTAACCATCATTCCATTTGATCTTTGAACTTCAATGAGACATACTGGGCAAACATTATTGTGACTTGCCTAAGGTTACTTATTTTTTGGCAGAACTGGGACCTGACAAAGACTCTCCTGGACCAAACGCTACATAGTCTTCTCTGAAGGGCCCTACTCTTGGACATGCCCACAAAGGGCCAGTTTAGCAAGAATCCTGAAAAGTCAGTTTAATCAGAATCCCATACCCTTGATATCTGACCAAATCCCTTATTCCCTACCATGCCCCAGATGATGTCTGATTACCCTGGCCTGCCTTCAGCAAGAATCCTGTTAGGCCGCACTAGCCAGAATTCCTCTGCATTAGTCTATTCTCACATTGCTATAAGGAACTACCTGAGACTGGGTAATTTGTAAAGAAAAGAAGTTTAATTGGCTCATAGTCCCACAGACTATACAGGAGGCATGCCTGGGGAGGCCTCAGGAAACTTACAATCATAGCAGAAAGGTGAAGGGGAAGCAAGCACGTCTTCACATGATAGCAGGAGAGAGACAACATGAAAAGGGAAGAGCTACACACTTTCAAACAGCCAAATCTCGTGAGAACTCATTCACTAACATGAGAACAGCAAGGGGGAAGTCCACCCCCATGATTCAATCACCTCCCACCAGGCCCCTCCTCCAACACGTGGGGATTACAATTAGACATGAGATTTGGGTGGAGACACAGAGCCAAACCATATCACCACCCCCATACTTAATGTTTCTTCTTAGTAATATTTCATCCATAGCCCCTCCCTCTTAGCTACGAATTCTCAATTTTTCTTGTTGCATTTGGAGTTGAGCCCCCTCTCACTCCCCTACTGCAAAACCCCATTGCATTAGTCCATATCCCTATTAGAATAGTCCTCAATAAAAGCTACTTTACCACTTTCCAACTGAATTCAGCTAATGGGAGACTCCATAAGAAATCAGAGGGTGGGAGGCACAAGAGATGGAGGATCTCATTCTTGCTGCTTTCCTAATTCTCTGAAACTAGCTGCATCAGTCCATGACTCCCCCTTGCCAGGCAGCCCTTTCTCCTTGGCCCCAGGTCTCTCAGTGCCCCAATCACACTCTTTTCTCCCCTTACCCCTTCAGTATTTGGAAGACAGAAAGAAAGTATTTGTGGCAATAACAGTTTCCACTACTTCTAGTCTCTGGCTGCATCAACATCCCTTGATGGTTTTCTTAACTTTGCCTTAACCTTGCCTCTTCCTTATATTCATATTTTCTCATTTTAACTATCTGGGACTAATTATTTCCTTCTAGGACCCTGACTGACACAGAACACAAGTCGGGCATCAGAATTCTAGCTAGAGCAAGTGTGGTTATGTATCATCTTTACCTCTGCAATAAGCATGCCACAGTCATAACATATCCATCACAATAACCCTATCTTCTCCCAATTCAGGGTGTAGGCATCATCAGGGAAACGTAGCCAGCCTGTGGTTGTAGAGTTATTTCTTTATTCTTCTCTTTCTTTTGAAGATGCAGATTTTGTTCAATGCTTTGTGGCTTGTGGTTCACCTGCTGGTGATGCACTCAGAAGCAGTGGGGAGGTTAATCAATCCCTCTGAAAGCATGTAGAACATTGGGATGCTGTCTTATGCAGATCAGAATGTCTTTCCAGAGCTGCCAATGACTAAACAAATTCTTAACAGTGAACATGCGGGATTACTATCCATAAAGAAAAGATTAAATCTGGTCTAAGAGGCATTTGGCAGTATTAACAACAATGTAATAGCTAACATTCATTGAGCACGTATTTTGTGCCAAGCCCTGTTCTCAGGACTTTACATGTGTTTCCTCATGTAATCTTCATGAGCAAGCAAGGAAATATATCTTGGGAAAATGATAACACTTTTTGTTCTGACTTTATAATCAGAGAGCATTGAAATAAAAGAGAACTTGCAGGTCACTGAGTTTACCTTTCTTTCTGTAGATGAGGGAAGTGACTTGATGTGGCTTTTCAACATTTGTGTGGCTAAATGGTGGTGGTGACAAGATGACACCCCAGATGCCTCTTTGTTTGCCTCCAAACATATTAAATCTGCAAGCCAACATGAAGCCATAAGTTATCAGTTCAGCAACTCATGAGCCAATTAATCTGACAGAAAGAAAGGGAGATAGTCTCAGTAAAAGATATTCTACGTTCTTGCCATTTGCACATTAGCTGCATCAGTAGTTGCAGAGAAAACAGACATAGTAGGTAAGCCCTGAGTTCGTGAAGTTCATAGGCACTTTTAAGGCCAAGTGGTTCCCCATAACCAAAAGGAAAGACACCCTCCCTCCCCAGGACAAACTGAGATTCTGAAGATGAACTTGTTACCATCCCTGTTCTGGCCTCATGGAGGGGTCAAAAACAACTCTCTAGATAAGGGCTCAGCAAACTTTTTCAGTAACAGGCCAGGTAATACTTCAGGCTTCGCAGGCCATGCAGTCTCTGTCACAACTACTCAACTTTAATATTCCTTCAAGCTCTAATCTGCTATGTCTTTATTTAACTTTTATTAGTCACAGTTTGGATGTCATTGTTTTCTACACTGGGAAAAGGAAAAATTAGACACTCTTTTAGTACCTGACTTCTGTTTCTGGCATTATTGCAACCTACATTCAAAGAATCCCCTGCTAATATGGCACAATTAAAAACGCTGAATAAAATATTTTTAAAGTGAAGCATTGGCTATGCTGATAGAGAATTTCTTGGCAGTCAGAAGGAAAATAGAGAAGGTGCTAATCCACAGGAGGAAGTTATGGAACCAGCATTTGCCCTGGAGAAATATGTCCGTTTTGGCTGTCTATAAGCAGAGTTTAAATACACCTCTACAGAAACAGGAGACACAGCCTAGGGCCCAAGTAAAGAAAGAAGTTGTATTGAAGACTCACCTAAAGCCAGGATATTCAAGGGATAATACTTTCATTGGGAAAAATAGAAAAAAAAATCACCCAACAAAGGAAAATAGTTGAAATACATGCTTGTCTTAGCCTTGGCTCTAGATAATTGAAAATAAAAACAAAAAATTCCTTGTAAGCTTCATTCATGCACGCCAACTACCTAGACCAAAAGAAATGTAACATTTTAGTTTAAATTAGTCCTGGATTGGTAATGCCAGCAAAACTAGGAGATGTACAAGTTTTTTATGGAGGAAAAACTTTAAAACTAGACCTCAAATAATTTCCACGAATAAAGACTTATGATGTAGCCTGAATAATGGCCCCTCAATATGTCCATGTTGTAACCCCCAGAACCTGTAATTGTTACCTTAAATAGCAAAAGAGACTGCAGCTGTGATTAAATAAAGAACTTTAATATGGAAAAATTCTCCTAGATTATCTGTATGGGCCCTAAATAGAATCACAATTGTCCTAATAATAGGGAGACCAAGGGATATTTGACACAGACAGAAGGTAATGCGAAGACATTGTAGGAGGAAATTTGAAGATGTTACACTTCTAGCCTTGAAAATGGAAAAAGAAACCATGAAGTTAAGAAGAGCAAAAAAAAAGTCCAGCTCTGGAAGCTGGAAAAGGCAAGGGAACTATTTTTGAGAACTCCAGAGGGAGTGCCGCCTTGCTAACAGTTTGGTTTAAGTCCATTAAAACCCTTTTTGGACTTCCAACTTTCAAAACTATAAGAGAATACATTTATGTTGTTTTAAGCCACAAAGTATGTGATTGTTTGTTACAGAAGCAACAGGAAACTCCAAGGAATACAAAGTCCAAGGAATATGAGCTCATAATTTTTTCCAAAAAAAAAATCACTAACTACACAAGGAAATAAACTATCATGAGAAGGAATATGCAGAAACAACATACCATTAAATCAAACCTGTAAACAAGCAGATATTATGTTTAATGAAAGCAGAATATAAAATAAGATTGATTAACATATTTGAACAAATAAAAGAGAAAACTAATAGTACAACAAAGGAACGAAAACATAAAATATATCAGGCAGATTTAAAAAAAAACAGAATTTCTAAATGTGAAAAGTATAGTAACTAAAATTAGAAATTTAATATGTGTTAGACACAGCTAAATAAAAAAATAATGAACTGGAAGATAAATATAAATAAATTACCAGATAGAATATAATTCAGTACAAGGGGGAGATGAAAAATATGAGAGAGAAAATAAAAAGCATGGAAGATAGAGATTGTCTAATATATATCTAACAAAAGACATAGAAGAAGAGAATGATAAGAATGAGAATGAGAAGAGCAAGAAAGTTTTCAATGAGATAATTACTGAGAATTTTTCAAATAGAGTGAAAAACATCAAATCCTCAAATTTAGGAATCTCAATATATCCAAAGCAGAGTAATTTTTTTTTAAATTCACACCTAGACACAGTGTATAACACTACAGGACACCAAAGATGAAAATCATCTTGGGGAAAAAGAAATAGGGTCAGATTACCTAAAAATGAAATGTTAACAATTGGTTAAGTAAAAATAAAAGTCCAAATTCAGTTTGTTCGGTCTATACTAGTCCACTCAGCAAAACTATTTAAAAGCGGAAAGCAGTAAAAATTTTAAAACATTTTTAGATAAACAAAAACTGAGAGAATTTATACCAATAAAAGCGAGTAAAAGAAATTCTAAAGGCAAAATTAACATGATACTAAATTTTTAGATATTTAACAATTTATTTGCTCATTATTGTCTCATTAAAGACAATAATAGCAAATAAATAGTCAAGAGAGGAGAAGGTTAAACTTTTTTTTATTCCTTATGTTATTTGAGACAAAGGTAAAGATATAAATAAATTTAGACTTTTCAGAATAAATGTTAAACTTTCTAGGGAATAACAAAAATAATATAAGTAAAATTAAGACTTTCAAATTAGTAGAGAAAAATGTAATGAGGAAGAAAACATTTCACTTAATCAGACAAACTTTAAGAAAAAGAGGAATTAAAGTCTACAAAGGGCAGGCCAAAGATAAAGTATAAAAGAATGTTATGTATCAAAATATATCAATAAACACAAATGCAAATAATATAAATTGGCTACAGTCTCCAGTAAAAGACAAAGATTTTTAAAATTTTTTAAAATATGAAATTCTGCATTGTTACTTTCACGAGACATATCCAAAACCTATGGCACAGAAAAATTGAAAGGAATGGAAAAAGATACCAGTAAAATTCTCATTCAGCTGACATCTGAGTTATATGCATATCAGAAAAATTTATTGTAAAAAAAGCATTACTAGAGATAAAATGATCATTGACTATTGATTAAAGGCATAGTTTACAAGGAAGCTAAAACCGATGTAAATTTGTACCTAATAATACAAATCTAAAATATGTATATGTAAATGACAGAAGTAAAAGACGAAATTAATACATCTTCCTCATAGCAAAACCCTTTAAGACACCTCTGTAATTAAATGACATATCAAGCAGTAAAAAAAAATCCCATAAGAATACAGGTTTGAACCACATGATTAACAAGCCTGTACCCAACTGTACCCAACTGCTTCACATTATACCACATTTCTAAGCATAAATAGAACATTTATGAAATTTGGTCATTTAGCAGCCATAAAGCAAGCTTCAATAACTTCCAAAGTATCAGTATGGAAACATATTCTTCAATCACAATGAGATTTAAATTTTATAATCAAATGATAACTAATTAGGACCATATTCCTGCCTCCAAGAAGTTTATACTCTACAGTCAGAAACATAGCAAGAAGCAACTAATTAGAATAAAAGCCAGGATGAAATATGAAATAACTACATGTAGAAATGTGAAACGCATTGTGAGGGAACATAAAGAAAGATGAGCAGATTCTGACTAGTGGAATCTGGGGCAACCTAGAGGATGTGGTAACATCCAGACTCTGTATTGAAATGCAAGGATGATGAAGCTTGGGAGTAACAGCTTGTCCGGCAAAGGCCCGGGATTAGAATGGAATGACAGCAGTTTGGGGATGGTCCTCAAGTTAGCGTTTGCTTCTTTTTTTGTTTTTTTGAGACAGAGTCTCTCTATATTGCCCAGGCTGGAGTGCAGTAGCGTGAACTCAGCTCACTGCAACCTCTGCCTCCCGGGTTCAAGCAATTCTCCTACCTCAGTTCCACAAGTAGCCGGGATTACAAGCACCTGCCAGCACACCCGGCTAATTTTTTGTATTTTTAGCAGGGGTTTCTTCATGTTGGACAGGCTGGTCTCAAACTCCTGACCTCAGGTGATCCATCAGTGTCAGCCTCCCAAAGTGCTGGGATTACAGGCGTGAGCCACCGTGCCCAGCCTCAAGTTAGCTTTTCTAAAGCAGAGATTATTAATTTTTCTTGTACTGTGGACCTCTTTGGCAATATGGTGATGTCTGGGGAGCACCTCTCAAATTTGCTTATATTGCATAAAATAAAATATGTAGATTTGCAAAGGAAGCCAAATCTACTGAAATCATTATCAAAATATTCAAAAATATAATTTGTGTTGTATTATAATAATAATGTGTGTGGGTCTAATAACAAACAATTTCAAAGCAATAATGAGCTATGAACAATCTACTTTGAGAGATCTGCGACAACTGTAATGTGATATGAAAATATCTGCAATTTCTACTGGTGACAAAGACACATTATTGCTAATACTATTGTGCCACATTTGTAATCAAAGAAAATGTTAAACTTCAGTTAAAAGTGAGTGAAATTTAAGTTGTAATTTTTTCCCAGAATTTCATCTATAAAAATGTTATAGGAAATAAATTATACTGATCATGAAGTACTTTCAGTGTTAGATTAAAGGAATTTCAACATTTTTTTCCCGTGCTCAATAGAAATTATGAAAATTTTGACTCAATATTTAAAGTTTTGTGTTATTTTGTTGTGCTTTATTTTCTCTTGCAATAACTAACTATTGAGTGAGACTGATACTTCCCCCCTAACCTAATTATTTTGGAAAATGTCCCATAAAAATTCATACTACTTAAAGTGCAATAAAAATGACAAAGAGGATTTTAGCATGGAGTTGCAGATGTGGAAAATGGACCATGGAGACATGCTACCAATCTAGCAGTAAGCATCTGTGTATAATGGTCTTTGCACAGGTCCTAAAATTTAAGGTGTCTCTGTGACCTTCTACTGCGTATGATGGAGGCTGAACTATGATCACTTTTCTAACCATCACATTCAAGTCTTCATCTACCACCTCATGTTTGCATAGCAAGTCTGTTTTAGTTGCCTGAAGTACACATGCCTCATTTTCGTAATCTACTATAGTCTATTTCTGTGCACTGAAAGACAGTCCAATTCAGTATTCCACACTTCAATATTAATTTGTCTTTTCAGCTATTTCAACAGAGGATGTGTGTCCTCCGTTACAACTTGGCTGAAATCCATCCGTCATTCTATTGACCTACTGGAAACAATGTCCAATGCATTCTGGCTCACAGATTAAGTTTGCTTTAGTTACCTATGAAACCAGGACACTGTTGAGTATCTTTTTTAAAAAAAGAACATTCGCAATGACAGATATTTTCTGCCTAAGAATGAATATACAGTCAGTCCTCCATATCCATGGTTTTACATCTGTGGATTCAACCAACTGCCAATTGAAAATTTGAAAAAAAAAAAGGATGGTTGCATCTCTGTGAACATATACAGATTATTTTCTTATCATTATTCTCTAAACAATACAGTATAACAACTCTTTACATAGCATTTACATTGTATTAGGTATTATAAGCAATCTAGAGATGATATAAAATGTACAAGAGGATGTGCCTTAGGTTATATGCAAATACTATGCCATTTTATTTAAGAGACTTGAGTATCCATGGATTTTGGCATTTGTGGGGGTTAGAGAGGGTCCTGGCACAAATCCCCCATGGAAAGCAAGGGACAACTGTACATCATAAAAATTAGCATATAGAACAATGGATTAGGAGCTTTCAAAATTTCAAAGGTTAAGCAGATCACTCAAAATTACAATCGTTAAGTGGATAGATATGCATTTACTGTTGACCTAAGAACATTCTATGCTTTTTCTTTAAATGCTGATTTATAAAAGGCATTTCCCCCAACAGTTTTAGAAGAAATACTGAGCAACACATGTCGATCATTTTGAAATAGAGTATCTGTTTCTACAAAGAAAGAATGAGCCATTTTGGAAGGAGAGGAACAAATTATTTTCCAATATAAAATTTTCCTTCAGTAAACATATTTCTGAGACCAAGAGAGGAGGGTGAAAGGGTTTTTTGTTTTGTTTTGTTTGTTTGTTTGTTTTAAAATTTCCTTAAGGATGTATGATCCTTACTGAAATTGTACACAGAAAAATCCAGTGTAATTTTAATCCTTCTTATCTGTGATGCAGTTAATTGCATTATAAGAAAGGGTTGCTGTGAATTATTTGCTATTTACATCATCCCAAACAAATAGGAAACTGGCAAATAGTCGTTTCATAAATGTGAAGTGGGCAGGAGGATTGGGGTTTTTCTTCAATTGCTAACAAGGAAGAATGCAGTATCTTCTTTATCAGGTGAAGAGGGACTCCACTGACAGGACAAACAGAAAAGCCCCATCGGAATTCGGCTCTGCTCTTCACACTGTTTACAAATGCCTCTTTCTCTAGGCAAGAAGCAAATTGTTCAGTCTGGGTCCCAGGATTGCTTTGCCCACAATAGCTACATAACATACTCTATGTTACCGTGAACTGTGATTTTATTTAAAAAGATGTCTTTTCTAGATTCAAAGAGAGGAAATAATTCCTAAAGTAGATCTCTTTCAAGGACTTCTAAGAATAAAAGATTCTCTCCACTTCTCTCAAATATTAATATGCATTTTGGAAAGTAGTTATTTTGAAAATCCATACTTCACAGACGGCTATATAGATTTTCAATTGCATTTCAATTTCAAATCAATTCTTACATTTGCCAGAAACACTGGTCCTAAAAATGGACTCTTCTCTTTTGCTAATTCAAAACTCTATGTATGTGTGTATGTGTAGGTATATGTATAGATATACATATATGTGGTTGTGCGTATATAAAACTTACAATCACAGACTATTTAACACATTTGATTTTAAAAACTAAAAAAGTAGATAATTGTGGAGAATGTTGAATATAAGTTAAAAGAAATATGAGCCAACTTTTGACAATAATTATCTTTAGAAATTGTTAGATCTGTAAACTTCAATTATTGGCTATCATACACTTCTACAAAATTAAGATTTTTTTTCATTCACAAATTAGCCAGCATTTTTTTTCTGTTATATAGATTGCTAATTCAGGTTCAAGTCCCAGCTCTTCTACTTTCTAGCTGCCTGACCTTGTAAATCACAATCACTCAGAAACAGTCAAATGAGGATAAAATTATCTCCCTCTAAGGTTTTGAGGATTAAATCAGATAATGAATGAGAACATGCTTTGTAAGCTATAAAGTGTTATTGAAAGATTAAGTATCACCAGTACTTTTTAAAGTACAAACTGAGATATCATTACTCATATTTGATATATTGTAAAATGTGTCTCTCAACCCTCTTGTCTTCCTGAACCTCTCTCCCTTTCTGAATTGGCATGGAAACTTATTGTTTCTGCCAAATGAGTCTGGATGTGAACAGCCATTGATTTGAGGACATGTGTCAACGTTACCCGCAAAAAAAAAAAATTGCCACCACATACCATTACAAAATTCACCGGGCATTTTATTACCTCAATAGGGAATACAGAAACAATTAAGTAGAATGCATGGAGATGCCACTGTGTTCGTCAAAAAAAGCAAAATAGTGGCAAATTTATACGGTTCAACCTATTGTCTATTGAAATATGGACACAAAAAGACTTCAACTCCACAGGGCATATTTAAATAAAATAAAGAATTATTAGTTGCCTTGAACACACATGAGAAAAAACAAAAAGCAAATGATCAAAATGAACAATAAATGCTTGATGACTATTGCCTGACCATAGAAAAAGGGGAGTTGAATTATATTATCTCTGTGGCTTTTCAACTAAATATATATATATAATTTTTTTCTTACTGTGGTAGCTTGTCTCTAGTTAGTCACTATGTATCCCATCCCTCCCTGTTTGCCCATGCCATTCTTTCCTTGAGAGGTAGAGTCTATGCCAGAAGAACCAAGAAGTTCTCCACCTACTTGCTAATAAAATGGTATGGACGTAACACTCTGTGAGGCTAGGTCACAAGAAGCCTTGCAGTTTCTCCCTGCTCTTCCTGGAGTGATCACTCTGGAGGAAGTAAGCTGTCAGGTAAGTAGTCCAGTTCTTGAGACTGCCATGCTATAGAAGCCCAAGCCACATGGAAAGGCCCTGAAGGAAGGCACATCACATGGAGAGAGAGAGAGAGAGAGAGACCAAGGAGTGCTGAGGTACCAGTGCCACTTCATGCAAGTGATGAAGCCATTTTGGAAGTGGATGGTCCTGCTACTGTCCAGGTTAATGCCACTAGACCAAAAATGAATCACCCCATTGAGCCCTTCCTAAATTCCTCACCCAGAAAATCATAAGCAAAATAGAATTATTACTGTTTCCACCTACTGTAGGGGTAGTTTGTTACTCAGCAATAGGGAACCAGGCCATTGAAATTGGGAAGTGACTTCTAATAGCACAGAAACTTTAATGCAGGAAAGACAGACCTTTCTAAAAGCAGCTTGAACCTGAAAATAATGTTTAGCCATGTCACATCTACTTCCCGGGAGTTTTGTTAGATAATTGCATAGATGTTTGGGGGCCTTTTATTTCATTCAACAAACATGGGCTGTCTAGTAATTGGCAGAGCACTCCCATAAGGAGTAGTGGAAGAGATGTGAATAAGTACAATAAGAGAGGTGGACACCTCAGAGATTCTACAAAAGCTTCACAAAACATGTGGTATGCACTGATGATCTTAAAGGATTTTTAAAAATATTTTGATTTTGCCAAAAACCACATTGTTTTCTAAACCGCTTAATTCTCATTCTTCTCATTCATTATTGTAGGGAGCTTAAATCAAAAAGAATTAGAAAATGGTAGTATATTTTGTTTAAATAATTGTCTTTAAAACACTATCTTCCTGGGACAGGGAATAATTATTTGAAAGAACTATCATCTTTCAATTTCTTCTCCTGAGACATTTCCAAAGTGCAAATAAAAGAACTGAGAAGAATCCTGAACAATATAAAGACGATATAGTATTAAATGTCCAGCTAATAGTGAATCATATGATTCAATTCAACAGAGAAGGCTCCACTAAGTCTGTAATAAAAAAGTAATGAGGTTTTATAACAAAACTGAAAAGCCCTCTCTGAAATGCAGATAGAAATCTTTTCAGTACAAAGATGAGAAGGATTTGCAATTGAACGCTGAAAATGCACACAAGTGTGAAAACCATGACTGATGAACTTTAAATATGTAACAAATCTTTAGTTACATATTTCAAAATTTAGTTACATTAATCAAAATACACAGTAGCATAATAACGGCATCTCATCACCCTTACCCCTTCGCAATTGCAGTGTTAAACAAGGAGAGCACAGAGAGGAAAAGAAAGCACTTTCAAGCTGGAAAGAACCTTGAAGAACAGAGTTCACCTTTCTTTTTTTACAATTAAGGAAGCAAGATCCTCAACCAGAGGTAGTTTGCTCAAGGACATGTAACGAGTTTGTGCCAGAAACAAAGCAAGAATCCTGATATTCTGACCCTGGACGAACAATCAGGTTTCTTCCTCTATTGTTACTTAAATCCCCCAAATTAATTATTTTTATAAGTGTTTCTAAAAATATGAATTCAAAGTATAATATGTGAATTTACTTGAAATAAACAAATTTGTCAAAACATATTGGCTTGCTACTAACAGGACAAGGAAAGCCAAGATCAAACTTTGTCATGACTAACAAAGGAACATCTTATGTTATAAAATACCATGTGCTTTGCTTTTTTTTTTTTTTTTTTTTAGATGGAGTCTCGCTCTGTCACCAGGCTGGAGTGCAGTGGCGCCATCTCAGCTCACTGCGACCTCCCCCTCCAGGGTTCAAGCAATTCTCCTGCCTCATCTTCCCGAGTAGCTGGGACTACAGGTGCATGCCACCACGCCCAGTTAATTTTTGTTTGTTTTTTTTTAGTAGAAAGGGGGTTTCACCATTCTGGCCAGGATGGTCTCAATCTCTTGACTTCATGATCTGCCTGCCTTGGTCTCGTAAAGTGCTTGAATTACAGGTGTGAGCCACCACACTCAGCCTGCACTCTTTTATCCTTCTTGTCTTCTTCAAGAAAACAAATAAAATCCTATCACTCTCTCTTCACATCAGACCCTGTGCCAGGTGTTAAAGGAGATTACAAAAAATAAATAAAATATAATCCCTGCCTTCAAGGAGCACACAGTCTAGTCTACAACTTTTCAATAAATATAAAATTATTCCAAAATAAAAAGATTAAAACAAAACGAACAAAAAAGAGATTCTTTGATTTGATCAGTTACCTCATTTGACCTTCAAAAGCAAAAGAGCAAATATTTCTTGCCAAAAATAAAAAAATTAAATCATTCAAACACCCTAGGTTTAAAGCTACAGACCCATTTTGCCATGAACTTACATAGCAGCAGTTTAACGCAGGTTGAATCAAATCTAAAATCTGTCTGTTAGTGGAACCAGCTCTTGAAAAATGTATAATTATTTTTTCATAGTAAGACATCACACTCCCTGAAAGCTCTCTTTATTCTCCTGTAAATGCAATCTGCCATCCCAGTATGTATGAGTTTTGGGTTACAAAGTCCTTTGGATTTAAAGGTCAATTAGTTTGGTTCCACTTTAATTAGAAGCCATCATAATAGTGCTGTGTGAGTAATTTATAGAAGCATAAATATTGACATCAATTTTTGTCAGATATTCTGATATCATAAACATCATGTAAATCTAAGCACCAGCAATCAATTTGCACATAATAGACTAATTTTATTAGAACTGTATGACTGCACTATTTGGTTTTTAGAGTCCCTCTCCTCTTGCTACATTAAATCATCGTTTTAAATCATGTCATAGTGTTCCTCACAGCAAGCAATCAAAAACAGAAAATTTAAGTCTATTGGATCTTTGCCTAATTTAATGATTTTTCTCCAGAGTTGTGCTCTCTCAGAGCCCTGCAATGAAGTTTTGGCCCTGTGCCTAGAAACACCTCCATGTTGCTTCGGAACCGGGTAAGTCACAAACCAAAGCAAGAGCAAGAAAAATCCTGTGTTGCTACTCGCGTATGGTGAAACTTCCATTAAAACAGTTTCTGCTCATTTAGGCTCCTGGGTGGAGACGCTCTCTGCTTGCTGCTCACTCTGAAAAAGGTGATTCGTGGTGGGGGGAGGTCACCGAATCTGTGACAAACCTCTAGGGCTATTCTGGCAGGTGTTTCTCAAGCTGCAATCCACAGATGTATTTGTAGGGGTCCTTGATTCCCTATGAATCTGTTTTGAATTTTGTTTCCAAAATTAATTTTCTTATTTATTATCTATATTGTTTATACTTTGTTTCTCTATGCTAGAATATAAGCTCCACTGGAGCAATGATCTTGTCCATGATATATTTGGATATATCCAAAATGCCTAGAATAGTGATGCACAGAGTAGAAATTTGTTGAATGGACTAGTTAAGATAAGCAAATTTTGAGTCATCTCGTTGACCACCGCATAACAGACAGCAATCTCAGGGTTTCACACCAGCATTTGGGCTGATATAATCACACTGCACTACTTGAGCAATACTTTAAGACAGTATTCCTCAAACTGGGATCCAGGGACCCCCGGGCTCTATGAAAATGTTCACAGAGGTTGGTACATTTGGAAGATGGAGAAACACTGGTCAAGCCCAATTTCCTCACTGCACATATAAGGAGACTAAAACCCGAAGAAGGGACGTGGCTTTCTCAAGGCCATTCAGTTAGTGGTAGAGCCAACATTAGCATCCATGTGTGTTATTTCTTAGTTCTGAGCCTTTCCCATTATACTTCACTCATTTCTCTTTTGCTCTTCTTGATCATACACTCAGTTCTAACTATGGAATCCAAAGCCTGAGTCAATCATTTGAATAAGAAAAGGAAGACATTTTATGTCAGAAGCTATTTTTTTTTTGCTTTGCATTATGCTATTAATTTATGATGTTTAAATATAGTCAAACCTTAAAATATTTTTAGTTTTTATGTGCTTACTATCACGGTTGCTTCTTACTCTATTTTATCTTGTTTAGACTATGAATAATCTGAGGGCCTGAACTATGTTTTTACCATGTTATTTACCAACATCCAGTTTCCAGTGGGTTTCACTTAGAATAAAACAAAAATGTAAAAGAAATACTCCCTTTATATCAAGAACATCAAACCAACCTCAACTTACACCTGTCCCAAAACTGGGAAGAACTCTCAGAAGCTGAGGATTACCCCTTCCCATCACAACCCTCAAATAGCTGTTTTTTCTGCCTTTTCTCAAATCTTTATTATTTTCCATATGCATTCCCAGTCCTAGAATATACATCATACCACTTGCTTTAAGAGAAACATAGCCCATTATGATAAAACAGGATCAAACAAAAAGCTTGTCTCAGAAGGTTAGTGTCTTCTTCAGTCATCTTTTATTCTGTTTATTTATGTTACTTAATTAAATTCATAGACTTTTCACTTATTTAAAATTATAAAATAAAGTTTAAGAAAATCATTGGGATGTTTTATTTGAAGATTTTGTAAATTATCCATCCAGGAACAGTGCTCCACTAGGGGATCTGTAGACTGGTTTTTCACAGCATCATAGAGTTACAGAGTTAGAATTGAAAAAAAAAAATTAGGATTATCTGGCCCACTACACGCAATAAAGAAACTGAGGCCCAGCAAAGGGAAATGATTTGTACAAGCTCACCCAGCTAGTCAGTGTGAGAATGGGATATGGAAAAGGTTTCCAAACTCCCATTTCAACGTTTCTCATGTTGATGGCATACAAGTAACTTATATCCAGCAAATATTTCTGATGCAGAAAATTCCTGATATAGAACCTACTATACTTCAGGAGGAGTTGATAATTGAGCCACATTAGGTCACAGGTGCATTTGAGGGCATTTATAGCTTTACCCTAAATTCCTTCTGATATGCCAATTTGTGCTTTTCCTGATAACAAAAAGAGAAGTATGACAAAGATCATACCTCCGTGGAGTTTATAATAGAGGCACATATACAGATAGCGATAGAAGTGAAAAGAGAGTTAGCAGCAGAGAATGTCAGGAAATTAGAAGAGAAGCCTCATGGTGTGGGGAGGGGTGTGGTAGCAGAGAGTCAAGGATGGTTTGCAGTCTAGTGCCACATCTCAATGTCATCAAAGACTAAGTTGATCTGGAGCATATGAGCTGTTTTTGTCTCAACCCTGGCAGTAGTTGAACAGTTAGGTTGTATGAGCAATAAGACTTCAGAATTAGATTAATCATTTGGGGTTTGATTGATTGCTTCATGATCAATCAATGTGGAAATAATGACTCCAACAATATTATAGAGTCAGTCTCAAAGTTTGAGTTATAAACAGACTCTACTAAACTCATGTGGAGAGTGGACCTCCAAAGCAAAAGACAGTCTTTGCAAATTCTTGCTTCAAAAGGGGCAACTGACCACAAGTTAGTCTTTGTAGTCACACTCACAACTAGTGCAAATAGTATCAACTTCTAACAGATAAAGACAAAACAAAACACAGACCAACAAATACCAAAAAAAAGGCAGATTTGTACATTCAGAGGCTGAATATTCTTTACCTTATACATCCAACTACTAAGTCCTGTCAAGTTTACTTCCAAGTCTTTATTTTTCTATTCATTAATATCTACTCTAACTCCATAATAATCCAAGTCATTCTTCACATTGCAGACATACAGAACTTCTCGATGCATAGATCTGAATTTCTAATTCTCTTGCTCAAGGATTATCTGGCCTTCGTTAACACTTTGCAGTAGGTCCTCATTGCCCATCACATAGGTTTCAGGTTCTTGAACATACTATCCAAAACATCTTTCCCCTAAGTTCCTTTTCCTTCCCCTTAAATACACCTAAGCTGTAACCATCATTTCCTTAATATGTCATGCTTGTTCATGTGTCCATAACTTTGTAAATGCTGTTCCCCATGCTTAGAATTCCCTTCCCTTATGTCTACCCAGAAAATGTCTAATCATTCTTTGAGACTCTTCTCAATTACCACCACACACATGAAAAAATTTTCTAGGCAGAACTATTGCTCTGCTCTTGATGACCATTAATTATTTGTACATAACTGTATTAGTATGTATCTTTCCTCATTATAATAATGTGTTTGCACACCTGACTGATTTCCTTGTGTGGGGACTCTCTTTTTCATCTTTGCACTCCACAGCATTCATCAATTTGCAGAATGAATAAAAGTCAAGTATTTGTTACATAGGGTAAGACTTTATGCTTTTTCTACAAATTTGATTAAAAATAAAAAACAGGTTAGCTGAACTGGGAACCCTGGACATTAAGTGAAATTCAAAGGTGCTGGTGAGAAATCAAATCATTTTTATGTGAGGATGATCACTAATACCCTTAAGCGGAGTAGAACATTTTATTTTAAAACAAGTGATTGATCTTGATAACAGCAAGGCAAGCCAAAGGACAAAGTCCTTTGGCTAGCTCCTTGAAAGCAGGGACTCCATTTTCTAGTTCTTTCTCATTACATGCAGCACCTTATAAAGTACAGGACACATAGCAAAGCCTTAATACATGTGGAGAGAACGAATAGTATTATAAAGATATGGATGAAACTCTATATTCTAAACTTGCCTCTCATTTTTCCCTTGCCTCTGACCTTGAATTAAGCTAGTTAATCTAAAATTAGTCAGCAATGTTAATTAATCTCAACATTAGCTATTATGATTGCCTTTGGAGAAGTTTCTCACTATCTTAGTATCTTAAACCTTATATATTTAACTTTAACCTATTTTTCTCCATACAGTTTTGGATCCCAGCCAGTTATTTGAGTGATTACTTTGAGGCCAAGGATGATCTTGACCAGCATGAGCACTTCTGTATGTGTGTTTGCAATGCTGTGCACACAGTAGGTTCTCAACAAATGTTTGCTGAAAGAGCAAAATAGATATCTACATTATTGAAGTGCAGAATTTAGCTGTAACACCTGTGTACAAATATACACAAATACATGGCATTCTGAAAAACAGAGAAAAAATATTTATCTGAAATAAGAATCATTTAAGCCAAGCACCAAGAAGAAAGGTGAGCATTTTAGAGATTTGGACAAGTAGAATAGTAGAAGTATGAGTTGGGGAATCAGCCAGACCAGGGTTCAATTCTCAGTTCTGTAACTTACCTGCTCAGTGACCTTGGGTAAAGACTTATGCCTCAGTTTCCTCCTCCCACAACACTGGCTAATGCCATCTTTTTAAAAGACTGTGGTTGAAACTAAATAAACTAATACATCTGAAAGCACCTGCCACTGTGCCTGGCACAAATCATTCACTCCATGATGGTTTGTTGAGGTTGGTCTTAACCACGACGGCTGCTTAAGCCTTCTTTACTCTTTCTGGAGTAGTGGTTGCTACTAATGATCTGCAGCTAGAGAACGCTGACCCTTTCGAGCTGTGTTACTCAAACTTCAACATGCAACAGAATACCCTGGAAGGCTTGTTAAGAAACAAAGTGCTAGGTAGCCTCCACCGCTGTAGTGTTTGATTCCTTAGGTCTAGGGTGAGGCCAAGAATTAGCATTTCTAACAAGCTCCCAGATGATACTGATGATGCCAGTCCTTGGACACAGTTGAAGAACTGCTGCTTTTGAGTAACTGTATCTGCTATAATGAGAATTTTGGTAGGGGAAAAAAAAGGCATTTGTCATTTCTTAGTTTAGATATTCAGAGGCATCCTCCCAAGTGTTTGAATATACAGGAAAGAAGTACTATCTCATCTGCCATGTCTACACAAGGAAAGACTGAAATCATTTCAGATTTGCCCACAATTCTCAATGAAGAACCCCAGAGCAACTACCAGATGCTCCAAGGGGCAGTCACAGGACAGAGGGCAAAAGACAGAAATTCTCAGGGCCCCAAACCACTGAGTTCTATCATTTTCAAAAGCTTTCTTTTACCAACTCTATTTGAAAAAAAAAAAGAAAGAACCCCTTTGAAAATTACATGCACTAAATGTCTACTCAATCCCAAAATTGTACTCATTTTGGGAATTGTACTCATTCCCAAAATGACCAATATATGTGCTGGGACTGAATCAAAGAGCTTAAAATTAGTGAGATTGACAGGAATGTTTAATTTTTTAGAAAGTGCTTCTGGAAAGCCAAACATATGGAAATTCCTGGAGGGCGGCACTCGCCTGGAGGGCATAGAAGCTCTGCATCCTTTCTCCCATACTTCGCTCTACACGTGTCTTCATTCATATCCTTTGCAATATCCTTTATAATAAACAGTCAAGAGAGCTGCACAGTAAGATTCTACTGCAGAAACTTCCCAGGAGACTTGAATTGAAGCATCAGCAAAACTGAAGGAGCAATGCCTGTCCACACATCCAAGAATAGACTCGTCCTGAATCTATTCTGACAAGTCAGCCAGCGGTCAAGAAACCCAAGGTGTGATCCATGTACCTGGCAGAGCCTCCCATCAAAACATGAACTGGGCTCCTTCTCACCTTATGGACAGCTAAAGGAGGTGGGAGGTGGATTTGTTGATTGGCCTTATGCTGCACCCAAGCACTTGGGCCGGGACTCAACCCTCATTGCCAAGCAATGAGGCTTCAAGTTTGCTCCCATGATGTACCCTAGCCTGTCACCAAGACACTCATCCTGGCCACTTCGACCTCTGGCTCACTGTTGTACTGGTGTGAATGCAAACCCAGCTCTCTTCCTGTCAAACATATATGTGGTCAGGACAGCAAATCAAGCATTCAGGAACCTGGCAAGAGGCCTTCCCAGATTATCAAGCAGACTTTCCAAAATTTCCTAAAGATACCGAGACTTAGCTTCTTTCAGATCCCACCTTCAAAGAGAGTCAGAGATGCAACCTGGAGCCACCCAGACTCTTCAGCTTCCTCTGTAGTGAAGATGGACTTGGACCCAACCCACAAGGACACCATCCCATATGCTGATTATGGACCTCCTGCCTCCCTACCACAGACCTTACCTGAGTCCCATCAAAGCCCACACTGCCCCAACCTCCACCATCCAGACATGTTCCAGAGCAGCCCCTCAGAACTGTCTTGATGGGATGTGACAAGGGATGGTGGAACTCCAGGTTCAGAATGGCTGCCTCATCTCTCCCTCCTGAGAGTCCTGTACCTGCTGATCAGAGCCCTCACCCCTGAGTGGGCTTGGCCCGGGTCCCAGGAAGTGTCCCCTAAGAGGACCTTCTGGTCTCTACTTCCTCTGATGAGAGTGCCCAAGAATGAGACCCTCTATCCTAGGGAATACATAGCCTCCACTCTCATATAACTTGATTAACTGATGAACTGATGCTGCGAGAAAGGAAAAGATGCAGGGAATATCCTGTGTCTCGAGCATTATGTTTCTCAGCCATGGTGACTGTGCAAATGGTGGAACCCCAAAGAATAATGGATGGTAGACACACAGAAACTGCCTAATAAAATTATGTCAGTTCAAGTTTAATATACATGGAGCTTATAATGTCATATAAAAATGTTGTTACTTTATTTTAAAAGAAAAATGAGTTAAATTTTGTAAGGGCATTAAAATATAATTTTAATAAAGAGATATGAAAATTATCTGTACTTGGTGTGTAAATGACTGAATTTTGGTCAAGCCTGTAAAAACCACCAATGGGTGTGAAAAGGGGTCTGCTATTTACTTATAAGACATCTACTTCCAAATCTTTGCTGTTTTTAACCAAATCCTTCTCATGATACTAAAATTTTTCATTCTAAAGAAGCATTTCCATGGAAACCTTAAAGAGATTTTGCTAATTTTGGATTTAAATCATTATAAAACTGTTTGGCTGTTTTATGTCATTGTTAACCAAATGCTCCTACAGATAGCACATTGCACATGTGTTTTGATTTCCTCTTTCACGTGAGGTCAATTTTCTTTCATTTTATTCATAAGCTTTTGTTTACTTTAGATAAACTCTTTTAGTTTAACTGCCTTGTAGTTGCCAGGTGCTCCATCGTTCTGCACTTTGTTCAAAATACAAATTCTCAGGCAAAACCCAGGTCTATTTTATCAAAATCTGGATGTTAAATATTTCCAAGTGATTCACATGCACATTAATGAGTTTTAATTGGGGTAATTCTATTCTCAAAAGGAGAAAAGATTATATGGGTGTATAGATTCATCAAAAAGTTACAGTTAAAATTATACATTTCAATGCATATACATCTTATCTCACAAATATATCTTAAAAGAATAATAAAATGGGGGTGGTGGGGAATGGGTTGACATATAGATGAAACAAAAACAGCAAATGATTAATAGTTGTTGAGACTGGGGGTCATGTCTATTACACTACTTTGTTTATTTTGTATAGGTTTAAAGTGTTCTGTAGTAAAACACTTGTATAAAAAGATAAAGTTTTTCTACAACATTAGCTCTTAAGATTGTGGCTGCCTTTGGGGAGAAAGAAGGGAGTAAGTGGCTGTCAAGGGCATGAAAAAGGCTGGTCTTATGCCATGGTTACACAAATGTATTTGCCTTGTAATAATTCGTTGAGCTCTGCATTAATGCTTTGTGCATGTATTTCTGTATGCATGTTATTCACCAATAAAAATTGAAATATTAAAAAAAGAAAAAAATGATGACCTAATGCTAGTGCTGTAATAGAAATCCAAGTGAAACAGGATATAGAAACACATAACAAAAAGACTAATAATAAAAAGCCAAGGCTTTTGTGGTACTTACTGTAAGTGTGGCACTGCTCTATTAACTCATTTAATCCTCACAACAACCCTATGAGGTAAGGAGTATGACTATTCCCATTTACATATGAGAAAATTGAGGCACAGAAAGGTTAAGTGAGCTGCTCAAGGTCACACAGCTAAAGTGTAGCAGAGCAAGGACTTAAACTCAAAAGTCCTGCTCAACACCTTTCCTCTTCACTATGCTATCTGCAGTACTGCACAGAAAGACAAAATTTAAAAAGATGGATGGGGGTAAAATGTGATTTAAGAGAGTAGTTTGAATTATCAACAAGAAATCCACCTCCCTTCTTTCTTAAATCCCTGAACTCATCTTGGTACTGAACTTTTCCTGTTCTAGAAGCTGAACAGGTAGAACTATTACTGCATTGCCATTTCCTAAATTAAGATAATCTAAACAGCCACACTGATTAGGTGCACTCACTTCTGTTATGTTGCATGACTTCCCTAAATATCCCACAGCACAGAGAAAGAGTCTCATAATAAATTATGTCTCAGTCTTGTGCATTAGTGTTGGCCACTCTCCCACAAACAATGTCAAAGTTGTAAGCAATTGGCATAGAGTCAGTGACAATATGTAAATTACTTATAAAGTGAACTTGATCTTGTGTAATAAATGCTATTTGAATCTTAATTTGCTTACAATATTTTAATGCGGTAATTGAGGTCATGGAAGACACGGTCTAAAGATGAAACCATCTATAACTCTCAATTTTAAGCAGGACTGAATTACCCAGGTTTATAAAATACTCCAAGGAATTAAAAGGCAAATGCCATGCTCTATATACTCTATGGACACGCACTGAAATATAAGTGTAAAAATTATAGGGCCATAAGAGGAATTTGGAAGAGAATATCAAATGTTCTAAAATTCCTTGGTTCTAGAACCAGTGACCCCTGACCTAGCGAGCCTTTCTTTAATGAAATAAAAGAGCATTTCATTAGATTACATGGCCCTGGTTTAGTTCTTAACAATTTGGGGCACCTCCTCATCTCCATGCTTTCATAATTAATCATCAGGCCTCTTTTGTCTTCTCAAAAAAGCCTTCCGTCAATTGCCTACCCAATCTTCTTTTTCCTCTTTTCATTCCAAATCTCAGAACAAAATCAGGTTCAGCTTCTGTGAAATTGACCCTCCAGCGTGAAATCGACCCTCCAGCGTGAAATCATTTTTTTAATGATAAAGTGCCAAAAGTGTTCTGCAAGTATAAGGTATTAGTTGAGTGTTATAATTATTATGATCCAGCTACTGCCACAGTGATGGCCTTTGTTCTCCTCCACCTCTCCTTCATCTGCTCTGTTTTATGGTCGGTCATTTTTGAGGGTTTAAAGACTCTCTTCTTTTCAAGGACCTGAACGTCTGGTGTTCTTGTTCTACCCAGTTCTGCCTTCTGTGAACTAGGCAAATCCTTCTCCAAACCCAGCATACCCTGTGGGGAAAGAGCCAGACTGAGCTCTGAATCAAGACACGTGTCATAATTCCCCCTCCCACAGGTGGCCAAATAAAACACTATCGATTGACTCCCACTTACATAGCTTGGCCAACCTCATGAGCAGGAAGATCTTCTGAAGGAAACCCAGCAACCAGAAAAGGGCTGAAAACAAAACTTTATGTTATGCCCTTTGCTCAGAAACCTAAAATGTTGTCCTTTATCATATCAAGTCAAAAGTCCTTTTTCAAGGCCTATGGTCTCCTTAATGTAACATGTCCTATCACTACTCATTATTTCTAGCTTCTTCTCTCTTAAGGTTTGTGCTCCATGATTCTATCCTTCACTGCATCCCTTCCTGGCCCCCACTTCTCAAATGAGTAATGCCCATCCTTCTTCCTGCCATCTTGGCCCTAGCCAGCTTTCCAAGCCAAGTTCAAATTCTACCTTTGCAATGGAATTTTGGACCACCGCACAGGTCTCAGGTATTTCTTCACTTCTTAATTCAAATCCCTGCTCAAAAGTTATCTCTTCTACAATTGCTTTTTTCTTCTTCTAGGCTTTCGAAACACTTTGCTTATAATTCTGTAAAAATACTTGCCACGTTGCACTGCAAGTACTGTTTATGTATGTTATTGACCATATTGTGTATTCCTCATGGAAGAAGCTGTAATTTGTTCATTTTATAATTTAAAAACTATGAATAAACTCGATTCACAGCAGATGCTCAATAGACAATTGTTGAATAAAATAGTAAATGATTCCCCAAAGCTGTGCATGCATGTTTGTGTGTGTGTACATGTATGTGTATGATTTGTGCACATGACTCCTAGTATGCAAGTATAAGAGTTTATCTGGAGAATATACCTAAAAATGGAATTTTTGAGTTACATGTACAAATCAGCTTCAGTATAAAATGCCAAACTGCTTTCCAAAATGGTTATACTATATCTGATTCCCACCAGTGCTTTGTAATAATTCCTGTAGAACCATTTTCTGTTTAACTTTGGTGATTGTCAGGCAGGCTAATATTTTGCAAACTAAGTATAAAAGGGTATCTCATGATGGGTTTAGTTTTTATTTCCCTGATAACATGATGTTACACTTCTCTTCATATATTTATTTCTTTCTTTGTCCATTTTTCCATTACTTATTTTGTTTATGTATTTGCAAGTTTCTTTACATATTCTTCACACCAATCTCTTGTTGGTTGTATGTATTGAAGATATTTTCTCCCTGTTTGTAACTTGGCTTTTCACTTTAAGTTTCACTTATTAACATGTTAATGTTAATTTTAGTGTGGTCAAATCTATAAGTATTTTATTTTATATTAAACATCTTTTGTGTTTTGTTTAAAAATCTTTTCCTACTCAAGATCTAAGAGGGCATAAGACTCAAACTCAGAAAACCTAGGTGTGTGCTCATATTCTATTTGTTTTCTGTGTGATCCTGGTCAAGTTACTTAATTTCCATAGCCCTCTAGTTTTCATTTTATAAACAAGAATATTATGATACCTGTGTATAGGCTTGTCTTAAAGATTAAGTGAGCATGAGCTGTGTACGTAAAGTGCTAGATGGATGTGAGTTGTGATGAAGACTAGATTAGTTTCATGCCAGGTAGGATGGCATGGAATTTCCAAAGTGAAAAGAATACCAAAACTGCCCAGTGTGGTGGCTCACACCTATTATCCCAGTACTTTGGGAGACTGAGGCAGGCATATTGCTTGAGCTCAGGAGGTCAAGACCAGCCCGGGAAACATGGTGAAACCCCATCTCTTCCCAAAATACAAAAAATTAGCCAAGCATGGTGGCATGCACCTGTGGTCTCAGCTATTCAGGAGGCTGAGGCAGGAGAATTGCTTGAACCTAGGAGATGGAAGTTGCAGTGAGCCAAGATCGCGAGACTCTGTCTTAAAAAAAAAAAAAAAGAAATTCTTGACCCACTTCTGCCCTGGTCTTTCTGAATATCCTCAGACAAGATTCTGAACCTTCATCAGCCTCAGTTGTCATCTGCAAATGTCTATCTCACTGTGATACAGTGAGCATGTGATAATGTTTAACACACAGGAGGCCTGGGACTAGAGTGAAGCAAAGGAATTTCTTACTTCAGGTGCACAATTTCAGGTGGTGCCAAAATACCTCAGTAATCAAGACAAACAATATTTTTTTTCTTCAACATTTATTTTAAGTTCAGAGGTACATGTACAGGATGTGCAGATTTGTCACATAGGTAAATGTGTGCCATGGTGGTTTGCTGCACAGATCATTCCATCACCTAGGTACTAAGCCCAGCATCCATTAGCCATTCTTCCCTAAGCTCTCCCTCCCCGCAGCCCCACAGCAACAGGCCCCAGTGTGTGTTGTTACTCCCCTATGTGTCCATGTGTTCTCATCATTCAGCTCCCGCTTATAAGTGAGAACATTTGGTGTTTGGTTTTCTGTTCCTGCATTAGTTTGCTGAGGATAATGGCTTCCAACTTCATCAATGTCCCTGCAAAGGATGTGATCTTGTTCCTTTTTATGACTGCATAGTAGTTAATGGTGTATATGTACCACATTTTCTTTATCCAGTCTATCATCGTGGACATTTGGTTTGACTCCATGTCTTTGCTGTTGTTAATAGTGCTGCAGTGAACATATGCATACATGCATCTTTATAATGGAATGTTTTATATTCCTTGGGTAAATACCCATTAATGGGATTGCTGGGTCAAATGGTATTTCTATCTCTAGGTCTTTGAGGAATCACCACTGTCTTCCACAATGGTGGAACAAATTTACACTCCCACCAGCACCAACAGTGTAAAAGTGTTCCTTTTTCTCCATAACTTCTCAAGCATCTGTTACTTTTGGACTTTTTCATAATAGCCATTTTGGTCAGGAGACAACAGATGCTGGTGAGGCTGTGGAGAAATAGTAATGCTTTTACACTGTTGGTGGGAGTGTAAATTAGTTCAACCATTGTGGAAGACAGTGTGGCAATTCCTCAAGGATCTAGAACCAGAAATACCATTTGACCCAGCCATCCCATTACTGGATATATACCCAAAGGATTAGAAATTATTCTACTATAAAGACACATGCACACGTATGCTTATTGCAGCAGTATTTACAATAGCAAAGACTTGGAAACAACCCAAATGCCCATCAATGATAAACCAGATAAAGAAAATATGGCACATATATACCATGGAATACTATGCAGCCATAGAAAAGAATGAGTTCATGTCCTTCGCAGAGACATGGATAAAGCTGGAAGCCATCATTCTCAGCAAACTGACACAGGAAGAGGAAACCAAATACCCCATGTTCTCACTCATAAGTGGGAGTTGAACAATGTGAACACATGGACACAGAGAGGGGAACATCACACACCAGGGCCTGTCAGGGGGTAGGGGCAAGGGGAGGGAGAGCATTAGAACAAATGCCTAACGCATGCAGGGCTTAAAACCTAGATGACGGGTTGATAGGTACAGCAAACCACCATGGCACACGTATACCTATGTAACAACCCTGCATATTCTGCACATGTATCCCAGAACTTAGAGTAATAATAATAATAATAGCCATTCTGACTGGTATCTCGTTGTGGTTTTGATTTGCATTTCTCGAATGATCAGTAATGTTGAGTTTTGTTTCATATACTTGTTAGCTGCATGTATGTTTTCTTTTGAGAAGTGTCTGTTCATGTCCTTTGCCCACTTTTTAAGGGGGTTATTTGTTTTCTTCTTGTAAATTTGTGTAAGTTCCTTGTAGATTCTGGATATTAGACCTTTGTCAGATGAATAGATTGCAGAATTTTTCACCCACTCTCTAGGTTATCTGTTCACTCTGATGATAGTTTCTTTTGCTGTGCTGCAACTCTTTAGTTTAATTAGATCCCACTTGTCAATTTTTGCTTTTGTTGCAGTTGCTTTTGGCATTTTCATCCCAAAATCTTTGCCTATTTCTATGACCTGAATGGTATTGCCTAGGTTTTCTTCTAGGGTTTTTATAGTTTTGGGTTTTATATTTAAGTTTTTAATCCCTATTGAGTTAATTTTTGTATATGGTGTAAGGAAGGCGTCTACTTCCAATTTTCTGCATGTGGCTAGCCAGTTCTCCTAGCACCATTTATTAAACAAGGAATCCTTTCCCTATTGCATGTTTTTGTCAGGTTTGTCAAAGATCAGAGGGTTGTGGGTGTGAAATCTTATTTCTGAGTTCTCTATTCTTTTGCATTGGTCTACGTGTCTGTTCTTGTACCAGTATCATGTTGTTTTGGTTATGGTAGCCTTGTGTTATAGTTTGAAGTAAGGTAGCATGATGCCTCCGCTTTGTTCTTTTTGCTTAGGATTGTCTTGGCAAGCTATTCAGGTTCTTTTTTTGGTTCCACATAAATTTTAAAATAGTTTTTTCTAATTCTGTAGAGAATGCCAATAGTAGTTTAATATGAATAGCATTGAATCTATAAATTACTTTGGACAGTATGGCCATTTTCACAATATTGATTCTTCCTATCCATGAGCATGGAATTTTTTCCATTTGTTTGTGTCATCTCTGATTGCTTTGAGCAGTGGTTTGTTGTTCTCCTTGAAGATGTCCTTTACTTCCCTTGTTAGTTGTATTCCTAGGTATCTTATTCTTTTTGTAGCAATTGTGAATGGGAGTTCATTCATGATTTGTCTCTTGGCTTGTCTATTGTTGGTGTATAGGAATGCTAGTGATTTTTGCAAATTGATTGTGTATCCTGAGACTTTGCTGAGGTTGCTTATCAGCTTAAGAAGCTTTGAGGCCGAGACAATGAGGTTTTCTATATATAGGATTATGCCATCTGCAAACAAAGATGGTTTGACTTCCTTTCTTTCTGTTCGAATATCTTTTATTTCTTTCTCTTGCCTGTTTGCCCTGGCCAGATCTTCCAATACTATGTTGAATGGGAGTGGAGAGAGACAGCATCCTTGCCTTGTGCTGGCTTTCAAGGGGAATGTTTCCAGTTTTTGCCTGTTCAGTAAGACATTGACTGTGGGTTTGTCTTATATGGCTCTTATTATTTTGAGACATGTTCCTTCAATACCTGATTTATTGGGAGCTTTTAACATGAAGGGATGTTGAATTTTATCAAATGGCTTTTCTGCATCTATTCAAATAATAATGTGGTTTTTGTCTTTAGTTCTACTTATGTGATGAATCACATTTATTGATTTACATATGTTGAACCAACCTTGCATCTTGGGGATGAAGCCAACTTCAGTGCTGGAGGATAAGCTTTTGGATGTGTTGCTGGATTTAGTTTGCCAGTATTTTATTGAGGATTTTTGCATCAATGTTCATCAGGAATATTGGCCTGAACATTTCTTTATTTGTTGTATCTTTGCCCGGTTTTGGTATAAGTATGATGCTGGCCTCACAGAATGAGTTAGGGAGGAGTCCCACCTTTTCAATTTTTCAGAATAGTTTCAGTAGAAATGGTAACAGCTCTTCTTTGTACCTCTGGTAGAATGCAGCTGTGAATCCATCTGGTTCTGGGCTTTTTTTTTTTTTTGGCTGGTTGGCTATTTATTACTGCCTCAATTTCAGAACTCATTATTGGTCTATTCAGGGATTAAATTTCTTCCTGGTTCATTCTTGGAAGGATATATGTGTCCAGGAATTAACCGTTTTCTTCTAGATTTTCTACTTTATGTGCATAGAAGTATTTATAGTACTCTCTGATGGTTGTTTGTATTTCTGTGGGATCAGTGGTGATGTTCCCCCTTATCATTTCTGATTGTGTTTATTTGATTCTTCTCTCTTTTTTTCTTTATTAGTCTAGGTAGCGGTGTATCTATTTTATTAATTTTTCTCAAAAAACCAGCTCCTGGATTTGTTGATTCTTTGAATTTTTTTTGTGTCTCTATCTCTGTCAGTTCAGCTCTGATCTTGGTTATTTTTTGTCTTCTGCTAGCTTCGGGGTTTGTTTGCTCTTGGTTTTATAGTTCTTTTTGTTTGATGTTAGACTGCTAAATTAAGATCTTTCTAGCTTTTCGATGTGGGTGTTTATTTCTATAAATTTCCCTCTTAATATTGCTTTAGCTGCATCCAACAGATTCTAATATGTTGTCTCTTTGATCTCATTAGTTTCAAAAAACTTCTTGATTTCTGCCTTCATTTCATTCTTTACCTAGGAGTCATTCAGGAGCAGGTTGTTCAATTTTCATGTA